>NC_000023.11:226351-1426351 GCF_000001405.40 Homo sapiens
CCCGCTCCTCCCCTCGGGACCACCCCCAGACCCCCTGCTCCTCCCCACGAAACCACCCCCAGACTCCCTGCTCCTGTCCTCCGGACCACGCGACTGCTCCTTCCCTCAGCGCCACCCCCAGACTGCCGCTCCTCCTGTCGGGACCCCCTTCGGGCCACCTCCAGACCCTACCCCCGGTACACCCCTCGGGTCCCTCTCGGAACCATCCCCAGACGCTCGCTCCTCCCCTCGGAACCCCCTCGCCGCCACCCCCAGACCCCCGCTCCTTCCCTTGGGATCACCTCGAGACCTCCCGCTCACCACCATCATTCAGGCCGGGTAGTGGGGAGAGGCCTCTCAGGAGGGACCAGGCCACTCTCCCAGGAGTGAAGGGAGGAGGACAGAGTCACGAGCAGACCAGAAATAACCAGGGACTGACAGACAGCAGGATCGGAGAGGGACAGAAAAGGGCTAAGGGCAGGAAAAGTCCCTGAGGCTTTCTCCACCCGGAGTGCGGGGTAGGGAGCAGACGGAGAGTGACGGAGGGTGACGGAGAGTGACGAAAGTAGACGATGTCTGACGGAGAAGAGCCGAGCGGAGCTGAAGGGCGGCGGAGAGTGACGGAAAGTGGCGAGAATTGACGGAAAGTGACGGGGACTGACGGACAGTGACGAAGAGTCACGAAATTTATCAGAGGGCGACAAAGAGGAAAGCGAAATGGTGAGATGCAGCCGGCCGAGCCTAATCGGAGATGACGGAAAGTGACGGAGAGGAACGAGGAGTAAAGAGGGGTGACGAAAAGAGCCGAAGCTGGTGGAGGCGAAGAACTGAGTGAGGGAAGATAGCCGAGATTAGCGGGTGGGCTGCAGCCGGGGCAGTCGCCCGAATGGGCGGGACCCCACGGAGTTAGCGAGAGGATGCGAACAGCGGCCAGCCGGGCAGCACGCGAGCGAGGGAGGGCGTGGAGGGCCGTGGGTCCGCCTGCACTGAGGCAGGCATGGGTGGCACCGAGGTGACCCGGGCGGGAGGTGCACCGCCGCCCACTCGCAGGTTCTGCGCGGAGCCCAAGGCCGTCTTCTCCGCCCCTTTGCAGACCTCGGCGCCCAGCCTGGCCCCTGACGCCCACCCGCGGCCCCACCCAGCGCCCGGGCCCACGAGGCCGAGGAGCGGCGGAGACTAACGGCCCCTGGACCCCAGGCAGCACATGGCCCAGAGCATCCCAGCCCAGTGGAGGGCGGCACATGGCGGGAGGGCGGGAGTCTGTGTCCACTCATGGCCGAGGAGGGGAGGGCAAGTTCTGGTGGCTGGGGAGGCCTAGAGCATCACAGCCCAGTGGAGGGCTGCACATGGCAGGGGAGGGGAGAGCAAGAGTGTGCGGGCGAGGGAGGAGAGGGCAAGACTGCGTGTCCGCTCCAGTCTCTCTTCCTCATCTTATAAAGCCACGAGTCCCATGACTGGGGACCCAACCTAATAACATTATCTAATCCTAATTGCCTCCCAAAGGCCATATCTCCAATCAGGACATGAATTCGGGGATTAAATTGCCAACACATGGCTGGGCGCGATGCCTTGTGCTTTTTTTTTTTTTTTTTTTGAGACGGAGTCTCGCTCTGTCGCCCAGGCTGGAGTGCAGTGGCGCTATCTCGGCTCACTGCAAGCTCTGCCTCCCGGGTTCACGCCATTCTCCTGCCTCAGCCTCCTGAGTAGCTGGGACTACAGGCGCCCGCCACCACGCCCAGCTAATTTTTTTTTTTTTTTTGTATTTCTTTGTAGAGACAGGGTTTCACCATGTTAGCCAGGATGGTCTCGATCTCCTGACCTCGTGATCCACCCATCTCGGTCTCCCAAAGTGCTAGGATTGCAGGCCTGAGCCACCGCGCCCAGCTGCCTTGTGCTTTTAATCCCAGCACTTTCAGAGGCCAAGGCAGGCGATCAGCTGAGGTCAGGAGTTCAAGACCAGCCTGGCCAACATGGTGAAACCCCATCTCTAATACAAATACAAAAAAAAAACAAAAAACGTTAGCCAGGAATGAGGCCCGGTGCTTGTAATCCTAAGGAAGGAGACCACCACTCCTCCTGCTGCCCTTCCCTTCCCCACACCGCTTCCTTAGTTTATAAAACAGGGAAAAAGGGAGAAAGCAAAAAGCTTAAAAAAAAAAAAAAACAGAAGTAAGATAAATAGCTAGATGACCTTGGCAGCACCACCCGACCCTGGTGGTTAAAATAATAATAATAATAATATTAACCCCTGACCTAAACTACTTGTGTTATCTGTAAATTCCAGACACTGTATGAGGAAGCCCTGCAAAACTTTCTGTTCTGTTATCTGATGCGTGTAGCCCCCAGTCACGTTCCCCACGCTTCCTCGATCTATCACAACCCTTTCACGTAAACCCCTTAGAGTTGTAAACCCTTAAAAGGGCTAGGAATTTCGTTTTCGGGGAGCTTGGCTCTTCAGGCGCAAGTGTGCCGATGCTCCTGGCAGAGTAAAGCCCTTCCTTCTTTAACCCAGTGTCTGAGGAATTTTGTCTGCGGCTTGTCCTGCCACAATGCCAGCTACCAGGAGGCTGAGGTGTGAGAATCGCTCGAACCTGGGAGGCAGAGGTTGCAGCGAGCCGAGATCCCACGATTGCACTCCAGCCTGGGTGATAGATGACAGAGCAAGACACCATGTCAAAAAGAAAAGAAAAAAAATTGCCAACACATGAAATCTGGAGAACACATTCAAGCAATAGCACCATATAAATCTGTACATACCTTGCAAACACTGTAAACCTGCCGCATCTCACCTGAGACCAACCCCCAACTGCAAAACCCAGACCTGGAATTTTCCCAGGACCAAACCCATCTATATTCTGTAACCCGAAATCTCAAAGCCTAACCCTAACCCTAACCCCGACAGTTCAGGTCCCCCCGTCCCCGTAGCTCCAGCTCAAGACAACCTGCCCCTCCGTGGGTTTGCAGGCCCTTTGGTAGGGGTTGGGAGCTGGGGGCCACACACAGCTCTCTGAGCTTAAGCCATTTCCTTCCTTCCTTCATTCCTTCCTTCCTCCCTCCCTCCCTCCTTCCCTCCCTCCCTTTTTTTTTTTCAGGGTCTTGCTCTGTCACCCAGGCTGGAGTGCAGTGGCATGATCACAGCTGACTGCAGCCTCGGACTCCCAAGCTCAAGCGATCTTCCCGCCTCAGCCTCCAGAGTAGGTGGGACTACAGGAGTGTGCCATCGCACGTGGCGAATTTCTTAATTTTTATTTTGTAGAGATGAGGCCTCCCGATATTGTCCAGGCTTGGAAGTAGTTCTTGAAATTCAAGAGGATCTGGAAGTTCTGGTCTCCTGTCAATATCCCTTTCTAAGATGAAATGTAGAATCCTCTAATCACCCCAGGATACCTTTTCCAGCTATATTACCCTTTCCTTTCAGCCGACTAGAGTGGAAGCTCAGCAAAGAACGGATCTATGCCTGCACACAGGCAGCTTTGAACTCACTGAGATCTATAGAAGAATTTTTTAAAATTTGCCAGAATGAAAAAGAAGTATCCTCCAGTGAGCCTCAAGGACAGCCAGGGAAGGCAGCTACTGGGACCTGCCACTGGCCAGGATTGAGAGAGTCTGAGGTGTCCATTCTCCTATGGATGGGTCACACATCAGAACTGAACCACAAACCCTTTCCTGCTCCCTTGGGACCAGGCTGCCACTCCTTCCTTCCCCTCACCTTGACCCTCCCATTCGGCCCCACCTGTCAGGATCACAAGGACCCCCAGATCAGCAGATGGGAACCGGACCAAAAAGAGAAATAGCGCTGTCCCGCCCAAAAGTACCAACCCCAGACCCCCTGCTCCACCCTCCGAACCACAGGGAGACCCCATGCTCCACCCCTGAAAACCACACGCAGACCCCCGCTCCTCCTCTTAGGGCCATCCCCAGACCCCCCCCTCCTACCCACGGGACCACACCCAGAACCCCCAGCTCCTCCCCTCGGGACCACCCCAGACCCCCGCTCCTCCCCTCGGGACCACCCCCAGACCCCCTGCTCCTCCTCTTAGGACCATCCCCAGACCCCCCCTTCTACCCACGGGACCACACCCAGAACCCCCAGCTCCTCCCCTCGGGACCACCCCAGACCCCCGCTCCTCCCCTCGGGACCACCCCCAGACCCCCTGCTCCTCCCCTCGGGACCACCCCAGACCCCCGCTCCTCCCCTCGGGACCACCCCAGACCCCCGCTCCTCCCCTCGGGACCACCCCCAGACCCCCTGCTCCTCCTCTTAGGACCATCCCCAGACCCCCCCTCCTACCCACGGGACCACACCCAGAACCCCCAGCTCCTCCCCTCGGGACCACCTCAGACCCCCGCTCCTCCCCTCGGGACCACCCCAGACCCCCGCTCCTCCCCTCGGGACCACCCCCAGACCCCCTGCTCCTCCTCTTAGGACCATCCCCAGACCCCCCCTCCTACCCACGGGACCACACCCAGAACCCCCAGCTCCTCCCCTCGGGACCACACCCAGACCCCCCCTCCTACCCACGGGACCACACCCAGAACCCCCAGCTCCTCCCCTCGGGACCACCCCAGACCCCCGCTCCTCCCCTCGGGACCACCCCAGACCCCCGCTCCTCCCCTCGGGACCACCCCCAGACCCCCTGCTCCTCCTCTTAGGACCATCCCCAGACCCCCCCTCCTACCCACGGGACCACACCCAGAACCCCCAGCTCCTCCCCTCGGGACCACACCCAGACCCCCCCTCCTACCCACGGGACCACACCCAGAACCCCCAGCTCCTCCCCTCGGGACCACCCCAGACCCCCGCTCCTCCCCTCGGGACCACCCCAGACCCCCGCTCCTCCCCTCGGGACCACCCCAGACCCCCGCTCCTCCCCTCGGGACCACCCCCAGACCCCCTGCTCCTCCTCTTAGGACCATCCCCAGACCCCCCCTCCTACCCACGGGACCACACCCAGAACCCCCAGCTCCTCCCCTCGGGACCACCCCAGACCCCCGCTCCTCCCCTCGGGACCACCCCAGACCCCCGCTCCTCCCCTCGGGACCACCCCAGACCCCCGCTCCTCCCCTCGGGACCACCCCCAGACCCCCTGCTCCTCCTCTTAGGACCATCCCCAGACCCCCCCTCCTACCCACGGGACCACACCCAGAACCCCCAGCTCCTCCCCTCGGGACCACCTCAGACCCCCGCTCCTCCCCTCGGGACCACCCCAGACCCCCGCTCCTCCCCTCGGGACCACCCCAGACCCCCTGCTCCCATTTTCCAGACCACACCAGACGGCTTCTTCCCTCGGCACCACCCCCAGACTGCCGCTCCTCCTATCGGGACCTCCTCGGGGCCATCTCCAGACCCTCCCCCCGCTCCACCCCTCGGGTCCCTCTCGGGACCACCCTCAGACCCCCGCTCCTTCCCTCGGGATCACCTCGAGACCTCCCGCTCACCACCATCATTCAGGCCGGGTAGTGGG
Organism: Homo sapiens; assembly: GCF_000001405.40. Classification (NCBI taxonomy): domain Eukaryota; kingdom Metazoa; phylum Chordata; class Mammalia; order Primates; family Hominidae; genus Homo; species Homo sapiens. The sequence goes on from NC_000023.11 coordinate 231,796, forward strand.
GAGAGGCCTCTCAGGAGGGACCAGGCCACCCTCCCAGGAGTGAAGGGAGGAGGACAGAGTCACGAGCAGACCAGAAATAACCAGGGACTGACAGACAGCAGGATCGGAGAGGGACGGAAAAGGGCTAAGGGCAGGAAAAGTCCCTGAGGCTTTCTCCACCCGGAGTGCGGGGTAGGGAGCAGACGGAGAGTGACGGAGGGTGACGGAGAGTGACGAAAGTAGACGATGTCTGACGGAGAAGAGCCGAGCGGAGCTGAAGGGCGGCGGAGAGCGACGGAAAGTGGCGAGAATTGACGGAAAGTGACGGGGACTGACGGACAGTGACGAAGAGTCACGAAATTTATCAGAGGGCGACAAAGAGGAAAGCGAAATGGTGAGATGCAGCCGGCCGAGCCTATTCGGAGATGACGGAAAGTGACGGAGAGGAACGGGGAGTAAAGAGGGGTGACGAAAAGAGCCGAAGCTGGTGGAGGCGAAGAACTGAGTGAGGGAAGATAGCCGAGATTAGCGGGTGGGCTGCAGCCGGGGCAGTCGCCCGAATGGGCGGGACCCCACGGAGTTAGCGAGAGGATGCGAACAGCGGCCAGCCGGGCAGCACGCGAGCGAGGGAGGGCGTGGAGGGCCGTGGGTCCGCCTGCACTGAGGCAGGCATGGGTGGCACCGAGGTGACCCGGGTGGGAGGTGCACCGCCGCCCACTCGCAGGTTCTGCGCGGAGCCCAAGGCCGTCTTCTCCGCCCCTTTGCAGACCTCGGCGCCCAGCCTGGCCCCTGACGCCCACCCGCGGCCCCACCCAGCGCCCGGGCCCACGAGGCCGAGGAGCGGCGGAGGCTCGCGGCCCCTGGACCGCAGACCGCGTTCCCGGAGCCCGGCCGAGCCCCGAGTGGGGCCCTCGCGCGGACTGAGAGGGCGGCGGAGGGGCCACGGGGTCCTGCCCAGCCCGCATCGCGCATGCTGCTCGGGACCGGCGGCTGCCTTGGGCCAACCCTGTTCCCGCAGCGACCCCCCTACTCTTCTGACACGTTCCCATTTTGCTGAAGACACTTGGAGCCAGTGTCATCTTTGTGACTGTACCGTTGCGTGTTCGGGGTGCACTCTGCCGTATTCTCTTTGCAGAGCACCTAAGGAAGCAGGCGTCGTGCCTAAGAACGTGAGTGCTGCAAAAAGGGTGGTTTGTTCCAATCCAACCTTGACCGCTCCTGGCCCTCCCGCATGGGTCAAGCTCACTAAACGTCTCTGTGCCTCCATTTCCTCGGCAGAAGAACAGGGACAGTAAATGTACCCGTCTGTATGAGTGTTCAGGGCCGCCATAAGGTACCAAGACTGGAGGGCTTCACTGAAAATTATCTTCCCACAGACCTGGAGGCTGAGGTCCGAGAGCAAGGTGTTGTCAGCAGGGCTGGTTTCTCCTCTCCTCGGCTTGCGGACGCCGTCTGGTGTACGCTCATAGGGTCTTTTCACTGTGCACAAGTATCCCTATCGTCTCTTCTGTGTGTGTCCACACTTCCTCTCATGAGAACAGCAGGTTGCTTTAGGGCCCACCCTGACAGCCTCGTTCTAATACTATGAGGCCAAATACACTCACGTTCTGAGGCAGTGGGGGTTAGGGCTTCAACATCGACATCCGAGACTGGGAGATGATAAATTCCTGTTGACGTACCCACCCGGTTTCTGGTCACTGGTTATGGCAGCCCCCAGGAAACCAGCCCACAGAAACAGCAGTCCCTCCACTTGGTTCTGATCCAGGATGAAGCCGGTGTAGACCGCCAGCGTTTGGGGAATGTGAATGCCTGATACGAAGGAATTCTTTGTGCCATATTGTTGCCTTAATGTAACTGTGAAGTTGCGTCAAAATAAACATTAATGGCCGGGCGCGGTGGCTCACGCCTGTAATCCCAGCACTTTGGGAGGCCAAGGCAGGTGGATCACGAGGTCAGGAGATCAAGACCATCCTGGCCAACACAGTGAAACCCCATCTCTACTAAAAATACAAAAAATTCTCCGGGCGCGGTGGCGGGCGCCTGTAGTCCCAGCTACTCGGGAGGCTGAGGCAGGAGAACAGCGTGAGCCCGGGAGGTGGAGCTTGCAGTGAGCTGAGATTGCACCACTGCACTCCGGCCTGGGCGACAGAGCGAGACTCCATCTCAAAAAATAAAAATAGAAAATAAACATTAATGAAAATTCTCAGCAAAAGTCATATATATTCTCGCCAAGGCGACACACCAGCTAATTACTGTGTCGACTCCTTTGTTTTGGGCTCGATTTTATGAACTTGGTGCAGTAACACCTGCCGTTTACCTCTGGCCTATCCAAAGCCCAGATAAGCACAGGCAACAAAAGCACAAATAGACAAATGGTCCAACTTCGAGGTTAAACATTTCTGCACAGGAAACAACAGTGGAAAGGCAAGACATGGAATAAGAGGAAATAACTGCAGATTATATGTCTGGTACGTCGGATATTCGTCCAGCACATATAAAGAGCTCCTGCAACTGAACAATTGAAAAACAAGTTAACTGATTGAAAAATGAGCAAACGACCTGAATAGATATTTCTCCAGAAAAGATATACAAGTAGCAAACAAACATGGAAGGATCCTCAACATCAGTAATCATTAGAGAAATACACATCAAAACCACAGTGATAGCACCTCACATCCATGAAATGCTACAGTGAAACAAAAATAGTGTTAACAAGGATGTGTGGAAATTGGAGCCCTCGTGGATTGCCTGTAGGACTAGAAAATGGTGTGGCCACCGTGGAAAACACTATGGAGCCTCCTCAAAAAAGCACTAAATATCAGGCTGGGCACAGTGGCTCACACCTGTCATCCCAGCACTTTGGGAGCCCGAGGCAGGTGGATCACAAAGTCAGGAGTTCGAGACCAGCCTGGCCAACATGGTGAAACTCCGTCTCTACTAAAAATAAAAAATTAGCCGGGCGTGGTTGTGGGTGCCAGGAATCCCAGCTACCCGGGAGGCTGAGGCAGGAGAATTGCTTGAACCCCGGAGGCAGAGGTTGCATTGAGCCGAGATCGCGCCACTGCACTCCAGCCTGGGTGACAAAGGAAGACTCCATCTCGGGGGGGCGGGGTGGGGGGAAGCAAACACAAAATAATTAGCTGAGTGTGGTGACAGATGCCTATAGTCCCAGCTACTCGGGAGGCTAAGGCAGGAGAAGCGCCTGAACCAGGAGGTGGAGGCTGCAGTGAGCCGATTATGCCACCGCACTCCACCCTGGGCGGCACAGTGAAACTCCATCTCCGCAAAAACAAAACCAGAAAAATAACAACTAAAAATCACTTGGGTGTGGTGATGTGCAGCTGCACTACCGGCTACTTGGGAGGCTGAGGGAAGGGGATCACTGAAGCCCAGGAGTTCAAGGCCAGCCTGGGCAACATATAAAACTCTGTCTCTTAAAAAATAAATAAATAACCAGAAATGGAACCACCTATGAACCAGCAATCACATTACTTCTCCGACTAAATCCAAAAAGATTGAAAGCAGAGTCTGGAAGGGATTATTGCACAACCGTGGTCGTTACAGCAGTATTCACAATAGCCAAAAGATGGAAGCAGCCCGGTGCCCATGATCGCATTATGTTATGACACCACCACTTCTCCTGTTGTCCTTTCCAGTTTCTCCCCAACCTCCCCTTTTCCCTAGTTTATAAGACAAGAGAAAAGAGAGAAAGCAAAAAGTTGGAAAGAAACAAAAGTAAGATAAATAGCTAGACGACCTTGGTGCCACCACCTGGCCCTGGTGATTAAAATAATAATAGTATTAACCGCTGACCAAAACTACTGGTGCTATCTGTAAATTCCAGACATTGTATGAGAAAGCACTGTAAAACTTTTTGTTCTGGCCGGGCGCGGTGGCTCACGCCTGTAATCCCAGGACTTTGGGAGGCCGAGGTGGGCGGATCATGAGGTCAGGAGATGGAGACCATCCTGGCTAACACGGTGAAACCCCATCTCTACTAAAAATACAAAAAATTAGCTGGGTGCAGGCCGGGCACGGTGGCTCCAGCCTCTAATCCCAGCACTTTGGGAGGCCGAGGCGGGTGGATCACAAGGTCAGGAGATCGAGACCATCCTGGTTAACATGATGAAACCCCGTGTCTACTAAAAATACAAAAAATTAGCCGGGCGCGGTGGCGGGCGCCTGTAGTCCCAGCTACTGGGGAGGCTGAGGCAGGAGAATGCTGTGAACCCGGGAGGCGGAGCTTGAAGTGAGCTGAGATCACACCACTGCACTCCAGCCTGGGCCACAGAGCGAGATTCCGTCTCAAAAAAAATAAAAAAATAAAAACTTTTTGTTCTCTTAGCTGATGTATGTAGCCCCCACTCACGTTCCTCACACTTACTTGATCTATTATGACTCTTTCACATAGACCCCTTAGAGTTCTTAGCCCTTAAAAGGGCTAGGAATTTCTTTTTCGGGGAGCTCGGCTCTTAAGACACGAGTCTGCCGAATCTCCCGGCCAAATAAAAAAACCTCTTCCTTCTTTAATCTGGTGTCTGAGGAGTTTTGACTGTGACTCATCCTGTTACAGCATGACTGGAAAAAGAAAATGTGGTTCATCCATATAATGAAATATGAATCAGCCCTAAAAAGGAAGGAATGATGAGACAGGCTACCACATGGACTCACCTGTTGTTAACAAGATAAGCCAGACAAAAAAGTGCTGTGTGATCCCACTCCTATGAGGTCTCTGGAAGAGTGGAATTCATAGAGACAGACAGTAGAATGGTGGGTGCCAGGGGCCGGGGGAATGGGGCACCCTGGTTTGATGTGGACACAGTTTCTGTTTTGTAAGATGAAGAAGTTGTAAACATCTGTTATACAACAATGCGGATATGATGAACACTGCTGAAGTGTATCCTTAAAAATACTTTAAAGGGGCCGGGCGCGGTGGCTCATGCCTGTAATCCCAGCACTTTGGGAGGCCGAGGCAGGCGGATCACGAGGTCAGGAGATCGACACCGTCTTGGCCAACACAGTGAAACCCCGTCTCTACTAAAATACAAAAAAATTGCCAGGTGTGGTGGCGGGTGCCTGTGATCCCAGCTACTTGGGAGGCTGAGGCAGGGGAATCACTTGAACCCGGGAGGTAGAGGTTGAAGTGAGCTGAGATTGTGCCACTGCACTCCAGCCTGGGCAACAGAGCAAGCCTCCATCTAAAAAAAAGAAGTAGTTGAAAGGGTAAATTTTATGTTATGTGGCTTTTACCTCCATTAAAAATAAAAATAAAGGCTGAATGTGGTAGCTTACCCCTGTAATCCGAGCACTTTGGGAGGCCAAAGCAGGAGGATTACTTGAGCTCAGAAGTGTGAGACCAGCCTGGACAACTTGGTGAGACCCCATCTCTACTAGAAATTTTTTTTTAATTGGCTGAGTGTGATGGTGTGCACCTATAATCCCCAGATACTCAGGAGGCTGAGGCAAGAGGATTGCTTGAGCCTAGGAGCGGGGGGCTGTGGTGAGCCATGATGGTACCATTGCACTCCAGCCTGGGTGACAGAGTGAGACCCTGCCTCAAAAAAAAAAAAAATTAAATTAAGAAAAATTTAAAAGGCCAGGCTAATGATATATTTCTTTTATTAATAAACGTGGGAACCTTAATTTAACATGATGTCAATAAACATGATTATGGTTCTTCCAAATTTGGGGTCCCTGGTGAGAGAAAAAGAATAAGATAGGGATGGGTGTGGTGGTGCACGCCTGTAATCCCAGCACTTTGGGAGGCCAAGGCCAGCAGCTCACCTGAGGTTGGGAGTTCGAGACCAGCCTGACCAACATAGAGAATCCCCATCTCTAAAAATACAAAAAATTAGCCAGGCGTGGTGGCGCCCACCTGTAATCCCAGCTACTTGGGAGGCTGAGGCCGGAGAATTGCTTGAACCCGGGAGGCGGAGGTTGCGGTGAGCTGATATCACACCATTGCACTCCAGCCTGGGTAACAAGAGCGAAACTCCGTCTCTAATAATAATAATAATAAATAAAGGGCCTCAGGGTGAAGAATTTGGATACCACTTGACTGGAGGCCACCTGGGGCCACTTCAGCTCTAGTTTCTGTGGTTTACGGCCACAGTGGTGTCTTCCCTGCAACGTTCTCGTGGGTGCCGTATTGACAAAACATTAAAACGAGATGGGGTCCCTGCGAGACTCCCGAGGGAGGGAGCAGGAAGATCCGTGCGGCACCGCGAAGGTACGGCATGTTCTCCACAACTCTCCCAGGCCACAAAGAAAGATGAGTCAGTGGGCTCTGAATTCTCCAGCACAGACAGGGGGCGAGTCAAAGGGCTCCCAATCGGACTTGAAGAGATCACGCAGGAAGTCCTGACGTTCACGGCGAGCAGGGCTCTGTGTAGGCCAACATGCCAGCACTGTGAGGATAATATTTTTTAATCCCCCGTTTCCTTGAGCGGCCCCAGAAAACTTACACACACCCTGTTCTGCAGACTCCTGGGAGTGTAGGTCTCATTAAGGGCAGATAGAGACCAGACTGTGCAACCTTTAGAGTCTGCATTGGGTCTAGGTCTCATTGAGAGCAGATAGAGAGCACACTGTGCAACCTCTAGAGTCGGCATTGGGCCTAGGTCTCATTGAGGACAGATAGAGACCAGACTGTTGAAACTTTAGAGTCTGCATTGGGCCTAGGTCTCATTGAGGACAGATAGAGGGCAGACTGTGCAACCTTTAGAGTCTGCAATGGGCCTAGGTCTCATTGAGGACAGATACAGAGCAGACTGTGCAAACTTTAAAGTCTGCACTGAGCCTAGGTCTCATTGAGGGCAGATAGAGACCAGACTGTGCAACCTTTAGAGTCTGCATTGGGTCTAGGTCTCACTGAGGAGAGATAGAGAGCAGACTTTGCAAACTTTAGAGTCTCCATTGGGTCTAGGTCTCACTGAGGACTGATAGAGAGCAGACTATGCAACCTTTAGAGTCTGCACTGGCCCTAGGTCTCATTGAGGACAGATAGAGAGCAGACTGCGCAAACTTTAGAGTCTGCATTGGGCCTAGGTCTCACTGAGGACAGATAGAGAGCACACTGTGTAACCTTTAGAGTCTGCATAGGGCCTCGGTCTCATTGAGGACAGATAGAGAGCAGACTGTGCAACCTTTAGAGTCTGCATTGGGCCTGGGTCTCATTGAGGAAAAATAGAGAGCAGACTGTGCAACCTTTAGAGTCTGCATTGGGCCTAGGTCTCATTGAGGGCAGATAGAGAGCAGACTGTGCAACCTTTAGAGTCTGCACTAGGCCTAGGTCTCATCGAGGACAGATAGAGAGCAGACTGTGCAACCTTTAGAGTCTGCATTGGACCTAGGTCTCATTGAGGACAGATAGAGAGCAGACTATGCAAACTTTACAGTCTGCACTGGGCCTGGGTCTCATTGAGGACAGATAGAGAGCAGACTGTGCAACCTTTACAGTCTGCATTGGGCCTGGGTCTCATTCAGGAGAGATAGAGACCAGACTGTGCAACCTTTAGAGTTTGCATTGGGCCTAGGTCTCATTGAGAGCAGATAGAGAGCAGACTGTGCAACCTTTAGAGTCTGAATTGGGCCTAGGTCTCATTGAGGGCCGATAGAGAGCAGACTGTGCAAACTTTAGAGTCTGCACTGGGCCTAGGTCTCATTGAGGACACATAGAGAGCAGACTGTGCAACCTTTAGAGTCTGCATTTGGCCTAGGTCTCATTGAGGACTGATGGAGAGCACACTGTGCAACCTTTAGAGTCTGCATTGGGCCTAGGTCTCATTGAGGACAGATAGAGACCACACTGTGCAACCTTTAGCGTTTGCATAGGGCCTAGGTCTCATTGAGGGCAGATAGAGAGCAGACTGTGCAACCTTTAGAGTCTGCATTGGGCCTAGGTCTCATTGAGGACCGATAGAGAGCAGACTGTGCAACCTTTAGAGTCTGCATTGGGCCTGGGTCTCATTGAGGACAAATAGAGATCAGACTGTGCAACCTTTAGAGTCTGCATTGGGCCTAGGTATCAGTGAGGACAGATAGAGAGCAGACTGTGCAACCTTTAGAGTCTGCACTGGGCCTAGGTCTCTTTGAGGACAGACAGAGAGCAGACTGTGCAAACTTTAGAGTCTGCACTGGGCCTAGGTGTCATTGAGGACAGATAGAGACCAGACTGTGCAACCTTTAGAGTCTGCATTGGGCCTAGGTCTCCTTGAGGTCAGATAGACAGCAGACTCTGCAACCTTTAGAGTCTGCATTGGGCCTAGGTCTAATTGCGGACAGATAGACAGCAGACTGTGCAACGTTTAGAGTTTGCATTGGGCCTAGGTCTAATTGCGGACAGATAGAGAGCAGACTATGCAACGTTTAGAGTCTGCATTGGGCCTGGGTCTCATTGAGGACAGATAGAGAGCAGACTGTGCAACCTTTAGAGTCTCTATTGGGCCTAGGTCTCATTAAGGACAGATAGGGAGCGGACTGTGCAAACTTTAGAGTCTGCATTGGGCCTAGGTCTCATTGAGGGCAGATAGAGAGCAGGCTCGGCAACCCTTAGAGTCTGCATTGGGCCTAGATCTCATTGAGGACAGATAGAGAGCATACTATGCAACCTTTAGAGTCTGCACTGGGCCTAGGTCTCATTGAGGACACATAGAGAGCAGACTGTGCAACCTTTAGAGTCTGCATTGGGCCTATGTCTCATTGAGGACAGTTAGAGAGCAGACTGTGCAACCTTTAGAGTCTGCATTTGGCCTAGGTCTCATTGAGGACAGAAAGAGACCAGAGTGTGCAACCTTTAGAGTTTGCATTGGGCCTAGGTCTCATTGAGGACAGATAGAGAGCAGACTGTGCAACCTTTAGAGTCTGCATTGGGCCTAGGTCTCATTGAGGTCAGATAGAGAGCAGACTGTGCAAGCTTTAGAGTCTGCACTTGGCCTAGGTCTCACTGAGGACAGATAGAGAACAGACTGTGCAACCTTTAGAGTCTGCATTGGGCCTAGGTCTCATTGAGGGCAGTTAGAGAGCAGACTGTGCAACCTTTAGAGTCTGCATTGGGCCTAGGTCTCATTGAGAGCAGATAGAGAGCACACTGTGCAACCTCTAGAGTCGGCATTGGGCCTAGGTCTCATTGAGGACAGATAGAGACCAGACTGTGCAAACTTTAGAGTCTGCATTGGGCCTAGGTCTCATTGAGGACAGATAGAGAGCAGACTGTGAAACCTTTAGAGTCTGCACTGGGCCTAGGTCTCATTGAGGGCAGATAGAGACCATACTGTGCAACCTTTAGAGTCTGCATTGGGTCTAGGTCTCACTGAGGAGAGATAGAGAGCAGACTTTGCAAACTTTAGAGTCTGCATTAGGTCTAGGTCTCACTGAGGACTGATAGAGAGCAGACTATGCAACCTTTAGAGTCTGCACTGGCCCTAGGTCTCATTGAGGACAGATAGAGAGCAGACTGCGCAAACTTTAGAGTTTGCATTGGGCCTAGGTCTCACTGAGGACAGATAGAGAGCACACTGTGTAACCTTTAGAGTCTGCATAGGGCCTCGGTCTCATTGAGGACCGATAGAGAGCAGACTGTGCCACCTTTAGAGTCTGCATTGGGCCTGGGTCTCATTGAGGAGAAATAGAGAGCAGACTGTGCAACCTTTAGAGTCTGCATTGGGCCTAGGTCTCATTGAGGACAGATGGAGAGCAGACTGTGCAACCTTTAGAGTCTGCATTGGGCCTAGGTCTCATTGAGGGCAGATAGAGAGCAGACTGTGCAACCTTTAGAGTCTGCATTGGGCCTATGTCTCATTGAGAGCAGATAGAGAGCATACTGTGCAACCTTTAGAGTCGGCATTGGGCCTAGGTCTCATTGAGGACAGATAGAGACCAGACTGTGCAACCTTTAGAGTCTGCATTGGGCCTAGTTCTCATTGAGGACAGATAGAGAGCAGACTAGGCAACCATTAGAGTCGGCAGTGGTCCTAGGTCTCATTGAGGACAGATATAGAGCAGACTGTGCAACCTTTAGAGTCTGCATTGGGCCTGGGTCTCATTGAGGACAGATAGAGAGCAGACTGTGCAACCTTTAGAGTCTGCACTGGGCCTAGGTCTCATTGAGGACAGATAGAGGGCAGACTGTGCAAACTTTAGAGTCTGCATTGGGCCTAGGTCTCATTGAGGACCGATAGAGAGCAGACTGTGCAACCTTTAGAGTCTGCACTGGGCCTAGGTCTCATTGAGGACAGATAGAGACCATACTGTGCAACCTTTAGAGTCTGCATTGGGTCTAGGTCTCACTGAGGAGAGATAGAGAGCAGACTTTGCAAACTTTAGAGTCTGCATTGGGTCTAGGTCTCACTGAGGACTGATAGAGAGCAGACTATGCAACCTTTAGAGTCTGCACTGGCCCTAGGTCTCATTGAGGACAGATAGAGAGCAGACTGCGCAAACTTTAGAGTCTGCATTGGGCCTAGGTCTCATTGAGGACAGATAGAGAGCACACTGTGTAACCTTTAGAGTCTGCATAGGGCCTCGGTCTCATTGAGGACCGATAGAGAGCAGACTGTGCAACCTTTAGAGTCTGCATTGGGCCTGGGTCTCATTGAGGACAAATAGAGAGCAGACTGTGCAACCTTTAGAGTCTGCATTGGGCCTAGGTCTCATTGAGGACAGATGGAGAGCAGACTGTGCAACCTTTAGAGTCTGCATTGGGCCTAGGTCTCATTGAGGACAGATGGAGAGCAGACTGTGCAACCTTTAGAGTCTGCATTGGGCCTAGGTCTCATTGAGGGCAGATAGAGAGCAGACTGTGCAACCTTTAGAGTCTGCACTAGGCCTAGGTCTCATTGAGGACAGATAGAGAGCAGACTGTGCAACCTTTAGAGTCTGCATTGGACCTAGGTCTCATTGAGGACAGATAGAGAGCAGACTATGCAAACTTTAGAGGCTGCACTGAGCCTAGGTCTCATTGAGGACAGATAGAGAGCAGACTGTGCAACCTTTACAGTCTGCATTGGACCTGGGCCTCATTCAGGAGAGATAGAGACCAGACTGTGCAACCTTTAGAGTCTGCATTGGGCCTAGGTCTCATTGAGAGCAGATAGAGAGCAGACTGTGCAACCTTTACAGTCTGCATTGGGCCTAGGTCTCATTGAGGGCAGATAGAGAGCAGACTGTGCAACCTTTAGAGTCTGCACTGGGCCTAGGTCTCATTGAGGACACATAGAGAGCAGACTGTGCAACCTTTAGAGTCTGCATTGGGCCTAGGTCTCATTGTGGGCAGATAGAGAGCCGACTGTGCAAACTTTAGAGTCTGCATTGGGCCTAGGTCTCATTGAGGAGAGATAGAGAGCAGACTGTGCAACCTTTAGAGTCTGCATTGGGCCTAGGTCTCATTGAGGACAGATGGAGAGCACACTGTGCAACCTTTAGAGTCCGCATTGGGCCTAGGTCTCATTGAGGACAGATAGAGACCAGACTGTGCAACCTTTAGAGTTTGCATTGGGCCTAGGTCTCATTGAGGGCAGATAGAGAGCAGACTGTGCCACCTTTAGAGTCTGCATTGGGCCTAGGTCTCATTGAGGACAGATAGAGAGCAGACTGTGCAACCTTTAGAGTCTGCACTGGGCCTAGGTCTCTTTGAGGACAGACAGAGAGCAGACTGTGCAAACTTTAGAGTCTGCACTGGGCCTAGGTGTCATTGAGGACAGATAGAGACCAGACTGTGCAACCTTTAGAGTCTGCATTGGGCCTAGGTCTCCTTGACGTCATATAGACAGCAGACTGTGCAACCTTTAGAGTCTGCATTGGGTCTAGGTCTAATTGCGGACAGATAGAGAGCAGACTATGCAACGTTTAGAGTCTGCATTGGGCCTGGGTCTCATTGAGGACAGATAGAGAGCAGACTGTGCAACCTTTAGAGTCTCTATTGGGCCTAGGTCTCATTGAGGACAGATAGAGAGCGGACTGTGCAACCTTTAGAGTCTGCATTGGGCCTAGGTCTCATTGAGGGCAGATAGAGAGCAGGCTCGGCAACCCTTAGAGTCTGCATTGGGCTTAGATCTCATTGAGGACAGATAGAGAGCATACTATGCAACCTTTAGAGTCTGCACTGGGCCTAGGTCTCATTGAGGACACATAGAGAGCAGACTGTGCAACCTTTAGAGTCTGCATTGGGCCTATGTCTCATTGAGGACAGTTAGAGAGCAGACTGTGCAACCTTTAGAGTCTGCATTGGGCCTAGGTCTCATTGAGGACAGATAGAGAGCAGACTGTAGAACCTTTATAGTCTGCATTGGGCCTAGGTCTCATTGAGGTCAGATAGAGAGCAGACTGTAGAACCTTTATAGTCTGCATTGGGCCTAGGTCTCATTGAGGTCAGATAGAGAGCAGACTGTGCAAGCTTTAGAGTCTGCACTTGGCCTAGGTCTCATTGAGGACAGATAGAGAGCAGACTGTGCAACCTTTAGAGTCTGCATTGGGCCTAGGTCTCATTGAGGGCAGATAGAGACCAGACTATGCAACGTTTAGAGTCTGCATTGGGCCTAGGTGTCATTGAGGGCAGTTAGAGAGCAGACTGTGCTACCTTTAGAGTCTGCATTGGGCCTAGGTCTCATTGAGAGCAGATAGAGAGCACACTGTGCAAACTTTAGAGTCGGCATTGGGCCTAGGTCTCATTGAGGACAGATAGAGACCGGACTGTGCAACCTTTAGAGTCTGCATTGGGCCTAGGTCTCATTGAGGACAGATAAAGAGCAGACTAGGCAACCATTAGAGTCGGCACTGGTCCTAGGTCTCATTGAGGACGGATATAGAGCAGACTGTGCAACCTTTAGAGTCTGCATTGGGCCTGGGTCTCATTGAGGACAGATAGCGACCAGACTGTGCAACCTTTAGAGTTTGCATTGGGTCTAGGTCTCATTGAGGGCAGTTAGAGAGCAGACTGTGCAACCTTTAGAGTCTGCATTGGGCCTAGGTCTCATTGAGAGCAGATAGAGAGCACACTGTGCAACCTCTAGAGTCGGCATTGGGCCTAGGTCTCATTGAGGACAGATGGAGAGCACACTGTGCAACCTTTAGAGTCCGCATTGGGCCTAGGTCTCATTGAGGACAGATAGAGACCAGACTGTGCAACTTTAGAGTTTGCATTGGGCCTAGGTCTCATTGAGGGCAGATAGAGAGCAGACTGTGCAACCTTTAGAGTCTGCATTGGGCCTAGGTCTCATTGAGGACAGATAGAGAGCAGACTGTGCAACATTTAGAGTCTGCACTGGGCCTAGGTCTCTTTGAGGACAGACAGAGAGCAGACTGTGCAAACTTTAGAGTCTGCACTGGGCCTAGGTGTCATTGAGGACAGATAGAGACCAGACTGTGCAACCTTTAGAGTCTGCATTGGGCCTAGGTCTCCTTGAGGTCAGATAGACAGCAGACTGTGCAACCTTTAGAGTCTGCATTGGGCCTAGGTCTCATTGAGGGCAGATAGAGAGCAGGCTCGGCAACCCTTAGAGTCTGCATTGGGCTTAGATCTCATTGAGGACAGATAGAGAGCATACTATGCAACCTTTAGAGTCTGCACTGAGCCTAGGTCTCATTGAGGACACATAGAGAGCAGACTGTGCAACCTTTAGAGTCTGCATTGGGCCTATGTCTCATTGAGGACAGTTAGAGAGCAGACTGTGCAACCTTTAGAGTCTGCATTTGGCCTAGGTCTCATTGAGGACAGAAAGAGACCAGAGTGTGCAACCTTTAGAGTCTGCATTGGATCTAGGTCTCACTGAGGAGAGATAGAGAGCAGACTTTGCAAACTTTAGAGTCTCCATTGGGTCTAGGTCTCACTGAGGACTGATAGAGAGCAGACTATGCAACCTTTAGAGTCTGCACTGGCCCTAGGTCTCATTGAGGACACATAGAGAGCAGACTGCGCAAACTTTAGAGTCTGCATTGGGCCTAGGTCTCACTGAGGACAGATAGAGAGCACACTGTGTAACCTTTAGAGTCTGCATAGGGCCTCGGTCTCATTGAGGACCGATAGAGAGCAGACTGTGCCACCTTTAGAGTCTGCATTGGGCCTGGGTCTCATTGAGGACAAATAGAGAGCAGACTGTGCAACCTTTAGAGTCTGCATTGGGCCTAGGTCTCATTGAGGACAGATAGAGAGCAGACTGTACAACCTTTAGAGTCTGCATTGGGCCTAGGTCTCATTGAGGAGAGATAGAGAGCAGACTGCGCAACCTTTAGAGTCTTCATTGGGCCTAGGTCTCATTGAGGGCAGATAGAGACCAGAGTGTGCAACCTTTAGAGTCTGCATTGGGCCTAGGTCTCATTGAGGACAGATAGAGAGCAGACTGTAGAACCTTTATAGTCTGCATTGGGCCTAGGTCTCATTGAGGTCAGATACAGAGCAGACTGTGCAAGCTTTAGAGTCTGCACTTGGCCTAGGTCTCATTGAGGACAGATAGAGAACAGACTGTGCAACCTTTAGAGTCTGCACTAGGCCTAGGTCTCATTGAGGACAGATAGAGAGCAGACTGTGCAACCTTTAGAGTCTGCATTGGACCTAGGTCTCATTGAGGACAGATAGAGAGCAGACTATGCAAACTTTAGAGGCTGCACTGAGCCTAGGTCTCATTGAGGACAGATAGAGAGCAGACTGTGCAACCTTTACAGTCTGCATTGGGCCTGGGCCTCATTCAGGACAGATAGAGACCAGACTGTGCAACCTTTAGAGTCTGCATTGGGCCTAGGTCTCATTGAGAGCAGATAGAGAGCAGACTGTGCAACCTTTAGAGTCTGCATTGGGCCTAGGTCTCATTGAGGGCAGATAGAGAGCAGACTGTGCAACCTTTAGAGTCTGCATTGGGCCTAGGTCTCATTGAGGACAGATGGAGAGCACACTGTGCAACCTTTAGAGTCCGCATTGGGCCTAGGTCTCATTGAGGACAGATAGAGACCAGACTGTGCAACTTTAGAGTTTGCATTGGGCCTAGGTCTCATTGAGGGCAGATAGAGAGCAGACTGTGCAACCTTTAGAGTCTGCATTGGGCCTAGGTCTCATTGAGGACAGATAGAGAGCAGACTGTGCAACCTTTAGAGTCTGCACTGGGCCTAGGTCTCTTTGAGGACAGACAGAGAGCAGACTGTGCAAACTTTAGAGTCTGCACTGGGCCTAGGTGTCATTGAGGACAGATAGAGACCAGACTGTGCAACCTTTAGAGTCTGCATTGGGCCTAGGTCTCCTTGAGGTCAGATAGACAGCAGACTGTGCAACCTTTAGAGTCTGCATTGGGCCTAGGTCTCATTGAGGGCAGATAGAGAGCAGGCTCGGCAACCCTTAGAGTCTGCATTGGGCTTAGATCTCATTGAGGACAGATAGAGAGCATACTATGCAACCTTTAGAGTCTGCACTGAGCCTAGGTCTCATTGAGGACACATAGAGAGCAGACTGTGCAACCTTTAGAGTCTGCATTGGGCCTATGTCTCATTGAGGACAGTTAGAGAGCAGACTGTGCAACCTTTAGAGTCTGCATTTGGCCTAGGTCTCATTGAGGACAGAAAGAGACCAGAGTGTGCAACCTTTAGAGTCTGCATTGGGCCTAGGTCTCATTGAGGACAGATAGAGAGCAGACTGTAGAACCTTTGTAGTCTGCATTGGGCCTAGGTCTCATTGAGGTCAGATAGAGAGCAGACTGTGCAAGCTTTAGAGTCTGCACTTGGCCTAGGTCTCATTGAGGACAGATAGAGAGCAGACTGTGCAACCTTTAGAGTCTGCATTGGGCCTAGGTCTCATTGAGGGCAGGTAGAGACCAGACTATGCAACGTTTAGAGTCTGCATTGGGCCTAGGTGTCATTGAGGGCAGTTAGAGAGCAGACTGTGCTACCTGTAGAGTCTGCATTGGGCCTAGGTCTCATTGAGAGCAGATAGAGAGCACACTGTGCAAACTTTAGAGTCGGCATTGGGCCTAGGTCTCATTGAGGACAGATAGAGACCGGACTGTGCAACCTTTAGAGTCTGCATTGGGCCTAGGTCTCATTGAGGACAGATAAAGAGCAGACTAGGCAACCATTAGAGTCGGCACTTTTCCTAGGTCTCATTGAGGACAGATATAGAGCAGACTGTGCAACCTTTAGAGTCTGCATTGGGTCTGGGTCTCATTGAGGACAGATAGCGACCAGACTGTGCAACCTTTAGAGTCTGCATTGGGCTTAGGTCTCATTGAGGGCAGTTAGAGAGCAGACTGTGCAACCTTTAGAGTCTGCATTGGGTCTAGGTCTCATTGAGAGCAGACAGAGAGCACACTGTGCAACCTCTAGATTCGGCATTGGGCCTAGGTCTCATTGAGGATAGATAGAGACCAGACTGTTAAAACTTTAGAGTCTGCATTGGGCCTAGGTCTCATTGAGGACAGATAGAGGGCAGACTGTGCAACCTTTAGAGTCTGCATTGGGCCTAGGTCTCATTGAGGACAGATACAGAGCAGACTGTGCAAACTTTAAAGTCTGCACTGAGCCTAGGTCTCATTGAGGGCAGATAGAGACCATACTGTGCAACCTTTAGAGTCTGCATTGGGTCTAGGTCTCACTGAGGAGAGATAGAGAGCAGACTTTGCAAACTTTAGAGTCTCCATTGGGTCTAGGTCTCACTGAGGACTGATAGAGAGCACACTGTGTAACCTTTAGAGTCTGCATAGGGCCTCGGTCTCATTGAGGACCGATAGAGAGCAGACTGTGCAACCTTTAGAGTCTGCATTGGGCCTGGGTCTCATTGAGGACAAATAGAGAGCAGACTGTGCAACCTTTAGAGTCTGCATTGGGCCTAGGTCTCATTGAGGACAGATAGAGAGCAGACTGTGCAACCTTTAGAGTCTGCATTGGGCCTAGGTCTCATTGAGAGCAGATAGAGAGCAGACTGTGCAACCTTTAGAGTCTGCACTAGGCCTAGGTCTCATCGAGGACAGATAGAGAGCAGACTGTGCAACCTTTAGAGTCTGCATTGGACCTAGGTCTCATTGAGGACAGATAGAGAGCAGACTATGCAAACTTTACAGTCTGCACTGGGCCTAGGTCTCATTGAGGACAGATAGAGACCAGAGTGTGCAACCTTTAGAGTCTGCATTGGGCCTAGGTCTCATTGAGGACAGATAGAGAGCAGACTGTAGAACCTTTATAGTCTGCATTGGGCCTAGGTCTCATTGAGGTCAGATAGAGAGCAGACTGTGCAAGCTTTAGAGTCTGCACTTGGCCTAGGTCTCATTGAGGACAGATAGAGAGCAGACTGTGCAACCTTTAGAGTCTGCATTGGGCCTAGGTCTCATTGAGGACAGATAGAGACCAGACTGTGCAACCTTTATAGTCTGCACTGGGCCTAGGTCTCATTGAGGACAGATAGAGAGCAGACTGCGCAACCTTTAGAGTCTTCATTGGGCCTAGGTCTCATTGAGGGCAGATAGAGACCAGACTATGCAACCTTTAGAGTCTGCATTGGGCCTAGGTCTCATTGAGGGCAGATAGAGAGCAGACTGTGCAACCTTTAGAGTATGCATTGGGCCTAGGTCTCATTGAGGGCAGATAGAGAGCAGACTGTGCAACGTTTAGAGTCTGCATTGTGCCTAAGTCTCATTGAGGACAGATAGAGAGCAGACTGTGCAACCTTTCGAGTCTGCACTGGGCCTAGGTCTCATTGAGGGCAGATAGGGACCAGACTATGCAACCTTTAGAGTCTGCACTGGGCCTAGGTCTCATTGAGGGCAGATAGAGACCAGACTATGCAACCTTTAGAGTCTGCATTGGGACCCCAGAAATCCTAAAGCTTTGTGTGGTCTAAGGACGGTTGGAGAGCCACGTCTGGACCATCCCTGTGGCTGCCACCTGAATGGCGGCCAGCACGAGATCTTATGCTTGCACACTGTGCCTGCAAGGGTGGGAGGGGCTGGCTTATCTCAGACAACCTCCTGATAGTGGGGTAAACCAAAAATAGAATTCTAAGCCCCTCAGCTGACTGAGTGGACCTGTTTGTAGCCAAGGGGATCCCAAAGAAACCTGAAAAACAACTCAGGCCATGACAGGAAGAGGGGATCTCGGGCCGTGACCGGAAGAGGGAGTCTCGGGCCGTGACAGGAAGAGGGAGTCTCGGGCCGTGACAGGAAGAGGGGGTCTCGGGCCGTGACAGGAAGAGGGGGTCTCGGGCCGTGACAGGAAGAGGGGGTCTCGGGCCGTGACAGGAAGAGGGAGTCTCGGGCCGTGACAGGAAGAGGGGGTCTCGGGCCGTGACAGGAAGAGGGGGTCTCCGGCCGTGACAGGAAGAGGGGGTCTCGGGCCGTGACAGGAAGAGGGGATCTCGGGCCGTGACAGGAAGAGGGAGTCTCGGGCCGTGACAGGAAGAGGGGGTCTCGGGCCGTGACAGGAAGAGGGGGTCTCGGGCCGTGACAGGAAGAGGGGGTCTCGGGCCGTGACAGGAAGAGGGGGTCTCGGGCCGTGACAGGAAGAGGGGGTCTCGGGCCGTGACAGGAAGAGGGGGTCTCCGGCCGTGACAGGAAGAGGGAGTCTCGGGCCGTGACAGGAAGAGGGGATCTCGGGCCGTGACAGGAAGAGGGAGTCTCGGGCCGTGACAGGAAGAGCGGGTCTCGGGCCGTGACAGGAAGAGCGGGTCTCAGGTTGTGACAGGAAGAGGGAGTCTCGGGCCGTGACAGGAAGAGGGAGTCTCGGGCCGTGACAGGAAGAGGGGGTCTCGGGCCGTGACAGGAAGAGGGGGTCTCGGGCCGTGACAGGAAGAGGGGGTCTCCGGCCGTGACAGGAAGAGGGGGTCTCGGGCCGTGACAGGAAGAGGGGATCTCGGGCCGTGACAGGAAGAGGGAGTCTCGGGCCGTGACAGGAAGAGGGGGTCTCGGGCCGTGACAGGAAGAGGGGGTCTCGGGCCGTGACAGGAAGAGGGGGTCTCGGGCCGTGACAGGAAGAGGGGGTCTCGGGCCGTGACAGGAAGAGGGGGTCTCGGGCCGTGACAGGAAGAGGGGGTCTCCGGCCGTGACAGGAAGAGGGAGTCTCGGGCCGTGACAGGAAGAGGGGATCTCGGGCCGTGACAGGAAGAGGGAGTCTCGGGCCGTGACAGGAAGAGCGGGTCTCGGGCCGTGACAGGAAGAGCGGGTCTCAGGTTGTGACAGGAAGAGGGAGTCTCGGGCCGTGACAGGAAGAGGGAGTCTCGGGCCGTGACAGGAAGAGGGGGTCTCGGGCCGTGACAGGAAGAGGGGGTCTCGGGCCGTGACAGGAAGAGGGTGTCTCGGGCCGTGACAGGAAGAGCGGGTCTCAGGTTGTGACAGGAAGGAGTCTCCTGTGTGTAGGGACTCATCCATTCTGTACAACTCATGTGCATCCTCCCATGTGCATCCTCCTCTGTGCATCCTTCCATGTGCATCCTTGAAGGGGTGGCCTGCCCCTCCACACCTGTGGGCATTTCTCATCAGGAGGAACGAGAGACTTGAAAAAAGAAAGAGACACAGAGATAAAGTAGAGAGAAAGAAAAATGGGCCCAGGGGACCGGCGCTCAGCATACAGAGGACCCGCGCCGGCACCTGCCTCTGAGTTCCCTTAGTACTTATTGATCATTATCGGGGAGAGGGGGATGTGGCAGGACAATAGGGTAATAGTGGAGAGAGGGTCAGCAGGAAAACGTGAACAAATGTCTCTGCATCATAAACAAGGTACAGAAAAAAGTGCTGTGCTTTGATGTGCACATACATAAACATCTCAACGCCTTAAAGAGCAGTGTTGCCGCCAGCATGTCCCACCTCCAGCCATAAGGCAGTTTTACCCTATCTCAGTAGATGGAATATACAATCGGTTTACACCGAGACATTCTATTGTCCAGGGACGAGCAGGAGACAGATGCCTTCCTCTTATCTCAACTGCAAAGAGGCCTTCCTCTTTTACTAATCCTCCTCAGCACAGACCCTTTATGGGTGTTGAGCTGGGGGATGGTCAGCTCTTTCCCTTCCCACGAGGCCATATTTCAGACTATCACATGGGGAGAAACCTTGGACAATACCCGGCTTTCAAGAGCAGAGGTCCCTGCGGCTTTCCGCAGGGCACTGTGCCCCTGGTTTATTGAGACTAGAGGATGGCGATGACTTTTACCAAGTATACCGCTCGTGAACATCTTGTTAACAAGGCACGTCCTGCACCGCCCTGGATCCCTTAAACCTTGATTTCATACAACACATGTTTTTGTGAGCTCCAGGTTGGGGCAAAGTGGCTGGGGCAAAGCTACAAATTAACAACATCTCAGCAAAGCAATTGTTTAAAGGACAGGTCTTTTTCAAAATGGAGTCTCTTATGTCTTTCCTTTCTACATAGACACAGTGACAGTCTGATCTCTCTTTCTTTTCCCTAGAATCTGTGCATATCGATGGGGACGAAGTCATCCTGGATGTTGATTGGGACAAGGTCATCTCTGCTTGTTAGTGGGGACAAGTTCATCCCTGGGTGCTTATCAGGACAAGGTCAGTCCCGGATGTTGGTGAAGACAAGGTCATTCTGGATGTTGATGGGGACAAGATTATCCCCGGACGTTGGCGAGAGCAAGGGGATCTCTGCATGTTTGGTGAATGTTGATGGGGACGAGGTCATCTCTGCATGTGGGTGGGGACAAGGTCATCCTGATGTTGATTGGTTCAAGGTTAACCTTGGATGTTGGTGGGGACAAGGTGATCTCTACATGTTTGGTGAATGTTGATGGGGACGAGGTCATCTCCGCATGTGGGTGGTGGACAAGGTCATCCTGGATGTTGATTGGGACAAGGTTATCCCTGGATGTTGGTGGGGACAAGGTGATCTCTGCATGTGGGTGGGGACAAGGTCGTCCTGGATGTTGATAGGGACAAGGTCATCCTGGATGTTGATTGGTTCAAGGTTGTTGATTGATTCAAGGTTATCCCCGGATGTTGGTGGGAACAAGGTGATCTCTGCATGTGGGTGGGGATGAGGTCATCCTGGATGTTGATTGACTCAAGGTTATCCCTGGATGTTGGTGGGGATAAGGTGATCTCTGCATGTCAGTGGGGACAAGGTCATCCTGGATGTTGATTGGGACAAGGTTATCTCTGCTTGTTAGTGGGGACAAGGTCATCCCTGGGTGCTTATCGGGACAAGGTCAGTCCTGTATGTTGATGAGGACAAGATTATCCCCGGACGTTGGTGGGGACAAGGTGATCTCTGCATGTTTGGTGAATGTTGATGGGGACGAGGTCACCTCCACATGTGGGTGGGGACAAAGTCATCCCTGGATGTTGACTGGGACAAGGTTATCCCTGGATGTCGATGGGTTCAAGGTTATCCCTGGATGTTGGTGGGGACCAGGTCATCCTGTGGGTGGGTGAGGACTGCCACATCCCGTTTTCCTGGTAAAGACATCTTTTTTCTAGCAGGATGGGCCACTGGAGCAGGCATAACTCTCAGTTCCCAGCTGGTGGACAGCCAAGTCCCCAGTTATCTGGTGTCTGTCCTTGGGGCCATGTTCTTTCTTCTCATTTCCACCTGAGGAAAGAAAGGCCAAGGTACAAGGCCTTCGACCAGGTGTCACTGGGGTTTCTGGGCTGGAAGTGCTTCGGGTTGGGAGAGAAGTCTCCCATCTTCCACAAAGTCAACAGGTGTACATCAAGGCTTCGTTCATAATCCTCGGTGGGAACTAGGAGAGAGATTGGATGCTGTTTAAAGGGTGATGTCCTTGGGCCGGCGTTTGAGGAGGTGTGTGCCCTGGTCAGCTGTATTTGGGGACATTAATTTTCAGCCTACAGCTGTTCGCCAAACGGGGTCTGTACGCATCAGGATCCAGCCACGTCCAAGGCTCCCAACGAGCTAGGTGCACCTCCTCCAGGCTCCACTCACATCCAGGAGGGTCACGGGCCTGCCTGAGGTCTGCCTGCTCCTGGCACTCAGCAGGGCACTCACCAGGGCTGGGAAGGCCCCTGCCCATCCCGGTCCTCTCATTGCAGTGAACCGGAGGCTCCTGTACCGGCTGCATCCGGAGCAGGGCATGCCGGCCGGCGTGTGCGTGGACGCTGCGGGGAAGCTCTGGGTGGCCTCTGCGTCGATAGAGGCAAGGTGATACGCCTTGACCCCGAGACAGGTGTGTGCCGGATGGCGGGGCCGTATGAGGCTTGGCCACATCGGGTGTCCACTGCGTCTGCAGCGTTCTGGCTTCAGAAGTCGGGGCCGGGCAGCAATCGCGAATTTGTAGAGACTAAGGGGCCTCCGTTTCCCGACGGCACGGACTCCCAGGTTCCCTCTGCAGGTGTGCTAGGTCCTGGGGCTGCCGCAACCAAGGACTGGCTGCCTAAGAAACAGGAAGTCACCTCCCCCAGTCCTGCAGAGCAGGAGTCTGAGACCGAGGAGTTTCAGGGCCGTACTCCCTCCAGGAGCTGTAGTGGAGGGTCCTTCCTGCCTCTCCCGGCTCCTGGGGGCTCCAGGCGTCCCTGGGCTTGTGGCCGCATCACTCCAGTCTCTGCCTCCGTCTCCACGAGGCCTCATCCACTGTGTCTGTGTCTCCTCTTCTGTCTCTAGAAGGACACCTGTCATTGCATTTAGGATCCACCCTACTCCAGGATGATCTCATCTCAAGATCCTTCACTAACTAGATCTTGAAACACCCTATTTCTATACAAGGTCTCATTCCTAGGTTGTGGATATTAGGGTGTAGACAGATCTTTTTGGGAACCACAGTTCAATCCACTTCAATTGTATTGAGACTCTAGGGGAGGGTCCTTCCTGCCTCTCCCAGCTCCTGGGGGCTCCAGGCATCCCTGGGCTTGAGGCCGCATCACTCCAGTCTCTGCCTCCGTCTCCACGTGGCCTCCTCCTCTGTGTCTGTGTCTGCTCTTCTGTCTCTTAGAAGGACACTGGTGATTGGATGTAGGACCCACCCTAACCTGCTCTGACCTACTAATTACCTCTGCAAACACCCTATTTCCAAATAATTTCCCATTCTGAGATCCTACTTGGCATGAATCTGGGGAGACTACAGAGCTCACTAGAGCAGGTGCGGCTGGGCCTGGCTAGGCAGGTGCCAATCTGGCAGCTCCAGGTGCCACAGAGACACCCATGCTGCCCGGGGGTTGGGCCCAGGGTCAGGAGGAACGGCCAGGCAGGCGGCCTGGGGTGCTCAGGCTCAGCCCCCACGCTCGCTCACAGGGAAGGTGCTGTGCACGGTGGAGCTGCCTGTGTACAGGGTCACCTCCTGCTGCTTCGGGGACCCGGCTACGACAACCTCTACGTGACCTCCGCGGCGGACCGCCTGAGTCCGGAGCACTTGTTACGGGAGCCCCGGGCTGGACACATCTTCAAGGTTCCGTAAGGGTTTTCTGCCGAGAGTCCCTCCTGGGGCCGCGGGCGAGAGCTCATCTTTAACCTCGGTGGGAAGCTCGGGCAGGGTGGGCGATGTCTGCAGACAGACGGAGGTTATTGTTTCTGTTTCCTAGAAAACAAACGTTTCCAAACTTTTTTTTTTTGAGATGGAGTTTCGCTCCTGTTGCCTGGGCTGCAGTGCAGTGGCGTGATCTCGGCTCACTGCAACCTCCGCCTCCTGGGTTCAAGTGATTCTCTCACCTCAGCCGCCTGAGTAGCTGGGATTACAGGGAGGCACCACCACACCCGGCTAATTTTGTATTTTTAGTAGAGACGGGGTTTCACCATGTTGGTCAGACTGGTCTCGAACTCCCGACCTCAGGTGATCCGCCGGCCTCGGCCTCCCAAAGTGCTGGGATGACAGGTGCGAGCCGCTGCGCCCGGCCAGTTTCAAAGGTTTTATGCCCCCGGGTGTTAGATAGAAATTGTGTTTTTAGGCCGGGCCCAGTGGCTCATGCCTGTCATCTCAGCACTTTGGGAGGCCGAGGCAGGAGGATCATGAGGTCAGGAGATCGAGACCATCCTGGCTAACCTGGTGAAACCCCGTCTCTACTAAAAAATACAAAAAAAAAATTATCTGGGCGTGGTGGCACCTGCCTGTAGTCCCAGCTACTCGGGAGTCTGAGGCAGGAGAATGGCATGAACCTGGGAGGCGGAGGTTGCAGTGAGCCGAGATCGTGCCACTGCACTCCAGCCTGGGCGACAGAGCGAGACTCCGTCTCAAAACAAACAAACAAACAAAAATTGTGTTTTTAACGTGTGGGTTTTAAAGCCTCCAGCATTGTTCTGGCCTTACTCTGCCGGTAACACGGTGTTTCGGCCACAGCCTTGGAACTGATCGCAGCATCCCGGCTCCATCCAGGGGTCACGGGCTTTGGGGTGAGAGGAGGCCCCCGTTTACCCCTTCACTGGCTGAGCCGAGAGCCGCTCCCAGGGCAGCTTCGTGCGTTGGCCTCCGTGCGGGGGTGCTGGGCCGGCGTCAGCGGCCCCCCGCACGCTCATTCCCGCAGCAGCGTCGGGTTCACAGCGGGCAATAAAGGCAGCCGTTCTTCAAAGTCAGCTCGGTTGTGGCTGCCGTGGGGACGTCAGTCACAGCCGAGGGACCAAGCACTGGGCCTCTGTGTGGCATAAGTCCTGCCTGGGGCTGTGCAGATCCCCCTTACACACCTCATGGCCCCGTAAGCTCACCGGCCCTCCCAGAAGTCATCTGTGCGAGACAGAAGGCGTCTCTGCGGAATTCTAACTCCCCGCCCAGAAGTGACTGATAGGATGAACAAGGTTTTCTAATTGGCGTAAATATGTATATAATGAGCATTTTATTTTTTTTGAGACGGAGTCTCGCTCTGTCGCCCAGGCTGGAGTGCAGTGGTGTGATCTCAGCTCACTGCAAGCTCCGCCTCCCGGGCTCACGCCGTTCTCCTGCCTCAGCCTCCCGAGTAGCTCGGACTACAGGCGCCCGCCACCACGCCTGGCTAATTTTTTGTATTTTTAGTAGAGACGGGGTTTCACTGTGTTAACCAGGATGGTCTCAATCTCCTGAACTCATGATCCGCCCGCCTCGGCCTCCCAAAGTGCTGGGATGACAGGCGTGAGCCACTGCGCCCGGCGAACAATGTTTCCAAATTGTGGTAAATATATATATAATTAGCACTTTGTGTTTTTTTTTTTGAGACGGAGTGTTGCTCTGTCACCCAGGCTGGAGTCCAGTGGCACAAACTCAGCTCACTGCAACCTCCGCCTCCCGGGTTCTAGCGATTCTCCTGCCTCAGCCTCCCAAGTAGCTGGAACCACAGGCGCCCGCCACCACGCCCGGCTAATTTTTGTTCTTTTAGGGTTTTGCCATGTTGGCCAGGCTGGTCTCGAACTCCTGACCTCCCGATCCGCCCGCCTCAGCCTCCCAAAGTGCTGGGATTATAGGTGTGAGCCACCACGCCCGGCTAATTTTTATATTTTTAGTAGAGATGAGGTTTCACCGTGTTGGCCAGGCTGCTCTTGAACTCCTGACCTCAGGTGATCCACCTGTCTCAAGCCAGGCAGGGTGGACAGGAGGGTGGGGAGTCTGGGAGCTCGGATGGAGTTGCGACGGGAGGCCCGGCTGGTTGCTGCTGCAACTGTGAGGCCAACGCCCAGGTTATTCTATGAATCGAGATGCTTTCACCTGCTGTGAGATTTACCACAAGACAGAGCTTTAAAAAATACTTTGCTTGGCTGGGCGCGGTGGCTCACGCCCGTAATCCCAGCACTTTGGGAGGCAGAGGCGGGTGGATCACCTGAGTTCAGGAGTTTGAGACCATCCTGGCCAACTTGGCAAAACCCCATCTGTACTAAAAATACAAAAATTAGCTGGGCGTGGTGGCGGGCACCTGTAATTCCCGCTACTCGGGAGGCTGAGGCAGGAGAATCGCTTGAACCGGGGAGGTGGAGGTTGCAGTGAGCCGAGATCGCTCCAGCCTGGGCGACAAGAGTGAAACTCCATCTCAAAAAAAAAAAAAGTACTTTCCTTGAGCCGAGGAGCCAGGTTTCCCTCTCCACGTGCCGGAGCCAGTGTGGACGGAGCTCCTTGTATTGTCCAGGACTGCATGGGAAGGCTGAGGGCAGCCTGGATGAGTACGGGGAGGCCAGGATCCGGGCAGAGAGGGGTGGAGGGGTGCGAGGTGGCATAGGGGCCGGGGCCAGGGCCCTAAAGCAAAAGACTTCTGCAAAATCAGTGCTGTAAAAATAAGCGGAAAGTGGCCGGGCACGGTGGCTCATGCCTGTGATCCCGGCGCTTTGGGAGGCTGAGGCGGTTGGATCACCTGAGGTCAGGAGTTTGAGGGGGGCCTCTGCCTCCCTCCCACCGTGTTGGGGACATCGTGACCCCCCAAGACCGCCTGGGATGGTACAGCCGGCCCCTGCAGCACCCCCTGCATCCACCCCCAGAGCTGGGCTCTGCTGCTGGGACCTGACTGTGGCCACTGCCCTCCCAGGGTAATCGGCGGTGGGGGGTGAGCATGGGGATTCCACAGACCATCCCGGTCTTCCAACCCTAACCCTGGCCCCTGGCCAGCCTGGGAGACGCTGCCTGACCTTGCAGGTCCCTCTGACCTGCTGACTGTGGGTGTCCACACCTCACCTCACAGAGCAAACAGGAACCACACACAGGGAAGCTTCCTCCCTCCATTCCTGTCCTCAGGTCCCTAAGGGCCCCTGGGGGGCTTCCAGCTGCCAACACTGCAATGGTGTATGGGTATGGGGGTGGGGAGCCCTTGAGGGACTCCCAGGGAGGGGGTCTCTAGTTGGGGAGAGGCTGCGAACCCCTAGGGGAAATGGTGGAGGCTCCCACATCCATGGGGTGGGTGTGGGGGTGTCTGTGTGAACCAGCTCATAGAGACCCACCCCATGCTCAGTGCCATTGGCTCAAAGGTGCAGCAGGAGGCCCCTCTGGTGACGTGAGCCACCCGGGCACCCAGCTGGGCCCCCACAGGGCTGGGCTTGCCCCTCATCTCAGCAACCTGCCTCATCTGTCCTGAACCTCAGCGTGGTCACCCGTGAGGTGGGAGGGGACCTGCTTGGGAGCCAGCAGAGGGTCTCTGGGACCTGCCAGGCAATGGCTTTGCACACACGTCACCTGCATGCATGGTGCATTCAGGAGAGAGCACAGGCCGTCATGAGAGGAAGGGACACACAAAATGTGCTCTGTCCACAGAGTGGAATAGTATGCAGCCATGAAAAGGAACGGGGTTCTGACACATGGTCTCCTTGTGGAGTCATGAGAATGTGCTGGAGCTAAAGAGAGGGGGGTAGCTAGAGAGAGGTGGGGTAGCTACAGAGAGGTGGGGTAGCTAGAGAGTGGGGGTAGCTAGAGAGGGGGATAGCTAGAGAGAGGTGGGGTAGCTAGAGAGAGTGGGGGGAGCTAGAGACAGTGGGGGTAGCTAGAGGGGGTGTAGCTAGAGACAGTGGGGGTAGCTAGAGAGGGGGATAGCTAGAGAGAGTGGGGATAGCTAGAGAGGGGGGGGTAGCTAGAGAGAGGTGGGGTAGCTAGAGAGGGGGATAGCTAGAGAGAGGTGGGGTAGCTAGAGAGGGGGATAGCTAGAGAGAGGTGGGGTAGCTAGAGAGGGGGATAGCTAGAGAGAGGTGGGGTAGCTAGAGAGGGGGATAGCTAGAGAGAGGTGGGGTAGCTAGAGAGAGTGGGGGTAGCTGGGGGGGGTAGCTAGAGAGAGGTGGGGGTAGCTAGAGAGAGGTGGGGTAGCTAGAGAGGGGGATAGCTAGAGAGAGGTGGGGTAGCTAGAGAGAGTGGGGGTAGCTGGGGGGGGTAGCTAGAGAGAGGTGGGGGTAGCTAGAGAGAGGTGGGGTAGCTAGAGAGGGGGATAGCTAGAGAGAGGTGGGGTAGCTAGAGAGGGGGATAGCTAGAGAGAGGTGGGGAGTAGTTAGAGAGGGGGATAGCTAGAGAGAGGCGGGGGTAGCTAGAGACAGTGGGGGGAGCTAGAGACAGTGGGGGTAGCTAGAGGGGGGGATAGCTAGAGAGAGGTGGGGTAGCTAGAGACAGTGGGGGGAGCTAGAGACAGTGGGGGTAGCTGGGGGGGGTAGCTAGAGAGAGTGGGGGTTGCATCTGACAGTGAGTGTTTGTGGAAGAGAGAGCAACTCCATCTGGAATGCTGATCCACCTGTTCACTTCTGACCAACCGCTGCTCTGGGAAGGTCTCTAAGATGATTTTGCTACTTTCTCCAATGTGACCTCAATAGCCTGGACCATAAACCCTGCCCTGGGGCAGGTGCACGTGGCTGTCCCTGAGGCACCTTCCCTGACCGTGAGGGCCCCCCTCCCTCCCACCAACGTTTTCCTGCATATTCCTCCCTGGGGTGAAGCCCTGGGTCTGCAGGGACGACCGGGATCCACTCTCCTCGCAGACACGGCTTCTGTTCTTACATCTCTGCTAAGTATTTCTTTCGGAGAATCTGGATTAGTCAGCTTCTTCCTTCAGCTCTCAGCTTCCTCGACCTCCGGGGTGTGGTTTGCACAGACCCGGCCCCTGCGGAAACAGGTGCTAAATGCTAGTGAATGGACCCATTAGAATAGTTAATTCTGGCCGGGCACGGTGAAAATGGTTAACTGTGGCCGGGCGCGGTGGCTCACACCTGTAATCCGAGCACTTTGGGAGACCGAGGTGGGCGGATCATGAGGTCAGGAGTTTGAGACCAGCCTGGCTGAGGCAGGAGAATTGCTTGAACCTGGTGTAATGTGAAAAAAAAACCAGTACGAAGCACAGCTCACAAGGCCTTCCCCCTTTAGGCTTAGAACAATAGCGGGGCGCAGTGGCTCACGCCTGTAATCCCAGCACTTTGGGAGGCCAAGGCAGGCGGATCACGAGGTCAGGAGGTCGAGACCATCCTGACTAACCTGGTGAAACCCCGTCTCTACTAAAAATACAAAAAATTAGCCGGGTGTGGTGGCGGGTGCCTGTAGTCCCAGCTACTCGGGAGGCTGAGGCAGATAAATAATTGCTTGAACCCAGGAGGTGGAGGTTGTGGTGAGCCGAGATCACGCCACTGCACTCCAGCCTGGGCGACAGAGCGAGACTCCATCTCAAAAAAAAAAAAAAAAAAAAAAAAATGAAGCCTGCAATCCCAGCACTTTGGGAGGCTGAGGCAGGTGGATCACGAGGTCAGGAGTTCAAGACCAGCCTGGCCAAGATGGTGAAACGCCGTCTCTACTAAAAATAAAAGAAATTAGCCAGACATGGTGGCGGGTGCCCGTCATCCCAGCTACTCCGGAGGCTGAGGCAGGAGAATCGCTTGAACCCGGGAGGCGGAGCTTGCAGTGAGCCGAGATGGCACCATTGCACTCCAGCCCGGGCAACAAGAGCGAAACTCCGTCTCAAAACAGAAAAAAATATAGGGTCTCAAACCACACCTCATGAAGCCCAGGGATGGGCTTTTGGGGTGGGCCCCACCGTGAGGTATGTGGGTTTCAAAGCAGTTCTCTGGGGGCACAGAGCACCTTGGGAATCAGCAGGGAAAATGGATCTGGGCAGGCTCCGGCCCTGACATGGACCTGGGGTTCCGGGGACCCCTCTTCTGGGCCAGCCAGGCCCCCTTGCGCCTGTGCCCCTCTGGCGACGTACCCCGGCCTTTGCAAGCTGTGTGCGCTCTTCCCACCACCTCCAGGCGGTGCACGGCGTCTGCCTGGGACGAGGACTCCAGAGGCTTCTGTGGAATCTGCCGCTGCCTTCCAAGGCCGGCACCTCCTGCCCCTGCTATCCTTTGACCTTGGGGTTCCCGTCCGAGCCACGGCTGTGACCTCGCGCCCCCAGGAGCTGGCTTTTCTTTATCCTCCTTGGTCTTCCTGTCACCGCCCAAGGGGCTCACCTCGCCGGCTGCGTGGACAGAGTGATTTATCACTACCACAAAGCTGCAATCCCAGCCGGCTGCGTGGGAGGCCGGAGTTTCCTTATTCCTCAAATCCGTCTCCCCAGAGACCCTGGGACTGGAGTTTTTCAGGATAATTTGCTGGGTAGGAGGTCAGAAAGTGGGGAGTGCTGATTGGTTGGGTCAGAGATGGAATCACAGGGAGTCGAAGCTGTCGTCTGGCGCTGAGTCAGTTCCTGGGTGGGGGCCGCAGACCAGATTAGCCGGTTGATCATCTGGGTGGTGCCAGCTGATCCGTCCAGTGAAGGGTCTGTGACATATCTCAGCACTGATTGTAGGTTTCACAAAAGCGATGTGAGCAGGAGCAATTTGAGGAGGGTCAGAAACTTGCAGCCTCCAGAGGCCAGAGTCCTAAACCATCATTTCTAATCCAGGGGATAATCTCTTAGTCCTGTAAACACGGCCTAGTCCCCAGGCAAGAAGGAGGTTTGCACTGGGAAAGGGCTATTATCATCTTCGTGTCAAAGCTAAACTATAAACTAAGTTCCTCCCAAAGATAGTGTGGGTGACACCCATGAGTGAAGAAGGACAGCTTGGAGACAGCTTGGAGACAGCTTGCAGACAGCGTGGAAGTTCGAAGCAAGACGGACTCAGTGAGGTTAGCTCTCCTTCACTGCCCTAATGTTCTCACTTACAATTTTATCAGGCCGGGCGCGGTGGCTCATGCCTGTAATCCCACCACTCTGGGAGGCTGAGGTGGGAGGATCACAGCGTCAGGGGTTTGAGACCAGCCTGGCCAATGTGGTAAAACCCCGTCTCTAATAAAAATACGAAAACTAGCCGAGTATGGTGGTGGGTGCCTGTGGTCCCAGCTACCCAGGAGCTTGAGACAGGTGAATGGCTCGAACATGGGAGGCGAAGGTTGCAGTGAGCCGAGATCGCGCCACTGCCCTGCAGCCTGGGTGACAGAGCGAGACTCTGTCTTAAAAAAAAAAAAAAGAAAGAAAAATTGTTTTTGCAAAAATGGTTTCAATCTCAGGGAGTAGAGCCCTTTCCTGTGGGACCCGCCTTGCCCAGCTCCCTAGCTCCCTCCCTGCCCGGCCACCCTGCAGGATGCCAGGGTTGGGGGTCTCTGGGGGTTACCAAGGAGGCCCACCTGTTCCTGGGGGCTGCCTAGAGAGCCCCCACCCACGGGGAGCTGAGGGCCTCAGAGGAGGAGCAGAGACTCCAGTTCCTGCTAGGGTCAGTTGAGGTTATCTGTAGTTAATTTTTATCTAAAAAGTGATGCAAGCTTATTTTTAAAATGCAAACAGGCCGGTGAAGTGGCTCACGCCTGTAATCCCAGCACCTTGGGAGGCTGAGGTTGGGGGATCGCTTGAGCCCCAGATTTAGAGACCAGCCGGGGCAACATAGCCAGGTCCTGTCTCTACAAAAAATAATAATTATAAATAAATAAAAATAAAAATTCAACTGTAAAGATGTTTATAAAGTAAAAAAGGAAAAAATGTCTTTTTTAACCTCTCCTATTCTTCAGAAAAGGTAACCTATTCATAGTCAATACTTATTTGTAATCATTCAATTTGCAATTTAATTAATCATTGAATTTTACATACAATTTGCATTTTTGTTTTTAATCATTCAATGTGAAATTATATAATGTCAACTTACCCATTTCAAAGTGTGCACTGCAGTGGCATTTAGTAGTCACAAGCTTGGCAGGATCTTTTTTTTTTTTTTTTTTTGAGATAATCTCTCTCTCTAGGTCTGTCACCCAGGCTGGAGTGCAGTGGCGTGATCTCGGCTCACCACAACCTCCACCTCCCGGGTTCAAGTAATTCTGCCTCAGCCTCCCGAGTAGCTGGGACTACAGGCGCCCGCCACCACACCCGGCTGATTTTTTGTATTTTTAGTAGAGACGAGGTTTCACCATGTTAGCCAGGATGGTCTCCATCCTCTGACCTCGTGATCCACCCGCCTCGGCCTCCCAAAGTGCTGGGATGACAGGCGTGAGCCACCGCGCCCGGCCGCGGAGTTTTATTTTTTATTTTATTTATTTATTTATTTATTTATTTATTTATTTATTTTTGAGATGGAGTCTCGCTCTTTCACCCAGGCTGGAGTGTCTCAAAAAAGGAAATGAAATATATATATGTGTATATGAAGAAGAGTAAGATGGAATATATTTTACAACAATCAGTGTATATGGCCTGTATACCTGAAATAAAAGAGGAAACCAGCTGTGGTCAAAAACTGAATCAGGGGCCGGACGCGGTGGCTCACGCCTGTAATCCCAGCACTTTGGGAGGCCGAGGCAGGTGGATCACATGAGGTCAGGAGTTCGAGACCAGCCTGGCCAACATGGTGAAAAACAGTCTCTGCTAAAAATACAAAAAATTAGCCGGGTGTGGTGGCGGGCACCTGTAATCCCAGGTACTCACTTGGGAGGCTGAGGCAGGAGAATCACTTGAACCTGGAAGGCGGAGGTTGCAGTGAGCCAAGATCGTGCCACTGCACTCCAGCCTGGGAGACAGAGTGAGACTCTGTCTCAAAAATAAAAGAAAAAAGATCAACCTGAGCCAGCACAGGCTTCTTGTACCCTGAGCTGTGGCTTCTTCCCTGCGTGGAAACAACAGGTGTCTGTCGTTGGCTTCAAGGTCGGCGGCGTCTGAACCGCCTCTAAGGGGCAGGGTTGGGGACAGTGGGGAATCCAGGTCCGGTCGGGAACGCCCGTGTGGATTTGCAGACGCTGTAGTTTTGGGGATGTGGAAGAAAAATAAGTCTTAGGCTGGGTGCGGTGGCTCATGCCTGTAATCTCAGCACTTTGGGAGGCTGAGGCAGGAGAATCGCTTGAACCCAGGAGGTGAAGGTTGCAGTGAGCCGAGATCGCGCCATTGCACTCCAGCCTGGGTGACAGACCGAGATTCTGTCTGAAAAATAAAAATAAAAAATAAAATAAAGTGGGCCGGGCGCGGTGGCTCAGGCCTGTCATCCCAGCACTTTGGGAGGCCTAGGTGGGTGGATCACGAGGTCAGGAGATCGAGACCATCCTGGCTAACACAGTGAAACCCCGTCTCTACTAAAAATACAAAAAATTAGCCGGGCATGATGGCTGGTGCCTGTAGTCTCAGCTACTCAGGAGGCTGAGGCAGAGAATGGCGTGAACCCGGGAGGCGGAGCTGGCAGTGACCCGAGATCGCGCCATTGCACTCCAGCCTGGGTGACAGAGCGAGACTCTGTTTCCACAAAAAAAAAGAAAGAAAGAAAGAAGAAAGAAAGAAAAAGAAAGAGAGAGAGAGAAAGAAAAGAAAGAAAGAAAAGAAAGAAAGAAAGAAAGAAGAAAGAAAGAAAGGAAAGAAAGAAAAGAAAGAAAGAAAGAAAAAGAAAGAAAGAAAGATAGAAAGAAAGAAAGAAAAGGACAGGACACACAGAAAGCAGAGAAACAGCTGCATTGGGTGTGGGTTGGCGTTTACCTTGTTTGAACCCGGTTGGAACATTTGGCTGCCTTTGGCTGAGATTCAGTGATTGCCACAAGAGTAGGTTCTGGTCTGTTGACACCTCCTGTTACGTCACAGTTCACTATGTACAGAGAAATCTTTAGGCCGAACTTAAAATATGTTGGGAGGCAACTTCAGGAACCATCAATATTGTAGACAGAAGTTTCTCTTTTCACCTTTTTTGGTAGACACAGGATTTCACTGTGTCCCCCAGGCTGGAGTGCAGCCTCGACCTCCTAGACTCAAGTGATCCTCCCTCCTCAGCCTCCTGAGTAGCTGGGACTACAGGAGGAGGGAAGAGGTCTCTGTAGCTGGTCCTACAAGTGCACACCACTACGCCCAGCTAATTTTTATATTTTTTGTAGAGACAGGGTCTTGCCATGTTGCTCAGGCTCGTCTGGAACTCCTGGGCTCAAGCGATCTGCCTGCCTCGGCCTCTCCCAAAAGTGCTGGTTTTTCAATCTCTGTTGACTTGATCAGTGGAAAATGGTAATCGATTTTAACGTTCAATACCGGTGTGTGGTAGCATATATTTGTATGTGTTTTGACAACTCTATGCAAAGTCGAGTGATTCTCCTGCTGTGTGTGATCAGAGGACATTTTGGGACATTTAGGGCTGTGTTACAATTTTAAGCGTGGGGACTTGGAGTATGAATGATTAGCATGGGACCAGGTGGGCAGGTGCGCCTGGCATCAGGGGTGAGAGGGCCGCATACCTGACTCCACTCCTCATCCCTGACTTCCTTCTCCAGCTCAGCTGTGGCACGGGCACCCTTGTGCCAGAGGAAACGGGCACTTTTTTCTTTCTCTTTCTTTTCCTTCCCTCCCTCCCTCCCTCTCTCTCTCTCTCTCTTTCTTCTTTCTTTTTTTCTTTTCTTTTCTTTTTGGAGACGGAGTCTATTGCTGTCCCCCAGGCTGGAGTGCAATGGCACGATCTCCACTCACTGCAAGCTCCGCCTCCCGGGTTCACGCCATTCTCCTGCCTCAGCCTCCCGAGTAGCTGGGACTACAGGCGCCCGCCACCACGCCCGGCTAATTTTTTGTATTTTTAGTAGAGACGGGGTTTCACCGTGTTAGCCAGGATGGTGTCGATCTCCTGACCTCGTGATCCACCTGCCTCGGCCTCCCAAAGTGCTGGGATGACAGGCGTGAGCCATCGCGCCCGGCTGATTCCTGTTCCTTCTGCCCCTCTCTGGAGGTGTCTGCTTCTGGCTTCTGACTCTGCTTCCCAGGCTGTAGGAATAGCTCCCCTGCGCCTAACCCCTTATGAGAAACAAAGCTGTCCTTTGCAGCCTCACCATTCTTTTTTTGTTTTGTTTTTTGTTTGTTTGTTTGTTTTTTTGAAACAGAGTCTGGTTCTGTCCCCCACGCTGGAGTGCCATGGCTAGATCTTGGCTCACTCCAACTTCCGCCTTCCGGGTTCAAGTGATTCTCCTGCCTCAGCCTCTCAAGGAGCTAGGATTACAGGTGAGCATCACCACACCCGGCTAATTTTTTATATTTTTGGTCTCGAACTCCTGACCTGAAGTGATCTGCCCGCCTCAGCCTCCCAAAGTGCTGAGATGACAGGCGTGAGGCACCGCACCTGTCCTTTTTTTTTTTTTTTTTTGAGATGGAGTTTCACTATTGCAGCCCAGGCTGGAGTGCAGTGGCACAACCTCGACTCACTGCAACCTCTGCCTCCTGGGTTCACGCAATTCTCCCGCCTCAGCCTCCCCAGTAGCTGGGATTACAGGCATTCACCACTATGGCTGGCTAATTTTTGTATTTTTAGTAGAGACGGGGTTTCACCATGTTGGCCAGGCTGGTCTTGAACTCCCGACCTCACGGATCCACCTGCCTCAGCCTCCCAAACTGCTGGGATGACAGGCGTGAGCCGCTGCACCCAGCCAGCCTTACCATTCTTTAGTCGATACTTATAATGCAAAATCGCGCCCTGCTTCCTGAACCCCCAAACCAGCAGAGAGAGGAGCTACAGACGTGGAGAATACTTTTTCCAGCGGTGTGATTTAGGAAGCCTATACGTGTTGCTCATAAAAATCAGTATCTCTGGCCGGGTGCGGTGGCTCACGCCTGTCATCCCAGCACTTTGGGAGGCCAAGGTGGGCGGATTGCCTGAGGTCGGGAGTTTGAGACCAGCCTGGCCAACATGATGAAACCCTGTCTCTACTAAATTAGCCGGGCGTGGTGGCGGGTGCCTGTAATCCCAGCTACTTGGGAGGCTGAGGCAGGAGAATCGCTTGAACCCGGGAGATGGAGGTTGCAGTGAGCCGCGATTATCTCAGCCTTCCCGGTAGATGGGATTACAGACGCGTGCCACCAGGCCCAGCTAAATTTTGTATTTTTTTTTTTTTGGTAGAGACAAGGTTTCATCATGTTGGCCATCCGCCCGCCTTGGCCTCCCAAAGTTGTGTCTTTTCTCTGGTAAAGGGGTAAGACTCAGCTTCGGAGACACAATTCTCTATCCTTTTCATGTCATTTTGCTTCTCGGCAAGGACAGGGGAAAACAGAATTGATGACTTTACTTTTATTTTTTATTTTTTGAGACGGAGACCAAGCTGGAGTGCAGGGGCGCGATCTCGGCTCACTGCAACCTCCGCCTCCCCTTTTCAAGCGATTCTCTGCCTCAGCCTCTGGAGTAGCTGGGATTACAGGCACCCGCCACCTCGCCCGGCTATTTTTTTTTTTTTTTTTTTTTTTAGTAGAGACGGGATTTCACCATGTTGCCCAGGCTGGTCTCGAACTCCAGAGCTCAGCTCAGGCAATCCACGCGTCTGGGCCTCCCAGAGTGTTCGGATGACAGGCGTGAGCCACCACGCCCGGCCCGGCGACGGTTTTAAACAAGGCAGCTCGGAACAGAGCAGCTTCGGGAATCGCACCTGCAGAATGAGATCACGTAGCCTCCGGTCTCGGCTCACGCAGGTGTGCTCTGAGCCCGTCACGGCCCGGCCTGAGGCCCCGTGAGCCGTGCGGCTGCCCCATGCTGTTGAAACCCGGGTCCGGGGCTCCCAGCTTTGTGCCTCTGTTCCCGGCGACGCCCGCACGGTGCCACCTCTCAGAGACCCTCCCTGCTGGCTCTCAACCACCCGTGACAACTGCGAGCCGGAAACAGGGTGGGATAATACCTTGGACCCAATAAAGGTGCTGGCCCAGGGTCCCTCTCTGCTGCATTCCTCACCACCCAGTGTGGGTGGGGCCTGCAGGGCCCGGGACCCATAAATAATCAAATCCTTACCTCCGCCTGGGTGGGACCTGCAGGACCCGGGACCCATAAATAATCAAATCCTTACCTCCGCCTGGGTGGGGCCTGCAGCACCCGGGACCCATAAATAATCAAATCCTTACCTCCGCCTGGGCGGGGCCTGCAGGACCCGGGACCCATAAATAATCAAATCCTTACCTCCGCCTGGGCGGGGCCTGCAGCACCCGGGACCCATAAATAATCAAATCCTTACCTCCGCCTGGGTGGGGCCTGCAGGACCCGGGACCCATAAATAATCAAATCCTTACCTCCGCCTGGGCGGGGCCTGCAGCACCCGGGACCCATAAATAATCAAATCCTTACCTCCGCCTGGGCGGGGCCTGCAGCACCCGGGACCCATAAATAATCAAATCCTTACCTCCGCCTGGGTGGGGCCTGCAGCACCCGGGACCCATAAATAATCAAATCCTTACCTCCGCCTGGGTGGGGCCTGCAGCACCCGGGACCCATAAATAATCAAATCCTTACCTCCGCCTGGGCGGGGCCTGCAGGACCCGGGACCCATAAATAATCAAATCCTTACCTCCGCCTGCGTGGGACCTGCAGGACCCGGGACCCATAAATAATCAAATCCTTAGCTCCGCCTGGGTGGGGCCTGCAGGACCCGGGACCCATAAATAATCAAATCCTTACCTCCGCCTGGGTGGGGCCTGCAGCGCCCGGGACCCATAAATAATCAAATCCTTACCTCCGCCTGGGTGGGGCCTGCAGCACCCGGGATCCATAAATAATCAAATCCTTACCTCCGCCTGGGTGGGGCCTGCAGGACCCGGGACCCATAAATAATCAAATCCTTACCTCCGCCTGGGCGGGGCCTGCAGGACCCGGGACCCATAAATAATCAAATCCTTACCTCCGCCTGGGCGGGGCCTGCAGCACCCGGGACCCATAAATAATCAAATCCTTACCTCCGCCTGGGCGGGGCCTGCAGGACCCGGGACCCATAAATAATCAAATCCTTACCTCCGCCTGGGTGGGGACTGCAGCACCCGGGACCCATAAATAATCAAATCCTTACCTCCGCCTGGGCGGGGCCTGCAGGACCCGGGATCCATAAATAATCAAATCCTTACCTCCGCCTGGGCGGGGCCTGCAGGACCCGGGACCCATAAATAATCAAATCCTTACCTCCGCCTGGGCGGGGCCTGCAGGACCCGGGACCCATAAATAATCAAATCCTTACCTCCGCCTGGGTGGGGCCTGCAGGACCCGGGACCCATAAATAATCAAATCCTTACCTCCGCCTGGGTGGGGCCTGCAGCACCCGGGACCCATAAATAATCAAATCCTTACCTCCGCCTGGGCGGGGACTGCAGCACCCGGGACCCATAAATAATCAAATCCTTACCTCCGCCTGGGTGGGGCCTGCAGCGCCCGGGACCCATAAATAATCAAATCCTTACCTCCGCCTGGGTGGGGCCTGCAGGACCCGGGACCCATAAATAATCAAATCCTTACCTCCGCCTGGGCGGGGCCTGCAGGGCCCGGGACCCATAAATAATCAAATCCTTAGCTCCGCCTGGGTGGGGCCTGCAGGACCCGGGACCCATAAATAATCAAATCCTTACCTCCGCCTGGGTGGGGCCTGCAGGACCCGGGACCCATAAATAATCAAATCCTTACCTCCGCCTGGGTGGGGCCTGCAGCACCCGGGACCCATAAATAATCAAATCCTTACCTCCGCCTGGGCGGGGCCTGCAGGACCCGGGACCCATAAATAATCAAATCCTTACCTCCGCCTGGGTGGGGCCTGCAGCGCCCGGGACCCATAAATAATCAAATCCTTACCTCCGCCTGGGCGGGGCCTGCAGGACCCGGGACCCATAAATAATCAAATCCTTACCTCCGCCTGGGTGGGGCCTGCAGCACCCGGGATCCATAAATAATCAAATCCTTACCTCCGCCTGGGTGGGGCCTGCAGCGCCCGGGACCCATAAATAATCAAATCCTTACCTCCGCCTGGGCGGGGCCTGCAGCACCCGGGACCCATAAATAATCAAATCCTTACCTCCGCCTGGGTGGGGCCTGCAGCACCCGGGACCCATAAATAATCAAATCCTTACCTCCGCCTGCGTGGGACCTGCAGCACCCGGGACCCATAAATAATCAAATCCTTACCTCCGCCTGGGTGGGGCCTGCAGCACCCGGGACCCATAAATAATCAAATCCTTACCTCCGCCTGCGTGGGACCTGCAGCACCCGGGACCCATAAATAATCAAACCCTTACCTCCGCCTGGGCGGGGCCTGCAGCACCCGGGACCCATAAATAATCAAATCCTTACCTCCGCCTGGGTGGGGCCTGCAGCACCCGGGACCCATAAATAATCAAATCCTTACCTCCGCCTGGGTGGGGCCTGCAGCACCCGGGACCCATAAATAATCAAATCCTTACCTCCGCCTGGGCGGGGCCTGCAGCACCCGGGACCCATAAATAATCAAATCCTTACCTCCGCCTGCGTGGGACCTGCAGGACCCGGGACCCATAAATAATCAAATCCTTACCTCCGCCTGGGTGGGGCCTGCAGCACCCGGGATCCATAAATAATCAAATCCTTACCTCCGCCTGGGTGGGGCCTGCAGGCCGGCCGTGGATGCAGGACTGGTAAATAGTCAAACCTTTATCTCCGCCTGGTGTCTCTCCTAGCCATTGGAGGGGTGCTCCCCATGCTAAATATTCGAAACTCAAACGCGGGGTCATGGGATTTTCTAGTGCAGGAGAGGGTTTTCCATTCCAGGAAGCAGCTGGACCAAGGGCTTCCGTGCCCGGCCTTGGGAGGGGTTTGCAAACACCCCTTGTCGGACACAAGGGCACGGTCAACAGGGAAGTCACAGCCATTTACAGGGGCTCACACTTGGCCCACTTCACTCAAGCACCCTTCACAACCCTCGGCTCGCAGAACACAGGCAGCACCGAGGCACGGACGACACGTCCCTCAGCCCACGTGATGTCCTCCCCTCGTGTCCAGCCCACACCTGGCCGCCCAGGACACAGAGGGAGGAAGGGCTGGGCCCCGAGACCACAGTCCACATCACACCAGGACAGAGGAAGGGCCGGGCACTGTGACCTCCGGTCCTCATGACCCTGGGGCACAGCGGGAGGAAGGGCCAGGCCCTGTGACCACAGTCCACATCACACCAGGACACAGAGGAAGGGCCGGGCCCTGTGACCACAGTCCACATCACACCAGGACACAGAGGAAGGGCCGGGCCCTGTGACCACAGTCCACATCACACCAGGACACAGAGGAAGGGCCGGGCCCTGTGACCACAGTCCACATCACACCAGGACACAGAGGAAGGGCCGGGCCTCATGACCACAGTCCACATCACACCAGGACACAGAGGAAGGGCCGGGCCCTGTGACCACAGTCCACATCACACCAGGACACAGAGGAAGGGCCGGGCCCTGTGACCACAGTCCACATCACACCAGGACACAGAGGAAGGGCCGGGCCTCATGACCACAGTCCACATCACACCAGGACACAGAGGAAGGGCCGGGCCCTGTGACCACAGTCCACATCACACCAGGACACGGAGGAAGGGCCGGGCCCTGTGACCACAGTCCACATCACACCAGGACACAGAGGAAGGGCCGGGCCCTGTGACCACAGTCCACATCACACCAGGACACGGAGGAAGGGCCGGGCCCTGTGACCACAGTCCACATCACACCAGGACACAGAGGAAGGGCCGGGCCTCATGACCACAGTCCACATCACACCAGGACACA
The DNA here is from genome assembly GCF_000001405.40 of Homo sapiens. Classification (NCBI taxonomy): domain Eukaryota; kingdom Metazoa; phylum Chordata; class Mammalia; order Primates; family Hominidae; genus Homo; species Homo sapiens. The sequence goes on from NC_000023.11 coordinate 271,986, forward strand.
GAGGAAGGGCCGGGCCTCATGACCACAGTCCACATCACACCAGGACACAGAGGAAGGGCCGGGCCCTGTGACCACAGTCCACATCACACCAGGACACAGAGGAAGGGCCGGGCCTCATGACCACAGTCCACATCACACCAGGACACAGAGGAAGGGCCAGGCCCTGTGACCACAGTCCACATCACACCAGGACACAGAGGAAGGGCCGGGCCTCATGACCACAGTCCACATCACACCAGGACACGGAGGAAGGGCCGGGCCCTGTGACCACAGTCCACATCACACCAGGACACGGAGGAAGGGCCGGGCCCCGTGACCACAGTCCACATCACACCAGGACACAGAGGAAGGGCCGGGCCCCGTGACCACAGTCCACATCACACCAGGACACAGAGGAAGGGCCGGGCCCTGTGACCACAGTCCACATCACACCAGGACACAGAGGAAGGGCCGGGCCTCATGACCACAGTCCAGATCACACCAGGACACAGAGGAAGGGCCGGGCCCTGTGACCACAGTCCACATCACACCAGGACACAGAGGAAGGGCCGGGCCCTGTGACCACAGTCCACATCACACCAGGACACAGAGGAAGGGCCAGGCCTCATGACCACAGTCCACATCACACCAGGACACAGAGGAAGGGCCAGGCCTCATGACCACAGTCCACATCACACCAGGACACAGAGGAAGGGCCGGGCCCTGTGACCACAGTCCACATCACACCAGGACACAGAGGAAGGGCCGGGCCCTGTGACCACAGTCCACATCACACCAGGACACAGAGGAAGGGCCAGGCCTCATGACCACAGTCCACATCACACCAGGACACAGAGGAAGGGCCGGGCCCTGTGACCACAGTCCACATCACACCAGGACACAGAGGAAGGGCCGGGCCCTGTGACCACAGTCCACATCACACCAGGACAGAGGAAGGGCCGGGCCCTGTGACCACAGTCCACATCACACCAGGACACAGAGGAAGGGCCAGGCCCTGTGACCACAGTCCACATCACACCAGGACACGGAGGAAGGGCCAGGCCTCATGACCACAGTCCACATCACACCAGGACACAGAGGAAGGGCCAGGCCCTGTGACCACAGTCCACATCACACCAGGACACAGAGGAAGGGCCGGGCCTCATGACCACAGTCCACATCACACCAGGACACAGAGGAAGGGCCGGGCCCCATGACCACAGTCCACATCACACCAGGACACAGAGGAAGGGCCGGGCCCCGTGACCACAGTCCACATCACACCAGGACACAGAGGAAGGGCCGGGCCCCGTGACCACAGTCCACATCACACCAGGACACAGAGGAAGGGCCGGGCCCTGTGACCACAGTCCACATCACACCAGGACACAGAGGAAGGGCCGGGCCTCGTGACCACAGTCCAGATCACACCAGGACACAGAGGAAGGGCCGGGCCCCGTGACCACAGTCCAGATCACACCAGGACACAGAGGAAGGGCCGGGCCCCGTGACCACAGTCCACATCACACCAGGACACAGAGGAAGGGCCGGGCCCCGTGACCACAGTCCACATCACACCAGGACACAGAGGAAGGGCCGGGCCCCGTGACCACAGTCCACATCACACCAGGACACAGAGGAAGGGCCGGGCCCTGTGACCACAGTCCACATCACACCAGGACACAGAGGAAGGGCCGGGCCCTGTGACCACAGTCCACATCACACCAGGACACAGAGGAAGGGCCGGGCCCTGTGACCTCTGGTCCTCATGACTCTGGGGCACAGCGGGAGGAAGGGCCGGGCCCTGTGACCACAGTCCACATCACACCAGGACACAGAGGAAGGGCCGGGCCCTGTGACCACAGTCCACATCACACCAGGACACGGAGGAAGGGCCAGGCCTCATGACCACAGTCCAGATCACACCAGGACACAGAGGAAGGGCCGGGCCCTGTGACCACAGTCCAGATCACACCAGGACACAGAGGAAGGGCCGGGCCCTGTGACCACAGTCCACATCACACCAGGACACAGAGGAAGGGCCGGGCCTCGTGACCACAGTCCAGATCACACCAGGACACAGAGGAAGGGCCGGGCCCCGTGACCACAGTCCAGATCACACCAGGACACAGAGGAAGGGCCGGGCCCCGTGACCACAGTCCACATCACACCAGGACACAGAGGAAGGGCCGGGCCCCGTGACCACAGTCCACATCACACCAGGACACAGAGGAAGGGCCGGGCCCCGTGACCACAGTCCACATCACACCAGGACACAGAGGAAGGGCCGGGCCCCGTGACCACAGTCCACATCACACCAGGACACAGAGGAAGGGCCAGGCCTCATGACCACAGTCCACATCACACCAGGACACAGAGGAAGGGCCGGGCCCTGTGACCACAGTCCACATCACACCAGGACACGGAGGAAGGGCCGGGCCCTGTGACCACAGTCCACATCACACCAGGACACAGAGGAAGGGCCGGGCCTCATGACCACAGTCCACATCACACCAGGACACGGAGGAAGGGCCGGGCCCTGTGACCACAGTCCACATCACACCAGGACACAGAGGAAGGGCCGGGCCCTGTGACCACAGTCCACATCACACCAGGACACAGAGGAAGGGCCAGGCCTCATGACCACAGTCCACATCACACCAGGACACAGAGGAAGGGCCGGGCCCCGTGACCACAGTCCACATCACACCAGGACACAGAGGAAGGGCCGGGCCCTGTGACCACAGTCCACATCACACCAGGACACAGAGGAAGGGCCGGGCCTCATGACCACAGTCCACATCACACCAGGACACGGAGGAAGGGCCGGGCCCTGTGACCACAGTCCACATCACACCAGGACACAGAGGAAGGGCCGGGCCCTGTGACCACAGTCCACATCACACCAGGACACAGAGGAAGGGCCGGGCCCTGTGACCTCTGGTCCTCATGACTCTGGGGCACAGCGGGAGGAAGGGCCGGGCCCTGTGACTGTGGGAGGAGGCGTGGAAGCCGCTTCCTGCTCCCGTGCCACACCAGGGCACAGGTCATTTTATAGACTCTCCCAGGGCTGTGGAAGGAGGCGGGAACCAGGAGGCTGGTGTCCCCGCAGGGCCTCAGTGAAGGGAGGAGGGAGGAGGAGGAGGGAGGAGGGGGAGGGAGGAAACAGATGGGCCAAGAGGAAGCCACAGGGGGCTTTGGGCAGAGAGGGGGAGTCTCAATGGACAGGAAGAAGGAGGGAGAGGATGGAGAAGGAGCAGGGGGAGGAAGGAGGAGGGGGAGGAGGAGCAGGGGGGAGGGCGGAGTGTGGGGAGGTGACGGGGCCTGAGTTAGGATGGAAAGAGGCGGAGAGGCCGGTGGCCTGTGGCTTGTAGGCCGACCAGATGTCCCTGTGCCAGGACAGCAGCCGCCCTCAAGGTACCCCACAGCTGGGGTGAGGGAGGAAACAGGGAGCCGGGACAGAAATGGGGTGCAGGGAGAGAAGCCCCAGCCGTGGCTATGCGGGAGAATTCCACCCGGGAACATGGGATCCCAAGGCAGCCCTTTGAGCCGTCCACTGCGGCCCCCAAACGTTCCGTGCACTCTCTGAAGCCCACACTGGCCCTGTCCTGGAGTCCAGCCCGGGGTGGGAGACAGCGGGGTGCGTGGGGAGCACCTGCGGGGTGGACCGGAAGCAGCCAGGAGGAGGCAGGAACGGGGCCCTGGACAGACCCCTGACCTGGGCTCCTGGTCAGCTCCAGGTTGGCTCGGGGGGGGAGATCGCAGGCGTGGGCTGCGCTGGGAGGAGCCACTTCCACCGACGGAGGCGGCACGGGCTGCCCAGGGTCCGGGCCACGCGGGGCGGGAGAGGTCGGAACCTGCAGGGGGAAGATCCCGGTGGGTTTGCTGGCCAAGGCGCTCAGAGCCTGCAGGCTTGGGACTGCCGGCCCCATGCGTTGACCCCAGGGCCGAGATGAAAGCACCTGTTCACCCCGTCCTGGGGGCTCCGGGAGACCCACCGCAGCCGCGGCCAGTGGCCCGAGTGGGGCCCGTCAGTCAGACACCTCAATGTCCCCTGCAAGGGCCCCTCTGACCACAGAGAACCCGTGGGCACACACCTCTGGGACGTCCTTGCTGTCTCTAAGCCCCTGACCGGGGGACCCCGGGGACACCTTGTTGGGACACACCGTGGGGTCCCCTGGGAGGGGTCTTCCGGTCCCCAGTCCTGGTCTGTGGGGTCCCCGTGGGAGTTCAGGGCGGTGTTTGCAGCCCAGCCGGTCCCGCTCCTGCGGTGGGGACAGATCCGTGGCGGGGGCGGGCTGTCCCTCCTCCTGGTGGCAGGAGTGTCCGCGCCACAGCCAATCGCAGCGGACTGGGTGTGTTTTAGGAAGAGTGTCCCGCAGAGACCCGGCGGGAGCTGCCAGGAGCTCTGGGATTCCAGCGGCTGGAAGGTGAGTGTGTCTACCCCGTTCTCCTGATGGCAAGTCCCCTACGGGGGACGTGGCGGGTGCCGTCTGTGCCTGTTGTGGGCTGGGAATCAGGAACCCGCGCTTCCGTCATTGAGGCTCCTTCTCCTCCTCCTGGGACCCTTAGCTGGGGGCACGGGCAGGGGGTTCAGGGGGAGGGTCGCCTGGGATCTGTGGCCTGGACGTTGGCAGCCACAGGCGGCCTGCACCCCTTGCAGACCGTGAATTCTCTGCCGGGTCAGAGCCGCGGAGCCAGTGTGGAAACAGCCCAGGACGGTTATGAAATGAGCCCGGGGGCCACGACTTGCTTGGCCGGTTGGACGTCCTCACCCTGCCGCCGGGGCCTGCGTGGGGACGGGTCGGGACAGCTGGGACGGTGGGGATGTTGGGGCACTGGGAATGCTGGGATCTGAGCACCCCTGTCCTTCCGTTGATTCACCCAGCAACCATTCACCCCGTGCGTTGAATGTGCGCGTCACGGCCACTCACGCCTCTGGGACGTGAGTCTCCCGAGGACTCAGCGGGCGGGAAGGTGTAGGTGTCTCACCCCGCCTGGCGGGTCACCGGGCGTCTGGGCCCGTCCGTCATCTGCGCTGTCCCGCCGCGACCGTGAAGGCCAGGGTGGAGAGGACCTCCCCCAGGAAGGGTCAGTGCTCCGTGGGACGGCCTCCAGACCCCACTCCGCTGTGCCGTCCGGACGAGATGGCAGAGGTGGCTGGGAGTGGGGGCCGCCCCCGGGGCTCCTTCCTGCTCCACTTTGTCATGTGTGGGGAAGGCGTCGGGGGACCTGGGGACAGGAGGGGGCGCCCCTCAGTGGTCAGGGGACTTGGGATGTGAGGGGAGGGGTCAGGGGGAACGTGGGGACAGATGTGGGGATAGGAGGGGACACCCCTCAGTGGTCAGGGGACCTGGGATGTGAGGGGAGGGGTTGGGGAACGTGGGGACAGGTGTGGGGACAGGAGGGGACACCCCTCAGTGGTCAGGGGACCTGGGATGTGAGGGGAGGGGTCAGGGCACGTGGGGACAGGAGTGGACACCCCTCAGTGGTCAGGGGACCTGGGATGTGAGGGGAGGGCTCAGGAGGACATGGGGACAGGTGTGGGGACAGGAGTGGACACCCCTCAGTGGTCAGGGGACCTGGGATGTGAGGGGAGGGGTCAGGGCACGTGGGGACAGGAGTGGACACCCCTCAGTGGTCAGGGGACCTGGGATGTGAGGGGAGGGCTCAGGAGGACATGGGGACAGGTGTGGGGACAGGAGTGGACACCCCTCAGTGGTCAGGGGACCTGGGATGTGAGGGGAGGGGTCAGGGCACGTGGGGACAGGAGTGGACACCCCTCAGTGGTCAGGGGACCTGGGATGTGAGGGGAGGGGTCAGGGCACGTGGGGACAGGAGTGGACACCCCTCAGTGGTCAGGGGACCTGGGATGTGAGGGGAGGGCTCAGGAGGACATGGGGACAGGTGTGGGGACAGGAGTGGACACCCCTCAGTGGTCAGGGGACCTGGGATGTGAGGGGAGGGGTCAGGGGGAACGTGGGGACAGGTGTGGGGATAGGAGGGGACACCCCTCAGTGGTCAGGGGACCTGGGATGTGAGGGGAGGGGTCAGGGGGAATGTGGGGACAGGTGTGGGGATAGGAGCGGACACCCCTCAGTGGTCAGGGGACCTGGGATGTGAGGGAGGGCTCAGGAGGACATGGGGACAGGTGTGGGGACAGGAGTGGACACCCCTCAGTGGTCAGGGGACTTGGGATGTGAGGGGAGGGGTCGGGGGACGTGGGGACAGGAGGGGACACCCCTCAGTGGTCAGGGGACCTGGGATATGATGAAGGTGACGGGAGGGGAGGGACTGTGACGGGGGAAGGGACTGTGATGGGAGGGAGGGAGTATGACAGTAGCCGGAATGGATGGAATCCGTCATGACACAGAGGATGTGAGTGTACAGCTTTGGGTCCAGCCTGTCCTAGGAGACACTGATTTCCTCGAGTCTTCTGAACCAAAAAGTATCTGAGACAGGTCTCAGGACATTTAGAAAGTGTGTTTTGCTGGCCGGGCACGGTGGCTCACGCCTGTCATCCCAGCACTTTGGGAGGCCAAGGCGGGCAGATCACCTGACGTCAGGAGTTCAAGACCAGCCTGACCAACAAGGTGAAACCCTGTCTCTACTAAAAATACAGAAATTACCTGGGTGTGGTGGTGGGCGCCTGTAGTCCCAGCTACTTGGGAGGCTGAGATAGGAGAATTGCTTGAACCTGGGAAGCGGAGGTTGCAGTGAGCCGAGATTGCACCACTGCACTCCAGCCTGGGAGACAGAGCAAGACTCCGTCTCAAAAAAAAAAAAAAAAAAGTGTGTTTTGCTAAGGTTGAGGACGCGCCTGTGACCGAGCCTCAGGAGGTCCTGACGACCTGTGCCCTAGGTGGTCGGAGGACATCTTGGTATTATGCATTTTAAGGAAACGTCAGACATGAATCCATACGTGTAAGACGAACCTTGGTTCTGTCAAGCGCGTCGGTGCGAAGAGACCCCCGAACAGGCTTTGTGTGAGCGATAAAGCGGTTCATTCACTTGGGTGCAAGTGGGCTGAGTCCGAAGAGAGAGTCAGCGAAGGGAGATGGGGGAGGGGTGGCTCAATAGGAGTTGGGTAGGTAATGGAAAATTACAGCAAAAGGTGGTTATCTATTGTCAGCAGAGGAGGGATTGCAAGGTGCGTGGTGCACAGATCATAAGACTCATTGTCCAGAGGACGAACGGCACAAAGTCGATTGATCGGCTAAGGTAGGGCAGGGAGAACTCACGATAGTAAAATGTTGTAATTTTAGTTAACCAGTTAAGGCAGGAACTGGCTGTTTTACTTCTCTGTGGTTTTTCCTTGGCTGCTCCAGACTTCTTGGCTCCTGCAGGCCACCTGGACGTATATGTGCAAGTCACAGGGGTGATAATGGCTGAGCTTCGGCTCAGAGGCCTGACAGGTTCAATCGGTGAAGGTGGGACTGCTCCACTGGTGGTGAGGCGGGCTTCCAGGTCATAAGGTAGATTTTAAAATTTTCTGACTGGCAATTGGTTGAAAGAGTTATTATTAGGCCGGGCACGGTGGCTCACGCCTGTCATCCCAGCACTTTGGGAAGCCAAGGCGGGCGGATCACCTGAAGTCAGGAGTTCGAGACCAGCCTGGCCAACATGGTGAGACCCCCGTTGCTACCAAAAATACAAAAAATTAGCTGGGAATGGTGGCAAGTGCTTGTAATCCCAGCTGTGCTGGAGGCTGAGGCAGGCGAATAGCTTGAATCCAGGAGGCGGAGGCTGCAGTAAGCTGAGATCATGACACTGCACACCAGTCTGCGCAACAGAGCGAGACCCTGTCTCTGAAAAAAAAAAAAAGAAGAAAAAAAGAGTTATTAGTAGAAAGGAATATCTGCATTAAGATAAGAGGATGTGGAGACGAAGGTTTTTTGTTTTTGAACGGGAGTCTCACTCTGTCTCCCAGGCTGGAGTGCAATGGCGCGATCTCGGCTCACTGCAACCTCCGCCTCCCGGGTTCAAGCGATTCTCCTGCCTCAGCCTCCCAGTAGCTGGGACTACAGGCGCGCGCCAGCACGGCTAAATGATTTTTGTATTTTTACCAGTGATGGGGTTTTGCCATGTTGGCCAGGCCGGTTTCGAACTCCTGACCTCAGGTGATCCGCCCGCCTCGGCCTCCCAAAGTGTTGAAGTGCTCGAATTACAGGCGTGAGCCAGCGGGCCCCGCCCAGACCTGCATTTTAACCTCCCCTCCACCCCGCGGCCCCGGGACCCTGGGCATCCGGAGGCTCACAGCGGCCCTGCTGGGATGCTCCAGGCAGATCACTGCACAGCCCTGCAGGCAGAGGGGAGGCCGTGCAGGAGGAGGGGAGGCCGTGCAGGGGGAAGGGAGGCCGTGCAGGGGGAGGGGAGGCCGTGCAGGGGGAAGGGGGGCCGTGCAGGGGGAAGGGAGGCCGTGCAGGGGGAAGGGAGGCCGTGCAGGCAGAGGGGAAGACGTGCAGGGGGAGGGGAGGCCGTGCAGGAGGAGGGGAGGCCGTGCAGGGGGAAGGGAGGCCGTGCAGGCGGAGGGGGGTACGTGCAGGGGGCAGCGGAGGCCGTGCAGGGGGAGGGGAGGCCGTGCAGGGGGAAGGGGGGCCGTGCAGGGGGAAGGGAGGCCGTGCAGGGGGAAGGGAGGCCGTGCAGGCGGAGGGGGGTACGTGCAGGGGGCAGCGGAGGCCGTGCAGGGGGAAGGGAGGCCGTGCAGGGGGAGGGGAGGCCGTGCAGGGGGAAGGGGGGCCGTGCAGGGGGAAGGGAGGCCGTGCAGGGGGAAGGGAGGCCGTGCAGGCGGAGGGGAAGACGTGCAGGGGGAGGGGAGGCCGTGCAGGGGGAGGGGAGGCCGTGCAGGGGGAGGGGAGGCCGTGCAGGGGGAGGGGAGGCCGTGCAGGGGGAAGGGAGGCCGTGCAGGGGGAAGGGAGGCCGTGCAGGCGGAGGGGGGTACGTGCAGGGGGCAGCGGAGGCCGTGCAGGGGGAGGGGAGGCCGTGCAGGGGGAAGGGGGGCCGTGCAGGGGGAGGGGAGGCCGTGCAGGGGGAGGGGAGGCCGTGCAGGGGGAGGGGAGGCCGTGCAGGGGGAGGGGGGCCGTGCAGGGGGAAGGGAGGCCGTGCAGGGGGAGGGGAGGCCGTGCAGGGGGAGGGGGGGCCGTGCAGGCGGAGGGGGGCCGTGCAGGGGGAGGGGGGGCCGTGCAGGCGGAGCGGGGGGCGTGCAGGGGGAGGGGAAGCCGTCCTGGGCCTTTTCCAGCTGGCTGCAGAGAAGGGGCCAGCTCCCTCCTGGGGACCCGGAGCCGCGGTACAGGTGTGGTTGCTTCTCTTGGAGAAAGAGGCTGAGCTGACATCCCCCGGGCTGATAAAGAATGGGCTCCTCCTCCTGGGCCCAGCAGGCTCCCGGGACCCTCCCTCCCTCCCTCCCTCCCTCCCTCCTTCCGGGCAGCAGGGAAGATCTGAGTTCATGTAGCTGGTGTTGGCTTAGGGTCTGGGAGGAAGGCTTTTGGGAAGATGTAAATAAGAACAAAATCTGCAGCCACCTGGGAAGCCTGGCCTCAGTGTGGAAGAGAAGGCAGCAGGATTATTACAGAACCTTGTGAAGCCAACGCGGGCAGCCGCCAGGAGCTGCAGACCGAGAGGATCTCGTCCTTTCTTGCGGCCCAGGGAGACCAGGCCTTTCATTCTGGGCTCGAGACCAACAATTCGAATTCCGAACTCCCCCTGCGTGTGGGACTCAAGGTGGGTTTGCAGTTTGCAGGCAGCTGAAGTTTGTCTCTTCTCCAGGAGGCCGGGGCTTCTTCCCTTCCTCTCTGTCCCATTTCTTTTTTCTTGAGACAGAGTCTCACTTTGTCACCCAGGCTGGAGTGCAATGGTGTGATTGTGGCTCACTACAGCCCCCGCCTCCCGGGTTCAAGCCTCAGCCTCCTGAGTAGCTGGGATTACAGGCGTGCGCCACCACGGCCGGCTACTTTTTGTACTTTTAGTAGAAATGGGGTTTCACCATGTTGGCCAGGCTGGTCTCGAACCCCTGACCTCAGGTGATCCACCCACCTCAGCCTCCCAAAGTGATGGGATGACAGGCGTGAGCCACCGTGCCCGGCCCCTCCAGGTCTCATTTCTAAGAGGAGGCCTCAGGTCCACCAGGAAACATTCCTCAGATGTGAAACTGTCAACAGGCTGATTTCTGGGCTCAAGATCAACAATTCTAATTGATTTGATTAAATCAATTAGATCTAATGATTTTAATCTAATCAGTTTTAATCTAAATGATTAAAAATCTTACATACATTGCCGGGCGTGGTGGCGGACGCCTGTAATCCCAGCTACTCTGGAGGCTGAGGCAGGAGAATTGCTTGAACCTGGGAGGCGGAGGTTGCAGTGAGCCGAGATTGCATCATTGCACTCCAGCCTGGGTAACAAGAGTGAAACCCTGTCTTTAAAAAAAACAAAACAAAACAAAAAAAAAACCGTACATACAGCTGGGCACCGTGGCTCACGCCAGTAATCCCAGCACTTTGGGAGGCCGAGGCAGGCAGATCACCTGAGGTCAGGAGTTCAAGACTAGCCTGACCAAGATAGTGAAACCCCGTCTCTACCAAAAATACAAAAATTAAGCAGGTGTGGTGGCGGGCGCCTGTAATCCCAGCTACTCTGGAGGCTGAGGCAGGAGAATTGCTTGAACCTGGGAGGCGGAGGTTGCAGTGAGCCGCGATCGCGCCATTGCAGTCCAGCCTGGGCAACGAGAGGGAAACTGTGTCAAAAAAAAAAAAAAAAGACCAACCAAAAAAGTTATATACACTTCAGAGGCAGAGAAAGAATTTACAAGTTGTCTAAAATGTCCTTATGGAAAGGGTCACTTCCCTTATTTTCAACAGTATATTATATATATATACTTATATATGTATATATAGTGATGTATATATGTATATATGTTATGTATGTGTTATATATGTCTATATTATATATGTATATATGTTATACATGTATGTTATATATATATTATATATATATTATATATGTATATATTATATGTATAATATATATTATATGTATATATTATATATGTTATATATATGTTATGTATATAATATGTATATATGTATATATTCTGTTATGTGTGTATGTGTGTGTGTGTGTGTGTGTGTAGGCGACACGGACACACGTGGAGTGGTTTTAAGGAGCGGAGAGTTTAATAGGAAAGAAGGGAGGTCCGGGCAGTGGCTCACGCCTGTAATCCCAGCACCGCGGAGGTTGCGGTGAGCCGAGATCGCGCCATTTCACTGCAGCCTGGGCAACAAGAGCGAAACTGCGTCTCAAAAAAAAAAAAACCAAGGCGAGAAGGCAGAAAGAAGTGGCTCCCCTGGACTGAGACAGAGGGACGGGGGCTCCAAACCCCAGGCAGGAGACCAGCCCGTGTTATACGGTGCCTGGAGGAGGCGTGACTCATTTGCATAGCGCTGAGGGGATTGGTCTGACCAGGCCTGTCATTCACGTAGCCCGCGAAAAACCTGGCCCGCCCACCCCAGTTCCGTAATATGCAAATGTAGGGCGCCATGATGTTCCACACGCCTGAGGGTAGTGGGGGCGGCCGTGGTGTCAGGCCCGGGTGGGGGCGGCCTTGGTGTCAGGCCCGGGTGGGGGCGGCCGTGGTGCCAGGCCCGGGTGGGGGCGGCCGTGTTGCCAGGCCCGGGTGGGGGCGGCCTTGGTGTCAGGCCCGGGTGGGGGCGGCCTTGGTGTCAGGCACGGGTGGGGGCGAGGGCAAGAGGGCAACGGTGGGAATCGCCATGTGGGCTGGACCAGCTAAAGGCTCGCATTTGCATATTAAAGGTTGCCAAGCCGGGTCTAAGAGCCAGGGCTTTCACGCTAGACAAGAAACATTTTTTGGAGCTGCAAAAAATGCTTCCAAGGACCCCTTTTCCTCTCTCTCTCTCTCTTTTTTTTTTTTCTTTTTTGGATATGGAGTTTCACTCTTGTTGCCCAGCCTGGAGTGCAGTGGCGGGATCTCCGCTCACTGTAACCTCCACCTCCCGGGTTCAAGCGATTCTCCTGCCTCAGCCTCCCGAGTAGCTGGGATGACAGGTGCCACAGGTGCCCACCACCACGCCCAGCTAATTTTTGTATTTTTAGTAGAGATGGGGTTTTGTCAAGTTGGCCAGGCTGGTCTCGAACTCCTGACCTGAAGTCACCGTAAAAAACCTCTTTTCCTCTTCTCCTTCCTCAGGTTGCCCAGGGCTCACCTCTGATGGGTGGGCAGGTGAGCGCTTCCAACAGCTTCTCGAGGCTGCACTGCAGAAATGCCAACGAGGACTGGATGTCGGCACTGTGTCCCCGGCTCTGGGATGTGCCCCTCCACCACCTCTCCATCCCAGGTGAGGTTGGGGTGGGGCAGGGGCCGTTGCCTCTATCCCAGGTGACGGCAGGGTGGGGCGGGAGCTGTGGCGTCTGCATTCCCCAGTGGGGACGCTGGCTGTAGGAGCAATCCTGGGTGTAGGGAAATCCTAGAAAGCACACTGATGTGGACACACACATACACACAGTGCACACGTGTGTGCATACACATATGTACATAGTCATGGACATGCACAGACATGCATACACACAGGCATGCACACATGTGCACACATACACAGGCATACATGCACACACGCACACACGCACACACGCACACATGCACATCTGCACACGCACATCTGCACACACACATGCACATCTGCACACACACATGCACATCTGCACACATACGCATGTGCATACTGTGTTGGTCTGTTCTCACGCTGCTAACAAAGACATACCCGAGACTGGGTAATTTATAAAAGAGGTTTAATGGACTCAGTTCCACCTGGCTGGGGAGGCCTCACAATCACGGCAGAAGGTGAATGCGGAGCAAAGTCACATGTTACATGGTGGCAGCCAACAGAGCGTGTGCTGGAGAACTGCCCTTTGTACAACCATCAGATCTCGTGAGACTTATTCACGATCACGAGAACAGCATGGGAAAGACCCGCCCCGTGATTCGGTGACCTCCCACCAGGTCCCTCCCATGACAGATGGGAATTATGGGAGCTACAATTCAAGATGAGATTTGGGTGGGGACACAGCCGAGCCATATCACATACATAGGTGCACATAGGCACACATGCAGGCACACACAGACACATACATACACACACACATGCATGCGCACACACATACATGCATGCACACATGCACATCCCCACACATATGCACATGGATGCATATACATGCACACACACAGGTGTACACACATGCAGGCACATGTATACATGGATGTAGGCACATACTAATGCACACATGTATACATGCACATAGGCTCATACACACATGGATGCACATACACATGCATGCACATGTGCGGGTGTGTACACATGCACATGCACACGTGTACACATGTACACACATGCACACATGTATATATATATTTGCACCTATGCACACATATATACACCTGCAGATATACACAGGTGTAGACATGTACATGCACAGACACACGTGCACACATAAACATTTGCACCTATGCACGCAGAGACACGTCTATGCAATGCATGTATACACGTGTACACACGTACATGCATGCACACAGACATACACATGTACACATTTGCACCTATTCACATAGACATACATGAATGCACATATGCACACGTGTACACAGGCACACATGCACATGCACACGCGTGTACACACATGCACACACGTAGACACACGTCCATGCACACAGGAACACAGGTACATGTTTAAACACAGGCACACACATGCACACTCACATATAGGCATACGGACACACATACACATGCACACAGATACGTATTGTCAACCTAAGGAAATAAACTTAGACAAAATTAATATAAGTAGGGGGTTTCCTTGAGCCACATTTGAGGACTGCAGCCCAGGAAACCCTCCAACTCGCCTTAGGAAGTGGCTGTGGAGAACAACGTCGAGACGGGAGCTTCTAAAGAAAGTGCACATCAGGAGAGGGGGTGATGATGAAAGCTGTTTTTCAGGAATTCATGTGGGTTACTGAAGTGGCATCGAGCACTGATCGCGTTCTTCCTTGCAATGTAGGGAATGAGTTATGGTGCCCCAGTGTGACATCCTGAGGTTAATTTTTTTTTTTTGAGACGGAGTTTTGCTCTTATCGCCCAGGCTCGAGTGCAGTGGCTCCACCTCAGCTCATCGCAACCTCTGCCTCCTGGGTTCAAGCGATTCTCCTGCCTCAGCCTCCCGAGTAGCTGGGATTACAGGCACGCTCCACTATGCCTGGCTGATTTTTGTATTTTTAGCAGAGATGGGGTTTCACCATGTTGGTCAAGCTGGTCTCGAACTCCCGACCTCAGGCAATCCACCTGCCTCGGCCTCCCAAAGTGCTGGCATTGCAGACATGAGCTATTGCACCCGACATCTTAGGTTAATTTGTAGAGATGCGGGGCATCTGTCAGTCTAGAGCTGACCTAGTAAGTAGCTTCCAGGGGTGATACTGTAGCAGGACCAGCCGCAGACAAAACTCAGACACCGGATTAAAGAAAGAAGAGGTTTCTTTGGCCGGGAGCTTCGGCAGACTCACATCTTAAGAGCCGAGCTCCTTAAAAAAGAAATTCTTGGCCTTTTTAAAGGCTTACAACTCTGAGGGGTCCACGTGAAGGGGTCGTGATAAATCAAGCAAGTGTGGGGAACGTGACTGGGGGCTACATGTGTCAGCTAACAGAACAGAAAGTTTTGTAACGCTTTTTCATACAACGTCTGGCATTTACAGATAACAGAAGTGGTTTAGGTTATGGATTGATATTATTTTAACTCCCAGGGCTGGGTGGTGGTGCCAAGGTTGTCTGGCTATTTATCTTACTTCTGTTTCTTTCCAACCTTTTGCTTTCTCCTGTCTTATAAACTAGGCAAGGTGGGGGTAGGGGGCAGCAGGAGAAGTACTGGTCTCCTTCCTTAACACCTTAGCTCAAGATCGGGGGAGCAGGTGACTGTGGCTTCGTTCCAATGCCTCTCGGGGTCTGGGGATTTAAAGGGGGTCCACGTTCCTCAGAGGATGTAAAGGGGCTTCACGTTCCTCAGGGGATTTAAAGGGGGAAGGCCGGGCGTGGTGGCTCACGCCTGTAATCCCAGCACTTTGGGAAGCCAAGGCAGGAGGATCACTTGAGTTTAGGAGTTTGAGAGCAGCCTGGGCAACATAGTGAGGCCCCATCTCTGCAAATATGTATATACACACACACATTTATATGTAAGTGTACATATTTATATATAAACATACATATTTATATTTATATATAATATATAAATAAGTAAATGTAAAATATAAAATATATATCATATATTTATATAAATATATGATACATAAGTACATTTATATATTATATTTATAAACATAATATGTGGATATATATTTTATATATTTATATAAATACATATTTATGCAAAAATATGTATTTATGTAAATATATACTAATATATGTTTATATATAGATATATATACACTATATATGTTTATATATAGAATATATACTATATATGTTTATATATAGATATAGATACTATATATGTTTATATATAGATATAGATACTATATATGTTTATATATAGATATAGATACTATATATGTTTATATATAGATATAGATACTATATATGTTTATATATAGATATAGATACTATATATGTTTATATATAGATATAGATACTATATATGTTTATGGATATAGATACTATATATCTTTGTTTATAGATATAGATACTATATATGTTTATATATAGATATATGTCATATATATCTTAAATATATATATCTTAAATATAGATATATTTATATCTATATTTAAGAAATAACAACTACGTGTCATAGGCAGGAAATGCAAACGTCAGCCATCAGTCAAACTCTACAAAGGTCTGTGTTTCTTGCGGTTACCATAACAAGTGAGCACACGTCAGGAGGCGGCAAAGAACAGAAATTTACTCTCTCCCAGTTCTAGATACAGAAATCTGAAGTCAAGATATGGGCAGGACCACACGTCCTCCTGAGGCTCTAGGGGAGGGTCCTTCCTGCCTCTCCCAGCTCCTGGGGGCTCCAGGCATCCCTGGGCTTGTGGCCGCATCACTCCAGTCTCTGCCTCCATCTCCACGTGGCCTCCTCCTCTGGGTCTGTGTCTCCTAAGGACACCTGTCATTGCATTTAGGACCCAGCACAAAGCCAAGATGACTTCATCTTGAGCATTTTGAGAGCATGTGTAAAGACCCTATTTCCAAACAGGATCCCATTCACAGGTTCTGGGCAGGGGGTTAGGACTTGAACAGCTCTTTTGGGGATCACCACTCAAGTCATTGAAATTGTATTCAGTTCCTTCTAGAGGCTCTAGAGTGGGGGATCCTTCCTGCCTCTCCCAGCTCCTGGGGGCTCCAGGCATCCCTGGGCTTGTGGCCGCATCACTCCAGTCTCTGCCTCCGTCTCCACGAGGCCTCCTCCTCTGTGTCTGTCTCCTCCTCTTGTGTCTTAGACGGACACCTGTCACTGGATTTGGGGGCCCGCCCTACTCCAGGATGATCTCATTTCAACCTAATGATATCTGCAGAGACCCTGTTTCAACACGGGTCGTGTTCCCAGGTTCCAGTGGACGTGAGTTTTGGGGGTCAGCGTGCACCCCTCCCGCCATACCTGTGCCTGTGCTGTGGGCGGGCAGCAGCCTGTGCTGTAGGCGGGCTGTGGAGCGACTCACAGCAGGTGGCGGGGACGGACTCGTGGTGACATGTCCGCGTGTGTGCTTTGCTCTCAGGGAGCCACGACACGATGACGTACTGCCTGAACAAGAAGTCCCCCATTTCGCACGAGGAGTCCCGGCTGCTGCAGCTGCTGAACAAGGCCTTGCCCTGCATCACGCGCCCTGTCGTGCTGAAATGGTCCGTCACCCAGGTACGGTCTGTGCCCCGTGCTGCTGACCTGGCCTGTCAGCTATGTGGGGCCCACGGCCCCGTGGTGCTGAAATGGCCCCTCACCCAGGTAGGGTTTGAGTGGTGCCCTGTGGGCTCAGGAGGCAGGTTCCTATCCCAGCTGCGGAGACAGGATTAAAACAAAACCTGCTGCCCACCCAGAACCCCTCCCCAGAGGTGGAAGAGAGGGGAACAGTGTTTTTATTTATTTATTTTTTGAGACAGGGTCTCACTCTTCTTACCCGGGCTGGAGTGCAGTGGCGTGATCTCGGCTCACTGCAACCTCCGCTGCCTGGGTTCAAGCGATTCTCCTGCCTCATCCTCCTAAGTACCTGGGTCTACAGGCACCTGTCACCACACCTGGCTAATTTTTTGTATTTTTAGTAGAGATGGGGTTTTACCGTGTTAGTCAGGATGGTCTTGATCTCCTGACCTCATGATCTGCCCGCCCCAGCCTCCGAAAGTGCTGGGATTACAGGCGTGAGCCACCGCGCCCGGCCCAGCATTTTATTAAATGGCGTAAAGCTAATGCCGTGAGCATCGCAGGCCTCCACTGAGAGCTGCAGAGGGAGAGGGTCTCGCCCTGTTGCATCCCAGCAGAGACAACACCTTTCTTTTTCTTTCTTTTTCTTTTTTTTTTTTTTGAGACGGAGTCTCACTGCCGCCCAGGCTGGAGTGCAGTTGGTGCCATCTCGGCTCACTGCAAGCTCCGCCTCCCGGGTTCACGCCATTCTCCTGTCTCAGCCTCCTGAGTAGCTGGGACTACAGGCTCCCGCGACCACGCCCGGCTAATTTTTGGTATTTTGAGTAGAGTCAGGGTTTCACTGTGTTAGCCAGGATGGTCTCGAACTCCTGACCTCGTGATCCACCCGCCTCAGCCTCCCAAAGTGCTGGGATTACAGGCGTCAGCCACCGCGCCCGGCCGAGACAACCCCTTTCATGCCTGCACTCAAGACAGACAAGGACTCATTTCTCGTGTCTTTAGGACCTGAGGCGGGTCTGCAGTTTGCAGTCAGGCATCTGCTAGTCCCTGGGAAACAGGGAGACAGGCCCCTTTCTCCCTAATAATCACATTCATTCATTCCTTTAGAGATGGAGTCTCGCTCTCTCACCCAGACTGGAGTGCGGTGGTGCGATCTCAGCTTCCTGCAGCCTGGGCCTCCCAGGATCAAAGGATCCTCCTTCCTCAGCCTCCCGGGCAGCTGGGACTACAGGTGTACACCACCACACCCAGGCTGATTTTTAAAATTTTTAGTAGAGGCCGGGCGCGGTGGCTCACGCCTGTAATCCCAGCACTTTGGGAGGCCAAGGTGGGTGGATCACGAGGTCAGGAGATCGAGACCGTCCTGGCTAACATGTTGAAACCACATCTCTACTAAAAATACAAAACAAAATTAGCTGGGCGCGGTGGCGGGCGCCTGCAGTCCCAGCTACTGGGGAGGCTGAGGCAGGAGAACGGCATGAACCCGGGAGGCGGAGCTTGCAGTGAGCCCAGATTGCACCACTGCACTCCAGCCTGGGTGACAGAGCGAGACTCCGTCTCAAAAAAAAAAAAAAAAGGCCAGGTCCCCGGAGATGAGGTTTTCCAAATGCAGGTCCCCGTGGCTGCAGCGCTCCCAGCACATACAAACAGCTGTTGTTACGACATCCACGTCCCAGTGGGCAGCAGGACATGCGGGTGGGCCAACCCCACAGCCCATTCCTGAGCCCCCCAGACGCGGCGCTCAGCCAGGCAGACATGACAGCAGCCTCTGTCCACAGGCACTGGACGTCACAGAGCAGCTGGATGCCGGGGTGCGGTACCTGGACCTGCGGATAGCCCACATGCTGGAGGGCTCGGAGAAGAACCTGCACTTTGTCCATATGGTGTACACAACGGCGCTGGTGGAGGTGCGGCCGGGCTGAGGTGGGACGCAATGGGGAGAGTGGGAGGCGGCCGGGCACTGGTGCAGGTGCGGCCGGGCTGAGGTGGGAAGCAAGGGGGACAGCGGGAGGCGGCCGGGCACTGGTGCAGGTGCGGCCGGGCTGAGGTGGGAAGCAAGGGGGACAGCGGGAGGCGGCCGGGCGCTGGTGCAGGTGCGGCCGGGCTGAGGTGGGAAGCAAGGGGGACGGCGGGAGGTGGCCAAGCTCCCGTGGGGATGAAACAGCCACATGCAGATGTGGACAGGAAACGCCCGGTCTTTAATGGAAGGGTGACGTCACCTATACACCAGACAGGAGACACTGACCCCGCCAATCCGTTACGGAGATTTCTTTTTTTTTTGCTTT
Organism: Homo sapiens; assembly: GCF_000001405.40. Classification (NCBI taxonomy): domain Eukaryota; kingdom Metazoa; phylum Chordata; class Mammalia; order Primates; family Hominidae; genus Homo; species Homo sapiens. Next base: position 291,155 of record NC_000023.11, read on the forward strand.
TTTTTTTTGGAGATGGAGTCTTGCTGTGTCGCCCAGGCTGGAGTGCAGTGGTGCAATCTCAGCTCACTGCAACCTCTGCCTCCTGGGTTCAGGCAATTCTCCTGCCTCAGCCTTCCAAGTAGCTGGGATTACAGACGCCGGACACCACGCCCAGCTAATTTTTGTATTTTTAGTAGATACGGGGTTTCACCATGTTGGCTAGGCTGGTCTCAAACTCCTAACCTCAGGTGATCCACCCGCCTCGGCCTCCCAAATTGCTGGGATGACAGGCGTGAGCCGCCACACCCCGCCTTCCCTGTGGTGTTGGAGTCGTGCAGGACTCAGCCCAGCACCCCCCTCCCCAGGACACACTCACGGAAATCTCGGAGTGGCTGGAGCGGCATCCACGCGAGGTGGTCATCCTGGCCTGCAGAAACTTCGAGGGGCTGAGCGAGGACCTGCACGAGTACCTGGTCGCCTGTATCAAGAACATCTTCGGGGACATGCTGTGTCCTCGTGGGGTGAGGAGGGGAAGGATATCCGCACGTCTCTCCCGGGGCAGGGGCATCGTCAGCCTCAGACTCCATTTGCTGTGCCCTGGGTGTGGGTGCTGCCATGATTCCTGTAGCAGGTGAAGCCGTCGAACGGGGGCTGCCTGCTCTCCCGCAGTGTGGGGGGCCCTGGCTGACCCGGTGGGGTGGCTCCTGGTGAGATCTGCTTCCCTTGACGGGTTTAGAAATGTGTGCAGCGTCAGCCGGGCGCGGTGGCTCACGCCTGTCATCCCAGCACTTTGGGAGGCCGAGGCGGGTGGATCACGAGGTCAAGAGATCGAGACTATCCTGGCCAACATGGTGAAACCTGGTGTCTACTAAAAATACAACAATTAGGCTGGGTGTGGTGGCTCACGCTTGTCATCCCAGGACTTTGGGAGGCCGAGGCGGGCGGATCACGAGGTCAAGAGATTGAGACTATCCTGGCCAACATGGTGAAACCCCGTCTCTACTAAAAATACCAAAATTATCTGGGTGTGGCGGTGGGTGTGCCGGACGCAGTGGCTCACACCTGTCATCCCAGGACTTTGGGAGGCCGAGGCGGGCGGATCATGAGGTCAGGACATCGAGACCATCCTGGCTAACACGGTGAAACCCCGTCTCTACTAACACAAAATACAAACAATTAGCCGGGCGTGGTGGCGGGCGCCTGTAGTCCCAGCTACTCGGGAGGCTGAGGCAGGAGAATGGTGTGAACCCGGGGGGTGGAGGTTGCAGTGAGCCGAGATCGCGCCACTGCATTCCAGCCTGGGAGACAGAGCGAGATCCGTCTCAAAAAATAAAAAATAAAAATAAATAAATATATAAAAATAGAGACAGGGTCACCCTGTGCAGCCCAGGCTCGAATTCCTGGCCTCGAGTGATCCTCCCGCCGTGTCCTCCCAAAGTGCTGGGATTACAGGCATGAGCCCCTGCACCTGGCCATACTTAATTTATTTATTTATTTGAGAGGGAGTCTCGGTCTGTCTCCCAGGCTGGAGTGCAATAGCGAAACCTCGGCTCACCGCAACCTCTGCCTCCCAGGTTCAAACGATTCTCCTACCTCAGCCTTCTGACTAGCCGGGATGACAGGCGTGCACCACCGCACCCGGCCAATTTTTGTATTTTTAGTAGAGATGGGGTTTCACCATGTTGCCCGGGCTGGTCTCAAACTCCTGACCTCAGGTGATCCACCCACCTCGGCCTCCCAAAGTGCTGGGATTACAGGCGTCAGCCACTGCGCCCGGCCAGAATTTCATTTTTGGTTTATACTCGTGTTGGGCCGGTGTCCCGACTTCCCAGCCCTCCGCTCTCCCAGGTGCCCCCGGCTCTCCTCTCTCCCCTGCACCCCTTAACTCTGGTCCTTTGCAGGAGGTGCCGACACTGCGGCAGCTGTGGTCCCGGGGCCAACAGGTCATCGTCTCCTATGAAGACGAGAGCTCCTTGCGCCGGCACCACGAGCTGTGGCCAGGAGTCCCCTACTGGTGGGGAAACAGGGTGAAGACCGAGGCCCTCATCCGATACCTGGAGACCATGAAGAGCTGCGGCCGCCCAGGTACCAGGTCGCCCCTCGTGGGGGTAGATTCCACACAGCCTCCCGTGACGCCCTGCGGCAGGCCGGGTCCACATGGACTTGCCTTCACTTTTACGTGAAAACAATTTAAAAGGAATCCATGAGCTGGGCGTGGTAATCCCTGTACCTGTAATCCCAGCACTTCGGGAGGCCGAGGCGGGTGGATCACCTGAGGTCGGGAGTTTGAGACCAGCCTGGCCAACATAGTGAGACCCCAACTTTACTAGAAATAAAACTTAGCGGCCGGGCGCAGTGGTTCATGCCTGTCATCCTAGCACTTTGGGAGGCTGAGGCGGGCAGATCACCTGAGGTCGGGAGTTCGAGACCGGCCTGACCAATGTGATGAAACCCTGTCTCTACTTAAGAAGCACCCAGGGAGAAAGCAGTCCATGTACATTGGCGGGGGGAGGGATCAACAAGGTGTGGTCCATCCACGCGGTGGAATATTACACAGCCATGAAAAAGAACGAGGCTCTGACAAGGATGCAGCGGGCACAAACCTTAAGACATCACGCTCAGTGAGAGAAGCCAGACACAAAAGGACACGTAGTGTGTGAATCCATTTACAGGAAATGCCCAGAACATGCCAATCCAGAGACAGAAAGAGGATTTGTGGTTGCCGGGGGCTGCGGAGGGGAAATGAGGACTGACTGCTTCATGGAAACAGGGTCTCTCCTTTTAGGACGATGAGAATGTTCTGGAACTAGGGAGAGGTCGGAGTTGCACAACGTGAATCCACTTTATTTTTTTTAGTTAATTCTTTGATTAGAGAAGGGGTCTCACTGTGTTGGCCAGGCTGGTCTCAAACTCCTGGTGTCAGCCAGGTGCGGTGGCTCACACCTGTGATCACAGCACTTTGGGAGGCCAAGGTGGGTGGATCACCTGAGGTCAGGAGTTTGGAGACCAGCCTGGCCAACATGGCGAAACCTCTTCTCTAGCAAAAATACAAAAATTAGCGGGCACAGGCCGGGCGCGGTGGCTCACGCCTGTAATCCCAGCACTTCGGGAGGCCGAGGCGGGCGGATCATGAGGTCAGGAGATCGAGACCATCCCGGCTAACATGGAGAAACCCCGTCTCTACTAAAAATACAAAAAATTAGCCGGGCGTGGTGGCGGGCGCCTGTAATCCCAGCTACTCCGGAGGCTGAGGTAGGAGAATGGTGTGAACTCGGGAGGCGGAGCTTGCAGTGAGCCGAGATCACGCCACTGAACTCCAGCCTGGGCGACAGAGTGGAACTCTGTCTCAAAAAAAAAAAAAAAATAGGCACCTGTAATCCCATCTACTTGGGAGGCTGAGGCAGGAGAAATGCTTGAATCCAGGAGGCGGAGGTTGCTGTGATCCATGGTCGCGCCACTGCACTCCAGCCTGGGCGACAGGAGCAAGACTCCATCTCAAAACAAAACAAAAAAGAGAAAAATTAGCCAGGCATGGTGATGCGCGCCTATAATCCCAGCTACTCAGGAGGCTGAGGCAGGGGAATCACTTGAACCAGGAAGGCGGAGGTTGCAGTGGGCCGAGATCGAGCCAGTGTACTCCAGCCTGGGCAACAGAGCGAGACTCTGTCTCAAAACAAAACAAGACAAAATCAAACTTCTGGGGTCAAGCGATCTGCTTGAACCACCATTCCCAGCCGAGTTGTGCAATTTAAAATCGTGAATTTCGGTGCAGTGGCTCACGCCTGTAATCCCACCACTTTGGGAGGCCGAGGCAGGTGGATTAATTGAGATCAGGAGTTTGCGACCAGTCTGGTGAAACCCCATCTCTAGTAAAAATACAAAAAGATTTAGCTGGGCGTGGTTGTGTGCACCTGTAATCCCAGCTCCTCGGGAGGCTGAGGCAGGAGAATTGCTTGAACCCGGGGGCGGAGGCTGCCGTGAGCCGAAATCGCGCCACAGCACTCCAGCCTGGGCAACAGAGCGAGACTCCATCTTGGGAAAAAAAAAAAAAGGTAACTTTTTTGTACGTGAATTTCACCACAATTTTTGTAAAAAAGCCACCGACGGGGTGTGAGGTGCAGACAGCGTCGGCAGCCACGGCCCCGTGTCCTCCGGAGGCAGGAGCCTGAGGGAGGGAGGGAGGAAGGTCCTCCCCGCGGGGACGGTGGCAGGTGGGGCCGTCTCGGTCCTGCAGCCTGCGGCTGGGTTCTCTCAAGGTGATCTTCACGGCCGCGAGGGCTGCTTCCCACAGGGGCAGCATGAAACCCAGTCACGGGCCGGGCAAAGGAGCAGGTTTTTTCAACTTGGTCTCTTGCCCTCACACAGGAACGAGGTTTAGAGACTTCAGAAATGTCTTTTTTTTTTTTTTGAGGTGGAGTCTCACTCTTGTTGCCCCGGTCGGAGTGCAGTGGCGCGATCTCGGCTCACTGCAACCTCCGTCTCCCGGGTTCAAGCCATTCTCCTGCCTCAGCCTCCTGAGTAGCTGGGACTACAGGCGCCCGCCACCACACCCGGCTAATTTTTTTTTGTATTTTTAGTAGAGACAGGGTTTCACCATGTTGGTCGGGCTGGTCTCGAACTCCTGACCTCATGATCTGCCCGTCTCAGTCTCCCAAAGTGCTGGGATGACAGGCGTGAGCCACGGTGCCAGGCGGAAAATTTTTTTGTTTGTGTGTTTGTTTTTTGAGACAGAGTTTTGCTCTTGTTGCCCAGGCTAGAGTGCAATGGCGCAATCTTGGCTCACTGCAGCCTTCGCCTCCTGGGTTCGAGCAATTCTCCCGCCTCAGCCTCCCACCACGCCCGGCTAATTTTTATTTTTAGTAGAGATGGGGTTTCTCCATGTTGATCAGGCTGGTCTCGAACTCCCGACCTCAGGTGATCTGCCCGCCTTGGCCTCCCAAAGTGGTGGGATTACAGGCTTGAGCCACTGTGCCCGGCCTTTTTTTGTTTGTTTTGTTTTGTTTTTGAGACAGAGTCTTGCTCTGTCACCCAGGCTGGAGTGCAATGGCGTGATCTCGGCTCACTGCAACCTCCACCTCCTGGATTCAAGTGATTCTCCTGCCTCAGCCTCCCGAGTAGCTGGGATTACGGGCACGTACCACCATGCTGAGCTAATTTTTGGATGTGTTTTTACTAGAGAAAGGGTTTCAGCGTGTTGGTCAGGCTGGTCTTGAACTCCTGACCTCATGATCCACCGGCCTCAACCTCTCAACGTGCTGGGATGACAGGCATGAGCCACCGTGCCCAGCCTAGAAATACGTGTTAAAAACCACTGAGAGAACTTGGCCATAAACGTCTGTTGCCTTTGCCGTCTCTGGCTGTGGAATCAGTCCAGCTGGTCAACACAGGGGCACTGGAACCTACCTCTGGGGGAGCTTCTTCAAATATGGCTTGCAGGAGATTCCGGCTCAGCAGATGTAGGTGGAGCCCCCAAATTTGCATTTCTAACTATTGCAGGGACCCCACTTTGAGAATCACTGGTCAACGTCAACCCTCTCTATAAGCCTCATAAGAGATGGCACAGACTTAGTGCCCAAGACAACAGCATTCTTCCTGTCTATCACATGGGGGATAAGAATGTGGACAAGTTTGGGGCCATATTATTCTGTCTCCCACATGGGATTAGGACGTGGACATCTTTGGGGCCATTATCCTGTCTACCTCATGGGGATTAGGACGTGGACATCTTTGGGGACATTATTCTGTCTCCCACATGGGGATTAGGACGTGGACATCTTTGGGGCCATTATTCTGTCTATCACATGGGGATTAGGACGTGGACATCTTTGGGGACATTATTCTGTCTATCACATGGGGATTAGGACGTGGACATCTTTGGGGACATTATCCTGTCTATCACATGGGGATTAGGACGTGGACATCTTTGGGGACATTATTCTGTCTCCCACATGGGGATCAGGACGTGGACATCTTTGGGGACATTATTCTGTCTATCACATGGGGATTAGGACGTGGACATCTTTGGGGCCATTATTCTGTCTATCACATGGGGATTAGGACGTGGACATCTTTGGGGACATTATTCTGTCTATCACATGGGGATTAGGACGTGGACATCTTTGGGGACATTATTCTGTCTATCACATGGGGATCAGGACGTGGACATCTTTGGGGACATTATCCTGTCTATCACATGGGGATTAGGACGTGGACATCTTTGGGGCCATTATTCTGTCTCCCACATGGGGATTAGGACGTGGACATCTTTGGGGCCATTATTCTGTCTCCCACATGGGGATTAGGACGTGGACATCTTTGGGGACATTATTCTGTCTCCCACATGGGGATTAGGACGTGGACATCTTTGGGGCTGTTATTCTGTCTCCCACATGGGGATTAGGACGTGGACATCTTTGGGGACATTATTCTGTCTATCACATGGGGATTAGGACGTGGACATCTTTGGGGCTGTTATTCTGTCTCCCACATGGGGATTAGGACGTGGACATCTTTGGGGACATTATTCTGTCTATCACATGGGGATTAGGACGTGGACATCTTTGGGGACATTATTCTGTCTCCCACATGGGGATTAGGACGTGGACATCTTTGGGGCTGTTATTCTGTCTATCACATGGGGATTAGGACGTGGACATCTTTGGGGCCATTATTCTGTCTATCACATGGGGATTAGGACGTGGACATCTTTGGGGACATTATTCTGTCTATCACATGGGGATTAGGACGTGGACATCTTTGGGGACATTATTCTGTCTATCACATGGGGATTAGGACGTGGACATCTTTGGGGACATTATTCTGTCTATCACATGGGGATTAGGACGTGGACATCTTTGGGGACATTATTCTGTCTCCCACATGGGGATTAGGACGTGGACATCTTTGGGGACATTATTCTGTCTATCACATGGGGATTAGGACGTGGACATCTTTGGGGACATTATTCTGTCTATCACATGGGGATTAGGACGTGGACATCTTTGGGGACATTATTCTGTCTATCACATGGGGATTAGGACGTGGACATCTTTGGGGACATTATTCTGTCTCCCACATGGGGATTAGGACGTGGACATCTTTGGGGACATTATTCTGTCTATCACATGGGGATTAGGACGTGGACATCTTTGGGGACATTATTCTGTCTCCCACATGGGGATTAGGACGTGGACATCTTTGGGGCCATTATTCTGTCTATCACATGGGGATTAGGACGTGGACATCTTTGGGGACATTATTCTGTCTATCACATGGGGATTAGGACGTGGACATCTTTGGGGACATTATTCTGTCTATCACATGGGGATTAGGACGTGGACATCTTTGGGGACATTATTCTGTCTCCCACATGGGGATTAGGACGTGGACATCTTTGGGGACATTATTCTGTCTATCACATGGGGATTAGGACGTGGACATCTTTGGGGCCATTATTCTGTCTATCACATGGGGATTACGACGTGGACATCTTTGGGGACATTATTCTGTCTCCCACATGGGGATTAGGACGTGGACATCTTTGGGGACATTATTCTGTCTATCACATGGGGATCAGGACGTGGACATCTTTGGGGCCATTATCCTGTCTATCACATGGGGATTAGGACGTGGACATCTTTGGGGACATTATTCTGTCTATCACATGGGGATTAGGACGTGGACATCTTTGGGGCCATTATTCTGTCTATCACATGGGGATTAGGATGTGGACATCTTTGGGGACATTATTCTGTCTCCCACACGGTGTTACGACGTGAGCATCTTTGGGGTTGTCTACTGCCCACCACGCTTTATAAGCAAAGCTCACCCAATTTCCTTGTTGGACATGGTGCTTTCAACTCTTAATTCCTGAGATGCGAACCTCTAATAATGTGACTAGGAGGGAGAAACAGGCGGGTGAGGCCCGTGACCGTGTAACCTCTCCCCACCCTCACCGTTGCAGGAGGGTTGTTCGTGGCCGGCATCAACCTCACGGAGAACCTGCAGTACGTTCTGGCGCACCCGTCCGAGTCCCTGGAGAAGATGACGCTGCCCAACCTTCCGCGGCTGAGCGCGTGGGTCCGAGAGCAGTGCCCGGGGCCGGGTTCACGGTGCACCAACATCATCGCGGGGGACTTCATCGGCGCAGACGGCTTCGTCAGTGACGTCATCGCGCTCAATCAGAAGCTGCTGTGGTGCTGACGGGACCCTTCTGAAGTTCGGGACGCGGCGGCTGCAGTTTCACCCCCGAATTTCCAAGTATTGTGACTTTGTTTGGGCCAAATGTTGGTGATCATAGGACCGATGATAATACGTTTTCATTTTCTTTAAAATAGAGATGGGGTGGCTGGGCGTGGTGACTTCGCCTGTCTTCCCAGCACTTTGGGAGGCCGAGGTGGGTGGATCATGAGGTCAGGAGCTTGAGAGCAGCCTGACCAACATGGTGAAATCCCATCTCTACTAAAAATACAAAACTTAGCTGGGTGTGTGGCAGGCGCCTGTAGTCCCAGTTACTCGGGAGGCTCAGGCAGGAGAACTGCTTGAAGCCGGGAGATGGAGGTTGCATTGAGCTGACATCGTGCCACTGCACTCCAGTCTGAATGATAGACCGAGACTCCATCTCAAAAGAAAAAAAAACAGCCGAGTGTGCAGTGACTCACGCCTGTCATCCCAGCACTTTGGGAGGCGAAGGCGGGTGGAACATGAGGTCAGGAGTTCGAGACCAGCCTGACCAACATGGTGAAACCCCGTCTCTATTAAAAACACAAAAACTACCTGGGTGCGTGATGGGCACCTGTAGTGCCAGCTACTCAGGAGGCTGAGGCAGGAGAATGGCGTGAACCCGGGAGGTGGAGGTTGCATTGAGCTGAGATCGTGCCACTGCACTCCAGCCTGGGCGACAGAGCGAGACTCCATCTCAAAAAAAAAAAAAAAAAAAAAGATGGGGTCTCTCTATGTTGGCCAGGTTGGTCTTGAACTCCTGGCCTCAAGTGATCCTCCCACCTCAGCCTCCCAGAGTGCTGGGATGACAGTCAAGAACCACCATGGCAGCCCATAATATGTTTTCTTATTTCTGTATTCTCCTTGCTGTGGCGTCTGGAGCCCTTACAGACCCAGGGAGACACTATCCTCCCACAGCTCACTAATTACTAAACACAGTGACAGCCCACTTAGGAGCCGGCCTCCCCTGTCAGCCAACCCCTCAGCTAGTTCTCACACCAAGCCTATAGATATATATGTGTGTGTATATATGTGTGTTTATGTGTCTGTGTGTATATATGTGTATATATCGGTGTGTATATATGTATGTATGTTTATACATGTGTATATGTGTGTGTGTGTGTGTATATGTGTGTATGTGTGTATATATGTATATGTGTGCATATGTGTATACGTGTATGCATACATGTATATGTGTATGCATGTATATGTGTATGTGTACATGTATATGTGTTTATACATGTATATGTGTGTATGCGTGTATACGTGTATGTATACATGTATATGTGTGTATGCGTGTATATACACACGTATACATATATACGTGCGTGTGTATGTGTATATATATATATGTGTATATATATATTTTTTGAGGAGTCTCACTCTGTCACCCAGGCTGGAGTGCAACGGCGAGATCTCGGCTCACCGCAACCTCCGCCTCCCTGGTTCAAGCAATTCTCCTGCCTCCGCCTCCCGAGTAGCTGGGATGACAGGCATGTGCCACCACACCCGACTAATTTCATATATTTAGTAGAGACGGGGTTTCTCCGCGTTGGTCAGGCCGTTCTCAAACTTCTGACCTCAGGTGATCTGCCCGCCTCGACCTCCCAAAGTGCTGGGATGACAGGCATGAGCCACTGTGCCCAGCCGCCGATATTTCTTTAAATTATGTTTAGGGACAGGGTCTTTTTCTGTCACCCAGGCTGGAGGGCAGTGGTACAGTCATAGCTCACTGCAGCCTCAACCTCCTGGGCTCAAGCGATCCTCTCAGCTCAGCCTCCCGTGTAGCTGGGGCTCCAGGGACACACCCCCACTGCTGGCTAATTTTTGTATTTTTGGTAGAGTCAGGGTTTCACCACATGGCACAGTCTGGTCTCAAATTCCTGGGCTCCAGTGATCCTCCCACCTTAGCTTCCAGAGTGGCCAGGATCACAGGCAGGCACCACCATGCCCAGGTAATTTTATTTTTTTGTAGAGACGTGGTCTGGCTATGTTGTCCAGGGTGGTCTCAAACTCCTGGGCTCAACTGATCCTCCCACCTCAACCTCTGCCATAGCCAGGACCTCAGGTGTCAGCCACCACACCCACAGCTAATTTTTTTTGTAGAGATGGGGTCTGGCTCTGTTGCTCAGGCTGGTGTGTAGTAGGGGCACAGTCATAGCTCACTGTAACCTTCAACGCCTGGGCTGAAGCAATTCTCCCGCCTCAGCTTCCCAAGTAACTGGGAGTATAGGTGTACACCACCATGCCCAGCTAATTATTTAGTAGTAGTAGGAGGAGTATTATGTTTGAGATGGAGTCTCGCTCTGTCGCCCAGGCTGGAGTGCAGTGGCGCAGTCTCAGCTCACTGCAACCTCTGCCTCCCAGGTTCAAGCAATTCTTGTGCCTCAGCCTCCTGAGTAGCTGGGATTACAGGCGCCCGCCACCGCGCCTGGCTAACTTTTGTATTTTTAGCAGAGATGGGGTTTCACCATGTTGCCCAGGCTGGTCTTGAACTCCCGACCTCAGGTGATCCATCCGCATTGGCCTCCCAAAGTGCTGGGATCACAGGCGTGAGCCACCGCACCTGGCCTCAAGCCAGTATTTCCCTGGCCCTAAATCATTCCTGGCTGGGTCCCAGCCCAGTAGAGCCAGCCCCCCAGCCCGGAGTGCTACTGAAGTGTTCAAAAGTTGTCAATCCTCAGCCGTTCCCTAGTCCTGTTGCCCGGTTCTGCCGAAGCCCCTTGAAGGCTGTGGCCTGGGCTGTTCCCTCATTCATTCCTGCCTCCCGAGCCAAACCCAGGTATCCGCTTGTGCCCTGCGTGGTGTGGCAGCGTCTTCTCTCGGGAAGGGTCAGGAGTAATTTCTTCTTTCAGTGGCCTCTCTGTGCTAGTCCCGGTCACCTCCGTGAATTAAAGTCCTACAGGTACAAGGGAGACCCCCCCCCCACGGAAGGCGCCCCCAGTCCGTGTGGGAGACTCGCACACCGGTTTTCTGCACAGGTTTCTTTCTGCCTCTGAAGCGTGAACGGTCCTAGTTTCAGACGCAGATCCTGCAAATACTTTTTTTTGTTTTTTTGAGATGGATTTTCCCTCTTGTTGTTCAGGCTGGAGTGCAATGGCACGATCTCAGCTCACTGCAACCTCTGCCTCCCGGGTTCAAGTGATTCTCCTGCCTCAGCCTCCCGAGGAGCTGAGATTACAGGCGCGTGCCACCGTGCCTGGTTAATTTTGTATTTGTATTTTTATTTATGTTTTGAGACGGAGTTTCGCTCTCGTTGCCGAGGCTGGAGTGTAGTAGTGTGATCCTGGCTCACTGCAACCTCCACCTCCCGGGTTCCAGCAAATTCTCCTGCCTCAGCCTCCCAAGTAGCTGGGATTGCAGGCGCCCGCCACCACGCCCGGATAATTTTTGTGTGTTTAGCAGAGACGGGGTTTCACCATGTTGGCCAGGCTGGTCTCGATCTCCTGACCTCAGGTGATCCACCCGCCTCGGCCTCCCAAAGTGCTGGGATGACAGGCGTGAGCCACCGCGCCCGGCCTATACCTCATTTTCTACATGTCGCTTGTTGGAGCTGCTGGTTCAAGTTCCCAGCCAGCCAATGGATGCCAGCACCATTTTTACTCCCCTTTCCCAAGCAAATCGTGCATTTTTGTCTAACGAGAGACATCAGTTTCTCAGGATGATCCTCAAGAACGTTATGGAGTCCATGTTGCAATAGGTTCTCTTTGGGACCTAATGACTCATTTTCCAAAAATCCGCTTCTACTTTTGGTACCCGGTTGCTACGGTGAAATGAAGGTGCCCCGCATCCAGAAAGACGCACTCCTGGACCACAACCGGCGGCTACCTCAGCCCCACGGCTCTGCAGGATCAGGGCTCGGGCAGGCCCCGCGGAGATGAAGAATTTGCAGGGAGCCTCCCTGACTTCCGTCGGCTGTGAATCCTTGTCTGTCAGGGGCGTATCCACAAAATCACCGAATTCATACAGATCGTTTAAATAAATGAACATCATTAAAGTCAAATATGAGTATGAATTTTATTACCACCAATGCAGCCAAGACACCTCTGGCAGCTTTCAGGATAGCACGCCAGAAGCATCTTTAGAAAATGTTAATTCAGGAGGCCGGGTGCGGTGGCTCACGCCTGTAATCCCAGCACTTTGGGAGGCCGAGGTGGGCGGATCACAAGGTCAAGAGTTCGAGACCAGCCTGACCGACATGGTGAAAATACAAAAAATTACTAAATATACAAAAATAATATATAAATTATAAATATATAAGAATACTAAAAATATAAAAAATTAGCCAGGCATGGTGGTGGGGGCCTGTAGTCCCAGCTACTCAAGAGGCTGAGGCAGGAGAATGGTGTGAACCCGGGAGGCGGAGCTTGCAGTGAGCCGAGACTGCACCACTGCACTCCAGCCTGGATGACAGAGTGACACTCATTCCGTCTAAAAAAAAAAAAAAAAGTTAATTCAGGCCGGGCACAGTGGCTCCGCCTGTAATCCCAGCACTTTGGGAGGCCGAGTTGGGTGGATCACCTGAGGTCAGGAGTTTGAGACCAGCCTGACCGACATGCTGAAAACCCATCTCTACTAAAAATGCAAAAAATTAGCCGGGCGTGGTGGCGGGCGCCTGTAATCCCAGCTACTTGGGAGGTTGAGGCAGGAGAACTGTCTGAACTCAAGAGGCAGAGGTTGCAGTGAACTGAGATCGCACCACTGTACTCCAGCCTGGGTGACAGAGCGAGATTCTGTCTCAAAACATACAAGGCATTTTGTTTTCCCGTTGATGGAGACGGCTAATGTGCGTGTAACGGCTGCACAGCCTGGCCACACGCAGGTGAAATTCTCTCTCTGCATCTCTTAGTGGATGGTCTGTGACACATCACCGTCTGGTTTGTTTGTTTTGAGACGGAGTCTCGCTCTGTCTTCCAGGCTGGAGTGCAGTGGCGCGATCTTGGCTCACTGCAACCTCCGCCTCCCGGGTTCATGCCATCCTCCTGCCTCAGCCTCCCGAGTAGCTGGGACTACAGGCGCCCGCCACCACCCCCGGCTAATTTTTTGTATTTTTAGCAGAGGTGGGGTTTCACCATGTTAGCCAGGATGGTCTGGATCTCCTGACCTCGTGATCCACCCACCTCAGCCTCTCAAAGTGCTGGGATTACAGGCGTGAGCCACCGTGCCCGTCCTCACGGTCTGGTTTGAAGCTGCTTCTTTAGTAAAACTATTTGCTTTCCCTTCTACTTTTGTGGAAGGGTTCTCTGTGCTGCCGGGAAACCTGATTTTTCGTCATTTCCCCGACACCACCATGGGAAACGAGACCATCTGTGAACACAGACAGCCGGGCGGAGGGGCCGTCGGTGCCCACCAGGGCCACGGCTCACGGCAGGTGCAGGAGGAACTGGAAATGCTGCTCACGGAAGTAAAATCAAAGGTTTAATGTCCTGTTACGGAAACATTCCGAGGGAAAGCAGTTCACAGCAGGCACCGAGGGCCCACTGGAATTGTGTGGATGCTCAGGCTTGGAGTGGACGCTCGGGCGGCCCGCTTTGGGGCAGGTGCGGCCGTGTCACCGGCCTGCACGGTCATCCCAGCAAATGGCTGGGAGCGAGACGGGTGCAGAACCAGACAAGGAGGACCCTGCTGCACCTGACACCAAGCTGCCCCCAACACAGCGGTAACGCCTCAGCTCCCCAGGCAGCGATGCCCCCACCCCGCAGGCCTCTGTGGGCGTCCGTTCATCCTGGAAAGAGCTTCCGGAATTTGCCGTAGGCTGAGTTGCTGATGATGACCCTCACGTCGGCCGCCCCGTCCTCAGGGATCACGTCCACCTCCTGAACTGTGGCCTCCTTATACAGCCAGCTGGGCACAGATGCGCGTTGTATGGAGACAAGCAGAACCCGTAAGTATTTGCTTAGTTTCATGATAAATAATTACGCTAAAAAGAGCTTAGCTCAAACCATTCATCAGACCGTCCTGTTTCCTTTTGTTTTTTTTTTTTTTTGAGACGGAGTCTCACTCTGTCGCGTAGGCTGGAGTGCAGTGGCGCGATCTCAGCTCACTGCAAGCTCCACCTCCCGGGTTCAAGTGATTCTCCTGCCTCAGCCTCCCGAGTAGCTGGGACTACAGGTGCATGCCACCACACCTGGCTAATTTTTTGTGTTTTTAGTAGAGACGGGGTTTCACCGTGTTAGCCAGGATGGTCTCGATCTCCTGACTTCGTGATCCACCCGCCTCGGCCTCCCAAAGTGCTGGGATGACAGGCATGAGCCACTGCGCCCGGCTTTTTATTTTTTATTTTTTTTTTTGAGACAGAGTCTCGCTCTGTCGCCAGGCTGGGGTGCAGTGGCACGATCTTGGCTCACTGCAACCTCGGCCTCCTGGGTTCCAGCAATTCTCCGGCCTTAGCCTCCCGAGTAGCTGGGACTACAGGTGCCCGCCACTGCGCCCGGCTAATTTTTTGTATTTTTATTAGAGACGGGGTTTCACCGTGTTAGCCAGGCTGGTCTCGATCTCCTGACCTTGTGGTCCGCCCACCTCGGCCTCCCAACGTGTTGGGATTACAGGTGTGAGCCACCCCACCTGGGGTGGTAACTTTTTATTCTTTGTAGAGATGGGGTCTCACCATGTTGCCCAGCCTGGCCTCAAACTCCTCTCAGCTCAAGCAATCCTCCTGCCTCGGCCTCCCAAAGTCTTGGGGTTACAGGCCTGTGCCACGGCATCCAGCTGGAGCTTGCTTTCTTATTGGTAGGGAGACCTGTACCCCTTGACTGGCAGCACAGATTAGGCACCTGTTGTGCGCACAGTCAGAAATGTATTTTGACTGTCAAGTGCAGATTAGGCACCTGTTGTATGCAGTCAGAAATGTACATTTTGACTGTCAAGCGCAGATTAGGCACCTGTTGTATGCAGTCAGAAATGTACATTTTGACTGTCAGCACAGATTAGGCACCTGTTGTATGCACAGTCAGAAATGTACATTTTGACTGTCAGTGCAGATTAGGCACCTGTTGTATGCACAGAAATGTACATTTTGGCTGTCAAGCACAGATTAGGCACCTGTTGTATGGTCAGAAATGTACATTTTCACTGTCAGCATAATTAGGCACCTGTTGTATCCACAGTCAGAAATGTACATTGAGTGTCAGCACACATTAGGCACCTGTTGTATGCACAGTCAGAAATGTACATTTTGTCAGCACAGATTAGGCAACTGTTGTATGCAGTCAGAAATGTATTTTTACTGTCAAGCACAGATTAGGCACCTGTTGTATGCAGTCAGAAATGTACATTTTGACTGTCAGCACAGATTAGGCACCTGTTGTATGCAGTCAGAAATGTACATTTTGACTGTCAGTGCAGATTAGGCACCTGTTGTATGCACAGAAATGTACATTTTGGCTGTCAAGCACAGATTAGGCACCTGTTGTATGGTCAGAAATGTACATTTTCACTGTCAGCATAATTAGGCACCTGTTGTATCCACAGTCAGAAATGTATATTTTGAGTGTCAGCACAGATTAGGCACCTGTTGTATGCAGTCAGAAATGTACATTTTGACTGTCAGCACAGATTAGGCACCTGTTGTATGCAGTCAGAAATGTACATTTTGACTGTCAGCACAGATTAGGCACCTGTTGTATGCAGTCAGAAATGTACATTTTGACTGTCAAGCACAGATTAGGCAACTGTTGTATGCAGTCAGAAATGTATTTTTACTGTCAAGCACAGATTAGGCACCCGTTGTATGCAGTCAGAAATGTACATTTTGACTGTCAGCACAGATTAGGCACCTGTTGTATGCACAGTCACAAATGTAGATTTTGACTCTCAAGCGCAGATTAGGCACCTCTTGTATGCACAGTCACAAATGTACATTTGATGCAAACCCATTCATCTCGTCTGTACATCCTAAAGCTCTCGGGGATCTCACAGCTCCTTGTGCACCCACGAAGAGCCCGTTTCAGAGCCAGAGACAGGCATCCAAAGCACCATCCCGTCTCCTGCCCCTGCAGGCCGCTCACCTGAGCTGCGCCCCTGCGAGCCTCACACGGAGAGTGAGGATCTGTCTCCCCGTCGCCTTCAAAACCGCCGCATCGAGCTCAGCTTTCAGCTCCTGGAGCCCGTGGCCCCGCAGGGCAGACACGGGCACGACGTTCGGTTCCGTGGGGCTGTACCTGCAAGGGTGGGGATGTCACAGGCCCCGCTCAGCGTCGGGGCGGCCGGACGAAATCAGGGTCCCCAGGAGTCCACTGCCCACGGGGCACAGTCTGGGGCCACTCCCTGTGTCCTGACTGCCACCGCTGCGGTTCACACGAGGAGACGGGGCATCTCCCCACCCGGCTCCAGCGCGTGCAGGGGAAGGAGACGCTTGCGGACCCCAGGGCCGGACTCACCCGGGCACGAGGTCCACCTTGTTGTGAACCTCCACCATGGAGTCCAGGAGCGGGGCGGGCAGCTGCAGGCCACGCAGCGTGGACAGAACGCTGCATTTCTGGAGCTCCGCCTCGGGGTGGCTGACGTCCCTCACGTGCAAGATGAGATCCTGTGGGCCGGGCCGTGGGGTCAGAGCTGCGGAGCCTCTGGTCCCTGACCCCAAGCTTGCAGACAGGCCCAGGAGAGGGGCTCACACGAGCTCCCAACGACAGGCTGGGCATGGGAGGTACGCCTGTGTGCAGGCCCCTCGGACACCCCAGGACGGGGGCTCCTAGACCAACAGTGGACGCGAGCCCACCCGGCTGCACTTACCCAACCTTCCAAGCCACAGGCAGCAGCTCCGCACCCCCAGACCCACACGCAAGGGGGTGCCATATATGAGCACCCAACCACCACCCACCCACCCAGGGGGTCTTCATTCAAAGCTTTAGGGCGGCTTCATCCTCCTGTGAAATGTCTTTTAACAGCGGAATTATTTCCTCTTTAAAGGATGCTTTTTTTCTCACGTTCAAAAAAAATCTTACAGGCAGGCTCCTTACACAAAATTTGAAAAACACAGGGAAAAAAAAATAAAGCCGTGTGTAATTCTCCAACTTATACTACCGGGGTATCCACGTCTACTTTTTGTTTGTTTGGATGCACTTAATACAAATAATATTTTTCCTGTAACTGAGGCACTTTGGGAGGTGGCTTGAGCCCAGAAGTTTGAGACCAGCCTGGGCAAGAGAGTGAGGCCGTTTCTACAGAAAGTACAAAAATTAGCCATGGCCTGGTTGTGCGTGTCTGTGGTCTCAGCTACTCAGGAGGCTGAGGTGGGAGGATCACTTGAGCCCAGGAGGTCGAGGCTGCAGTGAGCCGAGATCATACCACTGCGGTTCAGTCTGGGTGACAGAGCGAGACCCTGTCTCTAAAGAAGAAAAGTAAAAACAAAAAAAATAATTTCATCCCAGGAAAGTTTTACTTTTTTTTTTTTTTTTTTTTTGAGACGAGTCTCGCTCTGTCACACAGGCTGGAGTGCAGTGGCGCGATCTCAGCTCACTGCAAGCTCCGCCTCCCGGGTTCAGCCATTCTCCTGCCTCAGCCTCTCTTGAGTAGCTGGGACTACAGGCACCCGCCACCATGCCTGGCTAATTTTTTATATTTTTAGTAGAGACGGGATTTCGCCGTGGTCTCGATCTCCTGACCTGAAGTGATCCACCCGCCTCAACCTCCCAAAGTGCTGGGATTGCAGGCGTGAGCCACCACACCCGGTCCATAATTTATTGTCGGGAGGAGTCGAAAGCGGAGTCCAGGCTCCGGGCGGGGTTCAGTCCCATCTCCTCAAGGAGGTGGCAGCCGCGTCCGTTCTTTGGGACATTTGCTGCTTCTCCCTCAGGGCAAAAAACAAAGCCGTAGCCTGAATGTGACAATCTCACACCTTGTTTTCCTGCCTTGTTGCTTGACAATATTTCCCCGTGCTCTTCATGCACTTGGAAAGTCTACGGTACGGATGGAGTGTGCAGCTCACTCAGCACCCTACGGCCGGGGGCAGTTCCGGAGCCAAACAGCACCCCGCCCCCAAATCCACATCCACCAGCAGCCTCAGAATGGGACCCTACCCAGAATTAAGATCTCTGCGGATGCAGCTGGTGAAGATGAGGTCAGGGTGGAGCAGAGTGGGCCTTAAATCCAACGACCGACCGGTATGTTTACGACAGAAAGAAAGAGATGTGGGGCAGACACAGAAGAGAAGGGGACCTTGCTTGGAAATGGAGTTTTTGCAGATGTAGTTAAGATGAGGTTACCCTGGATTTATCTAGGTGGCCCCTAAATGCAATGACAGGTGTCCTAGGAGACACAGACACAGAGAAGGCCACGTGGAGATGGAGGCAGAGACTGGAGTGGTGCGGCCACAAGCCCAGGGACGCCTGGAGCCCCCAGGAGCTGGGAGAGGCAGGAAGGACCCTCACCTAGAGCCTCCAGAAGGAACTGGATCCAACTGAAGTGAACTGAACTGTGGCCCCCCACAAAAGACCTGTCCATGTATTGATCATCTGGAACCTGTGAATGGGACATTATTTGGAAACAGGGTCTCTGCAGATGTGATTAAGTGGAAGATCTGAAATGAGATCATCCTGGATTAGGGTGGACCCTAAATCTAATGACTACTGTCCTTCTAAGAGACAGAAGAGGAGACACAGACACAGAGAAGAAGGCCACAGACAGAGGCAGAGACTGGAGTGATGCGGCCACAAGCCCAGGGACGCCTGGAGCCCCCAGGAGCTGGGAGAGGCAGGAAGGACCCTCCCCTAGAGCCTCCAGAAGGAACTGGATCCAACTGAAGTGAACTGAACTGTGGCCCCCCACAAAAGACCTGTCCATGTATTGATCATCTGGAACCTGTGAATGGGACATTATTTGGAAACAGGGTCTCTGCAGATGTGATTAAGTGGAAGATCTGGAGATGAGATCATCCTGGATTAGGGTGGACCCTAAATCTAATGACAGGTGTCCTTCTAAGAGACAGAAGAGGAGACACAGACACAGAGGAGGAGGCCACAGACAGAGGCAGAGACTGGAGTGATGCGGCCACAAGCCCAGGGACGCCTGGAGCCCCCAGGAGCTGGGAGAGGCAGGAAGGACCCTCCCCTAGAGCCTCCAGAAGGAACTGGATCCAACTGAAGTGAACTGAACTGTGGCCCCCCACAAAAGACCTGTCCATGTATTGATCATCTGGAACCTGTGAATGGGACATTATTTGGAAACAGGGTCTCTGCAGATGTGATTAAGTGGAAGATCTGAAATGAGATCATCCTGGATTAGGGTGGACCCTAAATCTAATGACTACTGTCCTTCTAAGAGACAGAAGAGGAGACACAGACACAGAGGAGAAGGCCACAGACAGAGGCAGAGACTGGAGTGATGCGGCCTCAAGCCCAGGGACGCCTGGAGCCCCCAGGAGCTGGGAGAGGCAGGAAGGACCCTCCCCTAGAGTCTGTGGTCAGCTCCCGCTTTCTGGAACTGTGGTAGAGCTGGTTCCTGTGGTTTCTGGCCCCCATTTGTGGCCCCTTTTGCAGTGACAGCCTCAGGACCCCACAGGTGTTTCCAGGGTCTCGGTGTTCATCGATCCTCAGGCATCACCGTGCTGTGTCCGCCACTGCCCGCACGTCTGTGACACGAACGGTCACTCTGTCTGTCAGGGGTCTGTGACGTGGAGCAGGTGCACCCGGGAACACGCTTATGTGTTCAGGCACATAAGCCGGGAGAGGACTGACGGCCGACTTCCTATTTCTACACGGGCTCACGGCGGCAAGAACATGGCCCTGAGTGTCGGTGAGGCTGGGGCAACCGCTCAGCCTCTCGCCCGGGGACGTGGGAGGCTTGGGGGACACTAAGTCTGAGCCCCAGGAGGCAGTTGTTGTTCCGGCCCCGAGTTGGGTGGGTGTCTGAGGGCCCGGCCCCTGGCTTTGTGTGTGTCTGAGTGCCTGGTCCCCGTGCCCAGTGGGTGTCCGAGGGCCTGGCCCCTGGGCTGAGTGGGTGTCCGAGGGCCCGGCCCCTGGGCTGAGTGGGTGTCCGAGGGCCCGACCCCTGGCTGTGTGTGTCTGAGTGCCCAGCCCCCGTGCCGAATGGGTGTCCGAGCACCCGATCCCCGGCCGTCCCACGCTCACCGAGTGGGCCACGTCTTCCAGGGTGGCGGAGAAGGACTCGATGAGGCCGTGCGGCAGCTGGGAGAGGAAGCCGATGGTGTCCACGTACAGGACGGTCATGCGTGAGGGCAGCGTGCCCGCGTGGGCCGTGACGTCCAGCGTGGCAAACAGCTGGTCCCGTGGCTGGATGGCGGCATCGCCCGTCAGTGCCTTGATCAGCGTGGTCTTTCCTAGGAGGGCGTGGAGGTCAGGGCGCTGCAGAGATCCCTGCGTCCCAACTCCTAGCGCCGCAGCCAGGCCCTCCAAATGGAGACCACGGCACCCTCTGGGGGGCCGCACCCCGGGCTACACGGTCCCTGAGCTCCTCGGGCACCCCGGGCCAGACCCGACGCGTGGGACAAAGCCACCGTCGCTGTTCTCGGGCCGATGGAGCGGGGCCGCCGTGCGGACACGGGGGAGATGGTGGTGTGGACGGGTGTGCGTGTGAAGGCGTGGATGGGAGTGAGGTCGTCTGTGTAGATTTGGCAATGGCGTAGATGGTGGGATGGTGTAGGTGGGGTGGTGGTGCTGGTGTGGATGGGAGGATGGTGTAGACACAGGGGAGGTGATGGTGTAGATGGGTGGATATAGATACGGCAGTGGTGCCGGTGTTGACAGAAGGATGGTGTAGACAGAGGAGAGGCGATGGTGTAGACAGATGGGTGGATTGTATAGACGGGTGGTGGTATAGATGGGGCAGTGGTGCCAGTGTAGACAGGAGGACGGTGCAGACGAAGGGGACATTGTGGTGTACACGGGTGGATTATGTAGACGGGGTGGTGGTATAGCTGGGGCAGTGGTGCCAGTGTAGACAGGAGGACGGTGCAGACAAAGGGAACATTGTGGTGTACACGGGTGGATTATGTAGACGGGGTGGTGGTATAGATGGGGTAGTGGTGCTGGTGTAGACAGGAGGATGGTATAGACAGAGGAGAGGTGATGGTGTAGATGGGTGGATTGTGTAGACAGGGTGGTGGTATAGATAGGGCAGTGGGGATGGTCTAGACAGGAGGATGGTGTAGATGGAGGGGAGATTGTGGTATAGACAGGGTGGTAAAGCTCTGGATGGGAGGATGGGGTAGATGACATCCTCACCTTGGCTGCTGTACCCCACACAGAGACCACAGGAAACCCGTCTCCTGGGTGAGCTCTCACAGCAGCTGGTGTACCCCACACGGCGACCATGGGAACCCCCTCTCCTGGGCACGTGCTCACCGCAGCTGTCGTACGGCACCACTGAGACGACAGGGACCCCCTGCCCTCCCCCGGGCGAGTCCTCACCGGTGACACGGAGACCGCGGAAGGCCCCTCCCCTGGGCGCGTGCTCACCGCAGTTGGTGTACCCCACCACGGAGATCACGGGGAACTCCCGCCTCGTCCGCTGCCGGCGGAGCAGGTGCCTCTTCTTGCGAAGCCTGTCCAAGGCCTTCCTGATCTTGGCCTCCTTCTCTCTCAGGAGACGCTGCTGCAGCTGCATGAAGGATTCTCCTAAAAGACACCCGAGATGGTGAGGCGGTGAGCCACGCCGGGAAAGGCACAAGTGCGGGCGGTGCCGCGGAGGGTCTGCGGGGGCCCGGGGCCTGCTCCCGCTCCAGCATCTGGGGGCCCGGCTGCTTTCCCCAGCAGCGGCCCCGACACGTCCTGTTCCATGAGAAAGGGCTCTGCTCGGCGGAACGGGATCTCGCCTCCGGGTGTCCACCCTGTGAGGTCAACGAGGGCTTCCCGTGACTCGGGGAGAAAGTAAAGGCCAGATCACTACGGAGGCCTCCGAGCGGGACACGGCCCAGGACGTCATCGTGAGCGGGCTCAGTGGGGCCCCTTTCACATCCGAAGTCCCAGAACCTGGGAATGGGACCTGATTTGGAAATATGGTCTTTGTAGGGTCTCAAAATATCACCCTAGGTTAGGGTGGGCCCTAAGGCAACGACCTGTGTCCTTCTAAGAAGCAGAGACCGGAGTGACGAGGCCACAAGCCTGGGACGCCTGGAGCCCCCAGGAGCTGGGAGAGGCAGGAAGGACCCTGCCCTAGAGCCTCCAGAGGGAAGTGGATACAAGTGTAGCGGATTGAACTGTGGTCCTCCTAAAAGATCTGTCCACATCCTAATTCCCAGAACTGGTCAATGGGACCTTATTTGAAAATAAGGTGTTTGTCATAACTGAAGTATCTAGAGATGCGACGATTCTGGATTAGGGCGGGCCATAAATGCAATGACATGTGTCCTTGTAAGAGACAGAAGAGGAGACACAGACACAGAGGAGGAGGCCACGTGGAGACGGAGGCAGAGACTGGAGTGACGCGGCCACAAACCCAGGGATGCCTGGAGCCCCCAGGAGCTGGGAGAGGCAGAAGGAGCCCCTGGAGGGAGCGCAGCCCTGTCCTCACCTTGATCTCAGAGTTTTGGTGTCCAGGAGGGGAGAGCATAGATCTCTGCTGTTTAAATCCCCAGTTTGTGGCTACTGATTTAGGCAAAACCTCCAAAAACCACCAGCATCTCCTATCTCCTCAAATGCTACCAGACGGAGCCCCCAGCCAGCCCCCACCCTGTTGGAATCTTCCAGGGCTGAGGGTCTCCTATGTCCTCAAATGCTACCAGGAGACGGAGACCCCAGCTGGACCCCACCCTGTTGGAATCTTCCAGGGCTGAGAAGGGTGGCTGCCGCTGACAACCGCATTCCGAGGACCCTCTGGGACGCCGCGCCCGGCCCGAGTTACCTGACCCCATGATGTAGCGCGAGCCGACTCCTCGGTACAGGTGGGCGACGTCCCTTTTCAAGTTCGACCTGGTGTGGGAACGGGAGTGGCTCGGTCTCTGCGGACGCTGTCTCCCTCCCGGCAGAGGTCGAGGTGAAGGTGAAGGGGGCACTGAGCTGGGCCTCTGGGCCGAAGGGAGGAGCCGCTGTTGCGGCCCCGCTCCGCGTGTAGCTCACACACTGTGAGTGACGCGTGTCCCGGGCCGAGGGGACCTGCCTAGTGGGGAGCCGGGGGCAGGCAGTGGGGGCAACGGGCCCCGGAGAGAGAGCCCACACGGTGCTTTTCTTCTTTTTTTTTTTTTTTAGACGGAGTCTCGCTCTGTCACCCAGGCTGGAGTGCAGTGGCGTGATCTCGGCTCACTGCAAGCTCCACCTCTGGGGTTCACGCCATTCTCCTGCCTCAGCCTCCTGAGTAGCTGGGATTTCAGGCGCCCGCCACCACGCCCGGCTAATTTTTTTCTTGTATTTTTAGTACAGACGGGGTTTCACCGTGTTGGCCAGGATGGTCTCGATCTCGTGACCTCGTGATCCGCCCACCTCGGCCTCCCAAAGTGCTGGGATGACAGGCGTGAGCCACCGCGCCCGGCCCCCATGGTGCTTTTCTTCCTCACGCACCCCCAGAACGCCCTACAGGTGACTACAGAACGGAGGGGTTCCGGGAGTGGACGTGACGCTCGGCGCGGCCCAGGGGCCCCACGATACCTGTGCAGCGGCATCTCCGCCAGGGCCACCTGAAGCCGGGCCTCCTTCGTGCGGGCGTTACAGCGGAAGATGTGCAGGACGACCGTGAAGCGGTCAAACACCTCCACGCCCCAGGCGGCTTCCAGTTCTTTCTGCAAAAGGAGAGAGCAACTGAGAAGCCACGGGGGAAGGCCGGGCCCTGGTGGCCAATGTGAGAGGAAGGAGGACGTCTCTAATGCCTTAACCCCACCGTGTCCCCATCTGTCCCCATCTGTCCCCCGCCTGGCCGGACGCCGTGGCGTCCCCTCCTTCATCGCGTGGAGTGCGGGGACAAACACAGCAAGCCACATCCTGTGGTACCTTGGTCGGGGCAGCCATCCTCTCCACGTTCAGGAAGACGCACGTGATGTCTGGAGACCCTCGGATCTTTTCTAACAGAAAGAGGGGGTCCCGTCAGAGGCTGGCCGTCCACACCCGTGGACTGTGGGATGAGCCCACCATACCCTTTGTGGGATGCACCGCGGAGAGCTCACTTCACAGGCATCCCCGACTTCCTGAGCACGAGACCCGGGATCCAGGAAGTCAGCGTGGGAGGGGGTGTGTCTCTAGGAGTGTGTGTCTCAAAGACATAGACATGCATACGGTGAACACATCCCGGCAGGGACACAAACACATACACACGCAGACACACACACACACACACACACACACACACACAGTAAATACATCCCGACAGGGACAGACACAGACACACAGACAGACACACAGAGACACACACAAACACAGTAAACACATCCCGGCAGGGACACAAACACATACACACACACACACACACACAGTAAATACATCCCGACAGGGACAGACACACACACAGACACATACACAGAGACACACACAAACACAGTAAACACATCCCAGCAGGGACACAAACACATACACACGCAGACACACACACACACACACAGTAAACACATCCCGGCAGGGACACAAACACATACACATGCAGACACACACACACACACACAGTAAATACATCCCGACAGGGACAGACACACACACAGACACATACACAGAGACACACACAAACACAGTAAACACATCCCGGCAGGGACACAAACACATACACACGCAGACACACACACACACACACAGTAAATACATCCCGACAGGGACAGACACACACACAGACACATACACAGAGACACACACAAACACAGTAAACACATCCCGGCAGGGACACAAACACATACACACGCAGACACACACACACACACACACAGTAAATACATCCCGACAGGGACAGACACACACACAGACACATACACAGAGACACACACAAACACAGTAAACACATCCCAGCAGGGACACAAACACATACACACGCAGACACACACACAGACACACACACAGTAAATACATCCCGACAGGGACAGACACACACACACATGCACCGTGGACACATCCCATTGGGGACACACACACACACACACACACACAGGGTGAACACATCCCAGCAGGGGTGAGATGCATCTGAGTCAGGCAGGAAAGCTGACCCCCACCTGGGCAGGTGACCCAGGGCAGCCGACCCCCACCTGGGCAAGTGAGTAGCGTCTTCCCAACTCTACTGGAAGCGGGATGGTCAGAAACCTGGGAAGCGCAAGGATCGCATGCTGGACCCCACCCTAAGAGACTGCTGGTGGGGTGGGGGTCACCCAGGAGGAGGATTTGGCTGGGGCCTGCAGGGGCAGGTGGGGTTACAGCCGGTCCACCGCCTACCCTGTTTGTTGGACTCTATAAACTGCCCCGACCTAATCTTTACCAGTTTAAGTCTCTCCAGGGCCCGGTGTGAATCTCGACACAGATAAAGCCTCACCGTCCTCCGACTCCTACTGGCGTGTGCTCCCAGCTCACCTGGGCAATCCGAGAGGCCGCTTCCCCTCTGGCCCCGCAAGACCCCCGTACTTCAGCATGTCTCGGTTGGATGTTTTCGGTAGCGGCGGACAGGAAAGGAGGTTTGGGGAAGGAGCAGGTCTGGACGGACCCACCTGTCAGGTGCTCAAAGTTCCCTTTGCCAAAGATGAGCTTCCTGTCCGGCGTTTTGGTGGACACGACCATTGTCTGCACCACGGACCAGCCGTCCAGCGTGTGCACCAGCGCTGTGGCCTCCGCCACCTGCCACTCGGCTGCGGGGACACAAGGGCCACCGTGAGAGACGCTTCTGCCCGGGGCCCCCGTCCACACCTGCCCGGGGAGGCCTCCTCCTGCCCTTGAGACAATCTCCCCGGAGAAGGCACCTTGAGCCGCCGTTTGTCCCCCGATATGACTTCGTCCCCCCAGGGCCTCTAAGTAGGAATCTGACGGGAGAAGGACACCGGAGCCACAGCGGGACACGAGGGCGACCCTGCCTTACATGGAATTTGGGCTCCAGGCGGGCGCAGCAGGGAACCCGGGAGCTGCGGGTGCTCAGGGGATTACTGAGGAACCACCGGCAGGTTTGGGGAGTAGAGAGGCAAGAGGTCTGCGCGCTGTTCTGAGCAGTTCGGGGCTTCATCTGTTCCAGGAATTAGCCATTTTGGAAAACACCCGTAAAGAAAAACCACTCATCGACTACAGGAGCTTCCAAGGGAAAAATCAACCTTTATGAGACTCTGACACGTGCAGCGACTTATTCATTTGCATTTCCTCCTGGGGGGTGGGGGGTGGGACTAGACACAGATTGGTCCGCTGGACGCCCTCCCTTCCCTGACCTCAAACACACCGTGCCTACCTCTAACCCAGAGCAAGAGAAACGTAGGTCCCATCGGCGAGAACCGCCCCGGCCCACCCAACCCCACCCCACCCCACCCCACCCCACCCCACCCCACGGACCCCACGGGCCCCACCCCATCCCACGGACTCCACCCCATAAGCTCCGCCCCCGCACTTTTACCCCATAGGCCCCTCCCCCGAAGCCCCGCCCACGCACCTCCACCAATGATATCCTCCCCTCTTCCCCATAAGCCCCGCCCTTTCACCCATGGGCTCCTCCCCCGAACCCCACCCATGCACCTCCACCTATGAGATCCTCCCTTCAGAGCCCCGCCCCCGCATCACCATCCATAAGCTCTTCCCCTCAGAGCCCCGCCCCTCAGCGCCACGCCCTGGCATCTCCAACCATCAGACCCTCTCCTTAGAGCCTGGCCCCCTGAAGCCCCGCCCCTACGTCGCCACCTGAGCTCTTCCCCTCAAAGCCCCGCCCTGGGTCTCCACCTATGAGATTCTCAGGTCAGAGCCCCGTCCCTGAATCTCTACCTATGAGCCTCCCCAGAGCCCCGCCCTTGCATCGCCAGCTATGATTCTCCCGAGTCCCGCCCCTGAATCTCCACCTATGAAATCCTTCCTGCAGAGCCCCGCCCTTGCGCCTCCACCTATGAGATTCTCCCCACAGAACCCCGCCCCTGAATCTCCACCTATGAGATCGTCCCTTCAGAGCCCCGCCCCTGAATCTCCACCTATGAGCCCCCTCCCCTCAGAGCCCCGCCCCCAGGTCTCCAGCTCCTGTTTCTCCCCCGAAAGCCCTGCCGCGGTCACCTCGAGTCATCTGCGACTTCCCCGGGCCCCACTTGACGTCAGGGTGAACCAGACACACGCGCTGGGTCCCCGCCGGCAGCAGAGGCTCTCCCCGCAGCAGCTCCTCCTCGGCGTTCTCGTCCGCATCTTCCGGCTCCTCCTCGTCGTCTCCCGTGCGGCTTCGGCCGCCGTCCGCCCGCAGGCCCCGCCCTCCGCCCCACGGCCCCTCCAGATTCCCGGGGCTCCTGCGGCCGACAGCGGCTAGCGCGCGCGCGGGGCAGGACGGCGCGGCTGCCCGCGGAGCCGAGCGGCCGCGGCCCACGCGGGAGAGCCGCAGCCCCGGGCGTACGGCGGCCCGCAGGGCCCACATGGCGCGTCTGGAGGCTGAACGTTGGGGCGGGGGCTGCCCACAGGCCGCTCCTCATCACGTGCTCGTGATTGGCGTGCGGCCGGGGCTGGCTCACCAGCGCCTCTCCCCGGCACAGGCCGTGCTCCTCATTGGTCATCCGGCGTCACGTGCTAGTGATTGGCGTGCAGCTGGGGCGTGCTCACCAGCGCCTCTCCGCAGCATAGGGCGTGATCCTCATTGGTCATCCCTTGTCACGTGCTGGTGATTGGCGTGCGGCCGGGGCGGGCTCCCTAGCGCCGCGCCCCGGCAGGGCGTGCTCCTCATTGGTCGCCCCGCATCAGGTGCTGGTGATTGGCACGCGCTGCCGGCGGGGGAGGCGGGACCGGGCCGCTTCTTGTTCGGCGTGGGCGGCTCCTGGCAGACCCATCCCGCGGTGCAGCCGCCGGCCCGGTAGGCGCCAGGACCCCGAGCCTCGGCGGCGGCGGCGGCGGCGGCAGCGCTGCCTTCACTCACCTCGTCCTCGCTCCCGTCCTACCCCGTTCCGCGCTGGGTGGAGTCCAAGTCTGATTGCGAGAGTCCGGAACGCCGCCTCGGGGGCTTGACTCCAGCCCCGGGGATCGAGAACGGCGCCCAGGGGTCCCTACGTCTGCCTTGGGGGCTCGAGTCCCGCCCTGGGCGTCCGTGACGTCGCCCAGGGGTCTCCACGTCTGCCCTGGAACCTGGAGAGCCGCCGTGGGGGCCCCGGAAGCTGCCCCGGAGTCCCCACGTCTGCCCTGGGGGCTCGAGTCCAGCTCTCAGGGTCCCGGACGCCACCCAGGGGGTCCCCATGTCTGCTTTGGGGGCTCGAGTCCAGCCATGGGGGTCCTGGACGCCGCCTCGGCGTCCCCGCGTCTGCCTTGGGGGCCCGAGTCCCGCCCTGGGGGTCCTGGACGCCGCCTCGGCATCCCCGCGTCTGCCTTGGGGGCTCGAGTCCCGCCCTGGGGGTCCCCGATGCCGCCCGGGGGTCCTCACGTCTACCTTGGAGACTGGAGTTCCCCCGTGGGAGTCTCGGACGCCACCCCGGAGTCACCGTGTCTAGCCTTGGGGGCTTGAGTCCAGCCCTGGGGGTCCTGGACGTCGCCGAGGAGCCCCCACGTCTGCCTTTGGGGCTTGAGACCTGCTCTGGGGGTCCCGGTCGCCGCCCAGGTGGGTCCCCACGTCTAGCCTTGGGGGCTTGAGTCCAGCCCTGGGGGGCCCGGATGCCGCCCGGGGGTTCTCCTCGTCTGCCTTGGGGGTTGGGTCCAGCCCCAGGCGTCCTGACCACCGCCCAGGGGCCCCCACGTCTGCCTGGGGGCCTCAAATTCAGTCCTGGGGGTCCCGGACGCCTCCCAGGGGTCTTCATGTCTGCCGTGGGCCTCGAGTCCAGCCGTGAGGGTCCCGAATGCTGCCTTGGAGGGTGGAGTCCAGCTCTGAGGGTCCTGAAGTCAGCTTTGGGGGTTCGAACCCATCCATCCCAGGGGTCCCTGAGTCTACATTAGGGGCTGGAGTCCAGCCTTGAGGGTCTCCACTGCTGCCTTGGGGGCCTGGATGGGATCCAGCGGGTCTGAGTCCAGCCTCGGGAGCCCCTGCGGTGGAGCTCTGAGTGGGGCAGGGGCCTGGGAGATGCCAGGAGGATGAGAGCGGCGCCCCCCTGGTCCAGGGGACAGTAAGAGGCAGCCGGTCTCAGAGAAGCTACCCCAAAACTGTTACCCGTGGTGTGCAGAGCGTCCTGCAACCCCAGCCCTCACCAGGATTTCTTGCGTTTTTCAGGAAATCGGTTGTGATTGGCATGTTCCTTAAGCGTCTGCAGGAAGCCGAGGCCTTTTTGGTATTTCAGGAGGGGTTGCTAACCCCCCTCCTTGTAGGATCGGGGTATCCCAGCTGCTAATTCCCCTCCTAACAGCCCTGCAGCGCCTGGATTGGAGGTGTGACAGGTGGCATTTTTGGCCCGAAGTCCCTAGGCAGGACGGGTGGCTGTAGCCTGCGCGTTTGTGTAAATTAACCTCCCTTTTTAGTTCTGTGAAGGGAGAACGTGATTAGTTTAAAATCACCTGCGTGAAAGAGGCTCTTGATTAGTTTAAAATCACCCACGTGAAAGGGGCTCTTGATTAGCTTAAAATCACCTGGGTGTTTCGTTTTATCTCAGTTGGCCTCTGAATGTTTATCCTACAGCTTCCTGCAAGCTCCAGTCTACCTTCTAAGGGAATAACGGGGCTCGTCTTTCTACGTTACTTTATGTGGGAGTAGTTGTAAAACAGAATGAGGGAGACCGCGGGGATTGTGCGGAAATGTAGCCACCGTTTACATGTCGGGAGGCTGAGGTGGGAGGATCGCTTGAGCCCAGGAGTTTGACACCAGCCTGGGCAACATGGTAAGACCCCTTCTCTACCCTCCCCCCCAAAAAAAAAATTTTAGTGTGGCATGGTGGTGGGTGCCTGTGGTCCCAGCTACTCGGGACGCTGAGGTGGGAGGATTGCTTGAGCCCAGGAGTTTGACACCAGCATGGGCAATATGGTAAGACCCCATTATCTACAAAAAAAAAAAAAAAAAAAGAAAAGAAAAATTAGCCGGGCGTGGTGGTGGGTGCCTGTGGTCCCAGCTGCTCGGGACGCTGAGGTGGGAGGATTGCTTGAGCCCAGGAGTTTGACACCAGCATGGGCAATATGGTAAGACCCCATTATCTACAAAAAAAAAAAAAAAAAAGAAAAGCCGGGCGTGGTGGTGGGTGCCTGTGGTCCCAGCTGCTCGGGACGCTGAGGTGGGAGGATTGCTTGAGCCCAGGAGTTTGACACCAGCATGGGCAATATGGTAAGACCCCATTATCTACAAAAAAAAAAAAAAAAGAAAAGCCGGGCGTGGTGGTGGGTGCCTGTGGTCCCAGCTGCTCGGGACGCTGAGGTGGGAGGATTGCTTGAGCCCAGGAGTTTGACACCAGCATGGGCAATATGGTAAGACCCCATTATCTACAAAAAAAAAAAAAAAAGAAAAGCCGGGCGTGGTGGTGGGTGCCTGTGGTCCCAGCTGCTCGGGACGCTGAGGTGGGAGGATTGCTTGAGCCCAGGAGTTTGACACCAGCATGGGCAATATGGTAAGACCCTATTATCTACAAAAAAAAAAAAAAAAAAAAAGAAAGAAAAATTAGCCTGGTGTGGTGGTGGGTGCCTGTGGTCCCAGCTGCTCGGGACGCTGAGGTGGGAGGATTGCTTGAGCCCAGGAGTTTGACGCCAGCATGGGCAATATGGTAAGACCCTATTATCTACAAAAAAAAAAAAAAAAAAAAAAGAAAGAAAAATTAGCCTGGTGTGGTGGTGGGTGCCTGTGGTCCCAGCTGCTCGGGACGCTGAGGTGGGAGGATTGCTTGAGCCCAGGAGTTTGACACCAGCATGGGCAATATGGTAAGACCCCATTATCTACAAAAAAAAAAAAAAAAAAGAAAAGCCGGGCGTGGTGGTGGGTGCCTGTGGTCCCAGCTGCTCGGGACGCTGAGGTGGGAGGATTGCTTGAGCCCAGGAGTTTGACGCCAGCATGGGCAATATGGTAAGACCCTATTATCTACAAAAAAAAAAAAAAAAAAAAAAAAAGAAAGAAAAATTAGCCTGGTGTGGTGGTGGGTGCCTGTGGTCCCAGCTGCTCGGGACGCTGAGGTGGGAGGATTGCTTGAGCCCAGGAGTTTGACGCCAGCATGGGCAATATGGTAAGACCCTATTATCTACAAAAAAAAAAAAAAAGAAAGAAAGAAAGAAAAATTAGCCTGGTGTGGTGGTGGGTGCCTGTGGTCCCAGCTGCTCGGGACGCTGAGGTGGGAGGATCACCTGAGCCCAGGAGGTGGAGGCTGCAGTGAGCTTAGATTGCAGCACTGTGCTCCAGCCTGGGTGACAGAGTGAGACCCCATCTCAAACAAGAAGCACCAAAAGGTGTCTGAGATCAGGCACGGTGGCTCACGCCTGTCATTCCAGCACTTTGGGAGGCCGAGGTGGGTGGATCACCTGAGGTCAGGCATTTGAGACCAGCCTGGCCAACATGGAGAAACACTGACTCTACTAAATGTGCAAAAATTAGCCGGGCGTGGTGGCACACACCTGTAGTCCCAGCTACTCCAGAGGCTGAGGTAGGAGAATTGCTTGAACCTGGGAGGTGGAGGTTGCAGTGAGCTGAGATTGTACCACTGCACTCCAGCCTGGGAGCTGAGATTGTACCACTGCACTCCAGCCTGGGCCCTAAAGCGAGAGCTTGACGGTGGGGTGGGGGTGTGGGATGGACCTTCTGTGGTCCCAGCTACTCGGGAGGCTGAGGTGGGAGGATCGCTTGAGCCCAGGAGTTTGACACCAGCATGGGCAACATGGTAAGAACCCATATCTACAAAAAAAAAATTTAAAAATTAGCCGGGTGTGGTGTGTGGGTGCCTGTGGTCCCAGCTACACCACGAGTGGAATTGTGACGTGCACAGCCTGGGTAAATGGGGTTAGCTATATTCACCCTGAAGGGGGCACATACCCTATTATTTCTAACACCACTGAACTCAGAATCGGGACCCAGATTCGCCGGGGCAGCGCGGGACGAGGCCTCTCCCGGGCTCCGTCTTCCCTGTTAATAGACTGAGAGACGGAATGAGAGCTTCGAAGGTGCTGGGGGAGGAGCATTGGGTGTCCCCAGGTGGTGAGCTTGGGTGTGTGTGTGTAGCCGACAGTCTCCCAGGCTCAGTATTCCCTGTTAATAGACTGAGAGACGGAATGAGGGCGTCCCCAGGTGGTGAGCTCAGGGACGTGTGTGTGTGTGTGTGTGTGTGTGTGTGTGTGTGTGTGTGTGTAGCCGTCAATCTCCTGGGCTCCTGGGTTCCGTCTGCCCTGTTCATAGAGACAGAATGAGGGCGTCCCCAGGTGGTGAGCTCAGGGACGTTGTGTGTGTGTGTGTGTGTGTGTGTGTGTGTGTGTGTGTGTGTAGCCGTCAATCTCCTGGGCTCCTGGGTTCCGTCTGCCCTGTTCATAGAGACAGAATGAGGGCGTCCCCAGGTGGTGAGCTCAGGGACGTGTGTGTGTGTGTGTGTGTGTGTAACCATCAATCTCCTGGGCTCCTGGGTTCCGTCTGCCCTGTTCATAGGGATGGAATGAGGGCGTCCCCAGGTGGTGAGCTCAGGGACGTTGTGTGTGTGTGTGTGTGTGTGTGTAACCATCAATCTCCTGGGCTCCTGGGTTCCGTCTGCCCTGTTCATAGAGACGGAATGAGGGCGTCCTCAGGTGGTGAGCTCAGGGACGTGTGTGTAGCCATGATTATCCTTTAGTACCTGGTCCCCGTGCCCTCCAAGCCATCCAAGGGCTTCAGGAGGCCGCGCAGAAGGAGGGTCGGTAAGCGAGTCCACGGACCACCACGCAGGCCCTGACCCCGCCAGGGGCCCTTTGGAGGGTGAGCCCTGCGTGTTGGGGGGATGATGGCTCCGGAGGGTGAGCTCTGGGATGAGAGGGGACGTGCAGGTGGCCGCATTGCAGACACAGCTGGCTCGGGACCTGGGCGCCATCTGCCGTCGACTCAGCTCGCTCCTGAGCTGTGCCTCTTCCTTGCCTCACGTTGGAGATAAAAAGCCATAGATGGCCGGGGGCGGTGGCTCAGGCCTGTCATCCCAGCACTGTGGGATACCAGCGCAGGAGGGTTGCCTCAGCTCAGGGGTTCGAGACCAGCCTGGCCAGCATAGCGAGACCCTCTTCTCTGTAACAATTTTTTTTTCTTTTCTTTTTTTTTTTTTTGAAACAGAGTCTCGCTCTGTCACCCAGGCTGGACTGTAGTGGTATGATCTCAGCTCACGGAAACCTCTGCCTCCCGGGTTCCCGGGTTCAAGTGATTCTCCTGCCTCAGCCTCCCGAGTAGCTGGGATTACAGGCAGCTGCCACCATGCCTGGCTAAATTCTGTATTTTTAGTAGAGACGGGGTTTCTCCATGTTGGTCAGGCTGGTCTTGAACTCCCGACCTCAGGTGATCCGCCCACCTCGGCCTCCCAAAGTGCTGGGATGACAGGCGTGAGCCACCGCGCCCGGCCTCTTTCAGGTTTTTATATGTAACTTTGCCACTCAGTCGGTACTGAAGCCGTTATGGAGGCCTGCCTGGTGAGATGCGGCTGCCACAGTGTGGCTGGTATTCGAAACACACAGGAGGCCGCAGCCAGCTTAGCAGAAGCACCAGGGCTTTCGGAACTTGGTTTTGAGAGTTTCCTGTTTTCTTGACTTTCATATACCATGGATGGTAATAACTGTTGGGGGGAAAAAGCTATTAAAGATTCCTGTGGATGGTGAGATGACCTTGGTTTCAGAAACACCCAGACACAGAGAATTGTGCATTTTAGAATCCAATAAATCTACGCTGGGCACGGTGGCTCATGCCTGTCATCCCAGCACTTTGGGAGGCCGAGGTAGGTGGATCACCTGAGGTCAGGAGTTCGAGACCAACCTGGCCAACATAGTGAGAACCTGTCTCTACTAAAAATACAAAAAATTAGCGGGGCGTTGTGGCAGGTGCCTGTAATCCCAGCTGCTCTGGAGGCTGAGGTGGGAGAATTGCTTGAACCCGGGAGGCAGAGGTTGCAGTGAGCTGAGACCATGCTGCTGTACTCCAGCCTGGGTGACAGGGCGAGGCTCCATCTTAAAAAAAAAAAAATCTGATCATTTACCTGTGCACCTTCACAAGTGTTTAAAAAAAAAAAAAAACCGGGCACGGTGGCTCACGCCTGTCATCCCAGCACTTTGGGAGGCTGAGGTGGGTGGATCACGAGGTCAGGAGATCGAGACCATCCTGGCTAATTCGGTGAAACCCCGTCTCTACTAAAAATACAAAAAATTAGCTGGGTGTGGTGGAAGGTGCCTGTAGTCCCAGCTGCTCAGGAGGCTGAGGCGGGAGAATGGCGTGAACCCAGGAGGCGGAGCTTGCAGTGAGCTGAGATTGCAGCACTGCACTCCAGCCTGGGTGACAGAGCCAGACTCTGTCTCAAAAAAAAAAAAAAAAGATTGGGTTGATATTTTACCTACTATAATCTTATATGTTTGCAATTTCCTGTCATTGAGTTTTATAACTTTCTGCCCTTTGCTGACAAAAACATTTAAAATGTCTCATGGCAGCTTGTGTTCTTAAAATTCAAACTGTTTATCCATAGCCCTTGAGAGAAGGGTTTAATGTGAGTTGGTTGGGAGTGACCGTTGTCTGTTTTTTTGAGACAGAGTGTCGCTCGCTCGCCCAGGCTGGAGTGTAGTGGCGCGATCTCGGCTCACTGCAAACTCTGCCTTCCAGGTTCAAGTGATCCTTCTGCCCCAGCCCTCCAGCTAGCTTGGATTACAAACATGCACCACCACACCTGGCTAACTTTTGTATTTTTGGTAGAGACAGCGTTTTACCACGTTGGCCAGGCTGGTCTCAAAATCCTGAGCTCAAGGGATCCGCCTGCCTCAGCCTCCCAAAGTGCTGGGATTACAGGCGTGAGGCACGACGTCAGGCCAAGGGGGTGGCTGTTTTATAACAGGTTTGCAAGTTTGTTTTTGTTTTTGTTTTTCTTTTTTTTTGAGGTGGAGTTTTGCTCTTGTTCCCCAGGCTGGAGTGCAATGGCAAGATCTCGGCTCACTGCAGCCTCTGCCTCCGGGGTTCAAGGGATTCTCCTGCCTCAGCCTCTCGAGTAGCTGGGATTATAGGCACCTGCCACCATGCCTGGTTAATTTTGTATTTTTAGTAGAGATAGGGGTTTTTCCGTGCTGGCCAGGCTGGTCTCAAACTCCCGAACTCAGGTGATCCACCCGCCTCGGCCTCCCAAAGTGCTGGGATTACAGGCGTGAGCCCCCGTGCCCAGCCAGGGGGTTGCTGTTTTATAATAGGTTTGCAAGTTTGTTTTTTGTTTTGTTTTGTTTTGTTTTTTTGAGACGGAGTTTTGCTCTTGTTGCCCAGGCCGGAGTGCAATGGCACAACCTTGGCTCACTGCAACCTCCGCCTCCCGGGTTCAAGCTATTCTCCTGCCTCAGTCTCCTGAGTAGCTGGGATTACAGGCGTCCGCCACCACACCCGGCCAAGGGGGTGGCTGTTTTATAACCAGTTTGCAAGTTTGTTTTTCTCGTGTGTTAGAGGAAAATCTCTTCATGATATGGTGAAGCCGTCGTCTGTTTTGGAAGACGGTGGCCAGGAAAATGGTGGTAAGTTCTCCTGAAAGCAAACGCAGAAGGAAATAAAAATGACTGACAATTAGATCGTACAAAGATGAGCATTGTTTTTATTTATTTTTTTTGAGACGAAGTCTTGTTCTGTCACCCAGGCTGGAGTGCAATGGCACGATCTTGGCTCACTGCAACCTCCGCCTCCCAGGTTCAAGTGATTCTACTGCCTCAGCCTCCTGAGAAGCTAGAATTACAGGCATGCTCCACCACTACCCAGCTAGTATTTGTAGTTTTAGTAGAGACGGGATTTCACCATGTTGGCCAGGCTGGTCTCGAACTCCTGACCTCAGGTGATCCACCCACCTCGGCCTCCCAAAGTGCTGGGATGACAGGCGTGAGCCACCGTGCCCCGGCCCCGGATTCTATTTCTTAAACTGCAGGAAATACTAAATACTTTACATGCGTATGTTTCTCATTTCATTTTCCTACAGGAATTGGAGAGTGAGTTGCTGAGATTTCATTTTTATTCTCTTGGTCCTCATCATGCAAATGGCTAAATGGTTTTTTTTTGAAACAGGGTCTTGCTCTGTCCCCCAGGCTGGAGTGCAATGGGGCGATCTCGGCTCACTGCAACCTCTGCCTCCCGGGTTCAAGCCATTCTCCTGCCTCAGCCTCCCGAGTAGCTGGGATCACAGGTGCGCACCACCGTGTCCGTCTGATTGTTAAATTTTTCCTAGAGACGAGGTTTTGCCACGTTGCCCAGGCTGGTCTCAAACTCCTGAGCTCAGGTGATCCCCCCACCTCGGCCTCCGAAGGCGCTGGGCTTCCAGGCGTGCAGAGGGCTCTTTGTCTACATCCGTCACTGGATTTTCTACCCACGGGGACATGTGACCCCAGCGAGGTGGTCGGGGAGTCGTCGCCGGCCAGCGCTGCAGCCCAGGGATGATGACGGCTCTAGGAGTTTGGTTGTGGAGCACAGATGCCGGCGGTGTGGGCACGAGGCCCTGCACCTGCGTTTCTCCTGCACGGGCCCCGGAACCCCGGGATGGGATCTCTGTGGAGTGATCACGTCAGTGGGCTCTCGGCGAGGCTGGCGGGTGGGAGTCGGCGGCATCCGGGCTGGGCCCCCGAGGCTTGGCTCCCTCTCTGCACCCCAGGGGTCCCACAGGCTGGTGACAGCGCGACTGAAGGCCACGCTGCAGTCAGGAGGCCGCCCCACGTGTGACCCCGGGTCTTCCCACCCCGCCCTGACCCAGGGTCCTGGCCTTCCACGTGTGACCCTGGTTCCGGCACCTGTCCCCGCCCCCCCATCCTGTTCCCCTCCTCTCTCCCTGCCCCCCCTCCCCTCTCCCCGCCCCCCCTCCCCTCTCCCCGCCCCCCTCCCCTCTCCCCGTCCCCCTCCCCTCTCCCCGTCCCCCCTCCCTCTCTCCCCGTCCCCCCTCCCTCTCTCCCCGTCCCCCCTCCCCTCTCCCCGCCCCCCCGTCCCCCCTCCCCTCTCCCCGTCCCCCCTCCCCTCTCCCCGTCCCCCCTCCCCTCTCCCCGTCCCCCCTCCCTCTCTCCCCGTCCCCCCTCCCTCTCTCCCCGTCCCCCCTCCCTCTCTCCCCGTCCCCCCTCCCTCTCTCCCCGTCCCCCCTCCCCTCTCCCCGCCCCCCCGTCCCCCCTCCCCTCTCCCCGTCCCCCCTCCCCTCTCCCCGTCCCCCCTCCCCTCTCCCCGTCCCCCCTCCCTCTCTCCCCGTCCCCCCTCCCTCTCTCCCCGTCCCCCCTCCCCTCTCCCCGCCCCCCCATCCCCCCTCCCCTCTCCCCGCCCCCCCTCCCCGTCCCCCTCCCCTCTCCCCCTCCCCCCTCCCCGCCCCCCTCCCCTCTCCCCCTCCCCCCTCCCCGCCCCCCTCCCCTCTCCCTGCCCTCCCCTCTCCCTGCCCCCCCTCCCTGCCCCCCTCCCCTCTCCGCCCCACCTCTCCCCTCCCCCCTCCCCCTCCTCTCTCCCCCCTCCCCCTCCTCTCTCCCCCTCCCCCCCTCTCTCCCCCTCCCCCTCCTCCTCCTCTCTCCCCCTCCCCCCTCCCCCTCCCCTCTCCTCTCTCCCCGCCCCCCTCCCTCTCTCCCCGCCCCCCTCCCTCTCTCCCCGTCCCCCTCTCCTCTCTCCCCGTCCCCCTCTCCTCTCTCCCCGTCCCCCCTCCTCTCTCCCCGTCCCCCCTCCTCTCTCCCCGTCCCCCCTCCTCTCCCCGTCCCCCCTACTCTCCCCGTCCCCCCTCCCTCTCTCCCCGTCCCCCCTCTCCCCGTCCCCCCTCCCCCTCTCCCCGTCCCCCCCTCCCCCTCTCCCCGTCCCCCCCTCCCCCTCTCCCCGTCCCCCCCTCCCCCTCTCCCCGTCCCCCCCTCCCCCTCTCCCCGTCCCCCCCTCCCCCTCTCCCCGTCCCCCCCTCCCCCTCTCCCCGTCCCCCCCTCCCCCTCTCCCCGTCCCCCCCTCCCCCTCTCCCCGTCCCCCCCTCCCCCTCTCCCCGTCCCATCTCTCCCTTGAGTCCTTGGGTGGTCCTGGCCGCACGCCTACCTGGCGGCCCCATCCGTCCCTTCAGGGCAGGGACAGCCGATGCCCCGCACCTCCCCCATCGCTTTTCTGCCTCTGCCCCCTCCCCACATAGGCCTGGCGTCCCCTGGACTCCTGTAGGCCGAGCTGTAGTCTTAAGAAGTGTGTCCCGCAGCCCTAAAAGGTTGGGGTACCCTCCGGCCGTCATGTTCTGGGCACCCTATAGTCCTAAAGGGTCAGGGCACCCCATGGCTGTCATGTTTAGAGTACCCCGTAGTCCTAAAGGATTGGGGCACCCCACATCCCCGGTGTTCAGGGCACGTCATAGTCCTAAAAGGTCGGGGTACCCCTGGATGAGGGGCGGTCAGGAGGGTCAGGGCCTGGGTGGACATCCTGTCATCCTACCCTGTGGGCTATGCCCTGTGTCCCTGACTCTGACATTGGGTGAGGTGAGGACGGGGCAGGTTTCCATGGTACATTTATTTATTTTTTGAGACGGAGTCTCGCTCTGTCGCCCAGCCTGGAGTGCAGTGGTGTGATCTCGGCTCCCTGCAAGCTCCGCCTCCCGGGTTCATGCCATTCTCCTGCCTCAGCCTCCCGAGTAGCTGGGATCACAGGCGCCCGCCACCACGCCCGGCTAATTTTTTGTATTTTTAGTAGAGACGGGGTTTCACCATGTTGGCCAGGCTGGTCTCTAACTCCTGACCTCGTGATCCGCCTGCCTCGGCCTCCCAAAGTGCTGGGATGACAGGCGTGAGCCCCTGTGCCTGGTGGGACCCCAGTTTTCTATTAAAAAAAGGCCGGGCGCGGTGGCTCACACCTGTCATCCCAGCATTTTGGGAGGCCGAGGCGGGTGGATCACTTGAGGTCAGTTGTTTGAGACCATCCTGGCCAACATGGAGAAACCCCGTCTCAACTGAAAATACAAAAATTAGCCGGGCGTGGTGGTGGCGGGCGCCTGTGATCCCAGCTACGCGGGAGGCTGAGGCAGGAGAATCGCTTGAACCCAGAAGGCAGAGGCTGCAGTGAGCCGAGATCGCACCATGGCAGTCCAGCCTGGGCGACAAACAGAAAACAGGCACAGCATAGAGTCTGCCTTTCTGGAATCGCTATAGCTAGGGGGCTGCCTCCCTAAGCCCCACTTCTCTGAGTCTCCTGCAAGGTTTGTGTGAGTGCCTGGGGGCCGAGGCCCTGGCGAGGAGGATGGGGGCTCGGGGGCCTCTGTGACCTGGGGGAGGGGCTGTCGCGTCCCCCTGTGGTCGCGTCCCCCTGTGGTCGCGTCCCCCTGTGGTCGCACCTGTGGGCTGTCGGCCGTAGGTACCGCTCAGGCCCGTCCTGGTTGCGGGGCAAGGGCCTGTGTGTTGGGGGCTGAGAGACGGGGCCTAGAAGCCCTGTTGTGGGGAGGCCTGTGGGGGGCTTGTCCAAGCGGGACCTCCTATCCCTGCACCACTGGGGTCGTCCCCCCCGACGGGGCCTCGTCCCCCCCATGGCTGCTCCGTGAGGTCAGGCAGCGCCGCGCTAGGGAGATGGGGTGGCCCTGTCCCCGCAGAGGGGCTGTTCTCTGGGGCAGAGGCGGGCAGGACCCCCCGCCTTGTGGTCAGGACCCCCCTCCTTGTGGTCAGGACCCACTCGTGGCGGCCGGGGCTGCTGCGGGAGCTGATACCGGGGTGGAGACAGCTACGCCATGGTGAGGACACGGGGCCGGGGGAGGCTGCAGCCGACGGCCAGGCCCCCGTGCGGAAGACCCGGGGCAGCCCCCGCCTAGGAGCTGCGCAGACACGTCCTGGGGCCGCTGTTTCACCGAGACCCGAACGGCTGCTCCCCAGGCTCTGAGTGGCGTGTGCGGCAGCCAAGGCTGGGGGAGCTGTGACTTCTACACGGCGCCAGGGCGCAGGGATCCCTGCTGTGCCAGGGTCTGCCCGTGGGTCATGGGGAACGTGGTTCGAGGCCCCTCTGCTGTAGCCACGCAGCAGCGTCTTGCCGGGTGCGTGGCCTTGTCTGCAGGCTTGAGACCCAGCGGGGCCGTCTGTGCCACGTGGGGTCTGCGCCGGCCCAGGGGCCGCACCGCTGTCAGCCACAGGATGTGTGTCTCGGGGCTGCGGCAGACGGGGCTTCTGTGCCGTGTGGGGTCCGACCCCTCGGCCTGGGCAGGGCGGCCCGTGGGCACCGTGCTGGGGACGACCTCCGGCCTCTGCTCCTTCCCCGGCTCTGAGTCATAAAGGCCTCCCGCTCCCCCGGGAGCCGTGTCTTCTCTAGGAACTGCTGAGCGCGGCTGGGTCTGGCTCTGCCTCATTCCTGCATCTGATGCCCGCCCGTTCTCCCCCAACTCCCCTTTCTCCATCTCCTCCCTCCCCTCCGTCTTGCCCGTCTCCATTTCCTCCATCTCTCCCTTCTCCGTCTCCTCCGTCTCGTGGCTGTCCAGACCCCGTCCCTCCGCAGGCTGGGTCCCCCCTTGTTCTGGGCGGGGCTCTCGGTGCCGGTCTGGTGCCAGTGCTGGGAACCTGTGGTGCCCGTCACCTCTGCTCCCCGTCACCTCGGCTCCACCTCGAGGAGCTGTGTCCTGTCCCACGAGGAGGCGCCCCGGGACCTCAGGGCTGCAGGCCATGGCTGGGTCCGGCTTTGCCTCATCCCCTGTATCTGAGGCCCCCCAGTTCTCCCCCATCTCCCCCTCTCCATCTCCTCTGTCTCCCCCGTCTCATGGCTCTCCGGGCCCCGTCCCCCCCACCAGGCTGGGTCCCCTTATTCTGGGTAGCCCGTCTTGCCATCACTGTCCCTGCCGCCCCTCAGGACAGCGCTGTGGATGCCGGTCTGGTGCCGGCGGTCACCCCTGCTGCGCCTTGAGCAGCTGTGTCTTGTCCCGTGAGGAGGTGCCCCGGGACCTCAGGGCTGTGGCTGGCACCTTTCATGGTCCTCCCGGAACAGAGCTCATGCTGCTGCTCCTGGGTGGACCCGGGGCTGCCCCTGTGAACACTCTTGGTTCTGACACGAAGGCACCCCGTGAGGGAGGGGAGGGGTGGGCTGGGTCGGGTCCCTGCTCGGGGATCTCCAAGGGGTGACGGCCACGAAGTGCGGGGGACCCACGATTGTCATTCAGAGGGTGAGGCGCTGAGCCCTGGAACATCCTGGCTTCTGGCGGGACGCTGGCCACGGTCAGGGTGCCCCGAGTGCTTGTTTTGTGGGGTCCCTGGCCCCCTGCACACGTGAGCCCTCGGGGGAATGGACCCCCAGAACACGTGGAGGGCATGACTGCTGGGCTCTGGGTCTCCCCGCAGCGCCGCCGTCCACGAGGACCCCCGACAGGACCCCCCCACTTCTCCGGCAAAGGTGTCGGTGTGCACGCCCGGCCCCGGCACTGCCCGGGGCATCTGGGGTTGTGGCTGGGGAAGGACGGGGCACTTGGGGGAATGCATTGGGTACAGGGATGTCGGAGGATGCTCAGTGGCTGTGCAGGGGCCTCACCAGCGTCGTGGGTGGGGGACGCTGTCTTTCACGGCCCCAGGGAGGCCTCTCATGTCTCAGCCTTGAACCCTAATTGGGGGGGCTCCCAGTGTCAGTGTGGGGAGGCTGAGGGCGCTGGTCAGAGCCCTCCCATGACCATGGGCTCCGGCTCATAGGTGTGTGTGTGTTGGGGGGTGGTGTCCGGAGGTGGTGTGGGGCGGACATGGTCTCCCAGACGGGCTCCCCGGAGCTGAGGGCAGGGTGGGCCCTGCGGGCCGTGGCTCCCAGTGTCATTTCCCTGCGGCAGAACCTCCTGCCCTGCACCTGTCCTGTTGTTGGGGGTCCTGACCCTTCGCAGACCCAGGTGGGGGCATCCGGGAATTCAGGGGAGCACCTGGTGACACTGAGGACACCTTGGGGACAGCAGCATTCCCCCGGGAGGTGCTGCCTCGTCTACCCACCACCTGGAGCCCCCGCAGTCTCTCCTCAGGGGTCACGGGACCACCCTGTGCGTCCGCCTCCTTCACAGCGACGGCTGCCGGTGGATGAACGGGGTGCGTATGCTGCTCTCGGGGTGGTCCCGGCTTGGCCCTGCCCTGCCGCGTGGACGCTGCCACCTCCGTTTCCTGGGGGAGAGTTTTGTCGTGTGTGAGGACGGGGTTGTTCCCATGGTCACCACCTGTGACCCTCACCTGCGTGCAGAGGGAGCACAGCTGGGCCTGGGCTCATCCACGTCGGGTGCCCCTGGGGTGCTTGTGGCCTCCCCTGCACAGGGAGCTCCTCCTGGTGGGGCCTCCGACCCCCCTCATTTAGGTGTCCCCCAGCTGTGGACGTCCCCACTCTGGCGCGGGCTCCTTCCTTCTGGGGTCGTTTGTGGAACGGGGCCTGGGTCCGTGGCTCCGGGAGGGAACGGCCCCGAGGGTGGGGTCCCCCTGGCTGGGGAGGGGCCCCGCAGAGAGGCCCAGGCTGCACCCCGAGGCGTCTGGCGTGGCTGCGGTCCCCCTCCAGCACTGACGCTTGTAAATCCTGGACGGAGCCACGCTGTGGCTGAGGGAGCCGAGCCCGTGACTGAAAATCCTCCAAACGTACAAGCGTGATCGCCAGAAACGGTTTTGTACGTTTACACAAAACATTCACACAGCCTGTGGTGGAGGCTCCTGTCCAGGACTGAGGCGCCCGGGAGCCGCCGGTCACCGTTGTGCGCACACGGACCCTTTCCACAGACGCAGGCCCCGGAACCCAGGCTGGGTCGGGAACGGCAAGCGCCAGAGGGTGTCCGTGTGGGAACCCGTCCCATTCACGCGCGGCCCTACGTGTCCCCCTGGCACAGAGCTCTGGGCAGGTCCAGCCACGAACCCACAGCGGCAATCAACACGCTTCTGTGAATAAATAAAAGTTTATCATTCCGTACAAACGCACTCATTTTCCACAACAGTTTTTACACGAGCCGCGGTGGCCCGGTGGTGGCACGTGGGGAGCGGCCCCGCGGCGGCGTTCTCGCGGGCGGCGTCACAGCGGCTCCAGGTCCTCGTCCCCGCATGCGTACTCGTACAGGTCCACGGCGCCCAGCGGTGAGGGCGCCTCGAAGAAGGGCCTCTGGGCCAGCGGGGAGCGCAGCGCACTCAGCTTCTGCTCCACAGGGCTGAGCTCGGCCTCGAACCTGCAACGAGGGGATGGCGAAGACGTGGCCAGCAGCGCGGAGCAGGCCCTGGGCCGTTTTCCGGGAAACACAGGCTGCTCGGCCGCCAACCTCCAGCACGAGACAGTCCCCTGAGCCGACCTTGAGCTCCAGCCGCTGAGCCAGCAACGCGCTCCTGGCTGAGGACGCCGGCTCCACGAATGCTCCCGGGGGAGGGGCCTGCGGTGCAGGTGAAAACCCACCCAGGACGGGACGGAGCCCCGGGCGTGAGCTACACACAGAGGACCTGGGCGGGCGCGCCTCTTCCCCAAAGCGAGCTGCACGGGACCTGTGTTTACAACTGGGTCGTGGTGTCCACACAGGACTGGAGAACAAACAGGACCACAGTTTAGACACATTCTCCCAAAGCACAGAAGCTCCCAGTGGAGGCTACCACTTCCGTTCTGACCAGAACACGCAGCAGTGCGAGGACTGGACGCGCGCCTTCCCTTAAGGTCTCGGCAGTGACGTCGGGCGCTGCTCCGGGGAACCCAGCGCGGCCACGGACCACACAGACTCTCAGAGATCCTGTGGGGACACCTCTGCTTTCCAAGACGCCCCCGACAGCCTGGCACTGAGCTCCCCGCGGTCACCCCCACGGACCTGAGCTCCCACTGCCGGAGCAGGCGTGGACACGGTGAAGGCAGTCGACCCCAGCGTGCTGCTGGCTGTGCCGCAGACACAAAGCCGGGCAGCCGTGGGGGTGGACACTGGTCAGGTGGGGAGCAGAGGTGACAGACGGTGGTGGGGACAGGCGCACACCCATCCAGGCTAGGTCTGGGGGCCACAGCTGCCTTAGGGTGTCCGACAGGAGAAGGCAGAGACTGGGAAGTTGTGGGGACCCAGAGGTTGGCTGCCAGGTCAGAGCCACCGTGCAAACAATGACCACGAGGAGGACGGACACACAGGACAGACGGCCCAGGGTGGGCCGCAGGGGCCCTGTGCTGCTTGGCAGGAATCGGACGGGGCGGCTGATGGGGGAGCAGGGGTTAAAATGCACGTCCATGGAACCCATGGGTCGGGAACCCAACGGTAACCAGAAAGTATTTTGAGCTGCACCAAAATCAGAAGGCCGCGGGCTGCGGTGTCCATGGCCCACGTCGCTGCCTGAAGATACTCAAGGAAAACAGCAGAACAAAGGGGAGAAACACCCGTGGTTCCCTGGGAAGAGGAGTGAACCTCGTCGGCCCCTCGCCTCACTGATCACACACAAAGTCAGTATCAGGAGCGTGAGAGACGCTATCACTGGATTCTGCAGACATCAGAGTCACGAGCAGGAAATACCAACAATAACCCACTGATGGGAACGGGCAAGTTTCCGAAACAC
The DNA here is from genome assembly GCF_000001405.40 of Homo sapiens. Classification (NCBI taxonomy): domain Eukaryota; kingdom Metazoa; phylum Chordata; class Mammalia; order Primates; family Hominidae; genus Homo; species Homo sapiens. The sequence goes on from NC_000023.11 coordinate 335,863, forward strand.
ACAAACCAGCAAAGCTCACTCAAGGCTGGGCAGGGGCTCACACCTGTAATTCCGGCACGTTGGGGGACCGAGGCGGGGAGAACCCTCGAGCTCAGGCATCCAAGACCAACCTGGGCAACACGGTGAAACCCCATCTCTACAAAAAAATACAAAAAAGTAGCCGGGTGTGGTGGTGCGTGCCTGGAAGCCCAGCTACTCGGGGGGCTCAGGTGCGAGGATTCCTTAAGCCCAGCAGGTGGAGGGTGCAGTGAGCTGAGATTGCGCCAATGCCCTCCAGCCTGCGTGACACAGCCAGACCCTGTCTCCAAAAAAATAATAAAATACTACAGATAATCTCTGCAAAGAGAATCCAGTAATATGTGAGGATAACACATGACTCGGCAAGATCTATCCTGGGAACACGAGGCTGGCTGAAAATGACTCGGTGTAACTCGCTGTATGGACACACAGAGGAACCACGGAGCGAAAGCATCTGAGAAATTCGGCCCCCACTGCGAGAAAGCCCCCGCAGACCAGGAAGAGGGAGAACATCCTCGCCAATGAGCGTGCTTACCGCTGCGTGAGGGGAGACGTCCCCCAGGACTGGGAACGAGGACGGCACACAAACCAGCAGGGCTCACTCAAGGCTGGCCGTGGTCTGCCCTGACATCCACCACATCTCCCTGCGGGTTCCAGGCCATGCAGCAGGCAAGAGAAAGGAAGTAACGTACACAGAGAGGTGAAAAGGAAGACGAGAGACGGACCCACTGACAGACATGGGCTGTCCACGCAGAAAACCCCAAAGAACCGACAGAGCTTTGAGATCCAGTAAGTGAGTTTCATGAAGGTGCAAAACACAAGGTCAATAAATTCTATATGCTACCAACGAACAACTGGAAACGGGAACCTTAAAAGCACCGCTGACAACAGGAAAACATCAGGAAACACTCAGAAGTCTCACAACATTCGCATCAAGCGTACACGGAAAGCTACAAAAATCCTGCCGAGAGACACGGACGGCGCCCATGGACTGGGCCTCCTGCGGTTATGAAGGCGGCAGCTGGGCCCACAGGGATCCATTCACTCAGCGAGATCTCACTCAAAAGTTCAGATTGTTTGTTTTTGTTTTGGAAATGGAGTTTTGCTCTCGTTGCCCGGGCTGGAGTGCAGTGGCGCGATCTTGGCTCACTGCAACCTGCACCTCCCGAGTAGCTGGGATTACAGACGTGTGCCACCATCCCTGGCTTTTTTTTTTTGGAGACGGAGTCTCGCTCTGTCACCCAGGCTGGAGTGTGGTGGCGCGATCTCGGCTCACTGCAAGCTCCGCCTCCCAGATTCACGCCATTCTCTTGCCTCAGCCTCCCGAGTAGCTGGGACTACAGGCGCCCGCCACCACGCCTGGCTAATTTTTTTTTTGTTTAGTAGAGACGGGGTTTCACCATGTTGGCCAGGATGGTCTCGATCTCCTGACCTCGTGATCCGCCCTCCTCAGCCTCCCAAAGTGCTGGGATGACAGGCGTGAGCCACCGCGCCCGGCCAGAAGGAGCCTATTCTTATGTGTTTTCATACAAAGGCAAAGAAACCAGAATAGCCAACGTAGCGCGGGACAGAAGCAGAACTGAGAAGCTCAGCACGGGATGGCAAAAGTGACCACGTCGCTCCAGCGTGCACCACGGGAGGCCGGTGGGGGCCACAGTCCACGTGGTCCCGGGACCAGCACTCACCACCACGTCAGAGTCCAACACACGTTCCCACAGGACGGCAGAGCAAGGACGGGCTGAGTCTAAGATTCACACACAGGCAGCCCAACACCAGAATGGCCCCGACAGTTCCACACGGCGCCCAAGTCGGAGGCTTCTCACCACAGCCAGCTCTGCCGCGGGAACGGACAGACGCGTGCAGCAGTGGGACGGAGGAAGGTTCCGGAACGGAGCCCGCACACGGCACAGTCACGACGCCGAGGCAACGCTGCGGCCTGCAAAGCTGATGCTGGGACAGTCGGACACCCGGACACCCACGTACCACAAGGGGAACCTCAATCCGAGCTTCACACCCCACAGGGAAGGTTACTCAAGAGGACCCCAGACCAAAACACAAAACATCGCAGAGGAAAATCTTCGTGGCTTTGGATTCAGAAATGAATTCTTAGATATGACACCAGAAACACCGCTGTAAAAATAACCAGTCAGTGTCTCCTCCTCCAAATTCAGAACATCTCTGAGACACCACGTGAAGAGGGGGTGAAAACATACGTCACAAACTGGGAAAAAGGCGAACACGTCGCAAATAAAGGGTTTGTATGCTGAAGACACGAAGAACCCTCACGCTCCGTGAGAAAGCAACCAGCCCAGGGCCTCTCAGGGCCTCCAAGGCTGGAAGGCCGAAGCGGAGGCTGGAATGGCCACGGGCCCTGCAGCCTGCCCAGCAGGTGCCAGCCGTGGGATAAGGACAGACGTCGTTGGCGAAACACGACTCGGCCTCCCCGTGCTGGGCCTGATGTGCGAAGCCTCGCGCCCAGGATCACAGAACCCCACGCGGGGAATGACGGGCAGACTGCACCGAGGCCCGGCCCTGTCATCGGCTGTCCTTACCTCACCGGCCCCGTGTCAGGTCTCACCCCGCCCCTCTGTGTCCGCGCACCCCACCTGACTGACCCCGCATCCCCCGGCTGCACACACACCCGTCCTCCCACTCACCCGTCCTCCCCACTCACCCGTCCTCCCACTGACCCGTCCCCCCACTCACCCGTCCTCCCCACTCACCCGTCCTCCCAGGGCTCTCCCGCAGTCTCCTCGGCCACCAGGATGTCGTACTCCTCGGCCGCGTACTTCTCCCAGTCCGAGAGCTCGGGGCCGCCGCTGTCACCGTCCTGGAGGAAGCACACGGGTTACGTACACGGCGTGGCGCGGCCCGGCCCGCGTGCCCGCCGCACTCACCCTGAGCAGGGAGATCTGCTCTTTCTGCTCGTGGTCGAGGTACTTCTCGATGTTGAAGAAGGTGTCGAAGAAGACGTTAGCCAGCTTGCAGCGCTTCAGGTCCTGCAGCGTGATCTTCCCTGCGGGGAGGGGAGTGCGTCCAAGGCGCGTGAGCCCGGTCTCACCTTCGGGGCCTGGGTGTGGGGTGCGCGCGTCCTGTCACACGTGCTTAAGGACGCGGCACGAAGCTCCGGGCTCTCACGCCACGTGTTTGACGTGAAAGGCGGACACGCGAGTGTCCTGGTTCTGGGTGGGGACTGAGGCGTGGGAGGCCGTGATGCGGAGGCGACTAGGGGCCACCGGTGCCCCAAGGATGCGTGGACTGGGACTAGCGCAGGGAGGCGCGGCCAGCAGGGGCGCTGCTGGATCTGAAATTACAGAGAACGGAGCTCCCCGTGCAGGCAGAGGCCAGAGGGTGTCCCGGGGACACTGAGCAGCAGGAGGCGCCCCATGGCCGGGGGGGGCAGGGCTGCAGGGCGGTGCCCGGGCCTCAGAGCCATTTCCAAAGTGAAAGTCCCAGAGCTGGATTCTGAGATGCAGAAGGAAGCCAGGCGGCGTGGACGGTGGGGCTCCCCTTTGCCTTAGAGGGCACGGGGGTGGGTGGGAGGAGCTGGGGAGATGGTGTGGGGGGAACAGGGGTGAGGGGAGGAGCCGGGGGGGGGTGAGAGGGGAGGAGCCGGGGGGGTGAGAGGGGAGGAGCCGGGGGGGGTGAGAGGGGAGGAGCCGGGGGGGGGTGAGAGGGGAGGAGCCGGGGGGGGTGAGAGGGGAGGAGCCGGGGGGGGATGAGAGGGGAGGAGCCGGGGGGGTGAGAGGGGAGGAGCCGGGGGGGTGAGAGGGGAGGAGCCGGGGGGGGGTGAGAGGGGAGGAGCCGGGGGGGGGTGAGAGGGGAGGAGCCGGGGGGGGGGTGAGAGGGGAGGAGCCGGGGGGGGTGAGAGGGGAGGAGCCGGGGGGGGTGAGAGGGGAGGAGCCGGGGGGGGTGAGAAGGGAGGAGCCGGAGGGGGTGAGAGGGGAGGAGCCGGGGGGGGGTGAGAGGGGAGGAGCCGGGGGGGGGTGAGAGGGGAGGAGCCGGGGGGGGGTGAGAGGGGAGGAGCTGGGGGGGGTGAGAGGGGAGGAGCCGGGGGGGTGAGAGGGGAGGAGCCGGGGGGGTGAGAGGGGAGGAGCCGGGGGGGTGAGAGGGGAGGAGATGGGGGGGGTGAGAGGGGAGGAGATGGGGGGGGTGAGAGGGGAGGAGATGGGGGGGGTGAGAGGGGAGGAGATGGGGGGGTGAGAGGGGAGGAGATGGGGGGGGTGAGAGGGGAGGAGATGGGGGGGGCGAGAGGGGGGGAGGAGCCGGGGGGGGTGAGAAGGGAGGAGACGGGGGGGGCGGGGTGAGAGGGGAGGAGACGGGGGGGGGGGGGGTGAGGGGAGGACCGCCTTGTGCGGCATCAGCACGAACGTGGCAACTGCTCCCTCAGCCCAGTGCCAACGTCCCCGGTGAGCTCCGGCCCTAGGTTCTCTAGGTCACCCCTCGGGGGGTGTCGACGCCCCGAATAGGAGGTTCTTGCACTGTGAGACTAGGCACCTGTGGTGCTGGCCCTCCTCACAAACTCAGTAGGACAGCGCCTCACAGGGACGTCCCCTCACCCTGGTCCGTCCCCCCTCCCGTCTGTCCCCTCACCCTGGGCCGTCCCCCCTCCCGTCCGTCCCCTCACCCTGGGCCGTCCCCCCTCCCGTCCGTCCCCTCACCCTGGGCCGTCCCCCCTCCCGTCCGTCCCCTCACCCTGGGCCGTCCTCCCTCCCGTCCGTCCCCTCTCCCTGGGCCGTCCTCCCTCCCGTCCGTCCCCTCTCCCTGGGCTGTCATCCGTCCCCTCTCCCTGGGCCGTCCTCTCGCCCGTCCGTCCCCTCACCCTGGGCCGTCCTCTCGCCCGTCCGTCCCCTCACCCTGGGCCATGCCCTCACGGGGCATCACCTTCAGTCCTCGGCTTGACCAGGTCCAGCATCTGGCAGAGGCAGTCCTGGAAGGGCAGGGCCTCGATGGCCATGCTGTCCAGCCTTCGGCACTGCTCCTCGTAGAAGTACTCGAGCTCGAACATGGACAGGGCGCCGTCCCCGTCCAGGTCCATGCAGCGGAACCAGTACTCGATGCTGCGGCACGGCGAGCTCTGTCAGCCCCTGCCCTGGGCCCTCCCAGCCCGTGACCTGCAGCCCCTGAGGCAGCCCCCACCGGGGGTGCACGCGTCCCCGCTGTGCCTTGCAGCCCCCACCGGGCGTGCAGGCATCCCCTGCCCCCTGCCGCCCCCACCGGGCGCGCACGCGTCCCCCTGTGCCGTGCAGCCCCCACCAGGCGTGCACATGTCCCCCTGTGCCGTGCAGCCCCCACCGGGCGTGCACATGTCCCCCTGTGCCGTGCAGCCCCCACCAGGCGTGCAGGCATCCGCCTGGGGACACATGTCACATGGGCGGCTCCCGGCCCCTCCACTGGGACAAACGCATGCCGCAGCAGGAACCCACCTGGTCGGTGTTTTTTTGTCTTCCTCAGAGATCAAAAACCAGACAAAGTCGGCATAGCTGATCTTCCCTTCCTTCTGCACTTTTCTGCCTCTAGATCGAAAGCCAGGATGGAGAGACGAAGATGCATGTCAGGGAGAGCTTCACAGGAACGGAGCCCCTGTCCACGCGCCTCGGTGAGGGGAGCCCCCCGGGCCCGGCCCTCCTCCTGCCCCCCTCCTGCCCCTCCTCCTGCCTCTCCGGGGAGGAGGTGGAGGCCCCGTGGCCAGAGGGTTTTCCCCAGATCCAGGCAGGGTCAGGAGTGCACCTTCGTTACTGCTCACTCAGGCCCAGCGCCCGACAAGAACCCCCGACCTGGGGCCTGGGCCACCCCCTTCCTCAGACTTCGCGTGACAGTCTTGTGCCACCCCCCCCCACTAGGGATTCACGTGACAGAGACACGTGCCCCCCTCGCCAGGGCCTGGGGTGACAACCACTCGCTGTCGGGGCACAAAAAGCTCACGTCAGGCAACGATGAGGAGAGGGACCGGGGTCCTCGCAGGGGCAATGGCTGCCGTCAGGCGCCTGAGCCGTACGTACCGTGTGACTGCTCCTGAGAAGATCCTGTCTATCATCTTGGTAGAAAGGGCTGGAAAGGAATGCGGTTGATGGGCAGCCCGCACCGTGCCTCGGCCCCGACGTCACCACCCCCCGGAGCCGAGACTGGATGCGGTGGGGACCGAAAAGCTGAGAGGACGCCTGGGTCTGGGAGAGCCCCGGGGCCCCGATGCCCCTGCACGGCCCATCCTAGGGGCCCACCACGCTTTCCCGTCGAGCAGAGCCAAGTCCAGCATGAAATCCACAGAGCGCAAAGCTGACCGCGGCTCCAAGACCGACTTGTAAAGAGCAGAATATTCAGGCCTCAAAGGTACAGCTTTCAGACGGAGAGAGAGACCTCGAGTGTGATCACGGAAACAAACACGTTTCAACCAAAGGTTCACCAACGGGAGACGGGAGTGAGACCTCAGCAACGGGAGGCGGGAGTGAGACCTCAGCAACGGGAGGCGGGAGTGAGACCTCAGCAACGGGAGGCGGGAGTGAGACCTCAGCAACGGGAGGCGGGAGTGAGACCTCAGCAACGGGAGGCGGGAGGGAGACCTCAGCAACGGGAGGCGGGAGGGAGACCTCAGCAACGGGAGGCGGGAGGGAGACCTCGCCAACGGGAGGCGGGAGGGAGACCTCGCCAACGGGAGGCGGGAGGGAGACCTCGCCAACGGGAGGCGGGAGTGAGACCTCGCCAACGGGAGGCGGGAGTGAGACCTCGCCAACGGGAGGCGGGAGTGAGACCTCGCCAACGGGAGGCGGGAGTGAGACCTCGCCAACGGGAGGCGGGAGTGAGACCTCGCCAACGGGAGGCGGGAGTGAGACCTCGCCAACGGGAGGCGGGAGTGAGACCTCGCCAACGGGAGGCGGGAGTGAGACCTCGCCAACGGGAGGCGGGAGGGAGACCTCAGCAACGGGAGGCGGGAGGGAGACCTCAGCAACGGGAGGCGGGAGGGAGACCTCAGCAACGGGAGGCGGGAGGGAGACCTCAGCAACGGGAGGCGGGAGGGAGACCTCAGCAACGGGAGGCGGGAGGGAGACCTCGCCAAGGAGAGGCGGGAGTGAGACCTCGCCAACGGGAGGCGGGAGTGAGACCTCGCCAACGGGAGGCGGGAGTGAGACCTCAGCAACGGGAGGCGGGAGTGAGACCTCAGCAACGGGAGGCGGGAGTGAGACCTCGCCAAGGAGAGGCGGGAGTGAGACCTCGCCAACGGGAGGCGGGAGGGAGACCTCGCCAACGGGAGGCGGGAGGGAGACCTCGCCAACGGGAGGCGGGAGGGAGACCTCGCCAACGGGAGGCGGGAGGGAGACCTCGCCAACGGGAGGCGGGAGGGAGACCTCGCCAACGGGAGGCGGGAGGGAGACCTCGCCAACGGGAGGCGGGAGGGAGACCTCGCCAACGGGAGGCGGGAGGGAGACCTCGCCAACGGGAGGCGGGAGGGAGACCTCGCCAACGGGAGGCGGGAGGGAGACCTCGCCAACGGGAGGCGGGAGGGAGACCTCGCCAACGGGAGGCGGGAGGGAGACCTCGCCAACGGGAGGCGGGAGGGAGACCTCGCCAACGGGAGGCGGGAGGGAGACCTCGCCAACGGGAGGCGGGAGGGAGACCTCGCCAACGGGAGGCGGGAGGGAGACCTCGCCAACGGGAGGCGGGAGTGAGACCTCGCCAACGGGAGGCGGGAGTGAGACCTCGCCAACGGGAGGCGGGAGTGAGACCTCGCCAACGGGAGGCGGGAGTGAGACCTCGCCAACGGGAGGCGGGAGTGAGACCTCGCCAACGGGAGGCGGGAGGGAGACCTCGCCAACGGGAGGCGGGAGTGAGACCTCAGCAACGGGAGGCGGGAGTGAGACCTCACCAAGGAGACGCGGGAGTGAGACCTCAGCAACGGGAGGGGGGGAGGGAGACCTCACCAAGGAGACGCGGGAGTGAGACCTCAGCAACGGGAGGCGGTAGGGAGACCTCACCAAGGAGACGCGGGAGTGAGACCTCAGCAACGGGAGGCGGGAGGGAGACCTCACCAAGGAGAGGCGGGAGGGAGACCTCAGCAACGGGAGGCGGGAGGGAGACCTCAGCAACGGGAGGCGGGAGGGAGACCTCAGCAACGGGAGGCGGGAGGGAGACGTCGCCAAGGAGAGGCGGGAGGGAGACGTCGCCAACGGGAGGCGGGAGGGAGACGTCGCCAACGGGAGGCGGGAGGGAGACCTCACCAACGGGAGGCGGGAGTGAGACCTCACCAACGGGAGGCGGGAGGGAGACCTCAGCAACGGGAGGCGGGAGGGAGACCTCACCAACGGGAGGCGGGAGTGAGACCTCAGCAACGGGAGGCGGGATTGAGACCTCACCAACGGGAGGCCGGAGTGAGACCTCACCAAGGAGAGGCGGGAGTGAGACCTCACCAACGGGAGGCCGGAGTGAGACCTCACCAACGGGAGGCGGGAGGGAGACCTCACCAACGGGAGGCAGGAGTGAAAGCACCGTCGCCGTCAGCTTGGGCCACGAGAAGGTCCCGCAGCCTGGGCGGCCATCCCTGCGGTCACCGGTGTCCCTGGGACGCACGAGCCAAGGTGCCGCCCCCCGCTTCAGGCCGCAGTGCGTGAGAAACAGCGCAGCCCGGCCGCACACGGCATCCTGCCCTGGGACCGAGAGTGGGCTCCAGAGGAACGCGGAAAGCTGGGGCCGCGCCGGGCCGGGGGTTCACAGGGACAGTGAGCGCCTGGTTCTGGGCCGATTCCCAGCTGTGCAGGTGCTGGCCCAGGCCACACGGGCCGGCGCTGTGGAGCTGTGCTCTCCTCGTGGCTAGTTAGGGGCCCAGGGCGCAGGTGGCTCCCTGAACTGAGCGCAGGACAAATCCAGGGAATGCTACGTCTGCTCAGGTGCGCGTCCGACGCAGGGATCTACTGCGGCCACGCGACCCAGGACCAGCCCCGGGAGACGCAGACGGGTGCAGCTCACGTTCGGGGAACCAGGCGTATTATGAGTCGACCACACACAACAGATGCCACCGTAATTCGGAAACAGTCTTGGTCATATGGTTTTTTGGGGTAAAAAGCACACTTAAAGGAATCCTTTAGAAAACTCAAGCCCCACAGGCCACAGGCCGCTTTGAGTTCCTGCAAGTGTGGATGACTCTTAGAGGGGCCGGGAGGCAGTGGCTGCTGTGAGGACACCTGGGCGGCACCGGCTCCCGCGGAGGTATATGAACGACCGCTAAGCCTGGGGCTCCACCTAGCCCGGGATTGGATGGAAACTGCTCCAGGCCTTGGGGGCTGGAACCTGGAGCTCCTGAGGGAAGGCGTGTGGCCTGCCCGCCCTTGCTCGGGTGTTAACAAGGAAGCCCCACAGCGCTGCTGGCCCTCGGGCCAGGAGCTTCAGGACCAGCGGCCCACACTGACCCTGTAGACGCCCCCAGGCAGAGGCCTCGGGCAGAGGCGCACGCGGGGACCCAGACACGGGGCAGCGACTGGGGAAGGAGAGGCAGCTGCAGACACAGAGCGGCGAGTGCGAAGGAGAGGCAGCTGCAGACACAGAGCTGGGAGTGCGGAAGGAGAGGCAGCTGCAGACCCGCAGGCCCTGAGAGAAGGGTGTGCTCGGTGTCCGCGCGGCCCGCCCGCCCCTGTGCCCCCACGCACCGTGGTCATTGTGCCGCGCCAGGTCGTCCGCGTCGATGAGCAGGTCGTGGTCCGTGTCCAGCTCCCAGAACTTGCAGTAGATGACGTAGAAATGCTCGTACGAGAAGAATTCGGTCAGCTGGTTGATGTCCGCCTCCTCCTCCAGCAGCGCCACATTCTGCCAAAGGACCCAGGCGGCCTGAGCGCGGGGCCTCTGCGGGGATGCCCCAAGTCCGCCTGGCTGCGGGCGGGGCAGGGAAGGCTGGGAGGGTCGGGGCCGCTCCGTGGGTGGGGGGGACTGGGCAGCTGGGGCCGGGGGGCACTCCGAGTGGGGGCAACTCTGCGGTGGGGGGAGCTCCAGCATGGGGGTGGCTCCCTAGGCGGGTGTGGGGGTGGGGGCAGCTCTGGGGGAGTCAGGGCTCGGCTCCCCCTCAGGGTGGTGCCCAGTACGGCCCCACCCGCCTCCTAGATCAACCGTGGACCCCCAACCGCAGGCGGCGGGGTTCCAGTGCTCACAGGCCTGGGGGTGGGCTGGGAGCGCGGTGGAGGTGGGGGTGGGGGTGGGGGTGGGAGAGGGGGTGGGAGGGGAGGAGGGAGGGGGGAGGAGGGAAGGGAAGGGAGTGGAGGTAGGAGGGGTAGGGACAAGGCAGGGGGCAGGGGACAGGGGGCCGCTCCGCACCTGCAGGAAGGAGCTCCTCCGCAGCTCGGCGCAGGTGATCCTGCCGGACCAGGACCGGTTCACGGCGTAGAAGATCCGCTGGATGACCTGCGGGGGCGCTGTCAGTGCGGTGGGTGCGCAGAGACCCCCAGGAGCCTCGCCCCGCACGGAGACCGGGAGCCGGGAGAGGGGCGCGCCCTTGGTCTCAGCCGCACGGGGCCGCCAGGGCACAGGCGGGGGCAGAGGGAAGGGCCCTGCGGGAGGCGCCGCCCCAGGCCGCGGAAAGCGGGGAGGGTCTGGCCGGGGACGCCCCGGAGCTACACGGGCCCAGGACAGGTGGGAAGGGGGTGCGGCCACCCCGGAAAACCAGAGTCCCCCCAACACCGGGCTCCCGGGCGGGTGGAGACTCTCCCAGAGCGCGGCCGCCTCCTCCGGAAGCTCAGGAACCCCGGGCCCCGCCCGCCCCGTCCGCAGAAGCCCCGCGGCGGCCGCTGCAGAAACACCCGCGCCCCGCGCTGGAACCGACGGCCCCTCCGCTGGGGACCCACCGTGGTGATGTAGCGCGAGTGGAACTCGGACGCCTCCTTCAGGAACGACAGCCCCGGGTGCGTGTTCACCACGTCCTGCGGGTGGGAAGACACGAGGCGCGTGGTGTAGACGCCGGCCCTCCCGTGAGGTGTGCGGTGTGGACGCTGCAGACGCGGACCCTCCCGTGAGCGATGAGGTGTGCGGTGTAGACGCCGGCCCTCCCGTGAGGGATGAGGCGTATGGTGTAGACGCCGGCCCTCCCGTGAGGGATGAGGCATGTGGTGTAGACGCGGGCCCTCCCGTGAGGTGTGCAGTGTAGACGCGGACCCTCCCGTGAGCGATGAGGTGTGCGGTGTAGACGCGGACCCTCCCATGAGGGATGAGGCATGTGGTGTAGACGCGGGCCCTCCCATGAGGTGTGCGGTGTAGACGCGGACCCTCCCGTGAGGGATGAGGCGTGTGGTGTAGACGCCGGCCCTCCCATGAGGCATGCGGTGTAGACGCGGGCCCTCCCGTGAAGGATAAGGCCTGTGGTGTAGACGCAGGCTCTCACCTGCAAGAAGGGGACAAAGTCCTCCTGCACCAGGTAGTTGCAGCCGGGGCTCATGAGCAGATGGACGAACTTGGCCGCGTCGTCGTGGCAGTTCTGGAGGATTCTGGAAGGACAGGATGACTGGGCACCACCCTCACAGGGGGGTGGCTTTCGACCCCGCAGACGCAGGGTGGAACACGTGTGTGGTGTTCCACGTGGTGCGTGGCAGGTGGCCACACACGACGGCCAGGCCTGTGCCCGTACAAGGGTTTCTCCTCTCACTGCGGCAGCCTCAGGGGGCACCCGTCCTGGCACCACGGGGACCCGGGGACGCCTCCGCCCTCCCGACACAGCCCCCTGCCCAGCCCAGGACTCACTTTCTCCACATGGCGACGAACTTGTGGACGGACACGGAGCCCGTGCGCTCCCCGCCGGCGCCATAGAAGAGCGGCCCCTTCCAGTAGAGGGGGCAGCCGCAGGCCTGGGGCAGAGAGGGCAGGAGTGGGCAGTCAGCAGGGCCTGGACGCCGGCGCTCCTGCTGCGTACCTCGCGCCTGACCGACGCCGCCCAGAGACCCTCTGCTGCAGAAAGACACAGCACGCTCAGCGCGGCCTGTCTGGGCATCTGCAAACTCAACGTGGCTTTCGCTCCAGCCTTCAATCAGTCATGAGAGCTGAGCGTGGGAGTGCCGGGCACGCAGTATCCCCTGACCACAGACCACGCGTGGGCACTGTAACCAGAGGCGGCTGCATCCCCAGCGTCTGGAAATCAAGCGGCACGTACTAAGAACCAGTAAGTACGGGAATAAATGGCCCCGTCAGCCAGGCAACGCGGTGAATCGGACGGCGACAGAAACATCTCATGGAATGTGTGGGACGCACCTACAGCAGCGACCCATGGCAGGTTCACAGCCTTAAATACACGCGTGAGGAAGGAAAGTTTAAAATCGATCGTCTACACTTCTACCCCAAAGGAACAAATACATGGCAGAGATGGAACGCAAAGTAAATAGTAACAGAAAATCAACAAAATCAAAACTCGATGATTTGAAAGATTTCTTAAAAATTAATTAACCCTGGCTGGCTGGGCGTGGTGGCTCATGCCTGTAATCCCAGCACTTTAGGAGGCCGAGGGGGGTGGATCACCTGAGGTCAGGAGTTCGAGACCAGCCTGGCCAACATGGTGAAACCTCGTCTCTACTAAAAACACAAAAATTAGCCTGGCATGGTGGCGGGCGCCTGTAATCCCAGCTACTCGGGAGGCTGAGGCAGGAGAATCACTTGATCCTGGGAGGTGGAGGTTGCAGTAAGCCACGATCACACCACTGCACTCCAGCCTGGGTGACAGAGAGAGACTCTGTCTCAAAAAAAGAGCAAATACAGATTAGCCATGTCAGCTGTAACTACAGATCCTACAAACATCAGATAGTGGATGCTCATGAATCACTTTATGCCTGTAAGTCAGATGACTGCTGAAACAGACTCCCCGATGAACAAGTCAAAAAATAAACTACAATAGAAAATCTGAAAGAGCTGTTTCTGCAAGAAATTGTGTCCATAATTTAAAACTGTCCCACCAAGAAAATTCCAGCCCCCAAAGGCTGCTCCCATGAGTCGACCAAACATTGAAGGAAGAAATCACACATGCGTTCCCCTGGAGAAGAAAAACGAGGGGCGTTTCCCAGTGCCTGTTCCGAGGCTGGCACAGCCTGGACGCGGTCAGGGACACAGGAAGTCACAGGCCAGTTATCACTGGAGAGCAGAGGCAGAAATCCCACACAGAACACACAGTAGCAAGTCCAACTCGGCAATAATAGAACAGGAATATCTAATAATAATAATAGACCAGGAAACCAGAATCAGGAGGGACACTCTTATTCTCATAAAGGGTGCTATGGCCTGAATGCCTGGGTCCCCAAGATCCACGTGCTGAAATCCTCTCCCCCGAGGCGATGGTGTTGGGAGGTGGGGCCTCATGAATGCGATGAGTCCCCTTCTGAGGGACCCCAGAGAGCTCCCTCACCCCTTCCACCCCGTGAGGACGCAGCGGGAAGGCGCCGTCGATGAACCAGGCACCACTCTGCCACACCGAGATCTTCCAGCCTGCAGACCTGTGAACAGTAAATGTCTTGCTGGTGACAAGCTGCCCGGGCTATGGTGTTTCTTGACAGCAGCCTGAATGCTCAGACAAAGGGCCTCTACGAAACACCCCAGCTGCTCAGACAGCGATGACACATGAACACTTCTTCCCTGTGCTGGGAACAAGAGGACAGTGTCACCACCAAGGCCGCCTGGACGGCCGAGCCAGGGCAGCAGGCAAGGGAAAGACCGAAAGATACGACGACGGGTAAGAAGAGGCAGAACCGTCATGATTCACAAGCAACACACTGTGTAGACAATCCAAATGCTTACCAAATACGGGAATTAATAAGTATCTTCAGCAAAGTTGCTGGATCCAAGGACTATATGCAAAAATAAATTATTTCAATATACTGGCAACAAACAACTAAAAATAAAATCTTCAATAATGCCATCTATCAAGAGCATGAAAAATCAACCTACGAAAAATGGAACAAAAATCACACACAGTGTCTACAAAGCAAACTGCAGGGCACGGCTGGGTGAAATCAAAGACGACCTCAACGTGGTGAGGTGGACCTCACTGCTGAGTTCACAGACTGCAGTTTCCTCCAGACGACTCTGTTGACCCAGAGTCCACGCGATCCCCACCCACAGAGTCCAGCAATCCCCATCCACATGCACCGAGGGCCTGTTGTTTTGGGGTTTGTAGTATACACGGACAGGCTCATGTGAAAACTTACCAGGGAACACAAAAGAACTCACAGGGGGACCAAGTTGGTGGATATGAGTCCCACTGCCCGGTTTCAACCCTTCCTGTAAAGTCAGAGTAATGAAGACTCAGTCAGTCTCTGTCGGGCACCGGTGGCCTAAGAGAGCAAGGGAAGGAAGTGAGTTGGGACAGAGCCCCGTGGAATATCCACAGGCAAAGACACTTCACACAAACTGAATACCAGGGGATCCCAGCCCGAAGGGTGAAAGGCCAAACAGCGGCCCCTCCTGGAAGGAAACGAGGGACGCTGCACGGCTCTGCCGCGGCCAAGGTTTCTTTCACGGGCCACACGTGCGCTCCCTGAAGGAAGGGAGCACCGCTGCACCGCCCCAGCGCAGGACTCAGGGTCAGCTACCGGCACGGTGAACACCATGACAGGACATGACACAGAGGGAGAAATGTCTCTGCAAGGCGAGATTCTGACGAGGGACTCAGAGGCAGAATTTTAAGCATCAGTGAGAAAGAGGCCCGAACACGACCGAGTGGACATGCACTGCCCTCCGGAGAGGGGTGCACGGTGGCCGTAGACAAGGGGAAGCGCCCAGCACTGGCGCCGGCGAGGGCAGGGTTCACAGGGCATGGAGAGGTGGCAACAAGAACATGACACGCGCGGCTGAGACAAAAAGGACTGAAGACGCCAGGTCCCGCGAGGCTGCCAGGCAGCTGGGTGTCCTCCGCGTTGCTGGGGGAACTGGGACGCCACGCAGCTGCCGGGAAAGCGGCCCACGGGGCGGCTGAGCGTAAAGCCCCGTGGCCCGGCCAGGACATCTGTCCTCCCAGAAGCACACCAGTGGGAAGAGGGCCCGTGCCCGTGAGAGCCTGCACAGATGGGGACGTCGGCTGCTTGGTTCACGGTGCCCCAGGCGAGAGGAGCCGGACGCCAGAGCAGGGACTGGAGGAATAAACTGTGGCAGAGTCGTCCTGACAGGTGCAGGGCGGGAGTGACCACGGGGGGGCGTGGGGGACTGCAGAGGGGGCTGCGCGCCACAGCGGGGATTGCAGTGCTGCTATGGGAAAGGACGCGCTCCGGCTGGCGCACCTGTGGATGACTTGAAGGCAGCCGTGTGCGGCTGGAGGGGCCGGGCCCCGCAGGACGCACAGGCACGTGCCGGCTCCCGTGATGAGGATCCTGACGGAGCTCAGCCCTGGCCACCTGGAAGGGCGTCCCGGTGCGGTGGGAGGGAACGAGCCGGGTGCAGCACCGGGTCCTTGGGCTAGTGCTAGTCCCACGCTTTTGACCTCATGAGACCATTCTGGCTCACAGGCCGTGCAGGTTTCAAACCCCAAGCGCTCAACACCCAGGGATGGGGGGATGTGTGAGCCTTCACATCTGTGCTCCTCACCGCGTGCAAGACACACCGTCATGACCCGGTGGCAGGGATGGAGCATCAGATCTATCCAGCCGTGCAGGATATAGCGTCTCATGTGTCCAGACCTGCAGGCTGGAGTGCAGTGTGTGATCACAGCGTGATCCATTTTTATTCTACTTGTTTTTCGAGACACGGTCTTGCTGTTGCCCAGGCTGGAGTGCAGTGTGTGATCACAGCGTGATCCATTTTTATTCTACTTGTTTTTCGAGACACGGTCTTGCTGTTGCCCAGGCTGGAGTGCAGTGTGTGATCACAGCGTGATCCATTTTTATTCTACTTGTTTTTCGAGACACGGTCTTGCTGTTGCCCAGGCTGGAGTGCAGTGTGTGATCACAGCTCAGTGCAGTCTCAACTTCACGGGCTCAAGCAATCCTCCCACCTTAGCCTCCCAAGTAGCTGGGACCACAGGTGCGCGCTATCATGCCTGGGTAATTTTTTTAATTTCTACAGTGAAGTCTCACTATGTTGCCGAGGCTGGTCTGGAACCCTTGGCCGCAAGCCATCCTCCCGCCTTGGCCTCTCAAAGTGCTGGGACTACAGGGATGACACTGCAACCAGAGACAGCTGCACCCCCGGCGTCTGGGGGATGAGAACTGAGCGGGAGAGTGCTGGGCACACAGTCCCCCCACCACACCAAACCCGAAAATTACCTCCAAATGAATTAGCTCATAATTTAAAATAATCCTAAAGTAAATGGAGATAATCAACTCTAAAATGCAAAAGATACAAAGGAAAGCAGTTTTACCTGAATGTCACAAAATCCTTATGGGAAAGGGAATAAAACATCAGATACCCTGATCTGACTTTTAAAAGTCTTTTCGTGATCGACACACAGAAAGACCGACTCCTTGTGGGGCCCGGCAACGCGGCGGCACGCCCACCCGCACGGCCAGGACAGGGAACGAGGCCGCCAGCCCTGACAGTCCCTTCGGCCCCTCCGCAGTCCGCTACGGCGACGGCCCCCAGGCCTCCTCCCCGTGGCTCCAGTTCACCTTTTCCAGGACACGGCAACGGGACCCGGCCATCTGCGGACTTTTAGACCTGGCTTCCCTCGCTCAGCACATGCGTGTGGGACTCACACACCTTGCTCTGTGTGGATCGTCTGCCCACCTTGCTCTGTGTGGATCGTCTGCCTGTGTACTGCTGAACCCTATTCCATTATGGCTCTGCTGACCTCAGAGTAGCTCCCTGAGCAGGAAACACCGCCGGCCCCAAGGCCCACGTGATGGTGCTGCTGAGGGGGACTCGCGAGGCAGACAAAGTCCCGAGCGTCTACAGTCGCACAGGGCACGCCGACACCAACCGACAGGTGTGAGAGGAGAAAGGAGGACGCCACAACCACGGCCGGCAAGTTCAGCACGCGTTCCTCGGCGGGTGACGGGACAAGAGGACGATCTGCAGACACGTAAAGATGTGAAAACGCTGCCAAGCTATGTGAGCGAGTGACATCGCGGAGCCGGAGGAGTCTTCAGGGTCACATGAACCAGTGGTGGGCTGTGGCTCGGAGCCCCCACCCAAGTCTCACGGGGAACTGTGATCCTGAGTGTTGGAGCAGGGCTCTGCTGGGGGGTGACTGGGTGATGAGGGTGGACAGCCCCCTTGCTGGTCTCGTAATCCTGAGTTCTTGTGAGATCCGATGGTCTAAAAGTGGGTGGCAGTGGCCGGGTGCGGTGGCTCAGGCCTGTCATCCCAGCACTTTGAGACGCCAAGGCGGGTGGATCACCCGAGGTCAAGAGTTCGAGACCAGCATGGCCAACATGGTGAAACCCCATCTCTCCTAAAAATACACAAATTAGCCGGGTGTGGTGGCGCATGCCTGTAATCCCAGCTACCCAGGAGGCTGAGGCAGGAGAATGGCTTGAACCCAGGAGGCGGAGGTTGCAGTGAGGTGAGATGGTGCCATTGCACTCCAGCTTGGGTGACAGAGCAAGACTCTGTCTCCAAAAAAAAAAGAGAAAAGATGATACAGACAGCCTGTGTTTATTGAAACAATTCATGCTGTCATTAAAAACCTTCCCACAGAGAAAACTATCCCAAATGGCTTCACTGATGAGTTCTACCAAACATTCAAATAAAAATAACACCCATTCTAAACAAATGGCTCCAGAAAAGTGAATTCTAAAGGACATTTTCCAAGCAACTCTCCGAGGCCAGCATCCCCCCGATGCTAAACCAGACCAAGCTATCACAAGAAAAGGAGACCGCAGGCCAGTCCTTCACGAGCGCAGACGCAACCCCTGCGAGGCCTGGCAATGTGGACCCAACACATAGGAGAAGTGTGACACTGTGTGGTGGACCAGGGACCGGGGGCTGGGGGCTCACCCAAAGACCGGGGGCTCACCCAAAGACCGGGGCTCACCCAAAGACTGGGGCTCACCCAAGGAGCAGGGGCTCGCCCAAAGACCGGGGCTCGCCCAGGGACCGGGGGCTCACCCAAAGACCAGGGCTCACCCAAAGACCGGGGGCTCACCCAAAGACTGGGGCTCGCCCAGGGACCGGGGGCTCACCCAGGGAGCAGGGGCTCACCCAAAGACCAGGGCTCACCCAAAGACCAGGGCTCATCCAAAGACCGGGGCTCACCCAGGGAGCAGGGGCTCGCCCAGGGACCAGGGGCTCACCCAAAGACCGGGGCTCGCCCAAAGACCGGGGCTCACCCAGGGACCAGGGGCTCGCCCAAACACAGGGGGCTCACCCAAAGACTGGGGGCTCACCCAAACACCGGGGGCTCACCCAGGGACTAGGGGCTCACCCAAACACCGGGGGCTCACCCAGGGACCGGGGGCTCACCCAGGGACCGGGGGCTCACCCAAACACTGGGGGCTCACCCAAACACCAGGGGCTCACCCAAACACCGGGGCTGCCTTCACACTCAGACGTCAGTCAGGTCAAGACCAGTCCTTCATGACCACAGACGCTACCCCTGCGTGGCCGGGCAATGCACGCTGCGGTGGAACAGGGACCGGGGGCTCACCCAAGGACCGGGGCTGCCTTCACACTCAGACGTCAGTCAGGTCCATTCACCTTTTACAGGACCAAAGGAAAACCTCACTGCCCTCTCAATACACGCAGAAATACACATTTAGCATCCCGGACAAACTTCAAGGCACTTTTATAATTTTAAAAAGTAAACTGAGGCCAGGCGTGATGGCTCATGCCTGTCATCATCCCAGCACCATGAGAGGCTGAGGCAAGAGGATCCTTCCAGCCCAGGAGTTCCAGACCAGCCTGGGCAACATAGCAGAACCCTGTCTCTACCAAAAAAGAAAAAATCAGCCAGGTGTGGTGGCGGGTGCCAGTAGTCACGGCTACTCGGGAGGGCTGAGGTGGGTGGATCACTGGAGCCCAGGAGGTCGAGGCTGCAGTGAGCTGAGATCATGCCACTGCACTCCAGCCCGGGGGCAGAATGAGAACCTGTCTCAAAAAAAACACAAGAGCTCCCAGCAAACAAGAAACCAAAAGGGAAGGGGCCTCCTGAGTCTGATGAAGGACGCCAGGCAGGGCCGCTGCGTCACGGACGACTTGAGCCCGAGGCGGGAAGGGGCGTGCTCTCCACGGCTCTCCAGCACTGCACTGGCAGGCCGAGCCTGTGTACAGAAAGTCAGGGAGGAGACACCGATGCAGACGAGAAGAGAAAGGCTGAACTGTGCTCACCTGAAGATGACCTGACCGTGCGTTAGAGACTCTGCCGGACTTAAAGGTTGAGCTGGTAGAGCCGATGACTGAGTTAAACTTGGTCAGAAAATGCAAAGTCCACATATAAAACCTAACAGTGCTTCTCAACATTCACAATTGACAATCATATTAAAGTAAAAAAATACCACGTACAGTGTCATCAGAAACAGGAAATGCTTGGGTATCAATGTGATGAACCGTGAACAAGACCAAACTACAAGGCGTACTGAAAGAAGTGAAAGATGCCTGAAATAAGGGAGAGCTGGACCGCGTTCATGAGACGGAAGCCTCAATATGGTCAAGATTCTTCCAAGTTCATCTGGAGTCAACAGGATGCCCATGTAATCCCAGCAGGCTGTCGTAGCAACGGAGGGACCGGCTCTAAAATTCACACGGTGGGAACGAACAACGGTGCAGCCACTCGGGAAGACAGCGTGCAGGTTCCCCAGAAAGCCGGAAGTGGAACTGCACGCGCACACGGAACACCACGCGATCCGGCCCTCCACACACGCACATGGAACACCGTGCTGTATATGCCACAAACGTCTCCGAGTTCTGTGCTCCAAATGGTTACGGTGGTGAATTCTGTTGTGTGAATTTTCCCATAATAAAAAAAAGTGCCTGCTGTCTGATTCTGTTTACATAAAATTCCAGAAAATTCCGGCTAATCTATATTGACAGAAAGGAGGCCTGAGGTAGCGTGGGATGAGGGCAGGTGCGCGTCAGAAAGCAGCAGAGAAAAGTCCAGCGCACGTGCCCGCTCAAGCGCAAGGATGCAGGGACGCCTATTGTCTTGGTGCTGTGGATAGTTTCATGGGTGGGTACAGACGTCAAAGCTCATTGAATTGTACCTTCCACACGCACCATGCATCCCACATCAGTTATATCTCAACACAGCTGCCCCAAAATGAAAAAAAGGCAAACTGATGAGAAAGAAACACGTAAGGTGGTCAACACGTACATCAGGGAAATGAGGAGTGCAGCCAGGACGGGACGCCTGCACACGCACAGAACGGCTAAAGGCAAAGCGTGTGGCCACGTGCCCGCAGGGGTCAACGCTGCTGCCTGGAAATGCGTCACTCAGGGCCACCCCGGAAGCAGGGTTTTTTGTTTTTTGTTTTTTTGCGTAGAGACACAGTCTTGCTCAGTCGCCCAGGCTGGAGTGCAGTGGTGCGATCTTGGCTCACTGCAACCTCCACCTCCCAGGTTCAAGCGATTTTCCTGTCTCAGCCTCCCGAGTAGCTGGAATGACAGGTGCCCGCCACCATACCTGGCTAATTTTTGTATTTTTAGTAGAGATGTGGTTTCATCATGTTGGCCAGGCTGGCCTCGAACTCCTGACCTCAGGTGATCTGCCTACCTCAGCCTCCCGAAGTGCTGGGATTAGTGGAGTGAGCCACCACTCCTGGGCCCTGGAAGCAGTTTTATAGCTTCTTACAAAACTAAACATGTGGCCACCAGATGAGGCAGAGCTCACCTCTGCGGTATTAATCACCTCAGGAAAATGCAAGCATGTCTGCGTAAATCAGTGCACAGACACACAGCAGCTTTACTCACAAGAAGCAAAAACCAAAGCAACCAGACGTCTATCAACCCTGGAACAGGGGAGAGATGGAGCACACACACAGCAGAAGCTACTCAGTGATAGAAAAGAAACTGCCCATACGGCCAGGGACACATAGTGAGCCCCACAGTATCCACACCCTGGCCAGCCACACGGGAGCCCCACGGTAACCACGCCTTGGCCAGCCACACAGCGAGCCCCACAGTATCCACACCCCGCCAGCCACACAGCGAGCCCCACGGTAACCACGCCTTCGCCAGCCACACAGCGAGCCCCACAGTATCCACACCACAGGACTTAATCAGTCCTCAACACACACACATAGCGAAACATCTTGCTGTACCCTGTATACACAAATATTACTTGTCCATTCAAAATAAAATTTAAAATAAAGATGCTGCCAGGAAGAAGTTAGAAACCACAGACAAAATGCTCCAAGAGTCCTCATGTGAAATTCTAAGAGAGGCAAAGCTACAGCGACCGGAAGCACATCTGCAGCTGGCCCGGGCCAGGGAGAAAAGAGGGGAATGATGAGGTGCAAAAGGAGGCACGTGGGACACCCGCGGCAGGTGACAAACGGCCGGTCCTGCCTATGAGGATGGATACCCAGGTGTGTGCTTTACCAAAATGGATCAAATTGTACACTTAAAATTGGTGAATCTTAGGGTGTGTAATTATATGACAATACAGCTGGCCAAACAAAAAACTATTCAATAAACTAAAAAAAATGACAGAAGGAAGTGTATGTAAAAAAGATGACCATAGATATTCATGAGAGAAAGAACTGAAATAATCTGTAACACTGACAGCTGCTTTACTGAAAGAGATATACGTTAGTGTGTAGCATGACGGATCAAGAAAGGAACCGGAAATAAATGATTCTGTCAAGAAAGTGTCTATGTATGATGCAGATACGATCAAGATTTTGTAAATCGTACAAGACAAGGAAAAGCTTTAGAGCAAGAAATTTCTAAGTTACGCAAAAAATTTTTAGAAAAAATGTAAATCATCAAAATAGTCTCCATAAATGAAAACCCTGAATTAGCCAACAACGTTTGAAGGAAATTAACAAAGAGAAAAGTGTGTTTTCCTGTGGGGGCAGCTGAGGGGGTGGAGTTTGGTGGAGGTGAAGGAGCTGATGACTCTGTCTCAAACGGCTTCAGAGAAAACACAGAGGAGTGACAATGATGAAAGGGAGGAAATGATGTATGAGATCAGCCCTGACTCACACAGACAGGAAGAACCGGGCCAGGAGAAGGCACACACGGACCTCGCTGCACGGCCACGGCTAAGATCCACGGGGGGACCCCCCTCATCAAACTCAAAGTCCCCTCAGACGTGAGTTCTCAAGCAGCCGCCGGCCAAAGTCCACCCGCCTGACAACACGCGTGTGGAGCTGTGACTCCAGGCCCTCATTCAGTCACTCACGCGACGGGGAGAACTCGAAACGGCAGTGACACCCCTACTCGTTCGTCCCCTGGGCCGGGGGCCCGGCTCACAGAAAACCGTCCCAAAGGCACACGATGGAGACGTGGACGGACATCTGCAGGTGGCGGCGAGCTGGGCGCCACCGAGACAGGCTCAGCAGCCTTGGCGGGGAAGCTGAAGTTTGCCTGCGGCCCCCACACACGCGGGACGCTCACAGGGTTCTGCCGCCACAGCGCAGGTGGATTAAGTCGCGACAGCGCACACCCTGCTGGCCTCTGCCCACAGTCACGGTGGGTGCTCGAGCACCATGCTCTCCGCCTGCAGGGCCGGGTCGGTGCGTGCAGGCACAGTGGGGCCTGTGGAGGTGTCTCTCGGACTCCCAGCGGTGCAGACGCTGCAAGCGACACAACTTCAGTCTCAGAGCTCTCCCCTGCCCCGCTGGGTCACACCCAGGTCACCCTGCTTCTCTGGGGCGTCGAAGACAACGACAAAACTTGCTTTTTACCACCAAACGTGACATCCAGCCAACGGACCAGGTTCTTTCAAGTCTTAAAGCCTCACTACCTTAGACGGCCACCAAGGCCAGTGCCGCTGTGCGTGGAAGCGAGGTGACACCGAGAACTGAGTCCTGGAAGGAAAATGACATGAAACGCGCACATGAGAACCAGGCGCCGAGGCGGGGAAGCACCGCGGAGGGGGGGTGGCCGCTGTGGGGGGCGGCACCACGGTGGGGGGAGGCGCCGTTGGGGAGAAGCACCGTGGGGATGAAGCACCGCGTGGGGAGGGGCGCTGTGGCGGGGAAGCACCGTGGGGACGGGCGCCCTGGCGGGGAAGCACCGCGGCGGGGGTAGGGGAGGGCGGGGCGGCGCCCTGGCGGGGAAGCACCGCGGCCGGGGAGGGGCATCGTGGCGGGGAAGCACTGAGGGGAATACATGGGTCCCATGCAGGAACCTCACTGGGCTGCGCGAGCGGCTTTGTAGGACCCGAAGCGGACGCAGCGCGTGAGCTGCAAAAGAGGTGTCTGACCCAGCCCGAGG
Source organism: Homo sapiens (assembly GCF_000001405.40). Taxonomy (NCBI): domain Eukaryota; kingdom Metazoa; phylum Chordata; class Mammalia; order Primates; family Hominidae; genus Homo; species Homo sapiens. Next base: position 359,134 of record NC_000023.11, read on the forward strand.
CGCGCAGAGACCCTGTGGGTGGGGCCGGGCGCACTCCGCGAGGGTGAGTTCTCCACACAACGGAGGCTGTACTGAAAAGGATGAAGGTGTCCCAGCAGACGGAATGCCAGCAAAGAGACCTCCCAGTGAAGGAACTCTCAGAGATACCCCACAACTTCAAGAGCACCAAGGATAAAACGCGGAAGCTGAGCAAGGCGTGTTAAGTCGAGTGAGTCTGCCAGGGCACGGAGCAGGTGCTCACTCCACACGGGACAAGGAGATGGCACTGCTGTAACTACTTTTGGCAAGTTTTTACTGAGAGATGAAACAATTCTTAATGCTTCTGGTGTTTTAAGTTACAGCATACTAGGTAAATATTAGTTCTTTTCATTCACTACATGTTTGCAACCGACTGTAAGAAAGTTTCTAATATTTCAACAAAAATGATTATAGAATGATCCTAATTTTTACTGGAAGATGGTTTTGCATGGTTGTGACTTATCTGGTCCTTTCATGGCCCCACACTGCCGTACAAGACAGGGACACCTCTACAAATACGGAGTGACTTAGCAAAAACAAATATGCAAGTGTACAACAGCATGCTAATTTTTCTCTAAGAAATGCAAGAAGTATGTATGTTCATACTCATACACATATTTGTACATAATTGCTCATATTAAAAGCTAAAATAACAATAAGAGGATAAACCAAAGCTATGGAAACTATTACCTCTGGGGTAGAAACAGCACAGACAGGGACAGAACCTGGACTTACCTGAATGTGTCTAGTTTGTTAGTGCTCACTTTGTAACCATGGAGGTTTTTACATATTTATAAAACAAAACTTTTTAAAATACTTTAAAAACACAATCCCTAATAGAAAAAGGGCGGGGACACTTAATGTGTTCTTTCAGACCCGTATTGCCCTAAAACCAAAACCAGACAAAGGACTCACAAGAAAACTACCAAGCACTGTCTTCTCTGTGAATCCAGTTGCAAAATTATTGGAATCCAGCAACATATAAAAAAGATGAGACACAGCGACCATGCGGAATTTATCCCAGGAATGCAAGGTTGGTTTAACATCCCAAAACCAACTCATTTAATAGACTGTATTAATAAGTTAAAAAAACAAAACCCGGCCAGGTGCAGTGGCTCATGCCTGTAATCCCAGCACTTTGGGAGGCCGAGGCAGGCGGATCACTTGAAGTCAGGAGTTCAAGACCAGCCTGGCCAATATGGTGAAACCCCATGTCTACTAAAAATATAAAAATTAGCCAGGCATGGTGGTGCATGCCTATAGTCCCAGCTACTTGGGAGGCTGAGGCAGGAGAATCACTTGAACCCAGAAGGTGGAGGTTGCAGTGAGCCGAGATTACACCACTGCACTCCAGCCTGGGTGACAGAGCAAGACTTTGTCTCAAACAAGCAAACCCAAAAAACAAAAACCTGCTCACTCCCGAGGACCCCCTTCACAGCTGCAGAGCTGGAGAGGGCTGGGGGGCAGGGGTCTCACCGTGAGGGGCTCACATGTACCGTGCACCGAGGCTCTGGGGCTCTGACTTGGAGGGGTGGGAGCATCCACTGGCCAGCGACTCCACCTGGAGGGTAGGAGGCTGGAGATGCGGGCACAGGTCCCTGGAAACACAACCACCCACCAGGGGTCCAGACACGCATCTCTGGTGTAGGCCTTGCCTTGGTAACGGACAGACACTAAACTGAGTGTGCTCCATCTGTGGGCGTCCAGGCGGTCAGCCTGGAGAGCATGCAGCTGAGAAGGAAAGCAGGCGGCGAATGATGCACGCCGCGCCGCAGCACTCAGGGTGAGTCTAGAAATGGGCCCATGGGGCTGCTGCCAGGAGACGGGTCCACAGCTGCCCAGCCTGGGATGGCCGCTCCTCGGGCAGAAAGGGGCAAGGCCAGGAGGGTGCAGAACGGCCTCCGAGAGCCACGAGAGCTGGCGCCACTGGCCCCGGAGGGGAGAGAAGGGGAGGGTGGCACAGGGCGGGCCTGCGCTCTTCACAGCATCAGGATGAGAATGCAGACGGAATTCCCACTCGCATTTCAGATGCTTAAGAATTCACACAGCAGCAACCAGACAGCAAACCTCAGACCACAACTATAACCTCAGAGAAAACCTGGGCCGCTCCCGCACACGTGTGAAACGCACCCTCCTCGGCCGTGCCGCCTCACTCACGCTCGTGTGACACGCACCCACCACGGCCGCTCCGCCTCACCCTCACATGCCCGCAGTACCACCTCGGCTGCTCCACGTCCCACGCGTGACACGTACCTTGGCCACCAGGCCCATGTCATCCATGGTGGCCCTCTCGTGGGGGAACCGGGCGAAGGTGCTCTCGATCTTGCTGATGACGGCATCCACGTTGACGGAGTCCTGCGGGCGTCCTCTGGGGAAGTAGAAGGTCGGAATGCTTTGGCTCGTGGCCGGGGGCAGAGGCTCTTCTTTCCGTGTCTGAACCTGAAGAGTCGACAGACAGCGCTCAGTTAGAACCTGGGAGCATCGAACGCCTTCTTCACCCGGACAACACACGGGGCCTCTCTAGGGCCGACAGTGCTGAGGCCACCTGATCCCAGCCGGGAGAGGACACACTGCAATCCCTGCGGGGGACCACACACGTACTCCACTGCAGGGCCCACCTTCACCCAGGAGGCCACACCATGCTGCCATGGACCCCACTCTGGGTGGCGGCTCTGCGCCACTGAGCCCCCATCACACCGAGCAGGGCCCTGGGGACAAGGGCAGCTACGTGCCCCAGGCACCTGAGAGCCCAGCCAGGACCCACTCCCGATTCCCATGAGCCACACCACTGACCCCACCACACCTGGCAGGGACCTGGGGAAAAGGGCAGCCACGCACCCCAGACGCCTGAGAGCTCAGACGTGGAGAGGCACAGGTGCCGTCCACAGGCAACCCTGTCCCTGGAGCCCGGAAGACTCACATTCTGAGAGGCAGAGGCAGGGCAGGCAACCACACAGCCAGGAGAAGGGGTCGACCACCAGGTACTGCTGCGGACACGCCTCAGCCCCTCACCCGGTGCACAGCCCACGCCCACGGGCTCTTGGCCCCACTCAGCACCAGCACTCTCCTCACCCAGTATATCTGCAGGCCCCAGAACACTCACTCAAGAGTCTCCTGCTTGCATCTCTACACAACCTGCGAGGTGGACATTTGATCTCATCCCGTGATGTTAAAACACCATCTGAAACAGTTAACAGCATCAGCAACCGTACTGCGTCCTCCTCCATCAACTGCCCAAGGGACGGTGCTGCGTCCTCCCCCACCATCAACTACTGAAGGGACGGGGCTGCGTCCTCCTCCTCCTCCAACTACCCAGGGAACGGGGCTGTGTCCTTCCCCATCAACTACTCGGGACGAGGCTTCGTCCTCCCCCATCAACTACTCAGGGGACAGGGCTGTGTCCTCCTTGACCAACTACCTAGGGAATGGGGCTGCGTCCTCCTCCTCCTCCATCAACTACTCAGGGGACGGGGCTGTGTCCTCCTCAACCAACTGCCATGGAGGAGGGGTCCAGGGAGGAAGTCCGCATACCAGTGGACCACAGCTCAGGGCCTTTGCACCCACAATCCTGACTGCCTGGATCAATCCAGGACTGGGTCCAAGCTCCAGTGTCCACACAGAGAAAACAGCCCGCCCTGCTACTCCCACAGGACCCTCACCCCAGGTCACAAGGGTCCCACAGACAGCACCCCAACTGTCCCCACCCTGCTACTGCCACAGTATCCTCACCGCAGGTCACAAGGGTCCCACAGCGCCCCAACTGTCCCCACCCTGCTACTCCCACAGGACCCTCACCCCAGGTCACAAGGGTCCCACTGACAGCGCCTCAACTGTGCCCACCCTGCTGTCGCTGCAGGACCCTCACCCACGGTGAGACTCAGTTGTTTTTCTCTGATCCCCATGTAGGAGGAACAGAGGCCGCCTCCGTGACCTGGGGCAGAGCAGGCTTCCCGCAGTAGCTGCCGACTGAGTGCTCCTTCAGCACAGCTTTACCTAAGGGCACACCCCTTCCCTGTGATTCAGAACGTGACCTCTGTGTCCTGGGGCAGGAGGTCCCTGCATCTCCCCGAGCCCGCGATCCCACAGTGCATCTCCCCGAGCCCATGATCCCGCAGTGCATCTCCCCGAGCCCACGATCCCGCAGTGCATCTCCCCGAGCCCACCATCCCACAGTGCATCTCCCCGAGCCCACCATCCCGCAGTGCATCTCTCCGAGCCCACCATCCCACAGTGCATCTCCCCGAGCCCGCAATCCCACAGTGCATCTCCCCGAGCCCGCGATCCCACAATGCATCTCCCCGAGCCCACCATCCCACAATGCATCTCCCCGAGCCCAGCATCCCACAATGCATCTCCCCGAGCCCGCGATCCCGCAGTGCATCTCCCCGAGCCCGCGATCCCGCAGTGCATCTCCATGAGTCCACGATCCCACAATGCATCTCCCCGTGCCCGCAATCCCACAATGCATCTCCCCGAGCCCACCATCCCACAGTCATCTCCCTGTGCCCACCATCCCACAATGCATCTCCCCAAGCCCGCGATCCCACAGTGCATCTTCCCGAGCCCACAACGCATTCCCGCAGCGGCGCCTTCCCGTCTCTCGCTGTGGGGGTCCCACTGTGGAGCCTGCGGCTCTTCCTCCTTCATCACGCTGGGTTCACACAGCTCTGCTATTTGGGGTACGGAACTGACCCCGCGAATATTCTGCAGTGAGCTCTCGGGCTCCTGTGTTTGGCAATATAGCAATGACCTGGGTACACAAACCAACCTTCCTGATGAAAACTGCCAAGAACCCTGGACAGAATAGTTGACAAACGTCTTCTAGACGGCGCCCACAGGCTGGCAGGAAAGGAGGACACCTCAGGCCACAGCTGCCTGGAAGGAAGAACCCGGGGAAGCCCGTGGAGCCTGAACAGGCTCTGCCTTCAGAAGCGTGGGCCGAGCGGGCTCACCCGAAATCTCTCACAGCCTTGCAGAGCTCTGGGGAAGAGGAGGCAAAACGCAGGGTCCTCCGGGGAAGCTCCCAGAACGCGTCACCTTCAGTGGGAAGAATGAGCTCCAAGTAAATCCCCAGCGCGCCTCCGGCCCCAGGAATGAAAGTAGCAGCCTTCACCTGGAGCTGCTGGTACGAGCTGGGCAGGGGGGAGTTCTCCCCCGAGAACTGACGGCTACAGCCGACTCTCCTGCAGGTTTGCAAACCAAACTCACGGTCACCAGGATGCTGCGAAAACCCTCAAACCGGCCGGGCTCGTGCCTGCAATCCTGGCGCTTTGAAAGGAGGCTGAGGGGGACAGACTGTCTGAGCTGAGGAGTTCAAGACCAGCCTGGGCAACATGGCAAAACTTCATCTCTACTAAAAAAAAAAAAAACAAAAAAAAAAAAACAGAAAACAAAAAACAAAAAGAGTATAAAAAAAATTAGCCGGGTGTGGTGGAGGGTGCCTGTACTCCCAGCTACTCGGGAGGCTGAGGCAGGAGAATCGCTTCAACACAGGAGGCGGAGGTTGCAGTGAGCTGAGATCGCACCACTGCACTCCAGCCTGGGCGACAGAGTGAGACTCTGTCTCAAAACAAAACAAACGATTAACCAGGTGTGGTGGCGCATGCCTGTACTCCCAGCTACTCGGGAGGCTGAGGCAGGAGAATCGCTTCAACACAGGAGGCGGAGGTTGCAGTGAGCTGAGATCGCACCACTGCACTCCAGCCTGGGCGACAGAGTGAGACTCTGTCTCAAAACAAAACAAACGATTAACCAGGTGTGGTGGCGCATGCCTGTAATCCCAGCTACTGGAGAGGCTGAGGCAGGAGAATCGCTTCAACACAGGAGGCGGAGGTTGCAGTGAGCTGAGATCGCACCACTGCACTCCAGCCTGGGCGACAGAGTGAGACTCTGTCTCAAAACAAAACAAACGATTAACCAGGTGTGGTGGCGCATGCCTGTAATCCCAGCTACTTGAGAGGCTGAGGCAGGAGAATCGCTTCAACACAGGAGGCGGAGGTTGCAGTGAGCTGAGATCGCACTACTGCACTCCAGCCTGGGCGACAGAGTGAGACTCTGTCTCAAAACAAAACAAACGATTAACCAGGTGTGGTGGCGCATGCCTGTACTCCCAGCTACTCGAGAGGCTGAGGCAGGAGAATCGCTTCAACACAGGAGGCGGAGGGTGCAGTGAGCTGAGATCGCACCACTGCACTCCAGCCTGGGCGACAGAGTGAGACTCTGTCTCAAAACAAAACAAACGATTAACCAGGTGTGGTGGCGCATGCCTGTACTCCCAGCTACTCGAGAGGCTGAGGCAGGAGAATCGCTTCAACACAGGAGGCGGAGGTTGCAGTGAGCTGAGATCGCACTACTGCACTCCAGCCTGGGCGACAGAGTGAGACTCTGTCTCAAAACAAAACAAACGATTAACCAGGTGTGGTGGCGCATGCCTGTAATCCCAGCTACTCGGGAGGCTGAGGCAGGAGAATCGCTTCAACACAGGAGGCGGAGGTTGCAGTGAGCTGAGATCGCACTACTGCACTCCAGCCTGGGCGACAGAGTGAGACTCTGTCTCAAAACAAAACAAACGATTAACCAGGTGTGGTGGCGCATGCCTGTAATCCCAGCTACTGGAGAGGCTGAGGCAGGAGAATCGCTTCAACACAGGAGGCGGAGGTTGCAGTGAGCTGAGATCGCACCACTGCACTCCAGCCTGGGCGACAGAGTGAGACTCTGTCTCAAAACAAAACAAACGATTAACCAGGTGTGGTGGCGCATGCCTGTAATCCCAGCTACTCGGGAGGCTGAGGCAGGAGAATCGCTTCAACACAGGAGGCGGAGGTTGCAGTGAGCTGAGATCGCACCACTGCACTCCAGCCTGGGCGACAGAGTGAGACTCTGTCTCAAAACAAAACAAACGATTAACCAGGTGTGGTGGCACATGCCTGTAATCCCAGCTACTTGAGAGGCTGAGGCAGGAGAATCGCTTCAACACAGGAGGCAGAGGTTGCAGTGAGCTGAGATCGCACTACTGCACTCCAGCCTGGGCGACAGAGTGAGACTCTGTCTCAAAACAAAACAAACGATTAACCAGGTGTGGTGGCGCATGCCTGTACTCCCAGCTACTCGAGAGGCTGAGGCAGGAGAATCGCTTCAACACAGGAGGCGGAGGGTGCAGTGAGCTGAGATCGCACTACTGCACTCCAGCCTGGGCGACAGAGTGAGACTCTGTCTCAAAACAAAACAAACGATTAACCAGGTGTGGTGGAGGGTGCCTGTACTCCCAGCTACTCGAGAGGCTGAGGCAGGAGAATCGCTTCAACACAGGAGGCGGAGGGTGCAGTGAGCTGAGATCGCACTACTGCACTCCAGCCTGGGCGACAGAGTGAGACTCTGTCTCAAAACAAAACAAACGATTAACCAGGTGTGGTGGAGGGTGCCTGTACTCCCAGCTACTCGGGAGGCTGAGGCAGGAGAATCGCTTCAACACAGGAGGCAGAGGTTGCAGTGAGCTGAGATCGCACCACTGCACTCCAGCCTGGGCGACAGAGTGAGACTCTGTCTCAAAACAAAACAAACGATTAACCAGGTGTGGTGGCGCATGCCTGTAATCCCAGCTACTTGAGAGGCTGAGGCAGGAGAATCGCTTCAACACAGGAGGCAGAGGTTGCAGTGAGCTGAGATCGCACTACTGCACTCCAGCCTGGGCGACAGAGTGAGACTCTGTCTCAAAACAAAACAAACGATTAACCAGGTGTGGTGGCGCATGCCTGTAATCCCAGCTACTTGAGAGGCTGAGGCAGGAGAATCGCTTAAACCCGGGAGGCGGAGGGTGCGGTGAGCTGAGGTCGCACCACTGTCCTCCAGCCTGGGTGACAGAGTGAGACTCTGTCTCAAAAAAAAAAAAGTGAGATGAATACTTGGACATTTTTAGCCCCAAATTTACAGAGCATGCACCCCATTAACAGACACTCTACGGGGCAAAAGCTGAGGAAATGCAGCAGGGAGAAGCCAAGAGCTCCCAAAGGGAAGGTTGGAATTGAAAGAAGGGATGAAGAGCAGGTCAGCGGTAATGAGTGGGAAAACCTCGGCAGCTGACCACATAAATCAGTGATAACAATGTATGTTCAATTTAAAAAACATAAATCAGTGAAAACAACGTATGTTCAATTAAAAAAAAAAAGTCAATACAACAGCCTGTCAGTGACATGCTGACTGGATGAGTGTGAGACGGTTTGTGAGTTGGAGGAAAAGATACTGATTAATATTGGGCTTTGAAAAATTTAGTCGACGTTCCTTTTTTTTTTCTTTATAGAGACGGGGTCTCGCTATGTTGTGCTGGCTGGTCTTGAACTCCTGGCCTCCAGCGATTCTCCTGCCTCAGCCTCCCAAGGCGCTGGGATCACAGGTGTGAGGCCCCGTGCCCGGCCAGCCATTGACATTTGTAGGATAAACAGTGAGCTAGTAGGAAGCGTGTACTCCAAACGAGAGAAAAGGCGACCAAGCTGAAAAAGAGCAGGAGACAGAGGTGCAGGATGAGACGGTCACAGTCCATCACACGGATGAGCAGGCAACATCGACCTCAATGCACCGAGTGCTCTAGTTACAAGACAAAGGTCTGACTGCAGAAAGAAAACAGCATTCACGTACATGGGAGACACAGAGGACAGAAAGACAGGAGATATATGTGACTTAAGGACCCAGAGGCTACACATTTTTTTTTGAGATGGAAAAAGAGCAGGCAGACAGTAGAGAAAGCTGGTGTCGCTGTATTAACATCCATGAAGTGACACAAGGTGATGGACAGACCTGGAGACAGACAGGCCACCAAGGAACGCTGAAGAGGTCAGTCAGGGGAAGACAGGCTGATGCTAACTTTATCCATGCCTGACAACGCAGCCTCGGCACTGATCAAGTAAACACCACTGGACACAAACTGAGCCCGCTAGGCAAGGCGGAGCCCACCCACCCCGGGCACAGACACAGGGAAGGCCGGGACCACCCACCCTGGGCACAGACACGGGGAAGGCCGGGACCACCCACCTTGGGCACTGACGGGGGGAAGGCCGGGATCACCCACCCCGGGCACTGACGGGGGGAAGGCCGGGACCACCCACCCCGGGCACAGACACGGGGAAGGCCGGGACCACCCACCTTGGGCACCGACGGGGGGAAGGCCGGGACCACCCACCTTGGGCACCGACACGGGGAAGGCCGGGACCACCCACCCCGGGCACCGACGGGGGGAAGGCCGGGACCACCCACCTTGGGCACCGACACGGGGAAGGCCGGGACCACCCACCCCGGGCACTGACGGGGGGGAAGGCCGGGACCACCCACCCCGGGCACCGACGGGGGGAAGGCCGGGACCACCCACCTTGGGCACCGACGGGGGGAAGGACGGGACCACCCACCCCGGGCACCGACGGGGGGAAGGCCGGGACCACCCACCCCGGGCACCGACCGGGGGAAGGCCGGGACCACCCACCCTGGGCACCGACGGGGGGAAGGCCGGGACCACCCACCCTGGGCACCGACCGGGGGAAGGCCGGGACCACCCACCCTGGGCACCGACGGGGGGAAGGCCGGGACCACCCACCTTGGGCACCGACGGGGGGAAGGCCGGGACCACCCACCTTGGGCACCGACACGGGGAAGGCCGGGACCACCCACCCCGGGCACTGACGGGGGGAAGGCCGGGACCACCCACCTTGGGCACCGACCGGGGGAAGGCCAGGACCACCCACCCTGGGCACCGACGGGGGGAAAGCCGGGACCACCCACCATGGGCACTAATAGACGAGAGATGGAACAAACAACACAACCACCCCATGCGGGCACAGAAGATTTACAAGCTTAATCTCATGGACAGAAATAGACTCGGCCCCAGCACAGCTGCAGAGCACACATTCTTTTCAACACACACAGCTCACTTGGGAACTGGCCACCTCTCGGGCTGAGCTGCAGGTCTCAGGGGGTTCTGAAGGAATCACAGGGACTGCTGCCCTGCCCCAAACGTAGCCGGTGAGGCCAGGCATCTACGGTAAACACAGAAGGAGCAAAAACAGCTGCATGTATGTGGAAGAAGAATTCTAAAGCCAGCCGCCTGTTCATTAAAAAGTTCAGACAAACCAGAGGGGCCTGTGGCGGCCAGGTCATCCACTTTAAATCCTCCTCAGTACGTGTACTTTAAAAAGAACTTCGTAAAGAGCCCGTCACCCAAAGCGCACTGATAAAGGCGACACCCTGACTCCCAACAAGCTATTTCTGTTGAGGGCACTGAGAAGGCAGCTCCCTGACTCATCACAATTCCAGAAGTCACAGATACATGTGTCGCCCTTCCAGAGTACACCCACAGTTTTGCAAAACACGTCCATATACGACCAAAAACAAAGGCTGAGCCTAACACTGAGGCTGCCTGTTTTTGCGTAGAAGTGCGTGCGCTTGATGGGTGCAGGTGAGTGTACCCCGAGAACACAGGCCACGTGCACCGTGACACATCCTCTCGCGACACCAGCCTCGGGCAGACCCCCGCATGTGCAGAGGGTGCGCACAGCAGGCAGGGCGCGGTGACCAGCAGAAATGACCCTCGCCCCCACGGCAGCAGGACCGGACACCACGATCAAAGCCACAGAGGAGGTGCCGGAGCAGCAGGGGGCCGGCGGAAGGGACGCTCAGTACGGGCTGCAACGCACAGCCGTGCCCCCAGGAGCCCCCGCTCTGCAGCGGCCCCCACTCTGCAGCGGGAGGCGGAAGCACGGGAGGCTGTGGTATGGAATCAGGGACGGGGGGTTTGGCCGGGACGCACACTCATGGATTCCAGCTGAGCCCCTCGCCCACCCAGATGACGGCCACCCCCTGGAAGGCAGGGCCTGCTGCAAGCTCTGAGCATTCTTCTCGGCCCAGCACTTGACTCCCAGGGACCCTCTGAGAGGGCTGGTAGAGGGCTGCCAGCTACACCTGCAAACCGCACGCTGGACGGCTAAACACAGGAGTCAAAAAGGTCGGTGTTTACACAGAGGAGCCGAACACGGAGATGAGAGGCCCCACGTGTGGGTTTAAAAATCCCCTCTCTAGCAAAGAGGGAGAACTGGTGTGGAGGGGTCAACACAGAAACGCAGCAGGTGCAGGTGTCTGAGTAGGCCAGAGCTCACGTGGGCTAACATTCACTCAGACACATGACTGCAGCCGAGCAACCGGGCCTCAACGGACGCTGAGAGACGTCGGCTGGGGCCTGCACCCACACCTGCAGCCCAGGCACTGGCGCCTGCAGCCACGGCTGCAGCGAGGCGTGAGTCTCCACAGAGCTCGGAAGGCTGGGCTGGGGGACGTGGGGATCATTCTGTCCACCAGCCAAGGGGTGACGGTGGATGCCGCGCAACACAGCGAGGGGAGGATCCGGCACCCTCCCTGCGTCCACAAGCCCCTGGCGGATGCTCCTGAGCTTGGTCTTCTGTGTGGACGTTCCCACCCGGGCTTCTGTTTCCCGTTAACCCCCCTTGCTGCAGCTCCCTGCCAGGTGGGGAACCCAAGCCCTGCCTTCTCCCTGCCACTGCCCAGGGAGTGGCATCCTGGGCAGCGTCCTGGCCAAACCAAAGGCTGCAAGGGTTTTGGTGACCACTGGCCTTGGGAGGGGAACGGCACGTGCCCTGGCGGTGAGAGCAGGAGGTGCGTCAGGGACGCCCAGAGCCCAGGCTGTCACCACGCTGAAGTCAGTTCCAAGTACAGCGGGGCTGCCGCGTAGGGGACGGCGCTTTCAGCCATGCGTGGTGCCGTGTAGGGTCTGTGCGTCCACCCGAAGGACCCCGTGGGGACGCCGGACAGTGTCTGTGTGACCAGGACAGGTGAAGAGGGGCGTCTGTGTGCTGAGTCAGTGTGTGGGGAGCGGGAGAGTCACTCCCCAGGCGGGGAGGGCCAGGCTAGGCAGCACAGCTGTCCTGGGCTGGGAACAAGGTCTGAGCTGTCCTGCTGTTGCCCGGGGACAGAAGGCCCGAGAATCCCTGGGCAGGAGGCGCAGGCAGTGGCTCCGGCAAGAAGAGCTCAGCCAAGCAGCTGCACGGCCCCACTCCAGGTACATGCTGGGTCCTACAGTGAGAGCATGAGCCGTGTAACACGCCATCGTCACACGGGAGCCTCCCCGGACCCACGGTGAGAGTACGTGTAACACGCCATCGTCACACGGGAGCCTCCCCGGACCCACGGCGTGAACGCATGCTGTTCCGTTCCCAAGGCCGGCGGTCGCTGAACGCCCCCACCCCCCGAGTTTGGTTTGTCAAGGATGCCGGTGACAGGGAAGTGGGCAGTGGCAGGGAGGAGGAGGAGCTTGGGTTCACCATCGGGGCAGGCAGCACCCGCCAGGGGGTTAGTGGGAACAGAAGCCCAGGTGGGACGTCGCACAGTCAGAAGATCAAGCTCAGGAGCACCCGCCAGGGGCTCGTGGGTGCGGCCAACGTTGGCCGTGGAAGGCTGTGCCCGTCAGAGGACCCCTGAAAACAGTACCGTGCTGCCCGGCCGGGAGCGTCCGAAGGCGGAGGTGCGGCACCCCAACACGTCCAGTGGCTCCAACACGGGTGCTCCCTGACAACCCTGAGGGTGTGTCCAAGTGGGGTGGACCCAACAGACAGAGCCCACACTCATGCGCGGAGTGAAAGCAGCCAGGAAACGTCCCCTTCTCCCCCAACACCACCCCCACAAATACCCCCAAATATGCCTGTAATTCCTCCACCACCCCTCAGACAACATGCATTTCACACGTCTGTCCTCACTCCCTAAAAACGTGGAAACCTATTTTCTGTAAAATGAAGCAAACTTCTGTAAACGGAATTCATGATTTCCCAGAAACTGACTTTTTAAAAATAAACAGTCCTCACAGGTGCATCGTCACCACAGCCCCCCACAGAAGAGCCAGGGCCCCACTGCAGGGCTGAAGGGCTTCCTCATCCAGCCACGTGCGAGCTAATCACCTCATTGACTCTGCGACCAGCGAGCCCGCACCGCCCAGCACCTCCCACCATCTAGAGCAAATCCCGCACGAGGCTGATCTCGCTCTTCGCAGGTTAAGAGGATTTTAAAGACACCAGCCTCGCCCTTACCCACTTACAGGCAAAATGTCAAAACCTGGAAGACAGAGGTCAAAAACTCCGAAGGAGTGCAAAAGTTGATGTGAGATCTTACAGAAAAAATTTCAATTAAAATATCAACAGAAAGAAGTGGGTCTTCCTCCCCCTTCAAGCAGGATGCCTTGGTTCACCTTGATGTTAGGCCACTAGTTCCAGACTCCTGGAACTGAGTTTGAAAAGCGCGTCTGATGTGCCACGTGGGTGTGAGGCGCCCGCCACGCACACCCTGTCTGGATGAAATTCGGATCAGATTCGGCCGCAGCCAAACCCTAAATTCTCAAATTATACTGGGATTGTCACAGGAAGACTCTTACACGTTTAAATCACATGGTACTCGTAAAACTAACTCATACAATATACACGGGGTACAGACACAAATTTTACTTCCCTGAGCACTTATGAGAACTGAGATTAAATTTCAAAGCCAGCTGGGGTGGAGGCTCACGCCCCTACTCCCAGCACTTTGGAAGGCCCAGGTGGGCGATCACCTGAGGTCAGGAGTTCAAGACCAGCCTGGCCAACATGGTGAAACCCCGTCCCTACTAAAAATGCAAAAATTAGCCCTACTCGGGAGGCTGAAGCAGGAAAATCACTTGAACCCAGGAGGTGGAGGTTGCAGTGAGCCGAGATAGCGCCGCTGCACTCCAGCCTGGGAAACAGAGAGGCTTCGTCTCAAATAAATAAATATAAATAAATAAATTTCAAAGCCACTGAGTTACTGAATAAAACCACGCTGCATAAATAGTCCGGTATGTGAGTGATATCTCAACCGACTCTTAAGTTAGCCAGTGGGAAGGAATGCTGGGTATTGCAATAACGCCGGGAAAGTTTCACCCACCCGACGCCTTTACGAAGGGTGAAGGAGTTTCCCGATGTTTATTACCAGCAATGCAAGGTATATTTAAATTAAAAATCTGTCTGCAGCGAACACTCCCAGGCGCTGACGGCTCTCACCCGCCTTGGTTGATCACAGCAAGGCGCGCACTCACAGCCAAAACTCCCGGGAAAGGAGCGAGTGCTCTTTTCAAAGCCCGGTTTTCCTAACAAGCTTGGCACCGCTTCCCACAGAGCAGCACCCGGTTTTCGGCGGCGTGCGGCCCGAGCGGGTCCCCTGCGCCCACAACTGGCCCTGTAAATCTGGCGTTTGGGCCCCGCCACGCAACAACGGGTGCACGGCCAGCAGCGGCGAGCGGGGGCCCACGCGGGGCCGGGAGGGCAGGGCTCGCCGGGCCGGGAGGCCTCGCCCGGTGTCGGGCAGCCGCGGGGCGCGCGGGGCTGACCTGCTGGAAGGCCTTCAGCCGCTTCTTGAACCGAGAGGGCAGCACGAAGTCGCAGCCGCGGGCCAGTGAGGCCAGCTCCTGGCGCAGGTCGGGGTCCTGGCGCAGCGAGCGCTCGCGGAGTCGCATGCCGCCGGCGCGCAGGGCTCTCCGCGGGCCGGGCCGGGCGCCGCGCTCTCGGGGCAGGGCCGGGCCGGGGCCGGCGGGGCGCTGCAGGCGTGGCCCGGGCTCAGCGCGCTCCATGCGTCGCCCGCCAGGCGCTCTGGGGCCGGGGCCCGCGCCGCGCGCATTCCTCAGGCTGAGGAGGGCGCATGGCGCCGGGGGTGGGGGCGGCCGCCTCTCCCGACCCGCGACTGTGCAGACCCGGCTGCTCCCGGCGCTGCTCTCCTCTCCTCCTTCTCCGCTCCCTGCACTGCCCTCCGCTCCCTCCGGTCCTCTTCTCTCCTCTCCCCGTTCGCTCCGGGCTGGGCCGTCCGGCCGGGCAAGGGGGCGCTTTCTGCACCGCGGCAGCCGTCACGTGGCTCGCCCTGGAGCGCGCATCAACAGGTCCCCGAGAGGAGAGCCTGGGCGGAACGCGCATCAACAGGTCCCCGAGAGGAGAGCCTGGGCGGAACGCGCATCAACAGGTCCCCGAGAAGAGAGCCTGGGGACGGCCTCGGGGACCCAGGCGAAGGCGCTCCCCGCGAGAAGTGAGGTCCCCCCCCTCCACGACAACACCAGAGCTGGCTGCAGGCTCGGTGCCGACTCCGGCTTGCCCCTCCAGAGCACAGGGCACGCCAGGTGCAGCTGCGCCTCCACAAACACGCACGGCAGCCCAGACATCCCGGCAGCCCGGCATCAAAGCGCGCCGGCATCTCCGCCCCTCCCCAAACTTCAGGAGTTTCTAGAATACAGCTAAGCTGCAGTGGGCATCCAGGATCTCGTCTTCTCTGCCACTGCTCACTGTGATAACTGCGCTTGTTTGCAATCGTATTTAGAACAAGAAAAGAGGGGCGGTGGAAAAGGGGGACGGGCAACTTTAAATGAGGGTGAGCTGACATTCCGGGGGCCTGCACCTCGATCCCACCGGGAAGGAGACAGGATACCTTCGGGCTGAGGGTCAGAAACTGGCCACATCCCTGCCAGGCTGAACGCTGTCAGCAGAAAGCCTCCCGGGTCCCCGATCAGGAAGGTCCTGCGTGACCGCCTGCATCTGTTACAGTCAATAAACCTCCTTGGACGGGTCACTATCACCCCGAGTCAACAGCGTGCACTGGGCTCTCCCGCTGCCGCACGCTCTGTTGAGTCTGGAAAAACGCAGGATGACACGGATCTACCACTGTGGGGTCACGCAGAGGAGTTTCCCTGCCCTGAAAAACGTCTGTGTGGCACTGACGCACCCAACCCCCGCAAGCCCCGATCTGTTTCCTGTCTCCATCGTTTTCCTTTTTCCGAGTGTCCTAGACTTGGAACCAGAAGTCTGCAGCCATCTCAGACTGGCCTTTTCTTCTCCTGCAACCTTCCACACCACCTCTGACGCCCACCACAGCCCCCCACCCGCAAGGCCCCTTCCAACTCTTCTTAGGGGTACGCCCCTCTCCACTTCCTTCTCTTCCACCTCCTTCCCTTCTCCAGCCATCCTCGGATCCCTCCATCCTTCTCACTTCCTTACTGTCCTTGAGGATTCAGAAGTCGGCCTCTGACCCCCGGTAAGTCTCCAAAGGGAAGCTTTAAGACAGCACCAGAGGGAATGTGCTCAAACCACCAGGAGACGATTTAAACAAGTGCACCCAGTAACCCACGATGCGGGGCGCAAACTCACAGGGCAGAGGTGCCGCCCAGTCACCCACGATGCGGGGCGCAAACTCACAGGGCAGAGGTGCTGCCCAGTCACCCACGATGCAGGATGCAAACTCACAGGGCAGAGGTGCCGCCCAGTCACCCACGATGCAGGATGCAAACTCACAGGGCAGAGGTGCGGCCCAGTAACCCATGATGTGGGGCACAAACTCACAGGGCAGAGGTGCCGTCCCGTCACCCACGATGCGGGGCGCAAACTCACAGGACAGAGGTGCCGCCCAGTCACCCACGATGTGGGGCGCAAACTCACAGGGCAGAGGTGCCGCCCCTTCAGTTCATATCAGCACTACACACGGACGGCCTCCCAAACGCAGCTAGGGGAACCAGATTGGGAGCCAACCTCCTGTGATCTCCCTCCGAAAGTCAAAGATCAAACCCAAAATGCGGGGGAAGCGAGCCAACGGGCGCGATCCTCACACTCAGGCAACATGCCCTGTCCTGCCACGCCAGGTGACACACGCCCTGTCCTGCCACGGCGGGTGACACACACCCCTGTGGACTTTACTGCCAGGTTTCCTCTTTCCGTACAAGACTTTTGGAACACAGCCAGGCACAGTGGCTCATGCCTGTAATCCCAGCACTTTGGGAGGTCAAGGCAGGCAGATCATGAGGT
Organism: Homo sapiens; assembly: GCF_000001405.40. Taxonomy (NCBI): domain Eukaryota; kingdom Metazoa; phylum Chordata; class Mammalia; order Primates; family Hominidae; genus Homo; species Homo sapiens. The sequence goes on from NC_000023.11 coordinate 375,981, forward strand.
CAGGAGTTCGAGACCAGCCAGGCCAACATGGTGAAACCCTGTCTCTACTAAAAATACAAAATTAGCTGGGCATGGTGGCGGGTGCCTGTCATCCCAGCTACTTGGGAGGCTGAGGGAGAAGAATCGCTTGAACTCAGAAGGCAGAGGTTGCAGTGAGCCGAGATTGCGCCACTGCACTGCAGCCTGGGGGACAAGAGCGAGACTTCGTCTCAAAAAGGAAAAAAAAAAAAAAAAGACTTTTGGAAAACAGCCTCAAAATCCTGAAGTGCACACATAGGCAGAGATTTAGACTCTGACCTGGAGCCCTCGAACCACCTCTGGATGCAGTCCCACTGCCCCCCTGGAGCCCTTGCGTCCTGTCCCGATGCAGAACCCGCACCACCCGCCCCCAGTGCAGCCACAGGGCTGTCTACACCGGATGGGGGAGGGACAGGGCTGTCCACACTCGACAGAGCCCCCATGGGGCCATCCACTACCGTGTACAGGGACGGGCCGTCCACAGTGGGGCCGCCATGGGGCTGTCTATACACTACTGTATGCAGGGACGGGCCGTCCACACCCAGTGGGGCCGCCATGGGGCTGTCTATACACTACTGTATGCAGGGACGGGCCGTCCACACCCAGTGGGGCCGCCATGGGGCTGTCTATACACTACTGTATGCAGGGACGGGCCATCCACACCCAGTGGGGCCACCATGGGGCTGTCTATACACTACTGTGTACAGGGACGGGCCGTCCACACCCAGTGGGGCCACCATGGGGCTGTCTATACACTACTGTGTACAGGGACGGGCCGTCCACAGTGGGGCCGCCATGGGGCTGTCTATACACTACTGTATACAGGGACGGGCCGTCCACAGTGGGGCCGCCATGGGGCTGTCTATACACTACTGTATGCAGGGACGGGCCGTCCACACCCAGTGGGGCCGCCATGGGGCTGTCTATACACTACTGTATGCAGGGACGGGCCGTCCACACCCAGTGGGGCCGCCATGGGGCTGTCTATACACTACTGTATGCAGGGACGGGCCGTCCACACCCAGTGGGGCCGCCATGGGGCTGTCTATACACTACTGTGTACAGGGACGGGCCGTCCACACCCAGTGGGGCCACCATGGGGCTGTCTATACACTACTGTATGCAGGGACGGGCCGTCCACAGTGGGGCCGCCATGGGGCTGTCTATACACTACTGTGTACAGGGACGGGCCGTCCACACCCAGTGGGGCCACCATGGGGCTGTCTATACACTACTGTATGCAGGGACGGGCCGTCCACAGTGGGGCCGCCATGGGGCTGTCTATACACTACTGTGTACAGGGACGGGCCGTCCACACCCAGTGGGGCCGCCATGGGGCTGTCTATACACTACTGTATGCAGGGACGGGCCGTCCACAGTGGGGCCGCCATGGGGCTGTCTATACACTACTGTGTACAGGGACGGGCCGTCCACACCCAGTGGGGCCACCATGGGGCTGTCTATACACTACTGTGTACAGGGACGGGCCGTCCACAGTGGGGCCGCCATGGGGCTGTCTATACACTACTGTGTACAGGGACGGGCCGTCCACACCCAGTGGGGCCACCATGGGGCTGTCTATACACTACTGTGTACAGGGACGGGCCGTCTACAGTGGGGCCGCCATGGGGCTGTCTATACACTACTGTATGCAGGGACGGGCCGTCCACACCCAGTGGGGCCGCCATGGGGCTGTCTATACACTACTGTGTACAGGGACGGGCCGTCCACACCCAGTGGGGCCACCATGGGGCTGTCTATACACTACTGTGTACAGGGACGGGCCGTCCACACCCAGTGGGGCCACCATGGGGCTGTCTATACACTACTGTATGCAGGGACGGGCCGTCCACACCCAGTGGGTCCGCCGTGGGGCTGTCTATACACTACTGTGTACAGGGACGGGCCATCCACACCCAGTGGGGCCACCATGGGGCTGTCTATACACTACTGTATGCAGGGACGGGCCGTCTACAGTGGGGCCGCCATGGGGCTGTCTATACACTACTGTGTACAGGGACGGGCCGTCCACACTTGACAGGACCACCACAGGGCTGTCTATACACTACTGTGTACAGGGACGGGGCCGTCATAGCATTGTTTTTGCACCACAGGCCAGCACGGAATCTGCGAGGCCTGTTTTCAGCCTGTTCCCCCCAAATTCCTACTCTGAAGAGACAACATTGCCATCTGGGCCGATGAAGCCCCTCACGGCACCCGAATCTCCACCGTCCCTCTGCTGTCGGGACACAATCTTACCATCAACCTCTAAAGGCTCCTAAAATGCCCAGAAGACCTTTATGCAAAATTTTCATAAAAATCTCTTCACTTTTCATTCTCACTAAACATACATTTGTTCAGACGGCTTGTTTTAGGATAAAAATGTGTCTTCCATGAGCAAACATAATGGCTTTTCTGAAATCCCAGATTTGAAAGGCTTACGAAGGCGACCTGCCCTTTGTGAGAAAAAGTTTTTCTGAACATCCAAAGCTAAAAGCATAGCTAGTAACAGGCAAGCCTATGAGACAGGAAGATGGCCCAGAATCCTGTCCTCACCCTGCAGGTGCCGTCTGCAGAGCACGGCTTCCTCCCTGTTTCAAAGGCCCTGAGAGGACAGGCTCCAGCGGATTCAAAACCCGTCCACCTCATCTCAGGAAACGGCATGGTTCTCTCTGTCAACAGAAGGGGAGGGAGGGATGAAGCTCTTTACACAGTTTCCATGGTTGCAGATTCTCGGAGGTTGCAAGAAGGGTTTTCGACACCTTCCTTCCTCCTCACAACGAGACTCTCATCGGTGCCCACTATGAAAACGTGAATAGGTCGTTGTTACGAAGGCAGTGAGAACTGAACGCAGACAGGCACGCACCTGTACAAAAGCTACAGTCCCTGGGCAAGCTCAAGGCTCCCGCACGAAACCTTCAGAAACCCTGAGCTCCTGCCCTGAGGGTTCTAGGTGCTTTTGTCTTACAACATGTTTGTTAAGAACTTCTAATGAAACGTTAAGATAACCACACCTGTATGTACATGCACCTGTGTGTGTGTATGCACCTGTGTGTTTGTGTGTATGCACCTGTGTGTGTGTATGCACCTACGTGTGTGTGTATGCACCTGTGTGTGCACCTGTGTGTATGCACCTATGTGTGTGTATGCACCTATGTGTGCATGTACCTGTGTGTATGGACCTATGTATGTGTGTATGCGTGTGTATGCACCTGTGTATGCACCTGTGTGTATGCACCTATGTGTGTGTGTGTGTATGGACCTATGTATGTGTATGCACCTGTGTGTATGTATCTGTGTGTATGGACCTATGTATGTGTGTATGCGTGTGTATGCACCTGTTATGCACCTGTGTGTATGCACCTATGTGTGTATGTACCTGTGTATGCACCTATGTGTGTATGCACCTATGTGTGTATGCACCTGTGTTTGTGCATATGCACCTGTGTGTGTGTATGCACCTGTGTGTTTGTGTGTATGCACCTGTGTGTGTGATGCACACGCACGCCCGTGTTTATCTCCAAATACCCTGTTCTAATGTTCTAGAATGCTGGCACCCGGTCTGATAAAAATCACAGGTTAGGTGGACACCAAAACTGAGTAGCTTCCAGAAATTAGAGAAGAACTAAATAAACAGATAGAAACTTAATCAAGGAGGTGCAAGAGGTGTACCCGGGGAAGTACACAACGTTGCTGAACAAAACCTAAATGAATGGAAAGTCCTTTGTTTGTGGATTGGAAAATACTGTTAAGGTATCAATTATCCTAAATTGATCCACAGATTCAAAGCAATCCCAATCAAAATTCCAACAGGCTTTTCTTGCTGGAAAGCAATTTTTAAAGAACAGGCTTGGACTCACAGTATCTGCTTTCAAAATTTGCTAGAAAGTTACACTAATCTGGAAAGTGCCATGAAGGTGAGGGGATGCACATACAGCAATGGGATGGAAATAATAATAAAACAGACGTACGTACTCAACTGACTTTCAACAACACAATTCCACGGGGGGAGAAAAGACTGTTCAATATACGGTGCTGGGGTCATCCAGATACCTCACCTCATACCACGCAGAAAAACTGACCTGAACTGGATCACAGGCCGAAACGCAAACCTAAAACCACACTGCTTTCTCAAGATAAATAGGAGAAAATATTTGACACCTTGTGGTATGCAAACATTTTGTAATAAGACACAAAAAATAAGAGTCATAAAAGAAAAAAGTTGAAAAACTAAACACTTTTGCTCTTTGAGACACTGAAGAAAACAAAAAGCAAGCCAGACTCAAGAGACATATGCACACACCACATTGTCTTACCAAGGACTTGCCAACAGTTGTATGTAAAGAGCTCTCGCAACTCAGTGATAACATAACCCAATTTAAAAAGCAAACACACGACCTGAACAGACGCTCGACAGTGGGAACCACATGAATGGCAAATAAGCACCTGAAAATTCCTCGGCGTCACCAGGCCGCAGGGAAATGCAATCAAAATCGTGCAGTACTGGCCGGGTGTGGTTGCCCTCGTCTGTCATCCCAGCACTCTGGGAGGCTGGGGCGGGTGGATCACCTGAGGTCAGGAGTTCAAGACCAGCCTGACCAACATAGTGAAACCCCATCTCTACTAAAAATACAAAACTAGCCGGGCGTGGTGGCGGGTGCCTGTAATCCCAGCTACTCGGGAGGCTGAGGCAGGAGACTCACTTGAACTGCAGGAGGTGGAGGTTGTAGTGAGCCGAAATTGCGTCATTGCACTGCAGCCTGGGCAACAAGAGTGAAACTCCATCTCAAAAAAAAAAAAAAAAAAAAAAAAAGCAGCTCATCCACATGAGGTTCTTAATTCCCCTTGTAAGAACTTACTTTAAAGATGCATTTAGGGTCCCCCCTAGCAGAAGCACCCTGGCTTGCAGCATCAGCCCATCGATACTGGCGTTTTCTTTCTTTTTTTTTTTTTTAGAGACAGAGTCTCACTTTGTTGCCCCGGCGGGAGTGCACTGGCACAAACATAGCTCACTGCAGCCTCGAACTCCTGGGATCTTCCTGCCTCAGCCTCACAAGCAGCTGAGACTTCAGGCATGAACCACCATGCCTGGCTGATTTTACTATTTTACAGAGATGGGGGAGTCTCGCTATGTTGCCCAGGCTGGGCTCAAACTCCTGGCCTCAAGGGATCCTCCCTCCTTGGCCTCCCAAAGTGCTGGGATTGAGCCACTGCACCCGGCCAATGCTCACATTTTCTAATTTGTACCAGTTTCTCTTCCCCAAAGACGGGAAGGAGCCACTGCAAGCACCCCTTTCAAACACAGAATGCAATCTCTCTGCTCAGTAACGATGAAGGCGTAGGTAACGTAAAACAATGCCGTTCCTTTCACCCTTGGCTGGGGAGTTCAATGGACCTAGCGTGAACCCTCCTGACAGCTCATACTCCATTCTGTACATGTGTGGGTGAGAAAAAGCTGCTTTATTTATGAAAATCTCTTCCTCTGACCCCAGCATCGCCCCTCCCCAGCCAGAGTTTGTAGCATGGAACTGCATCCTTCACTGTTAACGTGGCCTCGCGTATTCTGTATATGGGATGGACAGGAACAAGCTCATCTTTTTTTTTTTTTTTTTTTTTTTGAGACAGAGTCTTGCTCTGTCACCCAGGCTGGAGTGCAGTGGCGCGATCTCAGCTCACTGCAAGCTCTGCCACCCAGGTTCATGCCATTCTCCTGCCTCAGCCTCCGGAGTAGCTGGGACTACAGGCACCCGCCACCACGCCCGGCTAATTTTCTGTATCTTTAGTAGAGACAGGGTTTCACTGTGTTAGCCAAGATGGTCTCTATCTCCTGACCTTGTGATCCGCCCGCCTCGGCCTCCCAAAGTGCTGGGATCACAGGCATGAGCCACCGTGCCCAGCCCAAGCTCATCTTTTTTGTCCCAATGAACAGACACATCTTTCTAAGTTATTCACTTCTTGAGATTCAGCTGAAGTAAGCCATAGGTTCCAAACACGTAGACATGTTTAAGGTAAACTTTTAGTCCCAAACAAGGTCAGTCACTGCTTTTTGAAAATTCTTGCCATCTCCTAAGTGCAGAATCCTGCACCCTGCACACCCTGGCCGCCATGCCCACGGTCCACACGCATCCTTCCTTCTGCTTCTCCGGTCAGACCACTCCAGTCCCTCAACGTGACCTGAACATCTCATCTTTTTTTTTCTTTTTTTTTTTTTTTTGAGACAGAGTGTCTCACTCTTGTCACCCAGGCTGGAGTGCAGTGGCACAATTTCAGCTCACTGCAATCTCCGCCTCCCAGGTTCAAGTGATTCTCCTGCCTCAGCCTCCAGAGTAGCTGGGATTACAGGTGCCCACCACCACACCCAGCTAATTTTTGTATTTTTAGTAGAGACAGGGTTTCACCATGTTGGCCAGGTTGATCTCGAACTCCTGACCTCAGGTGATCCGTCCACCTCAGCCTCCCAAAGTGCTAGGAATTCAGGTGTGAGCGACTGAGCCTGGTCTCATTTTCACCGCCTCCCTTGGTCCTGCCCCCTATACCCAATAAACTCAGTGCATTTCTCAAGTTCCACTACTCACTTCCTCCTCAAAACTTTCTCCAGGAGAGAAATGATGTCTCCCTGCTTTGAACACCTTTGGAACTTAATTTCCACTTGTTAGAGGCTTCTTGCCTGATTTACAGAATATATCATCCTCTCACATGCACCCAAATGGCCTCGTTTGCACAGACCTGACCTTCCGTCAATATTCCCAGCCCTAGGAGAATTCATGCAAAGTCACAATAGTCCCAGCCCTAGGAGAATTCTTGCAAAGTCACACAATTCAAGCATTTACCTTAGCGTCTGGCTGTCATTCAACACGTTTAAGGACAAAATGGCAGCTCATTAGCGATCCCACTGAGAAAGCAAGTCATGGAGGGGAACCATCATTACTAGCACATGCTTCTTGAGTCCTGGCCCTCCTCTCAACCTCCTCAGTAAATGAGGGATTTGGGCAAGAGTTCCTAAGGTGCTTCAGGTTTTGCAGCTCACTGGGAAAGTGCACTGGGCCGGAGCTCAAGAGATGCGTCCTGGGGCCCTGAGTCCCCTCCTGGATCGGGATCTGGAGGGCCTGAGCCAGACGGTCTCCAAGCTGCCTCTAGCTCTAGTTCACATTTTCATCGACACGTACTTTTGGAAAATGTTCTAGATCCATCAGAAGACATCGGACAACCACCGGTAATTTAGAACGCAAGGAGCTCACCTCAGATTGCCACCCACCTCTCACTCAGCAAGTAGAGAGGCTGGTCCATTTTGGCTGGAAAACTGTGGTGCTACGTAAATATCACTTTGTGACATGCTTATTAGTGCTGCTGATGGAAAGCTGGTGTTCAGCTGAAAATTTTCAAATGGTATAAACAAGTTCCGACGGAACATTCTGAATATTTCAGGCTTCCGTAGTATTCTCGGGACACCAGACGCACCAGCCATACGTGTTTCTATAACATCTGGAAGCAATGTTTTATCGCTTTAAACTGCATAGTATAAAACGACAGAAAGCATTTTTAAAAATACACGGCTGTCGGCGGGCACGGTGGCTCACACCTGTAATCCCAAAACTTTGGGAGGCCGAGGCGGGCGGATCACGAGGTCAGGAGATCAAGACCATCCCGGCTAACACGGTGAAACCCCGTCTCTACTAAAAATACAAAAAAATTAGCCGGGCGTGGTGGCGGGCGCCTGTAGTCCCAGCTACTTGGGAGGCTGAGGCAGGAGAATGGCGTGAACCCGGGAGGCGGAGCTTGCAGTGAGCCGAGATCGCGCCACTGCACTCCAGCCTGGGGGACAGAGCGAGACTCCGTCTCAAAAAAAAAAAAAAAAAAAAAAAAAAAAAACCAAAAAAACAAAAAAACAACTAAGTTCCCAGTCATGACTGGATGGGAGTTTGGACACACCTTATTATACCCCTCCTGCTTTGGCAGTTTAAACACAACCAACCAGCAAAAAGGTTAAAATCAACATCGTAAGACTGACAGAACAGACTCTGTGGCAAACAAGACCAAGGGCCACCTGAGGTGAGGGTTAAGTCACACACCGCCTACACTTAAAGAATAAACTACAGTTCCAACTGCCAAAGCATTTCTTTTTCTCCAGCAGCTAAATGTCCTTTTAGGTTATTCACTAGAGACCTCTGCAGAAACTCGTTTTTGAGATTCAAGAAGTAAATAAAGGATGTTTTTCTTTTTCTCTATTGCTTATCTTGGCCTCAAGCTCGCGCACGCAAGAAGACTCTCTCTCTCTCTCTCTCTCTATATATATATATATACTTTTTTTTTTTTTTTGAGACAGGGCCTTCCTCTGTTGCTCAGGCTGGTGAGCAGTGGTGCAATCTCAGCTCACAGTAATCTCCGACTCCCAGCTTCAAGCATTTCTCCTGCCTCAGCCTCCTGAGTAGCTGAGACTTCAGGTGCGCCACCACGCCTGGCTAATTTGTGTATTTTTAGCAGAGATGGGGTTTCGCCATGTTGCCCAGGCTGGTCTCGAACTCCTGAACTCAAGTGATCTGCCTGCCTCCAACTCCCAAATGCTGGAATCACAGGCGTGAGTCACCATGCCTGACCAATATAAACAATATTAAAACACCTGCAGCTTCCTGTCAGATCCTGATGAACAGACCCCTCTGTTCCACCAGCCGTAACTACAGCTTTGACTGGGAAAAGACTGATTCCAGGCCAGGTGTGGTGGCTCACGCCTGTCATCCCAGCACTTTGAGAGGCTGAGGCGGGTGGATCACCTGAGGTCAGGAGTTTGAGACCAGTCTAGCCAACAAGGTGAAAGCCTGCCTCTACTAAAAATACAAAAATTAGCCGGGGGTGGTGGTGTGCGCCTGTAATCACAGCTACTCGGGAGGCTGAGGGAGGAGAATCGCTTGAACCCGGGAGGCGGAGGTTGCAGTGAGCTGAGATTGCACCATTGCATCTCAGCCTGGGTGAGAGTGAGAATCTGTCTCAAAAAAAAAAAAAAAAAAAAAAAACTGATTGCAATCACTTTATCCTGGTAACTACTCACCACGGACTGGTTCTGGCCGGTTGACAGAGGCTGCAGAGTTGCTTCACCTTTTGACCTAGGGGGCCTAACCATAATGCATTTAAATGTTAAGTCTCCGCTCCAAGGTGAACTCGGGAGTAGGTAACATGCATGTTTGTTCAATACCCATGCGTCAGGACACCCTTGGTGAATATCCATAGCTCTTCCTATAACTTCTTGAATATATACACTTGGCCAACCCACTCAGCATAAATTCCCGTCTCATCTTTTCTTCCCTCCAAGTGCTTGTTTTTAGTTTTCTTTTTTTTTTTTTTTTTTTTTTTTTTGAGATGGAGTCTTGCTCTGGTGCCCAGGCTGGAGTGCAGCCTCTGCCTCCTGGGTTCCAGTGATTCTCCTGCCTCAGCCTCCCGGGTAGCTGAGATTACAGGTACATTAGCCAGAGGCTGCGCTTCTCACCTGCGGTGTATAATCACCTTCTATGAAATAAATGGCGTTTCTTCTAAGAAATACAGTGGGATTTTGGGAGGCCGAAGCGGGAGGATTGCTTGGACCCAGGAATTCCAGAGCACTCTAGGTAACATAGCAAGACCTCGTCTCTGCAAAAATAAATAAATAAATAAATAAACAAAAATTAGCCTGGCGTGATGGTGCACGCCTGTAATCCCAGCTACTGGGGAGGCTGAGGCAGGAAGTCCAACTGTGTTTGCGCCACTGCACTCCAGCCTAGGAGACAGAGCAAGACCCTGTCTCCAAAGAATTGTAAAATAAATAAAAAACGGACCAGGCGCAGTGACTCACGTCTGAAATCCCAGCACTTTGGGAGGCCAAGGCGGGAGGATCACTTGAGGTCAGGAGTTCGAGACCAGCCTGGCCCACATGGGGGAAACCCAGTCTCTACTAAAAATACAACATCAGCCAGGCGTGGTGGCACGTGCCTGTAAGTCCCAGCTCCTCGGGAGCCTGAGGCAGGAGAATCGCTTGAACCTGGGAGGCAGAGGTTGCAGTGAGCCAAGATCGCGCCATCGTACTCCAGCCTGGGCAACAGAGCAAAACTCTGTCTCAAAATTAAAACAAATTAAAATAATAAAATAAAATAAAATAGGAAGCCTTTCTACCTTTATAAATTGTGTGATTTTTAGGTTAACAACTGTCAATGACGGAATGTTCAGTACGTGGGACTTTCTTGTCTGTATGTGTGTGGTGGGGGGGGTCGGGGCGGGGAACAGACTCAATATGAAACCGTTTTGGGGTCTGACGCTCGCCCACCAGCCTCCATCGCGCAGCCACACGCCCACTATGCGACCAGAGCCACCTGCGCAGTTGTTAGCAGAAGGAAGAGTAACTTACTACTCTCGTCCCTGCGGATCTACGGGTGCCTCGAACGTGGGGCGCGTTCCTGGGGCTGGAGGCGGCGCCCAGGGGCAGCGCAGGGCCCGGCCCGGGGGTTCCCGGGGGTTCGAGCCCGCTGGGCCGGGGGGCGGCGAGCGGGGCTGTGGGCCAGGCCCCGGGCTGCTCCCCGTCCCCCGGGGTCGGCTGGTCCCGCCCGGGCGCCTTGATCCGGCGCAGGCAGTCCTGCAGCATCCGCTGCGTGCTGGCCTCGCTGAGCCAGTACAGGAACAGCTCGTCCACCTTCATCTTCAGGACCGGCTGCAGCACTTTGCCGGGCGGCATGGCGGGGGCTGGGCCCGCGGCGCCCCCGGACGCCCGCGCCCCGCCCCGCCCCGGGGGCTTCGGTCCGCCCCGGACCGACCTCGGTGATGCGAGCACGGCCCGCTGAGGGGGCGCGGCGCAGGGAACAGGGCCCGCGCCTCGGGAACTGCGCGGACTCGCGGGGCGCGGGGACCGAGGAGGGGGCGCGGTCCGGCCCGCGCTGCTCAGGGCAGCTTCAAAACGGGCGCGCCGGCCGCGCTCCCAAACAAGGGCGCCCGCGTTCACGTCACTGCGTCGCGTCATCGCGACGATGTCATCACGAGGCGACGCCGCCGCTAGCCACGCGCGCCCCGCGGCCCTCGGAGCTTTTGCAGGAGGCTTTGGTGGGGCCGAGCGGCTGCGGTGAGGACGAGGGAGGGGCTGTGGCGGCCGTACCGCCCGAGCTCTTTCTGCGTTTAGGATTTTTAGAGGCGCGGCCCATGGCGGCGTGGCAGTCCTAGAGCTGCGGAAATGCGAGCATGCGCAATGCGTGCCTGCCAGAGCGAGGAGAGGGTGGAACCTCCGCATGGAGCATGCGCCGTGCATAGCGGTGGAGGAGCGGAGTTCGGGAGGCCGGTCGGGTGAGCGTGCGCAATGGCTGCCCGCGGGGCGCAAGCCAGAGGCTGGGAGGTGTGTGAGCGGGTGGGGCTGGAGGACGGGAGTGCGCCTGCGCAGTGGGAGGCACCGGGAACGAGCGAGCATGCGGGGTGCGCGCCCGCCGAGCTCGGGAGCGAGCGTGCGTCCTACGGGAGCGCGCGAGGAAAAGATCAAACTTTTCAATAACAGCGGGCTACCTGGGACCCAAAGGGCCCCGTTTACTTTAGCTTTGCTTATCAAACAGTAGAGACAGGTTGGAGGAGTTGGACCCCTTTAAACGTTGGTGTTCAGGGATGAGCGTGAAGTGCGTTGAAAATTGCAAAAATCATCCACGTCCAGGGAGGTGACATTAGTTAAATAACTTTACCCAATGGTCGTTTTTGTTTCTGCTTTTAACAGTATCCATAAAAACACTGCATTATCATCTGTCTGGCACACATGCACCTGTTTCCTTTACATCTTGCCCCGCTTTTTATTCATTTTTTATCAAAATAGGGTTTCACCTGGTGTTGCACCCTGTTAGAGAGTAATTTCAAGGTCTTTTATGAGCCAGGTTCTCCTACTTCTGAGCTGCATAAATCGAGCCAGACTCAATAAGTAACCCTTGGCCGGGCGCGGTGGCTCAAGTCTGTAATCCCGGCACTTTGGGAGGCTGAAGCGGGCAGATCACGAAGTCAGGAGTTCGAGACCAGCCTGGCCAGCATAGTGAAACCGCCCCCACCATCTCTACTAAAAATAGAAAAATTAGCCGGGCATAGTAGCGTGTGCCTGTAGTCCCAGCTACTCGGGAGGCTGTGGCGGGAGAATTGCTTGAACCCAGGAGGTGGAGGTTGCAGTGAGCTGAGATCACACCATTGCACTCCAGCCTGGGCGACAGAGCCAGACTTTGTCTCAAAAAAAAAAAAAATAACTCTTTTTTTAGTTTTATTTTTTTTTTGAGTTGGAGTCTCGCTCTGTCGCCCAGGCTGGAGTGCGATGGCAAGATCTCAGCTCACTGTAACCTCCGCCTCCCGGGTTCAAGGGATCCTCCTGCCTCAGCCTCCCGAGTAGCTGGGATTACAGGCGCCCGCCACCACGCCTGGCTAATTTTTGTATTTTTGGTAGAGACAGGGTTTCACCGTATTAGCCAGGATGGTCTCGAACTCCTGACCTCAAGTGATCCACCCGCCTCGGCCTCCCAAAGTGCTGGGATTACAGGCGTGAGCTACCACGCCCGGCCTAAATAACTCTTTTTGTTCGTATGAGACAGGGTTTTGCTCCGTCACCCAGGCTGCGATCTTAGCTGAGTGCAGCCTTGATCTCCTGGCTCAAGCGATCCTCCCACCTCAGCCTTCCAAGCAGCTGGGACAACAGGCATGCGCCACCATGCCTGGCTCATTTTTAATTTTATTGTTTATAGAGACGAGGTGTTGCTGGTCTCACACTCCTGGCCTCAAGCAATCTTCCTGCCTTTGCCTCTGTCTCTGCCTCCCAAAGCGTTGGGATTACAGGCGTGAGCCACCGCACCCGATTTAAATCACTCATAAACGATAGTTTTGTGTTGTGTACATAATGATTTGAATTTCAGTTTGTGTTTCGTGATTGGATATAAAAATCCGAGTGTACTTGGTCAGAAGAGCGCCATCACGCAGGAATTCTGTGAAGTTATTTTTCCTAATTGGGAAGCAACCGTTTGTGTGTGTGTGCGATGCTGTGATTTCTGGAGGGAAGTGAATATATTAATACAGTTCTCTGTTTGAGTATGTATCGGACACAGACGTCTTTTCAAGGAACAAACGTGCTTTTCATTCTGGGTGTTTCGATGAGCTGCGAGTCACTGTTGGAAGCATCACTGCAGTTTTGAGGGGAAAGGGTTTCCTTTGAATGCCTGCACAAGAGGCCTTTCTCTGCCAGGTTACTGGGGCACAGTGTAGTGAGGCCCAGGGCCAACAGGACAGAAATCAACTCAGGGCAGAAACAGAATGCGCCTTCAGTCTGCGCTGGGGCCCGGGGGCCCACTCCGTGCAGGCTTTGCTCTGGGAGAACAAAGAGGTGCTGTCGGGCCCCCAAGGCTGGCAGGGCCTGAGGTGTTGCAGAGTTTGCTGGGATGTGGCCAGCTGCAATTATCCAAGCTGCTCCACAGCCGGATGGACGCCCTGCCCATTCGGGTCTGTCCGTCTTGCAGGGGTGGTGGGTGGCCACCAGAATTGTCCTGGGGAGAGAAAGGTGAGGGCAGGCCGGGAGATTGCAGTGGCTCATGCCTGTCATCCCAGCACTTTGGGAGGCCGAGACGGTGGATCACCTGAGGTCAGGGGTTCAAGACCAGCCTGGCCAACATGGTGAAACCCCCGTCTCTACAAAAATACAAAAATTAGCCAGGCACGGTGGCTCACACCTGTCATCCCAGCACTTTGGGAGGCCGAGGTGGTGGATCACCTGAGGTCAGGAGTTCGAGACCAGCCTGGCCAACATGGTGAAACCCCGTCTCTACAAAAATACAAAAATTAGCCAGGCATGGTGGCTCACACCTGTCATCCCAGCACTTTGGGAGGCCGAGGCAGGAGGATTGTTTAAGCCCAGGAGGTCAAGACCAGCCTTGGCAACATGGCGAGCCCCATCTCTAGAGAATATTTAAAAATTAGCTGAGCATCCTGGCGTGTGCCTGTGGTCCCAGCTACTCGGGAGGCTGAGGTAGGAGGATCGTTTGAGCCTGGGAGGTTGAGGCTTCAGTGAGCCGAGATCTCACCACCGCTCTCCAGCCGAGGCAGGAATGAAAGACTCTGTCCCTAAAAGCATTAAATTTTAAAAAGCAGCCAGATATCGTGGCTCACACCTGTTATCCCAGCACTTTGGGAAGCTGAGGTGGGAGGATCACCTGAGGTCAGGAGTTCGAGACCAGCCTGACCAACATGCTGAAACCCCGTCTCTACAAAAATACAAAAATTAGCCAGACGTGGTGGCTCACACCTGTCATCCCAGCACTTTGGGAAGCTGAGGCAGGCAGATCACCTGAGGTCAGGAGTTCGAGACCAGCCTGGCCAACATGGTGAAACCCCGTCTTTACAAAAATAGAAAAATTAGCTGGGCATGATGGCGGGTGCCTGTAATCCCAGCTACTTGGGAGACTGAGGCAGAAGAATCACTTGAACCCAGGAGACAGACGTTGCAGTGAGCCGAGATCACAGCATTGCACTCCAGCCTGGACAGCAGAGCGAGACTCCCTCTCGAAAAAATAAAAATAAAAATAAAATAAAAAGCGAGAATGGGGAGGGAAGAGTAGCGAGGAAGATTCCGGAAGACTCTGCTCCTCTGTGGGATGTAGGTCCAGGAACAAAGAGCTGGGTCAGCGCTTCCCAGGGAGGTGAGGAAGGAGGGAGCCACAACGGTTGTAGAGGGAGAGAAGCTCCTTCCTTCATCCACCTGAGCCCGGGTCTCCTGTGTGGCCACAGCCTCTGCAGCCTCTGCCCCACCTGCAGCTGCTCAGAAATGCAAACTCACCCACTGTATGACATGCTCTGGATCTCAGTCGGCCTTCGCCCCGCAGACCTGGGTGGTTGATCGAACACTAAAGCTCCAGACCTGGAGATGCCTCAGAGGAAGCACCTGGCAAGTAGGATCTCCCTGGTCCTGCGCCGACCCAAAGCTCCCAGCTAGGTGCGTGCAGTGAGAGGTCAAAGAGGGATCAAGTTTATATCTGCCGCTTGCATTCCGCACGATGACTTAAAACAAACAAACAAAACAAACAAACAAAAAAAAACAAAAAACCCAGCCGAGCACAGTGTCATCCCAGCACTTTGGGAGGCCGACAGGGGTGGATCACGAGGTCAAGAGATCGAAACCAGCCTGGCCAACGTGGTGAAACCCCGTCTCTACTAAAAATACAAATATTAGCTGGGCGTGGTGGCGGGCACCTGTAACCCTAGCAACTCGGGAGGCTGAGGCAGGAGAATCACTTGAACCCGGGAGGCGGAGCTTGCAGTGAACAGAGATCATGCCCCTGTACTCCAGCCTGGCGACAGAGCGAGACTCTGTCTCAAAATGAATAAATAAATAGGAAAGTAGTGTGGGTCTGCATTCTGCAGGTTTTGGAAACACATTTCCGAGTGCATATTTCAGGTGAGGAGAGGTGGGGACTCCAGGCAGCGTGCACAGTTTAGACTCTAACCGTGGGCCGGGAGTGGTGGCTCACTCCTATAATCCCAGCACTTTGGGAGGCCGAGGTGGGCGGATCACAAGGTCAGGAGTTCGAGACCAGCCTGGCCAATATGGTGAAGCCCCATCTGTACTAAAAATCCAAAAATTAGCCAGATGTGGTGGCGTGCACCTGTCATCCCAGCTACTGGGGAGGCTGAGGCAGGAGAATCGCTTGAACCCGGTGGAGGCGGAGGTTGCAGTGAGCCGAGATCGCGCTGCTGTACTCCAGCCTGGGTGACAGAGCGAGACTCCCTCCCAAAAAAAGAAACCACCGTAACTGTGGCAGTAAGAGGCCAGGAACTCTCACAGATACCTCGTCCAAAACCGGCAAAGGAGAGGATGGAACATTTGCTGTAGAGGTTTTCCTGCCTCTTCATAACTCCTTGAGGCTGTGTCCTCATCCATCTTCCAGAAACCAAAAACCCTTCACACATCGCCCCTTTTGTCCCGAGCGGCGCCCGCTGCCACCTGCTTGGCAAAATAAAACGTAAGTGGAAAAATGCTCCCTTTTCCATTTTCCTCTCTAATTGAATTCTCTCCTGACCTCTCGGTTCCCCACGGCTGTGTTTCAGGTTTTGATGATAAGGAAAAGAACTCTGTATTTGGATAATACGATTTTCAGCAACCTTCAACTCAATTTCCTCTCCCCGGAGACAGTGTATCTTATAGGATAGAATGAAATCCCTTATTCATAGGGAAAAAGTTCCAATTTAATCTGAATATTCAGCGTGCCGCCGTGGCCGGGGTGATGGATGGCGTATGGAAATATCACAGTTCAAGCAATCAGATGTCAGAATGCACTCTGCTACTGGAAGAAATAATGACGCCTATCCAATTTTCTATAAGGCGCAGAAATGCACGTTGCATCGTGAGGACCCCGGCTTTCTCCTATTACCTTACTAATCACATCTCCATTTAAACACAGAACAGAAAAGGAAGCGTGGTCACAAATTAAGAATTAATGGAAGTGAGACTCCGCAATGGATTCGGGGCCGAGGGCCAAAGGCGGCCGCCACGTGCCGCTATTTACATGAAGTCACAGAGATGACGGGGATGAGCGGGGTCCCCTTGTCAGAAGCTGCTGGGCCAGATGAACCTGACAAGTATCTCCTAAGAAGGATTTAGAAAAGGGGAAGATGAAATCTTTGGAGGTAATGGAGAATTAGAAGCATGTCATTACCTATAAATCCTGCGGCCCTGCACACGCTGTTGACAGCCCGGAAGATGAGACTGGCTGAGAGGAAAAAGATTCTGAGCCTGGAACAAGCGGACCCAGATTCTAGGTGGCCAGGCTGTGTGGTTGCTTTTATCATTCCGGGAGACTTTCGGGAGGAAATGTTTGCAAAGAGCACGCAGATGGGGAAATGTTTGCAAAGAGCACGCAGATGGCATTTTCTTTTCTCTCTATTTTTTTTTTTTTGAGACGTAGTTTTTGCTCTTGTCGCCCAGGTTGGAGCCGCCTCCCGGGTTCAAGCGATTCTCCTGCCTCAGCCTCCCAAGTAGCTGGGATTACAGGCACCTGCCACCACGCCCGGCTACCTTTTATATTTTTAGTAGAGACTGGGTTTTGCCGCGTTGGCCAGGCTGGTCTCGAACTCCCGACCTCAGGAGATCTGCCCGTCTCGGCCTCCGAAAAGTGCTGGGATTACAGATGTGAGTCACCGCGCCTGGCCAGCATTTTGTATCACCCCTAACTGCATCTATTTTGGTGTTGTTCATGATAATAATAAATGTCATGCATATCTCTGATTGAACTTGGCCCGTGCTTGAGCTCATTAGAAACAGGTTTTCCTATGTGTCATCTCTTATTTTTCTTGGTAATACTTGGAGCTGAGATTTCTTTTTCTCTCTCTTTCTTCCTCTCTCTTTCTCTCTTTCTTCCTCTCTCTTTCTCTCTTCCTTCCTCTCTCTTTCTCTCTTCCTTCCGAGACAGGGTCTCACTCCGTTACCCAGGCTGGAGTGCGGTTGTACGATCACAGCTGCTGTCTTGACCTCCTAGGCTCAAGTGATCCTCCACCCTCAGCCTCCCGAGTAGCTGAGACTGCAGGCATGCACCGCCATGCCCGCCTAATTTTTTTATTTTTTTCTAGAGATGGGGTCTGACTATGTTGCCCAGGCTGGTCTCAAACTCTTGGCCTCAAGCAATCCTCCTGCCTCGACCTCCCAAAGTGCTGGGATTACAGGCGTGAGCTACCGCACGCAGCCTTGAATCCTTTTAATAAGTACTTTCCTCTTATCCACGACCCAGAACATCACACTGTAGACAGTTGTTTAGGGTTTTGAAAGATTTATATTTTTAATTTTTTTTTTTTTTTTGAGACAGTCTTGCTCTTTTGCCCAGGCCGGACTGCAGTGGCACAATCTCGGCTCACTGCAAGCTCCACCTCCCGGGTTCACGCCATTCTCCTGCCTCAGCCTCCCGAGTAGCTGGGACCACAGGTGCCCACCACCACGCCCGGCTAATTTTTTGTATTTTTAGTAGAGGTGGGATTTCACCGTGTTAGTCAGGATGGTCTCGATCTCCTAGCCTTGTGATCCGCCCGCCTCAGCCTCACGAAGTGCTGGGATGACAGGCGTGAGCCACCGCGCCCGGCCAATTTTTTTTTTGAGCTAGGATCTCACTCTGTCACCAGGTTGGAGTGCAGTGGTGCGATCTCAGCTCACTGCAACCTCCGCCTCCCAGGCTCAAGCGATCCTCCCACCTCAGCCTCCCAATTAGCTGGGACCACAGGCACCTGCCACCACACCTGGCTAATTTTTTTTGTAGAGACGGGGTTTTGACATGTTGTCCAGGCTGGTCTCAAACTCCTGAGCTCAAGCAATCTACTGGTCTCGGCCTCCCAAAGTGCGGAGATGACCACCATGAGTGACCGTGCCAGGCCTCTGTTTTTAATTTTGTAATTGAGATACATTCCACATAACATAAAAGGAACCGTTTTAAAGTGAACAGGGGCATTTAAAACATCCACAATGGCGTACCACCACCTCTGTCTAGTTCCGGAACACTTGCGCTGGGCATGGTGGTTCACGCCTGTCATCCCAGCACTTTGGGAGGCCGAGGCGGGCGGATCACCTGAGGTCAGGAGTTCAAAACCAGCCTGGCCAACATGACGAAACCCCATCTCTACTAAAAATACAGAAGTTAGCTGGGTTTGGTGGCTGGTGCCTGTAATCCCAGATACTTGGGAGGCTGAGGCAGGAGAATCACTTGAGCCTGGGAGGCGGAGGTTGCAGTGAGCCGAGATCACGCCACTGCGCTCCAGGCTGGGCCACAGAGCGAGACCCGGTCTCAAAAATAAACAAACAAACCAACAACAACAAAAGGTCTGGAGCATTTTCTTCACCCCAAAAGTAAACCCTGTCCCCATTAACAGTCATTCGTCCCCCTCCCCATCCCCTGGCAACCACCCATCCACTTTCTGCCTCCATGGATTTGCCTGTTCTGGACCTTTCCTAGAAATGGAATCTTACTCTATGTGGCCTTTTGTGTCTGGCTTCTCTCACGGAGTGTGACATCCTCAAGGCTCATCCACATTGCAGCCTGTGTCACAGCCTCGTTCCTTTTCATGGCTGCATACTATTCCACCATGTGGATGGACCACATTGTGCTAATCCACCCATCCACTGGTGGACACTTGAGTGGTTTCTGCTTTTGGGCCGTTACGAAATCCAGCTACTGTGAAACAGTTCACTTTTATTTTATTTTATTTATTTATTTTTTTGAGATGGAGTCTCGCTATCTCGCCTGTGCTATAGTGGCAGAATCTCGGCTCACTGCAAGCTCCGCCTCCCAGGTTCAAGTGACTCTCCTGCCTCAGCCTCCCGAGTAGCTGGGATTACAGTCACCCACCAGCATGCCCAGCTAATTTTTGTAGTTTTAGTAGAGACAGGGTTTCACCATGTTGGCCGGGCTGGTCTCGAACTCCTGACCTCAGGTGATCCACCCGTCTCAGTCTCCCAAAGTGCTGGGATGTTGCAGGCGTGAGCCACCGCGCTGGCCTCTAGGTGATTCTTTAACTAGAACGATAGATATCGGACTTTTGCTATGGGGTGGATTTTCCTCCTAATCTGAAATGAGGCAAAAAGTCTTAGCATGTCAGATGTGACGCCTTCTTTTATTTCGCTCAGCATAAATTTTAAGCAAATTGAGAATGGAGCCTGGGTACCCATTTCGGTAAAAGCTTTGTTTTTTTTTTTCTGCGTAAGACCTACATTTGACTCAGAGTGTAGTTGGTGAAATGCACATTTTTCTTAATGACAGAAGGACGTATTTCTTTCTTTCTTTCTTTCTTTTTTTTTTTGAGACAGACTGTCACTCTGTCGCCCAGGCTGGAATGCAGTGTCGTGATCTCAGCTCACTGCAAGCTCCGCCTCCCGGGTTCACGCCATTCTCCTGCCTCAGCCTCCCTAGTAGCTGGGACTACAGGCACCCGCCACCACGCCCGGCTAATTTTTTGTATTTTTAATAGAGACAGGGTTTCACCATGTTAGCCAGGATGGTCTCGATCTCCTGACCTCGTGATCCGCCTGCCTCAGTCTCCCACAGTGCTGGGATTACAGGCGTGAGTTACCGTGCCCGGCCGAAATGCACATTTTTCTGAATGACAGAAGGATGTATTTCTTTTTTTTTTTCTTTTTTTGAGACAGAGTCTCGCTCTGTCACCCAGGCTGGAGTGCAGTGGCGCGATCTCGGCTCACTGCAAGCTCCACCTCCCGGGTTCATGCCATTCTCCTGCCTCAGCCGCCTGAGTAGCTGGGACTACAGGCGCCCGCCACCACGCCCGGCTAATTTTTTTGTATTTTTAGTAGAGACGGGGTTTCACCGTGTTAGCCAGGATGGTCTCGATCTCCTGACCTCGTGAGCCGCCCACCTCGGCCTCCTAAAGTGCTGGGATTTACAGGCGTGAGCCACTGCGCCCGGCCAGAAGGACGTATTTCTGATAGCCAGGGGTAGTGATTTACAGCACTGTAGTACAGAAAACTGTTTTTTTCCTCTTTGTAAAAGGAGTAGTTGCTGATTGGAGAAAACTTGGGAAGTACAGAGAGTATTCAAAAATCAGGGCTGGGCTTTGGGAGGCTGAGGCAGGCGGATCACAAGGTCAGGAGTTCGTGACCAGCCTGACCAACATGGTGAAACCCCGTCTCTACTAAAAATACAAAATTAGCTGGGTGGGGTGGTGGGCACCTGTAATCCCAGCTACTCAGGAGGCTGAGGCAGGAGAACCACTTGAACCCAGGAGGCGGAGGTTGCAATGAGCCGAGATTGCACCACTGCACTCCAGCCTGGGCAACAGAGCGAGATGCCATCTGAAAAAAAAAAAAAAAAAAAAAAAGCCGGGCCGGATGGCTCCTGCCTGTAATCCCAGTACTTTGGGAGGCTGAGGTGAGAGGATCACTGGAGCCTAGGAATTTGAGATGAGCTTGGGCAACATAGCAAGACCCCATCTCTACCAAAAAGCAAAATTAGCTGGGCATGGTGGCCCATGCTGTAGTCCCAGCTACTCGGGAGGCTGAGGCAGGCGGATTACTTGATCCCAGGAGTTTGAAACTAGTCTGGGCAACGTAGTGAGATGCCATCTCTACCCCCCCCCCAAAAAAAATTAGCCCAGCATGGTGGTGTGCACCTGTAGTCCTAGCTACTCGGGAGGCTGAGGTGGGAGGATCACTTGAGCCCAGGAGGTCAAGGCTGCAGTGAGCCGAGATCACACCATTGCATTCCAGCCTGGGCAACAGAGCAAGACCCTGTCTCACATAAAATAAAATAAATAGGCCGGGCGCAGTGGCTCATGCCTGTCATCCCACACTTTGTGAGGCCGAGGCGGGCGGATCACGAGGTCAGGAGTTTGAGACCATCCTGGCCAACATGGTGAAACCCCGTCTCTACTAAAAATACAAAAAAAAAAAAATAGCCGGGCATGGTGGCGGGCGCCTGTAGTCCCAGCTACTCGGGAGGACGAGGCAGGAGAATGGCGTGAACCCGGGAGACGGAGCGTGCAGTGAGCCGAGATCGTGCCACTGCACTCCAGCCTGGGCGACAGAGCGAGACTCCGTCTCAAAAAAAAAAAAAAAGTCCAGACATGGTTGTTCAACAGCACAGAGGGACGTCTTGCTGAGAAGTGGCCGGACGAGGCTGCCCCAGACACCGCAGCCCTCTCCTCCTGCCCCCCACACCCTCCAGGACTGAAGAGGCCGTAGGCTCGGCCGGCAGCATCTGCTCCCTTTGTCCTCCAAAGGAACCCGTGTGTGGAAGGAATGCCTCCGGGGAGAACAGCTGACGTCCGGTGCCGTTTTGGCAGCACGGAACCCCAGTTATTTTCAGATGTCTTGTTCGTGCCCCAGAGGTCAGGGACCAGCAGCTTTCAGGAAGCCTCGGCCAGGCACTGCGTTAACTCCGCGATGACTTTCTGGCTGCAGAATCCCAACTATGCAATTCACTCTTAATCCCCAGCTTCAAGGCACTGTCAGGCGTTTCCGTGACAAAAACTCTCTCTTTTTTTTTTCTTTTCTTCTTTTGTTTTTTTTTTTTTTTTTTTTGAAATGGAGTCTTGCTCTGTCACCCAGGCTGGAGTGCAGTGGTGTTATCTCTGCTCACAGCAACCTCCGCCTCCCGGGTTCAAGCGATTCTCCTGCCTCAGCCTCCCGAGTAGCTGGGACTACAGGCACCCGCCACCACGCCCGGCTAATATTTTGTATTCCTTGTAGAGATGGGGTTTCAGCATCTCTACGCTATTTCCAAATAAGGTCCCAGGCTGGGGGCGGTGGCTCACACCTATAATGTTGGCCAGGCTGGTCTCGACCTCCTGACCTCAAGCGATCCACCCGCCTCGGCCTCCCAAAATGCCGGGATGACAGGCGTAAGCCAACGCGCCCGGCCAGAAACCTGCTATATTCTGCACCGTTTTTCCGGGTCCAGGCAGACGTGGGTCCCTGTGGTTTCAGAGCACAAGTGGTGTTTTATGGAATCATCTTCGCTGTGGCAAGCACACTATGGTAGATGGGATAGGGTGGGTGTTGGTGGTGAGGAAGAGGTCGTGCCCGTCCGTGGATGACGTGGGAAGCTCTCGAAGAGTTGCTGGCATTTGTACCTGTTTGCACGCAGCAGCGCTCTGAGTGGCAGAGACAGGATGTCCCCCAGATCCCACGTCCCCGCAGTTGTTAGTGAGACGGATGCCTCGGGATGTGCCTTGGTCTCTGGTTTGAGAACGTTTCTGTTGACTTGCCATTTTCTAACCACGGGGCGCACAGCAGAGTCAGAACTGGGTTACAGAACGTGGGCTATGGACTCCAGTTGCCTTTCTGACCTACTTTATTTTGTTTTGTTATTTTATTTTATTTATTTATTTATTTTTTGAGACGGAGTCTCGCTCTGTCGCCCAGGCTGGAGTGCAGTGGTGCGATCTCGGCTCACTGCAAGCTCCGCCTCCCGGGTTCACACCATTCTCCTGCCTCAGCCTCCCGAGTAGCTGGGACTACAGGCGCCCGCCACCACACCCGGCTAATTTTTTGTATTTTTAGTAGAGACGGGGTTTCACCGTGTTGGCCAGGCTGGTC
The DNA here is from genome assembly GCF_000001405.40 of Homo sapiens. Lineage (NCBI taxonomy): Eukaryota > Metazoa > Chordata > Mammalia > Primates > Hominidae > Homo > Homo sapiens. Next base: position 399,031 of record NC_000023.11, read on the forward strand.
TCAAACTCCTGACCTCAAGTGATCGGCCCACCTTGGCCTCCCAAAGTGCTGGGATTACAGGCGTGAGCCATCACGTCCGGCCTTCAAGTACACTTTCTGTTGAATGCATACTGCTTTCTCTCCAGCATAAAGTTAAAAAATCCTGAATTGCACCATTGGAAGCTGGGGACTGTCTGTATGCAATATTATGTATAGTTTGATTTCTTTTTTTGCATTTTTTTTTTAAATTTTTTTGAGACAGAGTTACACTCTTGTTGCCCAGGCTGGAGTGCAGTGGCACGATCTCAGCTCACTGCAACCTCCACCTCCCGGGTTCAAGCAATTCTCCTGCCTCAGTCTCCCAAGTAGCTGGGATGACAGGCGTGAGCCACCACGCCCGGCTAATTTTGTATTTTTAGTGGAGATGGGGTTTCTCCATGTTGGCCAGGCTGGTCTCGAACTCCTGACCTCGTGATCCGCTCGCCTCAGCCACCCAAAGTGCTGAGATAACAGGCGTGAGCCACCGTGCCTGGCTAATTTTGTATTTTTAGTGGAGATGGGGTTTCTCCATGTTGGCCAGGCTGGTCTCGAACTCCTGACCTCGTGATCCGCTCGCCTCAGCCACCCAAAGTGCTGAGATAACAGGCGTGAGCCACCGTGCCGGGCTAACTTTGTATTTTTAGTGGAGATGGGGTTTCTCCATGTTGTCCAGGCTGGTCTCGAACTCCTGACCTCATGACCCGCTCGCCTCGGCCACCCAAAGTGCTGAGATGACAGGCGTGAGCCACCGTGCCCGGCTAATTTTGTATTTTTAGTGGAGATGGGGTTTCTCCATGTTGTCCAGGCTGGTCTCGAACTCCTGACCTCATGACCCGCTCGCCTCGGCCACCCAAAGTGCTGAGATGACAGGCGTGAGCCACCGCGCCCGGCTAATTTTGTATTTTTAGTGGAGACGGGGTTTCTCCATGTTGGCCAGGCTGGTCTCGAACTCCTGACCTCATGACCCGCTCGCCTCGGCCACCCAAAGTGCTGGGATGACAGGCGTGAGCCACCGCGCCCGGCCACAGTTACACACGGACACAGAGCCAAGGGGCCACCTGAACTCCCTCTCAGCCCTGGAATGAAAGACCATAGGACCAGGCGCGGCGGCTCATGCCCACAATCCCAGCACAGTGGGAGGCCGAGGCAGGAGGATCGCTTGAGGCCTGGAGTTCGAGACCAACCTGGGCCACCTAGCAAGACCCTGCCCCTACCAAAAAATGTAAACAATAAAAATAAATGAAAAGCAACAATAAAAGAAGGTAGACCACGTGTTGCGGGACCTTCCTCTCCTGGGGCGCCTTGTGGGTGTGGGCAGGGGAGGCTATTCCCGGCCTTTCACGTTCTAAAAACATCCCGTGGAAAGTGTACAGACGGCATCTGTGGGGCTCACCTCTGTGCCCGTCACTCGATCGTGGGCCTGCTGAGTGGCGCTATTTTTGGAGGGCAGCTGGGGGAGGGAGGAATTGGTACGATTTTGCTATTATAGGAAGGAAGACTAAGGGATTCCTAGGCTTGCTTACATGCTTTTTTTTTTTTTGAGACGGAGTCTCGCTGTGTCGCCCAGGCTGGAGAGCAGTGGCCCCATCTCATCTGACTGCAAGCTCTGCCTCCCGGGTTCACGCCATTCTCCAGCCTCAGCCTCCTAGAGAGTAGCTGGGGCTACAGGCGCCCGCCACCAACACCCGGCTAATTTTTTGTATGTTTAGTAGAGACAGGGGGTCTCACCGTGTTAGCCCGGATGGTCTCAAGATCTCCTGAACTTGTGATCCGCCCGCCTCGGCCTCCCAAAGTGCTGGGATTAGAGGCGTGAGCCACCGCGCCCGGCCGCCTACATGATTGTTATAAGCCATGACCCTTTCGGCATATGAGAGAGTGTGTGAATCCTGTCAGTTCAGGGTTAGAAGCCCAGGATGCATGATTGAGGTGGCTGTCTGCAATAGCAACTTGCTTTCTCATGGCAGAAAATTAGATTTTTTTTTTTTCTTTTTGAGACAGACTCTTTCTCTGTCACTCAGACTGGAGTGCAATGGCACGATCACAGCTCACTGCAGCCTCAAACTCCTGGGCTCCAGCAATCCTCCCACCTCAGCCTCCTGAGCACCAGGGACCACAGGCGTGCACCACCATACCCAGCTAATTTTTAAATTTCTTTAGAAATGAGATCTCGCTATGTTGCCCAGGCTGGTCTCAAACTCCTGGGCTTAAGCCATCCTCCTGCTTCAGCCTCCCAAAGTGCTGGGATTACAGGCGTGAGCCACTGCACCTGGCCCATGTATGCATTTTAATATATATTAAAGAGACGGAGTTTCGCTCTTGTCACCCAGGCTGGAGGGCAGTGGTGCGATCTTGGCTCACTGCAACCTCCGCCTCCCAGGTTCAAGCCATTCTCCTGCCTCAGTCTCCCAAGTAGCTGGGATTACAGGTGCTCACCACCATGTCTTCTATCCTTAAAGAACGGGGAAATTTGGGTGCAGATGTGTGTGTGTGTGTGTGTGTGTGTGTATGTGTGTGTGTGTATATATCTGTGTGTGTGTATATATGTGTGTGTCTGTATATATATGTGTGTATGTGTGTATATATATAAAATACAATATAAATTTTTTAAAAAATATAGTTTATAAAATTATGTTTTATAAAAAATTTTAAAATATAGAAACAAAATTATAGTTTGTAAAAACATTTTTACACATATGACAATATGTAAAATTGTATTTTATAAAAAGTTTTAAAATATGAAAATATATAAAATTACATTTTATAAAAACATAAGCCCTTCACCCTTCTTCTGTATTAAATTAGCAACCTGCAAAGCTGACCTCCGGGAGTCTCAGAGAGGCTGGCTTGTTTAATGGAACCGTGTATTCTTTTTTGTTTGTTTGTTTTTTGAGGCGGAGTCCCGCTCTGTCGCCTGGGCTGGAGTGCAGTGGTGCAATCTGGGCTCACTGCAAGCTCCGCCTCCCGGGTTCACGCCATCCTCCTGCCTCAGCCTCCCGAGTAGCTGGGATGACAGGTGCCCGCCACCACGCCCGGCTCATTTTTTGTAGTTTTGGTAGAGACGGGGTTTCACTGTGTTACCCAGGATGGTCTCGATCTCCTGAACTCGTGATCCACCCGCCTCGGCCTCCCATAGTGCTGGGATGACAGGCGTGAGCCACCGTGCCCGGCCAGAAGAAAGCCTTTATGGAGAAGAATGTTGACACTATGACAGCGAATTGTGTGCCTGCTGGCTGTCTGGGTTTAACCCACCCCTCACAGCCCCACCCAGCCCCCACCAATCAGAACGTGAGCCGCCGAGGACAGGAAGGTTTCTCCTTGGTCTGTTTCTCTCACTACAGGGACCCCGGGAAATAGAATGGCACCTGTCACACGGTAGCTTTCAGACAGACACATTCAGAGTCCAGAATGTTCACCATTACACCATGGAACTGTCTTCACGGTAGCTTCCTAATACATGTTTGTTCCCTCGATAAATGAAACAAGGGCGTCGGGGCTCCAGCCTGTCATCCCAGCACTTTGGGAAGTAGAGGTGGGTAGGTTCCTTGAGTTCAGGAGTCTGAGACCAGCCTGGACAACACAGCAAGATCCAGTCTCTGCAAAAAAAAAAAAAATACACTAAATTAGCCGGGCATGGTGGCACCTGCCTGTAGGCCCAGCTACAAGGAGATAGGAGGATCACTTTAAATGTTTTGAGTCACCAACTTGGAAACATTCTTTTTGTAGAATCTCCAAAGTGACGTTTCTGAGTCCATCGAGGCTTGTAAGGAAACATAGAATATCCAATGATAAAAGCTAGAAACAAGCTATCTATGAAAATGCTTTGATGTGTGACTGAGTATGTGTGTGTGAGGGTATGTGTGAGTGCGTGAGTGTGAACGTATGAGTATGTGTGTGTGTGTGAGGGTGTGTGTGTGAGGGTATGTGTGTGTGATTCAGCATTTGGCTCTGTGAGGGTACGTGTGAGTGTGAGCACGTGGCTATTTGTGTGTGTGTGAGGGTATGTGTGAGTGCGTGTGTGATTGAGCACGTGACTGTATGTGTGTGCATGTGTGTGAGGGTACGTGTGAGTGCGTGAGCCTGTGACTGAGCACGTGGTTCTGTGTGTGCGTGTGTGTCCTTGCAGCTGGCAGGGGGTGTTGCCCAGGGAAGAACTGGGGGAAGCAGCTTTCTCCCCACTCAGGAGAGGGCCCGCACAGGGGAGCGGCCACGCAGGCCGCGCAGGAGCTTGTCCTCCTGACTTGGAGTCCCTGGCAGGAACCTGATGCTGGAGTGAAGAATATGCCTCGTTTAGGGGGCACCGTGGTTCCCACTTCCCAGCTGAGGAAGCCCCTTGGAGACAGTGGGGCTGAGATTCAGAGCCCGCCCTGGGACCCACAGTCGGATCGCTGCTCTCCCTAGGAGACCTCCTGGGCTCCCATTTTCCCTTCTCTGCCACAGTTGCCACCTGCGTGCTGGGGCGGCAAAGCGTAAAGGCTGGCAGGTCCTTCCTCAACCCCGGAAGGTGGGAACCACAGCACGGTCATTGCCGGCGTAAAACCCCAGGGCCGTCAGGTGCTGTGTGCAGATTGAACAGCTTCATGCTTCTACGCTCACCTGCAACGGAATAGGTCGGCCCCTGGGACCACATTGTGAAATGCAATCTGAGCATTCTCTGGGCAATGACGGTGCAACCTGGACAGGCTCGGGGGGTCCCCAGCGCAGACATTGAACCTCCTCTTTGTCATTTTCCTAAAGGTTGGAAGTAGAAATCGTCCTAAATCATAGCCACGCGATTTCTCTCCGGAAAGGACGACATTTGGGTCATGTAGGGTTCACGTCTGCAAACTCTGAACTTCTTTTTTTTTCTTTTCTTTTCTTTTTCTTTTTTTTTTTTTTTTTTTTTTTTTTGAGATGGAGTCTTGCGCTGTTGCCCAGGCTGGAGTGCAGTGGTACGATCTCAGGTCACCACAACCTCCGCCTCTCTGGTTCAAGCGATTCTCCTGCCTCAGCCTCCCGAGTAGCTGGGATTACAGGCACCTGCCATCATGCCCAGCTAATTATTATTATTATTATTTTTTGAGACGGCGTCTCTCTCCGTCTCCCAGGCTGGAATGCAGTGGCACGATCTCGGCTCACCGCAACCTCCACCTCCCAGTTCAAGCGATTCTCCTGCCTCAGCCTCCCGAGTAGCTGGGATTACAGGTGTGCACCATCATGCCTGGCTAATTTTTGTATTTTTAGTAGAGACGGGGGTTTCACCTTGTTGGCCAGGCTGGTCTCGAACTCCTGACCTCAGGGGATGCACCCACCTCAGCCTCCCAAAGTGCTGGGATTATAGGCATAAGCCACCGCACCCGGCCACCCCTGCACTTCTTTGTGTCCTTTCTTTCAAGGAAAGGACACAATGCTGGAATTATTAAATAAGTCCTCTTTGAGATAAACGGGAATGGTTCGTGTCTTGACAGTGAGCATTTGCAGTAGAAATCACGCACACTCAGCAGAGGGCTGCACAAGGCCAGCCGTGCTCCACCTGCCCCCCTCAAAAATCGGCCTCCGCACCTGCTGCGGCCATTTCATTACATCTCAAAACAACGTCAACTTATTTAATAAATAGGAGAATTTTTAAATCAAGTCCCGAGGCAGGATGTATAAACTTTAGTATTGATTATGCGTCCCTAAAAGCGCTCTCAGTAAAGGGACTTTGCTTCCTTTTCCTCAGGTTCCTATGAAGTCGTTTAATCCGTCTAACTCTTATTTTATGTTGTTTTCCCCGTTTTTATTACTTTATATGACAGTACATCTTTGTAGCCACAAACTCAATAGCATAATTGTGTGTTTTTTTTTCCCTGAGACAACAATGTGCTTTTTGTTCGAGGAGGTAATAATTCTTGACAAAATCTGTTTTAATGTCGTACCGAAAAAAAAAACAAACCCCACAAAACCCTTAACGGACATTTGTAGTCCCCATTGGATCTAAAACACTGTGATATTGTTTGTGTAATCTGCTTTTAAAGTCACCAAAAGTGCTTTGTTGTAAATACTCTGTGATAACATTTGCTTTGTTAACGTATTTTAAATGAAATATAGTTATAATTTCCCTCATGACATTTTCATTTAAATTTAAATGTCATGAGGGAAATTATAATTTAATTTAAAAAACGATTTAAATTTATTTAATAAATTTAATTAATAAATAATAATATATAATAAATATATAATAATAAATAAATAATCAAATTTGTTTAAATTTAAATTTATTTAAATTTATTCATTTATTTATTTATGTATTCATTTAGATAGTTATTTAAATTTATTTAAATTTATTATTATTTATTTTTATTTTATTTCATTTTATTTATTTTATTTTATTTTATTTTAGAGACAGGGTCTCCTTCTGTTGCCCAGCTTGGAGCGCACCTGTGTGATCTCGGCTCACTGCAGACTCCGCCTCCTGGGTTCAAGAGATCCTCCTGCCTCAGCGTGCATGCACCACCAAGCCTGGCTCATATTTTTTAGACATTTTAATTTTATTCAGGGTCACAAAGTTACCTTTTTTTTTTTTTTTTTTTTTTGAGACAGAGTCTTGCTCTGTCGCCCAGGCTGGAGTGCAGAGGTGCAATCTCGGCTCGCCGCAACCTCCGCCTCCCGGGTTCAAGCGATTCTCCTGCCTCAGCCTCCCGAGTAGCTGGGATGACAGGCACCCGCCACCACGCCCGGCTACTTTTTGTATTTTTAGTGGAGACGCGGTTTCACCATGTTGGCCAGGCTGGTCTCGAACTCCCGACCTCGAGTGATCCTCCCGCCTCGGCCTCCCAAAGTGCTGGGATGACAGGCATGAGCCACCTCGCCCGGCCACACAGTCACCTTTTTATGTGACGCGCATCGTGTAGATGGAAGAGAAATCAAACGGCACCGTCTGCCGGGGCGGGATTGCAGCCCGTTCCAATGTCTCATTTATTCCCCGGGTGCTGGGAGAGTCTCTGGGATGACAAGACTGATGGTTCCTAACCCAGGCCGGGGCAACGCATGACTTTTGACGCCTCGGAGAAGCCCTTCCTTCCTGGACTGTATTCTGACAGGGAGTGCGTCTCACGCTTTACCCGACGGCGCCCAGAGCGACCTTCATCGCGGCCCACCGGCCAGGGCCGTCTTCTGGATCTTCAGCGGCTTGAGGAACTTTCTGTCCCCTTCTGGGTTGACTGAATTTTTATCGCGAAAAGGCACTGCCTTTGCTCAAATGCTTTTCCTGCATTTCTGCAAATGGTCATGTGAGTTTGGCCCCTTAGCCATGAATACGGTGCGTCACATTCACTGGTTTTCCAGAAAAGAGCTGTATAGAGAGAGAATTTACACAGCTGACAATGTGTCCGTTTAAACTCTTCCAACCCGTGGCTTTCTGTATGCAGAGACTTGTGCCACCATCACCACAGTCTATTTTATTGCTTTACTTATATTTGTTTTTTTTTTTTTTTTTGAGACAGGGTCTCGCTCCTGTAGCCTTGGACTCTCAGGCTCAAGGGATCCTCCCTCCTCAGCTCCCCAAGTAGCCGGGCAACGTGGCTTCTCCCGAGTAGCTGGGTGACGCTGTTTCTCCAGAGTAGCTGGGTGACGCGGTTCCTCCCGAGTATCTGGGTGACGCGGCTTCTCCAGAGTTTCTGGGTGACGCGGCTTCTCCAGAGTAGCTGGAGGATGCTGTTTCTCCCGAGTAGCTGGGTGACGCTGTTTCTCCAGAGTAGCTGGGTGACGCGGTTTCTCCCGAGTATCTGGGTGAGGCGGCTTCTCCAGAGTTTCTGGGTGACGTGGCTTCTCCAGAGTAGCTGGAGGATGCTGTTTCTCCCGAGTAGCTGGGTGACGCCGTTTCTCCCGAGTAGCTGGGTGACGCTGTTTCTCCCGAGTAGCTGGGTGACGCTGTTTCTCCCGAGTAGCTGGGTGATGTTGTTTCTCCGGAGTAGCTGGTGACGCCGTTTCTCCCGAGTAGCTGGGTGACGCCGTTTCTCCCGAGTAGCTGGGTGACGCTGTTTCTCCCGAGTAGCTGGGTGATGTTGTTTCTCCGGAGTAGCTGGTGACGCTGTTTCTCCGGAGTAGCTGGTGATGCCGTTTCTCCAGAGTAGCTGGTGATGCCGTTTCTCCCGAGTAGCTGGGTGATGCTGTTTCTCCAGAGTAGCTGGTGACGCTGTTTCTCCAGAGTAGCTGGTGACGCTGTTTCTCCCGAGTAGCTGGGTGAAGCCGTTTCTCCAGAGTAGCTGGTGACGCCGTTTCTCCCGAGTAGCTGGTGACGCCGTTTCTCCCGAGTAGCTGGTGACGCCGTTTCTCCCGAGTAGCTGGTGACGCCGTTTCTCCCGAGTAGCTGGTGACGCCGTTTCTCCAGAGTAGCTGAGTGACGCCGTTTCTCCCGAGTAGCTGGTGACGCCGTTTCTCCCGAGTAGCTGGTGACGCTGTTTCTCCCGAGTAGCTGAGTGACGCCGTTTCTCCCGAGTAGCTGGTGACGCCGTTTCTCCCGAGTAGCTGGTGATGCTGTTTCTCCCGAGTAGCTGGTGATGCTGTTTCTCCCGAGTAGCTGGGTGACGCCGTTTCTCCCGAGTAGCTGAGTGACGCCGTTTCTCCCGAGTAGCTGAGTGACGCCGTTTCTCCCGAGTAGCTGGTGACGCCATTTCTCCTGAGTAGCTGAGTGACGCCGTTTCTCCCGAGTAGCTGGTGACGCCGTTTCTCCCGAGTAGCTGGTGACGCCGTTTCTCCCGAGTAGCTGGGTGACGCCGTTTCTCCCGAGTAGCTGGTGACGCCGTTTCTCCCGAGTAGCTGGTGACGCTGTTTCTCCAGAGTAGCTGGTGACGCTGTTTCTCCCGAGTAGCTGAGTGACGCCGTTTCTCCCGAGTAGCTGGTGACGCCGTTTCTCCCGAGTAGCTGGTGACGCCGTTTCTCCCGAGTAGCTGGTGACGCTGTTTCTCCAGAGTAGCTGGTGACGCCGTTTCTCCCGAGTAGCTGGGTGAAGCCGTTTCTCCAGAGTAGCTGGTGACGCCGTTTCTCCCGAGTAGCTGGTGACGCCGTTTCTCCCGAGTAGCTGGTGACGCCGTTTCTCCCGAGTAGCTGGTGACGCCGTTTCTCCCGAGTAGCTGGTGACGCCGTTTCTCCCGAGTAGCTGGTGACGCCGTTTCTCCCGAGTAGCTGGTGACGCCGTTTCTCCAGAGTAGCTGAGTGACGCCGTTTCTCCAGAGTAGCTGGTGACGCCGTTTCTCCCGAGTAGCTGGTGACGCCGTTTCTCCCGAGTAGCTGGTGACGCCGTTTCTCCCGAGTAGCTGGTGACGCCGTTTCTCCCGAGTAGCTGGTGACGCCGTTTCTCCAGAGTAGCTGGTGACGCTGTTTCTCCAGAGTAGCTGGTGACGCCGTTTCTCCCGAGTAGCTGGGTGATGTTGTTTCTCCGGAGTAGCTGGTGACGCCGTTTCTCCCGAGTAGCTGGTGACGCCGTTTCTCCCGAGTAGCTGAGTGACGCCGTTTCTCCAGAGTAGCTGAGTGACGCCGTTTCTCCCGAGTAGCTGAATGACGCCGTTTCTCCCGAGTAGCTGGTGACGCCGTTTCTCCCGAGTAGCTGGTGACGCCGTTTCTCCCGAGTAGCTGGTGACGCCGTTTCTCCCGAGTAGCTGGTGACGCCGTTTCTCCAGAGTAGCTGGTGACGCCGTTTCTCCCGAGTAGCTGGGTGACGCCGTTTCTCCCGAGTAGCTGGTGACGCCGTTTCTCCGGAGTAGCTGGTGACGCCGTTTCTCCCGAGTAGCTGGGTGACGCGGCTTCTCCCGAGTAGCTGGGTGACGCGGCTTCTCCCGAGTAGCTGGGTGACGCGGTTTCTCCAGAGTAGCTGGGTGATGCGGTTTCTCCCGAGTAGCTGGGTGACGCGGTTTTTCCTGAGTAGCTGGGTGACATGGTTTGGCTATGTCCCCTCCCAAGGTTTACCTTGAACGGTTATCATCCCCACGTGTCAAGGGCAGGGCCAGGTGGAGAGAATTGAATCATAGGGTCAGTTTCCCCCAGACTGTTCTCGTGGTAGTGAATAGGTCTCATGAGATCTGATTTTTTTTTTTTTTTTTTTTTTTGAGACAGAGTCTCGCTCTTGTCACCCAGGCTGGAGTGCAATATCATGATCTCGGCTCACTGCAACCTCTGCCTCCCAAGTAGCTGGGATTACAAGCACCCGCCACCACACCTGGCTAATTTTTTGTATTTTTAATAGAAACGAGGTTTCACCATGTTGGCCACGTTGATCTCAAACTCCTCACCTCAGGTGATCTACCCTCCTCAGCCTCCCAAAGTGCTGGGATGACAGGCGTGAGCCACCGTGCCCGGCCAAGATCTGATGGTTTTATAAATGGGAGCACCCCTCTATACGCCCTTTTTTTGCCTGCCGCCATGTAAGATGTGACTTTGCTCCTTCTTCGTCTTCCGCCATGATTGTGAGGCCTCCCCAGCCATGCGGAAATGTGAGTCCATTAAACCTCTTTCCTTTATAAATTACCCCATCTTCGTTATGCCTTTATTAGCAGCCTGAGAACAGACTAGTACACTTGGACTGTAGGTGCACAACACCATCCCCAGTTAAGTTTTTTTGGTTTGTTTTTTTGTAGAGAGAGGTTCTCCCTATATGCCCAGGCTGGTTTTGAACTCCTGGCCTCAAGTGATCCTCCTGTCCCAGCCTCCAAAACTGCTGGGATTATGGGTATGAACCATGGTGTCCAGACATCAGAATACATTTTATTTTATTTTTGTTTTACTTTATTTTATTTTTTTTTGAGGCAGAGTCTCGCTCTGTCGCCCAGGCTGGAGTGCAGTGGCACGATCTCGGCTCACTGCAACCTCCGGCTTCCAGGTTCAAGCGATTCTCCTGCCTCAGCCTCCTGAGTAGCTGGGATGACAGTCACCTGCCACCATGCCCGGGCTAATTTTTGTATTTTTAGTAGAGATGGGGTTTCACCATGTTGGCCAGTCTGGTCTCAAACTCCTGACCTCAAGTGATCCACCCGCCTTCGCCTCCCATAGTGCTGGGATGACAGGCGTGAGCCACCGCAGCAGGCTGGGGTGCAGCTAACTTGAAAGCAGGACACTCAGTGGGAGCCTTCAGGCTTTTTTTTTTTTTTGAGATGGAGTCTTGCTCTGTCACCCAGGCTGGAGTGCAGTGGTGTGATCTCGGCTCACTGAAACCTCCGCCTCCCGGGTTCAAACGATTCTCCTGCCTCAGCCTCCTGAGTAGCCGGGATTACAGGTGCCCGCCACCACACCTGGGTAATTTTGTATTTTTAGTAGAAATGGGGTTTCTCCATGTTGGCCAGGCTGGTCTTGAACTCTTGACCTCAGGTGATCCACACGCCTCGGCCTCCCAAAGTGCTGGGATGACAGGCGGGAGCCACCGCGCCTGGCTGCCTTCGGACCTCTCGGTGGGAGGAACGTGTGGGTCCTATCCAAGCATCAGCTCTGTCTCCTACCTGCTCTCACCTCCGTGGGCACGCCTGGTTCTCGGCACCCGTGGCAGCCGGGCTGTTGAGCCTCGGCTGGGGTTTGCAGAGGTTTTCTGGGAAGAGCTACTCCAATTCAGGCGGACTGGCAGATCTGGAGAATTCCATGACCCCGGGGACCCAGGGCAGCTGTCGTGACTGTGGGGTGCAAGGACCTGGTGGCCAGGTGGATCCCAGGCATTGCGATGGGCTCCACGGTGAGCTGTGGAAAAGAGCCTGGGTCCTGGATTTTATGTCTGGGAATCTGCTGACCACACTTGCCCAACTGCTTTACTCATAGTGGTAAAAGCAGCTACTTTTAGGCTGGGCACGGTGGCTCACGCCTGTAATCCCAGCACTTTGGGAGGCTGAGGCGGGTGCATCCCCTGAGGTCAGGAGTTCGAGACCAGCCTGGCCAACATGGCGAAACCCTGTCTCTACTAAAAATACAAAAATCACCTAGGCATGGTGGCATGCGCCTGTAATCCCAGCACTTTGGGAGGCTGAGGCGGGCGGATCACCCGAGGTCAGGAGTTCGAGACCAGCCTGGCTAACGTGTCGAAACCCTGTCTCTACTAAAAATACAAAAATCACCTGGGCATGGTGGCATGTGCCTGTAATCCCAGCTACTCAGGAGTCTGAGGCAGGAGAATTGCTTGAACCCAAGAGGCCGAGGTGGCAATGAGCTGAGATCGCGACATTTCACTCCAGCCTGGGTGACAAAGACTGAAACTCCGACTCAAAAAAAAAAAAAAAGAATGTTGTTGATGTCTGCCCCAAAGCAGCTTGCTTTAGTTATAGTGTTAAAAGTGGCTACTTTTAGGCCGGGCATGTTGGCTCACACCTGTCATCCCAGCGCTTTGAGAGGCCGAGGTGGGCGGATCACCTGAGGTCAGGAGTTTGAGACCAGCCTGGCCAACATGGTGAAACCCCATCTCTACTAAAAATACAAAAATCACCTGGTCACGGTGGTGGGCACCTGTAATTGCAGCTACTCGGAAGGCTGAGGCAGGAGAATTGCTTGAACCCGGGAGGCGGAGGTTGCAGTGAGCCGAGATCACACCATTGCACTCCAGCCTCGGTGGCAGAGTGAGACTGTGTCTAAATAAATAAATAAATAAATAAATAAATAAATAAATAAATAATTTGGGGCCGGGCGCGGTGGCTCACACCTGTAATCCCAGCACTTTGGGAGGCCGAGGCGGGTGGATCACGAGGTCAGGAGATCAAGACCATCCTGGCTAACACGGTGAAACCCCGTCTCTACTAAAAATACAAAAAAAATTAGCCGGGCGTGGTGGCGGCGCCTGTAGTCCCAGCTACTCGGGAGGCTGAGGCAGGAGAATGGCGTGAACCCGGGAAGCGGAGCTTGCAGTGAACCGAGATCGCGCCACTGCACTCCAGCCTGGGCGACAGAGCGAGACTCCATCTCAAAACAAAGAAACAAGCAAACAAACAAAAAAAAACTTAAAAATTAGCCAGCTGTGGTGGTGCACACCTATAGTCCCAGCTACTCAGGAGGCTGAGGCAGGAGAATGGGGTGAACCCGGGAGGCCGAGCTTGCAGTGAGCTGAGATGGCACCACTGCACTCCAGGCTGGGCGACAGAGCGAGACTCCGTCTCAAAAAAAAAAAACAAACTTAAAAATTAGCCAGCTGTGGCGGTGCACACCTATAGTCCCAGCTACTCAGGAGGCTGAGGCAGGAGGATTGCCTGAGCCTAGGAGGTCGAGGCTGCAGTTAGCTGTGATCGCACCACTGCACTCCAGCCTGGGCAACAGACCAAAACCTCGTCTCCAAAAAAAAAGTAAATAAATAAAGTTGCAATGACTCCCATTGCCGATTCAAAGAGCTTTTATGAATGTCTCAATATACTTGCCTAGCCTGTTTTTGGATTCAAACGCAAAGTTTTGTTCACCGTAGGTGGGAGATCAAGTTGGCAACAATAGTGTTCCAAGGTAATACACCCTGTATCTCAGAGAAATTGAAATATAACCATCTCAGAGGTTTTTTGTTTCTTTGGTTTTTTGAGACTGTCTCAAAGAAAAAAATTGAAACCCTGCTCCAGGGCTAGGAACCCACAAATTTGAGCACAGCTGTCACTGTCGGTATCAAACTTGTCTTTATTTTTTCAGCTGAGGTCTTGCTCTGTTGCCCAGGCTGGAGTGCAGTGTTGGGATCTCAGCTCCTTGCAGCCTCAACCCTCTGGGCTCCACCAATCCTCCTGCATCAGCCTCCCGAGTAGCTGGGACTACAGGTGTGCGCCACCATGCCTGGCCAATTTTAAATTTGTTTTTTGAGAGATGGGGGTCTTGCAATATTGTCCAGGCTGGTTTCAAACTCCTGGCCTCAAGCGATGCTCTCATATCGGCCTCCTGAGTGGTTGGGACTACGAGCGTGAGCCACCATGCTCGGCTGATTTTATTTTTAAATTGTTTGTAGAGGCCAGGTGCAGTGGGTCTTGCCTGTAATCCCAGCACTTTGGGAGGCCGAGGCCGGTGGATTGCTTGAGCCCAGGAGTTCAAGACCAGCCTTGCCAGTATGGCAAAACCTCATCTCTACTAAAAAAAAAAATACAAAAAAAAAAATTAGCCAGGTGTGATGGTGTGTGCCTGTTATCCCAGCTACTCGGGAGAGTAAGGCAGGAGAATTGCTTGAACCTGGGAGGCGGACGTTGCAGTGAGCTGAGATCGTGGGTGACAGCGAAAGTCTGTCTCAAAAAGAAAAAAAAAAATCAATGGTTTGTGAAAATACAGCCGGTGACCATGGACCCCCCTAGGCACAGCCTCAAGCCACCCAGAAGAAGATGGAAAAGGATTTTCTTTTAAATCAGCGAGATTTAAATAAGCATGGCGAGCACAGCTGGGAGGCCCCGCCAGGAATTCCGAAGGTTGAAAGGGGCCCTGTCCGCTCCCCCATCCTGGAAATAGTGTCCATGGAGCTGCGGAGTCCGGGTGGGCGCCGGGGACGAGCTTTCAACAGCTCACCCGGCCCCAACATTCCGTCCACACATTCCACGGCCAAGACAGTCACCCCCTGCCAGGGATTAACCGAGGGCCACGCTTAGTGGCAGGAATGCACGCGCCCGATTTAGACATCCCGCTTGGCATCGGCGGTCAGGGTGGCTTGCAAAGGCCCGGGGTGGGTGGATGCCGGAGACGCTGGAGCTCTGAGGTCTACAGGAGGAATTGCTTTTCCGATGGGCTGGTCAGGGAGGAAGGAAGCTGGGGAGAAGCCGGGAGTCCCAGCCTCCACAATGCCTGCCCTTCCAAGACGAGCCAGGCCCCCCGGACAGGATGGCAGCCCCCCTCCAGGCCAGCATGACTTCAGGCCTGGGGAATGTGCCACCTTCCGAATTAGAAGGGCACTGGTTCCCACCCGCGGGGAACCGTAACACAGCGTCTCCCTCCTTCCTCCAGGACCCACGGCTGAGCTCGGAGCTGCCCGAGAGCTCGGGATGTGGGGTGCAGAGCAGAGGAGAAACCTCCCCCGACCCCGGGTCCTTGGGGCATAGGGTCTTTTTCAGGGCCATCTGCGGAAAGAGGACCTGCGTCTTTACCACCCGGGGGCCCTTGTCTTTGCTGCTCAGCTGTGTTTAGGTCCCCGTTGCTGGGTGATACTGGGGAGACGTAAACAGACCTCGGTCAGCCGGGGCTGGGGCAGGAGCAGGTGCAGCTGGACTCCAGGGCAGGGGCCGACTGCTGTACACAGTCATGCTGAAAAGCATGTCAAAAATAAAAGGAGCAGGGGAAATGGCACCTTTTATTTTTTATTTTATTATTATTATTATCATTTTTGAGATGGAGTTTTGCTCTTGTTACCCAGGCTGGAGTGCAATGGTGTGATCTCGGCTCACTGCAACCTCCGCCTCCCGGGTTCAACGGATTCTCCTGCCTCAGCCTCCCGAGTAGCTGGGATGACAGGTGCCCACACCACGCCCAGCTAATTTTTGTATTTTTAGTGGAGATGGGGTCTCGCCGTGTCGGCCAGGCTGTTCTTGAACTCCTGACCTCAGGTGATCCGCCAGCCTCGGCCTCCCAAAGTGCTGGGACTACAGGCGTGAGCCACCGCGCCCGGCCTATTTTTTATTTATTTTATTATTAATATTTTTGAGGCGGAGTTTCACTCTTGTTGCCCAGGCTGGAGTGCGGTGGCGGGATCTCGGCTCACTGCAACCTCCGCCTCCCGGGTTCAAGTGATTCTCCTGCCTCAGTCTCCCAAAGTGCTGAGATTACAGGCGTGCACCACCACGCTCGGCTAATTTTGTGTTTTTAGTAGAGACGGGGTTTCACCATGTTGGTCAGGCTGGTCTCGAACTCCTGACCTCAGGTGATCCACCCTCCTCTGCCTCCCAGAGTGCTGGGATGACAGGTGTGAGCCACCTCACCTGGCCCTATTTTATTTTTATTTTTTGCAAGGAAGGAATGAAGGGATTTATTGAAAATGGAAGTACCCTCCACAGCGCGGGAGGAGACCGAGAAGAGGAGCTCAAAGACTAAAGGGACGGGCTTTTAAAGACATTTAATTAAAAGGAATTAAGTTTCCCTTATGACATTTAGAAAAAAGTC
Source organism: Homo sapiens (assembly GCF_000001405.40). NCBI lineage: Eukaryota > Metazoa > Chordata > Mammalia > Primates > Hominidae > Homo > Homo sapiens. The sequence continues at coordinate 415,069 of NC_000023.11, forward strand.
AAGTCCAAATGGTACAAAACGGTCAGCTTGCTTTGTGCCTTGGCGGCCGCGTATGAAACATCATTAGAATAGAACCGGAAGCGTCTAGATTTTCACTTTTCACCCTGAAAGATGAAACAGAGATGAAAGCAGTCACCAATTTTCTCTAATTATTTTGCAATTAAGCGTCCGAGCACCCCAGGTAGCGTGGACTCCCACAGCTCTTAAACCAAATACCTGACTGTCTGAAATTAATTATAAAAATGGATCAAGGGGTGGTTTTCACGTGGTGGCTGATGAATGCTTTCTGAGTCTTGTTTTCCTGTTTGTTTACCGTGGCACGTAAGACGTACAGAACATAAAATTCACCGTGTGAGCCATTTTTCGTTTGTTTGTTTTTGAGACGGAGTCTCGCTCTGTCACCCAGGCTGGAGTGCAGTGGTGTGATCTCGGATCACTGCAACCTCCGCCTCCTGGTTCAAGCGATTCTCCTGCCTCAGCCTCTTGAGGAGCTGGGACTGCAGACATACACCATCACACCTGGCCAATATTTAATTTTTTTTGTAGAGACAGGGTCTTGCTCTGTGGCCCAGGCTGGAGTGCACTGGTGCAATCTCCGCTCACTGCAGCCTCCACCTCCTGGGCTCAGGTGATCCTCCCACCTCAGCCTCCTGAGGAGCTGGGACTACAGACATACACCATCACACCTGGCCAATATTTAATTTTGTTGTAGGGACAGGCTCTTGCTCTGTGGCCCAGGCTGGAGTGCAGTGGTGCAATCTCAGCTCACTGCAGCGTCCACCTCCTGGGCTCAGGTGATCCTCCTGCCTCAGCTTCCTGAGGAGCTGGGACTACAGACAGGTGCCACCACTCCCAGCTAATTTTTAAATTTTTTTGTAGGGACAGACTCTTGCTCTGTTGCCCATGGTGATCTTGAACACCTGGGCTTGATGTATCTGCCCGCCCAAATCCCGCCTTTCATTTACACTGCCCCCACCCCTGCCCACCCCAGGGAAGGTCTTTATTCTTAAATCTGCCTTTCTGACCTCTCTTCCCAAATGTGTGTATTTCTAACAGATCTCCGAGTCCAGATCACGCACACCGTTTTCCATAATCCAGGGATTTGGAGCCGCCGGAGGGGTGAGGAGGGGAGGCGGCCGTGACTGCTAGGTGGAGGTGGGCTCTCGTAAACGTCGTTTTACGGGCAGGTGGAAACCTTTATAAGCCCACAAATACTTCAAGCCTGTTCCTGCCCCTGGGGCCCTGGAGACTTCTCAGAGGACCTAACGGGACCTGGCGAAAGGCCTTCATCACCAGCCCACTAGGAACTGTTCACCGTGTGCCCGGGGCTGCGTCTGGCACGGAGGTGAACGCTGAAGCCATCCCCCCACCCCCAGATCCCCAAGACGAGAGAGCGTTCCGTGAGGTCCAAATAAACGTCCCTCCTGGCACCTTCAAGGATGTGGTTTTTCTTTTCTTTTTTTTCGAGGCAGGGTCTTGGTCTGTTGCCCAGGCTGGGGTGCAGTGGCATGATCTTGGCTCACTGCAGCCTCCAATCCTTGGGCTCAAGCGATCCTCCTGCCTCAGCCTCCCGAGTAGCTGGGACCACAGGCATGCACCACTGTGCCAGCCTCATTTTGTATTTTCTGTAGAGATAGGGTCTCCCTATGTAGCCCAGGCTGGGGTGCAGTGGCATGATCTTGGCTCACTGCAGCCTCCAATCCTTGGGCTCAAGCGATCCTCCTGCCTCAGCCTCCCGAGTAGCTGGGACCACAGGCATGCACCACTGTGCCAGCCTCATTTCGTATTTTCTGTAGAGATAGGGTCTCCCTATGTAGCCCAGGCTGGGGTGCAGTGGCATGATCTTGGCTCACTGCAGCCTCCAATCCTTGGGCTCAAGCGATCCTCCTGCCTCAGCCTCCCGAGTAGCTGGGACCACAGGCATGCACCACCGTGCCAGCCTCATTTTGTATTTTCTGTAGAGATAGGGCCTCCCTATGTTGCCCACGCTGCTCTGAAACTCTGGGCTCCAGCGATCCTCCCATCTCGGCCTCCCAAAGTGCTGGGATTACAGGTGTGCAGTACGGCTCCCAGCCCTGATGTTGGGTTTGGAGAACAAGAGGGTGATACGTCGCCAAATTCAAACTCACGTCCTCCTGCTTCTGAGCATGTAGGGAGCTGGTGGGCGGGGAGGTGGGTGTGGGGCTGCGGCTCTGGGCTCCCCGGGTGCCCACGCTGAGCTGTCCAGGAGGCTGACAGGGAGGACGTCCCTTCGGTATCCCCCTTTTGCCACAGAAGAGCCCGTGTGGACCCCTGAGTCCCGGACCACCGGGCAGCCAACGCCATCTTGGGGTCTCCGGATTGAGACCCCAAGAGAGGGTACCTGGATCTCGTGCAAGAAAGAATTCACGGCAAGTTTGCAGTGCAAAATAAAAGCAAGTTTATTTAGAAAGTAAAATGGGGCCGGGCGCGGTGTTTCACGCCTGTCATCCCAGCAGTTTGGGAGGCCAGGGCGGGTGGATCACGAGGTCAGGAGATCGAGACCAGCCTGGCCAGCACGATGAAACTCCATCTCTACTAAAAATACAAAAAATTAGCCGGACGTGGTGGTGGGCACCTGTAGTCCCAGCTACTCGGGAGACCGAGGCAGGAGGATGGCGTGAACCCGGGAGGCGGAGGTTGCAGTGAGCTGAGATCGCGCCACTGCACTCCAGCCTGGGCGACAGAGCGAGACTCTGTCTCAAAAAAAAAAAAAAAAGAAAGAAAGAATTGTCTATACGGGTACACGTGCTCTGCTACAAAGGTTCGTGATAAAGGATTAATTTTCTTAATTACTATATTTTGCAAGAATCAGTATTATAGTTATTATTTTTTGAGATGGAGTCTCGCTCTGTCGCCCAGGCTGGAGTGCGGTGGCGCGATCTCGGCTCACTGCAACCTCCACCTCCCGGGTTCAAGCCATTCTCCTGCCTCAGCCTCCTGAGTAGCTGGGACTACAGGCACCCGCCACACCCGGCTAATCGTTGTACTTTTAATAGACACGGGTTTTACCATATTGGCCAGGCTGGTCTCGAACCCCTGACTACCTGATCCGCCCGCCTCGGCCTCCCAAAGTGCTGGGATGACAGGCGTGAAACACCGCGCCCGGCCGAGAATTGGTATTATGTTTAGAGCAAACTTAGGAAAATGCCTTTGTTCTCCAGATATTAAGATACCTGGACACTCCCAAGTCTGGGGCTGTTTAGTAAATACTTTTTTTTTTTTTTTGAGATGGAGTTTCGCTCTTGTTGCCCAGGCTGGAGTGCAGTGGTGCGATCTCAGCTCACCTCAACCTCCGCCTCCCGGGTTCAAGGAATTCTCCTGCCTCAGCCTCCCGAGTAGCTGGGATGACAGGCGCCCGCCACCACGCCCGGCTAATTTTGTATTTTTTTTAGTAGAGACGGGGTTTCTCCATGTTGGTCAGGCTGGCCTCGAACTGCCAACCTCATGTGATCCACCCACCTCAGCCTTCCAACGTGCTGGGATTACAGGCGTGAGCCACCGTGCCAGTAAACATTATCAATTTCTTCCTTTTTTTTTTTTTTTCTGAGATGGAGTCTCACTCTGTCCCCAGGCTGGAGTGCAGTGGTGCCATCTCTGCTCACCGCAACCTCCACCTCCCGGGTTCAAGTGATTCTCCCGCCTCAGCCTCCTGAGCAGCTGCGATTACAGGCACCCGCCACCACGCCCGGCTAATTTTTGTGTTTTTAGTAGAGACGGGGTTTCACCGTGTTGGCCAGGCTGGTCTCGAACTCCTGACCTCGTGATCCGCCCGCCTCGGCCTCCCAGAGCGCTGGGATTCCAGGCGTGAGCCGCATTCGTTCCCTTGACCGTAAACGTCTGCAGGCGAGGAATCAGCCGTCAGTCAAGAGGGAGTCACTGCGGTTCATTCGCCTCTGACAACGGGTCCTCCCGGACGCCGCGTGGCTTGTTCTGAAGCCGGGCCGGAGACACCGTCTGGACCCCACGCTGCTCCCCAGGGCCGCCTCCAAGAGGATGCCCCACCGCAGGGAGCCGTGCAAACACCATAAATCCTGCTAATTGCCACCTTCCCGGCAGCCAGCATCCGTGGTCTCTCTATAGTGGCCTCACGGTCTCCAGCCAGGAGCTCGATCTTTGCTTCTGCACAAACATTACCGAGAAACGTCTGCAAACCCCGGGCGCCCGGCTCCCACATCACAGGCGCTGCGCCTCAGAACACAACTTGTTTCTGCCGATCCACCCCCCACCGCCGCCTCCCCGGGCACCTCGCCACGCAGGACGCTCCGGGCTTCCCGTAAGAACACCCGTGTCTGTGACCTGCGGGTGGGGTCACCTCCCCGGCCTGCATGCCAGGTGAGGCGGGGGGGGCTCACCTGGGGCTCTCACCTGCCCGAGGGGGTCCTGCCCACGGCTCTGCGACAGAATAGAATGATCAGGGCGATGCGTGGCAGTGCCCTCTCCCTGCCCCAGCCCGAGGGCACCTGTTCCCCTCCTATCTCAGCCACTCTGCCCACGTCTGTCCCCACAAAACGCGGTCGGTGCAGCCCTGGGGCCCGGTCACCGTACCGCATCCTCCTGACAAAGACAGAAAGAAACCGGCTCTTTGATTCTAACATTAAAAAAAAAAGGGCTGCCTTCTGCTTGCAAAAGAAATGCACGCAGGCTGCTGGCAGAAAGTTCTGGAAGATGATAAAGGAAAAAAATAAATTAATTCGAGAAAACTTTGAGACGCCTAACAGCACAAATACCCTCAGTCTTTAGAGAACAGCTGGGGATACACATATTCTGGCTCATTTCCCCATGGAACTTTTATTTTTATTTTTTGAGATGAGTCTCTCTGTGTCGCCGAGGCTGGAGTGCAATGGTGCGATCTCAGCTCACTGCAACCTCCGCCTCCCGGGTTCAAGCGATCCTCCTGCCTCAGCCTCCCAATAGCTGAGACGACAGGCGCCTGCCACCACGCCCGGCTAATTTTTGTATATTTACTAGAGACGGGGTTTCACCGTGTTGGCCAGGCTGGTCTCAAGCTCCTGACCCCAGGTGATCCGCCCGCCTCGGCCTCCCAGAGTGCTGGGATTATGGGTGGGAGCCACCGCGCCCGGCCCCTCTTCCTTCCTTCCCTTCCTTCCTTCCCTTCCTTCCTTCCCTTCCTTCCTTCCCTTCCTTCCTTCCCTTCCTTCCTTCCCTTCCTTCCTTCCTTCCCTCCCTTCCCTCCCTCCCTTACCTCCCTTCCCTCCCTCCTTTCCTTTCCTTCCCTTCCTTTCCTTCCTTCCTTCTTTCTTTTTCCTTTTCTTTTTGAGATGTAGTCTCACTCTGTGGCCCAGGCTGGAGTGCAGTGGTGTGATCTCGGCTCACTGCAACCTCCGCCTCCCAGGTTCAAGCGATTCTCCTGCCTCAGCCTCCTGAGTAGCTGGGACGACAGACGCCCGCCACCATGCCCGGCTAATTTTTGTGTTTTTTTAGGTAGACATGAGGTTTCACCACATCGGCCAGGCCGGTCTCAAGCTCCTGACCTCCAGTGATCCGCCCGCCTCCGCCTCCCAAAGTGCTGGGATGACAGGCGTGAGCCACCGCGCTTGTCCTGCTCTGTAAATTTTGTTTTGGGCCAGGCGTGGTGGCTCACACCTGCAGTCCCAGCACTACGGGAGGCCGAGGCACGAGGGTCGCTGGAGGCCACGAGTTTGAGTCCCCCAGCCTGGGTAACGTAACGAGACCGTGTCTTTAAAAATCATAAAAGACAGATCAGCTGGGCGTAGTGACACGGGTGCCTGTCGCCCCGGCTCCTGAAGAGGCTGAGGTGGGAGGATCGCTTTAGCCCAGGAGTTGGAGGCTGTAGCGAGCTGTGATCTCACCACCGCACTCCAGCCTGGGCGACAGAGCAAGATCTTGTCTCGAAAACAAAACAAAACAAAACACAAAAATTTAAAAAACAGATTGAGAACCCTTGGCCCCCACCTCTTACCAGCTCGGTCACAATTGCAAACCAGAGGCCGGGCACGGTGGCTCACGCCTGTCATCCCAGCGCTTCGGGAGGCCGAGGCGGGTGGATCATGAGGTCAGGAGCTCGAGAACATCCTGGCCAACATGGAGAAACCCCATCTCTACTGAAAATACAAACTTAGCCGGGCGTGGTGGCTCACGCCTGTCATCCGAGCACTTTGGGAGGCCGAGGCGGGCGGATCACGAGGTCAGGAGCTCAAAAGCAGCCTGACCAACATGGAGAAAGCCTGTCTCTACTAAAAATACCAACTTAGCCGGGCATGGTGGTGCACGCCTGTCATCCCAGCGCTTCGGGAGGCCGAGGCGGGCGGATCATGAGGTAGGGAGCTCGAGACCAGCCTGACCAACATGGAGAAACCCTGTCTCTACTAAAAATACAAAATTAGCCGGGCGTGGTGGTGGCAGGTGCCTGCAATCCCAGTTACTCAGGAGAGGCTGAGGCAGGAGAATCGCTTGAACCCGGGAGGCGGAGGTTGCAGTGAGCCGAGATCGCACCCCTGCACTCCAGGCTGGGCAACAGAGCAAAAACTCTGTCTCAAAAATAATATAATAATAATAATAATAATAATAATAATAATAAAAACAACTGTTTTCATGCTGCAGACAGCACACAGGCCAGGACGTCAGGGTCTCGTGAGGGGCCGTCGGAGAACGTCTAAGGGACGTCCCTGCATTCCTGGCTGGAGGTCCTGCGCCAGCGCCCTCCTTGTGAGAACACTTTCGCTCTGCAAACTCTCAGAGCCCCCACCTGCTCCCGCCTCCCGTCTGTCCTGGTTCTTGGGACCCCGGAGCCTTCTCTGTCCAGACCTCCCAGGTCCTGACGGGAATCCGGATAAACTCCTTGGGGCGAAGGTGTTAACGGCAGGGCCCCTGTCTAATGTATTTCGCCACCCAGATAAAATGAGTGTTTTCACAGCTGCCGTTAATTTCTTACCCTGAGGAAGAAAGGAAGGACTTTGAGGCACCTGCGGCCGGGTTGGGGTGGGGCAGGGGGATTTCTGGACGCGGACGGCGTGTGGGGAGTTCCTGGGGTCCCCAGAGCCACACCACGTAGGTGGCAGCCGGCTCCGTCCTGCAAAGCCCCGGCTTCGGTGAAAGATTTATCACCTGCTCGGCCTCGGAGACGGGGAAGAAAAACACAGCCTGGAAGTGGTCCTGGCTGATGGACGGGCCCCTGGGGAGCTGTCCCCAAATGCGCGTCTTCTTTCTCCTTTCTGTCACAGCCTCCCGGCCCTGCCCTGGCTGAGTGGGGCTTTCAGTGAACGCTTGTTGAGTGTCCACGGAGCTGTGAGTGCTGTTCCGGGTGCTGGGTACGTGGTGGGGTGTGTGAGGTTCCCTCCTCTCTAGTGCAGAGATCAGGAGTGAGTAGACAAAGAAAATAGCATCTAACTGCTGCTTGTGATGAGTTTTTTTTTTTTTTTTTTTTGAGACAGAGTCTTGCTCTTGTTACCCAGGCTGGAGAGCAATGGCGTGATCTTGGCTCACGGCAACCTCTGCTTCCGGGTTCAAGGCATCCTCCTGCCTCAGTCTCCCGAGTAGCTGGGAGTACAGGCACCTGCCACCACGCCTGGGTAATTTTGTATTTTTAGTAGAGACGGGGTTTCACCATGTTGGTCAGCCTGGTCTGGAACTCCTGACCTCAGGTGATCCATCCATCTCGGCCTCTTAAAGTGCTGGGATTACAGGCGTGAGCCGCCATGTCTGGCCTTTTTCTTTTTTTTTTTTTTTTTTTTGAGATGGTCTTGCTCTCATTGCCCAGGCTGGAGTGCAATGGTGCAATCTTGGCTCACTGCAACTTCTGCTTCCGGGTTCAAGGCATCCTCCTGCCTCAGCCTCCCGAGTAGCTGGGATTACACGTGTGCACCACCATGCCCGGCTAATTTTGTATTTTTAGTAGAGACTGGGTTTCACTATCTTAGTTAGGCTGGTCTCGAACTCCCAACCTCATGATCTGCCCGCCTCAGCCTCCCAAAGTGCTGGGATGACAGGCATGAGCCACCGCACCTGGCCTATTTTTTTTTTTTTTTTTGAGACAGAGTCTTGCTCTTACTGTGTAGGCTGGAGTACAGTGGGCGAACTCGGCTCACTGCAACCTCTGCTCCGGGGTTCAAGGCATCCTCCTGCCTCAGCCTCCCGAGTAGCTGGGATTACAGGCGCCCACCACCACTCCTGGGTAATTTTGTATTGTTAGTAGAGACTGGGTTTCACTATGTTAGTCAGGCTGGTCTCGAACTCCTGACCTCAGGTGATCCACCCACCTCGGCCTCCCAAAGTGCTGCGATGACAGGCGTGAGCCACCGTGCGTGGCCTTTTTTTTTTTTTTTTTGAGATGGAGTCTTGCTCTCATTGCCCAGGCTAGAGTGCAATGGGCGAACTCGGCTCACTGCAACCTCCACTCCCGGGTTCAAGGGATCCTCCTGCCTCAGCCTCCTGAGTAGCTGGAATGGCAGGTGCATGTCACCATGTTTGGCTAATTTTTTTTTTTTTTTTTCATAAAGACAGAGTCTTGCTAGGTTTCCCAGGCTGGTCTCAAACTCCTGGCCTCAAGTCATCCTCCCACCTCAGCCTCCCGAAGTGCTGGGATTCCAGGCGTGAGCCACCGTACCTGGCCCCTTCAGCATTTTTAAAATATCATTACCCCTTCAAAGACACCTCCAGGAGCAGCCAAAGTTGGTACCCTTGTTATTCCCCATCTCAACACCCCGTGAATTCATTTCTCCAAAAGAACTCATCACAAGCAGGCCACGTGCGGTGGCTCACACCAGTCATCCCAGCACTTTGGGAGGACAAGGCGGGTGGATCATCTGAGGTCAAGAGTTCGAGACCAGCCTGGCTAACACGGTGAAACCCCATCTCTACTAAAAATACAAAAAATTAGCCGGGCATGGTGGCGGGCACCTGTAGTCCCAGCTACTCGGGAGGCTGAGGCAGGAGAATCACTTGAACCCGGGAGGCAGAGGTTGCAGTGAGCCAAGATCGTGCCACTGCCCTCCAGCCTGGGCAACAGAGCGAGACTCCGTCTCCAAAAAAAAAAAAAAGTGCTGAAAAGAAGCAAGAAGGAGGAGCTGGCTGTGCGCAGGGAAAAGCAATGCAGGAAGAAGGATCAGCGTGTGCAAAGACTCTGAGCTGGGAAAAACCTCTGTGTATTCCGAGAACCGAGACAGGGAGGCAGGCTTAGGGTGGAGAGGAGGATGGCAAGGTGGAGGGTTGAAGGGTTTCCCAGCAGCCTGCAGGGCTGATTGGGAGCTCAGATACTCCATGACAAGGACAAAGGGAAGGGGTCTGTATGCAGCTGTGTCTCCGCTCTCTTTCTTGCTCAGAGCATGGAGACCTCGAGTCCAGCTTCCTTTGCGTGCGTAGGGGCCTCTCTGGGTGATGGAGCCCTCCCGAGTGGTAGGTTGGGAGAACCACAGAATTAACCGCACCCTCCAGAGTCTCTCCCAACCAAGGGCTGTCGACGGTGGGTGCATAAATACCTGGGAGGGGCCGGGTGCGGTGGTTCACGCCTGTCATCCCAGCACTTTGGGAGGACAAGGCGGGCGGATCACCTGAGGTCAAGAGTTCGAGACCAGCCTGGTCAACATGGTGCAACCCCCCCGCCTCTGCTAAAAATACAAAAAATTAGCTGGGTGTGGTGGCGGGCGCCTGTAATCCCAGCTAGTCGAGAGGCTGAGGCAGGAGAATCGCTTGAACCCGGGAGGCAGAGGTTGCAGTGAGCTGAGATGGCACCACTGCACTCCAGCCTGGGTGAGAGAAAGAAACTGTCTAAAATAAACAGGGAAAACACCTCTGGGGCTTATGTCTTTCCCGCCTGCATCCGATGAACCTTAGGTGACCGCTGGGGACGGTACTGAGGGTTCCAGGCAGAGGAAAGCCACATCTGCATGCAGAGAAAACTCCAGTGGGGACAGAGGGGGTGCATCGTGTTTAGAAGCCACGTGGGGGGTGGGGGGGCAGGTGTGTCTCATCGCACACGTGTGAACGGAGTGCCGGGGGCCCCTCTTCTCCTGAGCCCCCAAAGGCACGAGCCGGTGGGTCTCGGGAGTTGTGGGGCGATTCCTGGAGGTGGCTCTGTGCAAAGTGTTGTCATATCAGCCAGGAAAACACCCCCTTGCCACAGCCTCAAGTCAACCCAATCTCGTCTGAAAGGTTTGGATGGAGGTGGGGGGGTCCCTGGCTTCCGTCGCTGGAGCGGTGGCCGCAGGGCTGGTCTTCACTGTCATCGTGATGTCACCATCGTCCTCACGTTGGGTGTCTCCCTGGATTCTCGGCTCTCCAGGGAGGCGGCGACGGCCCATCCCACCAGCTGCCCACGGAGGCGGGGTCCCCGGGATGCAGGCTTGACCTCAGAGGAAAACCCACCTGAGCCATTCTAGGGGGAGGGGACACCAGGACCCCCCAAAGGCCTGGTCGGCTGAGGTCATGGTTCATCCCGGGGTTGGGGGAGGGGACACCAGGACCCCCCAAAGGCCTGGTCGGCTGAGGTCATGGTTCATCCCGGGGTTGGGGGAGGGGACACCAGGACCCCCCAAAGGCCTGGTCGGCTGAGGTCATGGTTTATCCCGGGGTTGGGGGAGGGGACACCAGGACCCCCCAAAGGCCCGGTCAGCTGAGGTCATGGTTCATCCCGGGGTTGGAGCAGAACGGGCCGTGGAGGATGGGCTCAGGGAGTGTTTGTTCATGGCGTGAATTCACACGGAATCTTCCTGCCTCCCTCCTTCCTTCCTTCTTTCCTCCCTCCCTCCGTCCTTTCGTTCCCTCCTTCCTTCCAATTTCCTCCCTCTCTCCCTCCCTGCCTTTCTTTGTGGACAGCCTGGCATCTGCACCGTGTCCTGGCTGAGCCTCCTGCCAGCTCTGCGGCCTCGTTGAGGGGGGCGGGGTGCGTGTCTCACCATCTTTGCACCTCAGCTTCCCCATCTGTGACGCAGGGACGGCAACAGGCACCCCTCGAGGTCACCCCTCCAGCATTTGTTTACAGCTGTCTCACATGAACTTAGATCCATGGAAGAGCGTCACCCTGACTCGTCAACCTGCAAAAACGGCCCAGGACAGAGAGGGGGGCCCTTGGGATGGTGGCGGCCGGGACCCGAGGCTGTTGTCCGGTCGTAGAGCCTTAGAGGCTGTTGGCGGTGTAGACGCGGGTCCCAGGCTGCAAGCTGCCTCTCTCCTCTGCCTCAGGCTCTTCTTTTCTATTTATTTATTTTTAAGACAGGGTCTCGCTCTGTCACCCAGGCTGGAGTGCAGTGGTGCCATCTCGGCTCACAGCAGCCTCCAACTCCTGGGCTCAAGCCGTCCTCCCGCCTCAGCCTCCCGAGCAGCGGAGACCACAGGCATGTGCCGGGCTAATTTTCTAATGTTTTGTAGAGATGACGTCTTTGCTACGTTGCCCAGGCTGGTGTTGAACTCCTGGGCTCAAGGCCTCCTCTCGCTCTGGTCTCCCAAAGTGCTGGGATTAGAGGTGTGAGCCACCGCGTCTGGCCAAGACGTCTTTTGGGGGGGACATAATTCTCAACCAAATTGCCTCTGTCTCTCCTTCTCACTCTCTCTCTCTCCACACACACACACACACACACACACACACACACAGCTTGTATGTATATACGCATTTATACAGGTGTGGAGGTGTTTGTGCATATATAGATATATATGATATATACGTATATTTAAGCCATTAGAACATGATTTCCATTGCTAATATTTCAGTGAATATCTCTTTTCTAGCTCTAACTCCACACACACACACAGACACACAGACACATCCCTTGTATGTATATATGCATTTATACAGGTGTGGAGGTATTTGTGCATATAGAGATATATATGATCTAGATGTATATTTAACCCATTAGAAAATGATTTTCATGCTGATAGTACTTCAGTGAATATCTCTTAAAAATATTGATCGCACACGTCCCTCATGAAAAGCAATGGTTCCCTAAACACAGACTGTCTGGTCCATCTCGGAGTTTCCACAGTCGTGACTCACATGCAAGCAATGTACAACTATGGCAGGGCTGGGCTCCTTCCCTCCCAGACAGGCTCAAGGTTATGCTCCCTGTGCCGGGATCAGAATCTGGAATCAGGACGGCCACTCCAGTGACATGAAAGGCACACGGGTGACAGGACGGACACCCCAGAGACAGGACGGACGCCCCAGAGACAGGACGGACGCCCCAGAGACAGCACGGAGACCCCAGAGACAGCACGGACACCCCCAGAGACAGGACGGACACCCCAGAGACAGGACTGATGCCCCAGAGACAGGACGGACGCCCCCAGAGACAGCACGGAGACCCCAGAGACAGGACGGACGCCCCAGAGACAGGACTGATGCCCCAGAGACAGGACGGACGCCCCCAGAGACAGCACAGAGACCCCAGAGACAGGACGGACGCCCCAGAGACAGGACGGAGACCCCAGAGACAGCACGGATGCCCCAGAGACAGGACGGAGGCCCCAGAGACAGCACGGACGCCCCAGAGACAGGACGGACGCCCCAGAGACAGGACGGACACCCCAGAGACAGCACGGACGCCCCAGAGACAGGACGGACGCCCCAGAGACAGGATGGAGGCCCCAGAGACAGCACGGACGCCCCAGAGACAGGACGGACGCCCCAGAGACAGCACGGACGCCCCAGAGACAGGACGGACGCCCCAGAGACAGGACGGGCGCCCCAGAGACAGGACGGACGCCCCAGAGACAGGACGGACACCCCAGAGACAGCACGGACGCCCCAGAGACAGGACGGCCGCCCCGGCCCCGCGTTTTCCATGACATATTTTCTCTTCGGCCACAGGATGGCAGTGCCAGCTACGGAAACGGTGGACCGTTGTCGGACCCTTTGCTGAGTTTTGAAACACGTCACTGCCTTCAGCCTTGTGGGTCCCCGGGCTGCGAACCCCGGGACCGCCTTCCCGCCTCGTGGGCCGGGGCTCAGGTCTTTACATTCATCCCAAACCGGGTTCAAGCCCCATCCCTCCCCCGGCTGCCAACCCCGTGCCGTTCAGGCCCCGTAACCGGCTACTTCGGAACTGACGTCGTGAAACCTTTGCTCGACTGTGTTTCTGACGCTCCCGTCACAGAACAGAAGCTGTCGGGAGTGAGCAATGGTCTAGCCCAGGAGAGGAAAATCAGCCGCGTTTCACTTTGCACCGTCATCTCCTCAGCCGCCCCGTTCCCTCCCACACTTGCAAGATTCCGAGGGAGGAAGCCGCTTCTCGGACCCGGGTCCCAAGCTGTGCAGAAAAGGCCAAGGACACATTTCCGTGTCTGTAGACGCAGCAGGCGGCCGCCAGGGCCTCTTGGGCAAAAGACTCCCATTCCCGGCTTTGCCTGCAGACACCCCTCCTCACACGGGCTCTGGAGGTCTGTTGGGGTTTTCCTCAAAAAGTTTATTTTTTTTGTGGTTTGCTTTTCTAGACAGGGTCTCATTCTGTCATCCGGGGGCTGGAGCACGGCGGGAATGATCTCGGCTCAGAGCAGCCTCCGGCTACTGTGGCCTCAAGTGATCCTCCCGCCTCAGCCTCCCGAGTAGCCGGGACCAGAGGCACCTGCCACCACGCCCAACTCATTTTTTTGTATTTTTTTGTATTTTTTGTAGAGACGGGGTTTCTCCATGTTGCCTGGGCTGGTCTTGAACTCCTGGGATCAAGCCGTCCAGCACCTCAGCCTCCCAACGTGCCGGGATGACGGGTGTGAGCCACCGCACCGGGCCTATTTTATTTTATTATTTCTTTTGTAGAAATTGTTTAAGTGGCTACAAAAGTCCACAAACATCCTCCCTGAGATTCTCCCTTAGAATAATCGTCTTCGTGGGCACACAGCATGTGCTGCTGCTGACCTGAGTGGCCTCGGCTCGACGTCTAGACGGCTCAGCGTTTGGACAGTTTCCAATCAGGGTCTGTCACCCAGGCTGGAGTCTGGGTGTGATCTCGGCTCACTGCAGCCTGTTTCCTCCCTCCCTTCCTTTCCTCCCTCCTTCCTTTCCTCCGTCCCTCCTTTCCTCCCTCCTTCCTTTCCTCCCTCCCTGCCTCTCTTCCTTCCTTTCTTCCTGGACAGCCTGGCATCTGCACCGTGTCCTGGCTGAGCCTCCTGCCAGCTCTGTGGCCTCGTTGAGGGGGGCGTGTCTCACCATCTTTGCACCCCAGTTTCCCCATCTGTGAGGCAGGGACGGAAACAGGCACCCCTCGAGGTCACCCCTCCAGCATTTGTTTACAGCTGTCTCACATGAACTTAGATCCATGGAAAAGCGTCACCCTGACTCGTCGAGCTGCAAAAACGGCCCAGGACAGAGAGGGGGGCCCTTGGGATGGTGGCGGCCGGGACCCGAGGCTGTTGTCCAGTCATAGAACCTCAGAGCCTGTTCAAATCAGGGTCTCGCTCTGTCACCCAGGCTGGAGTCTGGGTGTGATGTCGGCTCACCGCAGCCTCCACCTCCTGGGCTCGAGCGATTCTCCTGCCTCAGCCTCCGGAGGAGCTGGGACCACAGGTGCCCGCCACCACGCTGGGCCGATTTTTACAGTTTTTGTAGAGATGGGGCCTCACTGTGTTGTCCAGGCTGGTCTTGAACTGTTAACCTCAAGCGATCCTCCTGCCTCGGCCATCCAGGGTCCTGCAATGATGGGCGTGAGCCACTGTGCCTGGCCTATTTTTTATTGCTGAGGGTTTTGCAGAAATCATGTAAGAAGTGGCCGGACGCAGTGACTCACGCCTGTCATCCCAGCACTCTGGGAGGCCGAGGCGGGTGGATCACCAGAAGTCAGGAGTTCGAGACCAGCCTGGGCAACATGGCGAAACCCCGTCTCTACTAAAATACGAAAGAAATTGGCTGGGAGTGGTGGCAGGTGCCTGTAGTTCCAGCTACTCAGGAGGTTGAGGCAGGAGAATTGCTTGAACCTGGGAGGTGGAGGTTGCAGTGAGCTGAGATCGCACCATTGCACTCCAGCCTGGGCAACGAGAGTGAAACTCCATCTCAAAAAAAGAAAAAAAGGCTGGACACAGTGGCTCACGCCTGTCATCCCAGCACTTTGGGAGGCTGAGGCGGACAGATTGCCTGAGCTCAGGAGTTCGAGACCAGCCTGGCCAACATGTTGAAACCCCGTCTCTACTAAAATACAAAAGAAATTAGCTGGGAGTGGTGGCAGGTGCCTGTAATCCCAGCTACTCAGGAGGCTGAGGCAGGAGAATTGCTTGAACCTGGGACACGGAGGTTGCAGTGAGACGAGATTGCCCCATCGCACTCCAGCCTGCAACAGAGCGAGACTCCTTAACAAGGGAGGCTATTCTGACACCTGCTACCATGTGGAAGAAGCTTGACAATATTGACCAATCAGCCAGACACAGAAAGACAAGTCCTGTGTGATTCCACTTCGAGGAGGTCCCTCGAGTCACCAGAGTCACAGAGACAGAAAGTATAACGGTGGGTGCCGGGGGCTGAGGAGGGCGAATGGAGCTGTCGTTGAAGGGGGGGGTCGCAGTTTCGGGTTTAGAAGTGGAATTTTGGAGACAAATCACGGGGATGGTTGCAGAAAAGTGTGAGCGTGCTTGTTACCCCGGAACTGTGCACATAAAGATGTCTCACCTGTTGGCCGGGCGCGGTGGCTCACGCCTGTCATCCCAGCACTTGGGGAGGCCGAGGTGGGTGGATCACTTGAGGTCAGGAGATCAAGACCAGCCTGGCTAACATGGTGAAACCCCGTCTCTACTAAAAATACAAGAAAAAAATTAGCCGGGTGTGGTGGCGGGCACCTGTAGTCCCAGCTGCTCGGGAGGCTGAGGCAGGAGAATGGCATGAACCCGGGAGGCGGAGGTTGCAGTGAGCTGAGATCGCACCACTGCACTCCAGCCTGGGCGACAGAGCGAGACTCCATCTCAAACAAACAAAAAAGGGCTCGTGTGTATGAGGCTGGGGACGCAGGAGAGGGTCTCTCCCCCTGAAACTCGGGGGGTCCTGGGAAAGAATCCAGCCTCCAGCCTGGCCCTGGGAACCCTGGACCAGGCAGGGGGTCACTGCCCCCTTCCTGGGGAGTCTCAGCTGAAAATAGCTCATCTCACAGGGGACCCGCACGGCTGACGTCCAGGACGAGCCCGAGACTCCTCAAGAAAAGCCTCGTGTTAAACACACGTGTGTCTCCTCGCCTGCCGGTTTAATGCCCAGTCGTGGGGTCCTGGGTTGTGGCCACGAAGTCCTATTCCTCTGTCGCCAGGGTGAGAAGGTGGCTGTCGGCAGGGATTTTGGGATCAGGCAGGTGACTTCTCACGAAGGCTGGTTTCTCAGCCTCACATCTGCCGACATCGGGGGCTGGAGGATTCTCCGTCGTGGGGCGTCCTGTGCCCTGTGGGGTGTCGGGGACATGTTCTCACTCGGAGGACACATTGATTCAAACCATAGGATACACAGTTGATTCATACATGTATGATTGATAGGTGATTGGTTGACAGATAGTTGATGGATAGATATTGATATAGATGCATGATTAATAGGTGATTGACAGATGATAGACATTAATATAAATGTATGATTGATTGGTTGACAGATGATAGATAATTGATATAGATGCATGATTAATAGGTGATTGACAGATAATTGATAGGCATTAATATAAATGTATGATTGATAGATGATTGGTTGACAGATAATTGATATAGACACATGATTAATAGGTGATTGACAGATAATTGATAGACATTAATAGAAATGTATGATTGATGATTGGTTGACAGATGATTGATAATTGATATAGATGCATGATTAATAGATGGTTGATAATTGACAGATAATTGGTATAGATGCATGATTGATAGATGATTTATTGACAGACAATTGATACATAAGCGATACAGATGCATGATTGATAGGGAATTGATTGACAGATGATTGATAATTTATATAGATGTATGACTGATCAGTGATTGGTTGATAGGTAATTGATATAGATGCATGATTGACAGATGATTGGTTGTCAGATAATTGACCGATAGTAATGGATAGCTGATTAATAGATAGATAATTGATTAATCAATAATTGATAGATGATAGATAAAGAATCTCTCATGCCCAGGCAGCTTTCTCAGCTCTGGCACTGCTGATGTTTGGGACTGGAGGACTCTCTGTCTTGGGGCCACCCTGGGTGCTGCAGGGTGCTAACTCTCTTGATGAGGCCGTCCTGGGTACTGTAGGGTACTGAGTCTCTGTGATGAAGCCGTCCTGGGCTCTGTAGGGTGTTGAGTCTGAGTCTCTGTGATGAGGCCGTCCTGGGCCCTGTAGGATGCTGAGTCTCTGTGATGAGGCCGTCCTGGACACTGTAGGGTGCTGAGTCTGAGTCTCTGTGATGAGGCCGTCCTGGGCCCTGTAGGGTGTTAAGTCTCTGTGATGAGGCCGTCCTGGACACTGTAGGGTGCTGAGTCTCTGTGATGAGGCCGTCCTGGGCACTGTAGGGTGTTGAGTCTGAGTCTCTGTGATGAGGCCGTCCTGGGCCCTGTAGGGTGTTGAGTGTCTGTGATGAGGCCGTCCTGGGAGCTGTAGGGTGTTGACTCTGTGGTGGGGCCGTCCTGGGCGCTGTAGGGTGCTGAGTCTCTGTGATGAGACCGTCCTGGGAGCTGTAGGGTGTTGACTCTGTGGTGGGGCCATCCTGGGCGCTGTAGGGTGCTGAGTCTCTGTGATGAGACCGTCCTGGGAGCTGTAGGGTGTTGACTCTGTGGTGGGGCCGTCCTGGGCGCTGTAGGGTGCTGAGTCTCTGTGATGAGGCCGTCCTGGGAGCTGTAGGGTGTTGACTCTGTGGTGGGGCCGTCCTGGGCGCTGTAGGGTGTTGAGTCTCTGTGATGAGGCCGTCCTGGGAGCTGTAGGGTGTTGACTCTGTGGTGGGGCCGTCCTGGGCGCTGTAGGGTGCTGAGGAGCGTCCCTGGGCTCCACCCAGCAGATGCCAGTTCACCCCCATGTTGTGACATGCAGACATGTCCCCTGATATTGCTGAGTGTGTCCGGGGAGGGGGCAGGATGTCCCCTGGCTGAGAACCACACTGCACTAAGGAATTAAGAGGACGGCCGCACTTAGAGACACAGTTGCCCATGAGCTCATACCGGCTTCTCCAAGCAGGTCACTCTGAAATCTTGTTTTTTTTTTGTTTTTTTTTTTTTTTTTTTTTTTTTTTGAGACAAAGTCGTGCTCTTGTCGCCCAGGCTGGAGTGCGGTGGTGCCATCTCGGCTCACTGCAAGCTCCGCCTCCCGAGTTCACACCATTCTCCTGCCTCAGCCTCCCGAGTAGCTGGGACTACAGGTGCCCGCCACCACGCCCGGATACTTTTTTGTATTTTTAGTAGAGACCGGGTTTCACCGTGTTAGCCAGGATGGTCTCGATCTCCTGACCTCGTGATCCGCCTGCCTCGGCCTCCCAAAGTGCTGGGATGACAGGCGTCAGCCACTGCGCCCGGCCCAACAGCTCTTTAAGTGGCTTGATTATGACCCTTGCACGCTGGCACCTGTCTTTGGGATCTTGGCATGGGCATGGACCCATGGATTAGTCAAACACCAACAGGGGCTCAGAAGGAAGGAGAGAATCTATATGGGAGGCTGGCACCTGGCAAGGGATGATCCCTTCATTGCTGCAAAGGCAATGAAGAAGGAAGAAGGAGGCAATGAACAAAGGAAGAAAGGAAGGGAGGAGTGATGGAACGAAGGAAGGAAGGGGAAGGAGGGAGGGAAGGACGAAAGGAAGGAAGGAGGGAGGGAAGGAAGGAAGGAAGGAAGCTTCCATTCTTCCATTGTAGCAGCAGCGTACACTGCCCAGCCCGGGCTTCGTTTCCACTTTCTGTGACCTGGTGTGGCGGTGAGTCTTACTCAGCGTGCTTGAGCCGAAATGTCACCAGCTGCCCGCCGACCTGGGATGACACCTTGGGCCGTTCTGTTTTCTCCCGTTCACCGGTCAAGACGCTGAAACTCGGGAGCTTTTGGCGGCCGAGCTGCGTGAAGGGACTTCAAGAGACGAGGAGACGGACCCCGTGGAAACCTCTCCCACCTGGCGATTGGTGAGGAGGACAGAGGCGACGGCAGAGGCGGTTTCATTTTGTGCTTTGAGACGGCCGTTTTGAGGTTGGGAGGCAGCCGCGATGGGAGTTGGGTTTGTCAATGGCATTTTTTTTTTTTTACTTTTTTATTATTATACTTTAAGTTCGAGGGTACATGTGCACAAAGCGCAGGTTAGTTACATACGTATACATGTGCCATGCTGGTGTGCTGCACCCATTAACTCGTCATTTACATTGGGTATGTCTCCTAATGCTGTCCCTCCCCTCTCCCCCAGGAAACAACAGGTGCTGGAGAGGATGTGGAGAAGTAGGAACACTTTTACACTGTTGGTGGGACTGTCAACTAGTTCAACCATTGTGGAAGTCAGTGTGGCGATTCCTCAGGGATCTAGAACTAGAAATACCATTTGACCCAGCCATCCCATTGCTGGGTATATACCCAAAGGACTATAAATCATGCTGCTATAAAGACACATGCACACGTATGTTTATTGCGGCACTGTCCACAATAGCAAAGACTTGGAACCAACCCAAATGTCCAACAACGATAGACTGGATGAAGAAAATGTGGCACATATACACCATGGAATACTATGCAGCCATGAAAAAGGATGAGTTCATGTCCTTTGTAGGGACGTGGATGGAATTGGAAATCATCATTCTCAGTAAACTATCGCAAGGACTAAAAACCAAACATATTCTCACTCATAGGTGGGAATTGAACCATGAGAACACTTGGACACAGGAAGGGGAACATCACACACCGGGGACTGTTGTGGGGTGGGGGGAAGGGGGAGGAATAGCGTTAGGAGATATACCTAATGCTACACCAACATGGCACATGTATACGTATGTAACAAACCTGCACATTGTCCACATGTACCCTAAAACTTAAAGTATAATAATAATAATAATAATAATAATAATAATAGTAATAATAAGCTGACCAGGATTTCCCCTCAGAAGGGCCCTTTCCCTGAGGGTCTTCGCTCCCCGAGGCGGACCCTACAGTGATCCGTGTGGGGGTTCCTGGGGCGGCGGTCGTCCCCTCCCGGGGGGTCTCCTGGCACCGATCTCACCTGCGGGAGCCTCTCCGGCCTGGCTCTTTGATGTGCAGAGATGGCGAAGAAGAAAATAACTTTAAAAATGGTGAGAAGCCGTCATTGAAGTTAACATAAAAGAGGATGACGCGGGGTGTTAATTGGTCTGTCTCTGGCATAATTTGGGCCCGGGAGACGGGGTCCCTGGGCCCCTCGCCCGAGAGCGGAGACTCACATCTTTAATTCAGCAATCTTTGTATTAATTACCTCCGCATAGGTACGCTTTGATTGGGAGCGCTTTCTTATAAAATCACAGCGATCGTCTGCCTTAAGATAAATAGATGAGAGTTGAGCTGGGGGAAGAAAAAAAAAAAAAAACAGTTCATTCGACTCTGAATATCAAATTCAGGATAAAACACCACTGATTCTCGGTCATTCTCAGTAGGGGAAGGAGCTTCTATTCTTGACCCAGCCCACGACACGTGCCGGGGCTGTCAGCGCCGTGAGAGGCACCTGTGTCTCCCCGAGCTGAGGACGGATGACATTTGTACCTACAGGTTTGTATACGGTCCTGGGAGGTGCCTCCTTGCCAGTGAAGGACCAGAACTCACGGCCGGCCATGGGTGCCCGGCGCCGGGATGGGCAGGAGCGGTGGCCCCAGGTCCCGGGTGTGGGTGAGGCCCCAGGAAAGAGGAGAATTCACTGGGAAAATGCAGAGCTGAGGGAAAAGACAGGGGTGTCCCGGGGACCCGTCCAGACCGCAGGATGGTGTGAGGCCGGGAGGTGGACGCGGCGGTGAGCTGTGATTGCGCCACTGCACTCCAGCCTGGGTGACAGGGCAACACCCTGTCTCTCTCTCTCTCTCTCTCTCTCTTTTTTGTTTTTGGAGATAGAGTCTCGCTCTGTCACCCAGGCTGGAGTGCAGGGGCGTGATCTCGGCTCTCTGCAACCTCCGCCTCCCGGGTTCAAGCCATTCTCCTGCTTCAGCCTCCCGAGTAGCTGGGATGACAGGCACCTGCCAGCACGCCCGGCTGATTTTGTATTTTTAGTAGAGATGGGGTTTCACCATGTTGGTCAGGCTGGTCTCGAACTCATGAGCTCAGGGGATCCGCCTGCCTCAGCCTCCCAGAGTGCTGGGATGACAGGTGTGAGCCACTGCGCCCGGCCAGGAATCAGTTTTTATTACGCTCAAAATCCCCTAAAAACTAGGCACCAGGGGAGGATGAACTGGCTCAGAGAGAAAGAGAGAGAGACACAGAGACAGAGACAAAGAGAGAGGCAGAGAGACAGAGACAAAGAGAAAGAGAGATAGAGAGAGAGAAAGAGAGACAGACGCAGAGAGACAAAGAGAGATGGAGAGACAGAGAAAGAGACACAGAGAGAGGCAGAGACAGAGAAAGAAAGAGAGGCAGAGACAGACGGAGAGATACAAAGATGGAGAGACAGAGAGAGACAGAGAGGGACAGAGAGATACAGATACAGAGAGAGACGTAGAGACACAGAGAGAGACAAAGACGGAGAGACAGAGAGAGACAGAGAGATACACACAGAGAGACAGAGACAGAGACAGCAGACGGAGAGAGAGAGAGATGGAGATGGAGAGAGACAGAGACACAGAGAGAGACAGACACAGAGAGAGACAGAGAGACAAAGATGGAGAGACAGAGACAGAGAGACAGAGACACACAGAGAGACAGAGACAGAGAGACACAGAGAGAGACAGACAGAGAGATGGAGAGACAGAGAGACACAGAGAGAGGCAGAGACAGAGACAGAAAGACAGAGAGGCAGAGACAGAGGGAGAGATACAAAGATGGAGAGACAGAGAGAGACAGAGAGGGACAGAGAGATACAGATACAGAGAGACGTAGAGACACAGAGAGAGACAAAGACAGAGAGACAGAGAGAGACAGAGAGATACACACAGAGAGACAGAGACACAGAGACAGCAGACGGAGAGAGACAGATGGAGATGGAGAGAGACAGAGACACAGAGAGAGACAGAGACACAGAGAGAGACAGAGAGACAAAGATGGAGAGACAGAGACAGAGAGACAGATACACACAGAGAGACAGAGACAGACACAGAGAGAGACAGACAGAGAGATGGAGAGACAGAGAGACACAGAGAGAGGCAGAGACAGAGAAACAGAGAGACAGAGAGACAGAGACACAGACAGAGACAGAGACAGGGAAGGAAGGAAGGGAGGGAGGGAAGGAGGAAATGAAACCAAAGAAAGGAAAGAAAAACCCCCAAGAGTCACAATCAATATACGTCCTGCACAAATTCCTGCAGTTTCCAGGAGGTTCCCGCAGCTCCCCGGGGCCCGCCACCCCCCGCCACCCCCCACCCACTCCCAGAGCCGCCTCCTTCAACACCCCGACGTGCTTCATCTACCACGAGGCCCACGGCGGCTTCCGGAATATGCGGCAACTTTTTATTTTTTTTTTATTTTTATTTTTTTTAAGGGGTAAAAAAAGATAAAGCAAACACGGAACAGCACACTCCTCCCGGCCTTCCTTCTTCTGACACCGTTTTCCTTTAGAAGATCTGAAACTACAAGTCAGGACATGACACGTGGAGCGTCCCAGGCACGCGCAGCCTCTGCTGTTTGATTTCCGACGTGAGTCTATAGGTGAGGCTGACAGGTTTCAGATGGAAGAGGCAGGGCAGACGCCTTTCAAGAGAGGCGCGTTGTCTGGGTAAATCCATCAAGGGTGCGTCCTGGGAGACGACGGGCCGCCTTTGTAGACAACGCCACGGCACGGGGGCCCCCCACGCTGGGCGCCCACCCCGGCTGGCTGACAGGCGGCCCCCGTTTCACCGTGATCACGAGTAAAAGCCAGTTCCCTGCAGGTTACGGGGCTGCTGTGTTTTGACATTGACCTTAATGCATAATTTAACCACAAAGCATATGAGGTACGTGCAACCAGATGAGGAAAGGCCACAGGACTGGCAGGTAACGTGATGCTGAATCAGAAAGGATGTTTGTTCCCGATCGTGCGGACGTGGGGGCCTCTGCCGAAGAGGCGGAGAGGGGAGGAGGGGGAGGAGGAGGCCGCGGTCGTGTCTGTCCCAGGGCTGTCGAGGAGAAGTCGGTCTGGGGTCCTGGATGAGGAGCAGAGCTCGGGGAGCTGTTAACATTTCCTGGGACAGCGATGGGCTTGGAGAGCCTCACTGTGCACACATGTGGCCTGTTTTTTTTATTTTTATTTTTAGTTTTTGAGATGGAGTCTCGCTCTGTTGCCCAGGCTGGAGTGCAGGGGTGTGATCTCGGCTCACTGCAACCTCCACCTCCCGGGTTCAAGCCATTCTCCTGCCTCAGCCTCCCGAGTAGCTGGGACTACAGGCGCCCGCCGCCACGCCCAGCTAATTTTTTGTATTTTTAGTAGAGACGGGGTTTCACCATGTTGGCCAGGCTGGTCTCGAACTCCTGACCTCCGGATCAGCCCGCCTCGGCCTCCCAAAGTGCTGGGATGACAGGCGTGAGCCACCGCGCCCGGCTATGTGGCCTGTTTGCTGGGACGGAGCCGCTGGCATCCTGGCGGCAGCTTCAAAACACAGTCACAGTCTCAGGGGAGCAAAAGCACCCGGTCCCCATCACTGTCCCCAAGAAAGGGAGCAGCAGGGGGTTCCCGCGGCTGGCCAGGAAGCTGGGGACAAACGGTGGCGTACCTGAGCACCTGCATTCCCGCAGTGAAGGACAGGTCGACACGGGCAGCTTTGCTTCTCTCCTGGCCAGCTCGGTCAAGCTTCCTGCCTCTGGTGCCTGGAATGCAGAGTCCTGGGTGCGCAACAGGCATTGCCTGGGTGGGCTGGCGTTTTTGATTTGTTTTGTTTTTTTGAGACAGAGTCTCACTCTGTTGCCCAGGCTGGAGTGCAGTGGCGTGATCTCAGCTCACTGCAACCTCCGCCTCCTGGATCCAAGTCATTCTCCTGCCTCAGCCTCCCGAATAGCTGGGATTACAAGCACCTGCCACCGCACCGGGCTAATTTTGTATTTGTAGTAGAGACGGGGTTTCACCGTGTTGGCCAGGCTGGTCTCGAACTCCTGACCTCAGGTGATCCACCCACCTCGGCCTCCCAAAGTGCTGGGAGGGTTGGTGTTTTTATGACCTTCACACAGACCCCAGAGCTGGTGTTGGAGGAGGGTGCAGAGACCCCAGGAGGTACCCTGGAAAGGAGCCCAATAGGAAGACCCAGGACTCTAGGGCAGCAGGTTCAAGCCTGCTCAGCTGGGAAGACCGTTTCCTTCAGGAGTGTGGCGGGTTCCACACGGCGGGTTGGAGACATGCACCTGCCCAGGCTGGGCCACTCAGGGTTCACGCCGGGGCACTGAGTATTTTGGGGGTGCAATGAACTCTGCACAACGCACCAGGGTGGGGGCAGAGATGAATCAAAGAAGACAGCTGTTTGTGTGTGAGCTTCCCTGGCCTGTGCACACAGAGACAGACATACACACCCACACACACACAGGCACACAGATGCCTGTACACATACATTCACACCCAGACACACATATGCATTCGTACGCACCTACACACACATCTGTACACACACATTCACACCAACACACAGACATACATTCATACACACCTGCACACACACACACGTACACACACTCCTATACACATACATTCACACCCACACACAGACATACGCACCCACACACACATTCATACACACCTGCACCACACACAGGCGCACACACTCCTGTACACACACATTCACAACCCCACACGTACACACCAGGACACACACATTCATATACACCTGAACACAGGTGCACACACACGCCTGTACACATCCATTCACACCCACACACAGACATACACACCTGTACACACACATTCATACACGCACACACACACGGGTACACACGCCTGTACACGTTCACACCCACAGACATATACACAGACACACCTGCACACACACACACAGAGGCACATGCACACACACACCTGTACACATACATTCACATGCACACACAGACACAGCCCCCCACACACACAGGTGCACACACACGCCTGTACACATACATTCACACCTACACACAGACACACACCTGTACACACACATTCATACACACATGCACACACACACGGGTACACACGCCTGTACACGTTCACACCCACAGACATATACAGACACACCTGCACACACACACACAGAGGCACATGCACACACACACCTGTACACATACATTCACATGCACACACAGACACACCCCCCACACACAGGTGCACACACATGCCTGTACACATACATTCACACCTACACACAGACATACACACCTGTACACACACACACACAGACACACCCCCCCCACACAGGTGCACATACACGCCTGTACACATACATTCACACCTACACACAGACATACACATCTGTACACACACACATTCATACACACACAGATACACACCCACGCACACACAGGTGCACACACACGCTTGTACACATACATTCACACCCACACACAGACATATACACACAGACATTCATACACACCTGCACAGACACACACATACACAGGCCCATGCACGCACACCTGTACACACACACACCCACACACAGACATACACATCTGCGTGGCAAACATTGACCCCTTCCTCAGGCTGCTGCTGCTGCTGCAAATGTTACTCAGCGATCGTCCAGCCCAGGCTGCAGGCCGACCCTGAGGGCCCTGGAGGCCTCATAAACCACACGTCCGGCCTCGGCTGATTCCACAAGGCTCCGTGGAGCTACCTGTGCAGGGGGGAGAGGCGTGAGGCTCAAAGGGGCCCTGGACGCAGGGACAGACGTTTCTTTACAGACACCCACGTGAGGCAGACAAACCACACATATGTCTCCAACCACACATGGTAATTCGTGAGGATGAAGAGATGAAGGCCCCAGGCCATATTCCCTTTGTGCTGTCCTGGTCTAGCGTGAAATGTTAATTTTTGCCTTTTTTCGTGTACAAAGGGGCCCTTAGGTTGTTAGATGTTCCTGCTTTCATAGTAGACGCATGTGGACTTTTCGTGGTATTTTGTTGTGTTTCTACTGCTTGTTGGAGGCAGAAAAAGCGACTCGTCAATGTTTTATAATGAAAATGAAAAGTATGAAAGGTGAGTGTGAAGTTGTAACAGACATACTTTTGTGAATTTTGGTGATTTTTTTTGTTTGTTGGTTTCAGTCTTTGGAAAAAATCTGTGGTTGGCCGGGCGCGGTGGCTCACGCCTGGCATCCCAGCACTTTGGGAGGCCGAGGTGAGTGGATCATGAGGTCAGGAGATCGAGACCATCTTGGCCAACGTGGTAAAACTCCATCTCTACTAAGAATACAAAAAATTAGCGGGGTATGGTGGCGGGCACCTGTAGTCCCACCTACTTGGGAGGCTGAGGCAGGAGAATCGCTTGAACCTGGGAGGTGGAGCCTCCCCAGATGCACGGCTGTGTCCCAGTCCAGGTTCCAAAGGGGCTTTGTGGATCTTTTTCTGCAGACCGAATGAATGCTTTGTCCTGCCAAGTCCTACGTTGAAACCCTGAACCCCAAGGTCAGAGTGTTACTAGTGGGGGGTCTTTGGGAGGTGAGGAGGTCGTGATGGTAGAGTCTCACGAATGGGATTAGTATCCCCATAAAAGGGACACCAGAGCTTCCTCTCTCTCTGTCTCTCTCTCTGTCTCTTTCTCTCCACCCCGCACCATGGAATGACACAGCAAGAAGGTTGCCGTCTGCAAGCCAGGAAGGGAGTCCTCACCAGGAGCTGAGATGTTGCTACTTTGATCTTGGACCTCCAGTCTTCATGTGTGTGAGAAATCAATGTCTGTTGTTTAAGCCCTGTGGTTTGTGGTACTTTGCTGTAGATTTTCTTTCTTTCTTTCTTTCTTTTTGAGACTGAGTCTCACTCTGTCGCCCAGGCTGGAGTGCAGTGGTGTGATCTTGGCTCACTGCAACCTCTGCCTTCTGGGTTCAAGTGATTCTCCTGCCTCAGCCTCCTGAGTAGCTGGGACTACAGGCACCTGCCACCACACCTGGCTGATTTTTATATTTTTAGTAGAGACGGGGTTTCACCATGTTGGCCAGGATGGTCTCAATCTCCTGACCTCGTGATCCACCCGCGTCAACCTGCCCAAGTGCTGGGATTATAGGCATGAGCCACCGTGCCCGGCAATTCTATCTATCTGTCTGTCTGTCTGTCTGTCTGTCTGTTTGTCTGTCTATCTATCTATCTGTCTATCCATCCATCCATCTAATCCATCCATCCATCTATCATCTATCTATCCATCTATCTTTTGGGTTTTTTTTGAGACAGAGGAGCTGAAACATAGTGAGAGGTTTCTATACCCAGAGAGCTCAACCTCTAGGGTGGAGAAGTTTAAACATTCACTAAACTGGCTTTCATTTAGTAATTGGTGCAGAGCAAAGAGAGACATTTGTGTATGTGTGTGTGTGTGTTTTCACATCACAATATATCATTCTCTTCTCTTCATTTTGTCTCATTTTTCAGAAGCAACAAAAAGGAGAAGATAAGTTTATTTCCATGCAGAGAAGGGAGAGTTTGCTTTCCATTTTATTTTATTTTATTTTTCAGATAGAGTTTCACCCTTGTCGCTCAGGCTGGCGTGCAATGGCGCAATCTCGGCTCACTGCAACCTCCACCTCTGGGGTTCAAGCGATTCTCCTGCCTCAGTCTCCCAAGTAGCTGGGATTACAGACACCCGCCACCACACCACACTGCAACCTCTGCCTTCTGGGTTCAAGTGATTCTCCTGCCTCAGCCTCCTGAATAGCTGGGACTACAGGTGTCTGCCACCACACCCGGCTGATTTTTGTATTTTTAGTAGAGACGGGTTTTTACCATGTTGGCCAGGCTGGTCTTGAACCCCTGACCTCAGGTGATCCTCCCGCCTTGGCCTCCCAAAATGCTGAGATGACAGGCATGAGCCACCATGCTCGGCTGAGTTTGCTTTCTTTGGAGAGCAAACAGATAGCCCCACCAGAAATGTACTTATTTACTTAGTTGCTTGCATGTTTGGAGTGGATGTTGGAGTTTTTCTCAGCCAGGGAGGTGAGAAAGTCTCCATCAAGTACTCATTCATTCATTCATTCATTCGTTCATTCAATTCAACTTTGAATTTAAAAGTGGAGAGTTCCCCTCCGTCTGACCACAAAGTGATGTGCAGAAGTAGCTTCATTTTAAACCTGCAGATAAGATGGATCGGTCTCTGATTTGTAATTAGAAGTGCAGCAGATAACGAGACAATCTGAATGTCCTACCAAGTCTTTGACCTGTTCTTTGGGAGGTGGCATAACCTTATCTTCAATCATCAAGGCTGCACGTGGAGGAGTTATTCAGGCAGCTGAAAATATCACCCCAGATCTTGCAGAGGAAGCAACCTAGGAGTCGGAGTGTCCCTGCAGATGCTCCACACACGGGTGGGATATAGAAGGAGTGGAGGTGGACGAGGTCTAAGGAGAACAAGGAAAAGGACATGAGAGGATCAGAGAAGACCTCAATAGCTTAGCCAGGGAAGGAATTCATGGGAAAAACATTAGGGGAATTTATAGTCTTGGCAGGGAACCCAAAGATGGAGACTCAGACAACAGGGCAGAACCCAAGGGAGGAAGGTGGTCGGGGAGGACTCTCCAAGCTGCCTCTGGGCTCTGGAGATGTTGCTGTGGTCATGAGGAATTTCTGTCCTGCAGCTGATTTCCTTTATTCTCTCAAGGTTCCAAGTGCTGGGCAGAAAGTCCAGCTCCCTGGATGCCAGGATGGGGGGGATAGAGAATGTATGAGGCTCCAGGATGCCAAAGAGGGAGGTGACGCTGGTTCCCACTGAGACGTGTGAGGCAGGAATGACCCCAAAATGACAAGGCTCCGAGTCCCAGCACGATGATTCAGCTTCCCCATCTCACGTGTTCATGGAAGGAGCATGAGGAACTCAGGCATCAGGAAGAAAGTGCCCTCGGTTTGGGGTGGGGCGAGCTTTGGGAACCTCAGGAAACATTTCACGATGACCAACAGGATCAGCCAGTGGGAGAGGAAGAGGAGATTTGTTGCAACCTTGAGGTGGGTTCACTGTGGACACAAATCAGAGGCAGGACAGCCACAGAGAGGACCAACTATTGGCCACGTGTGGGTAAGAGGAAAGAATTGTGACTGGGTTCACAGTGCAGGGGGCATGGATTGAAAAGCAGGACACATCTTCCTCTCTTCTGGTTTCATTGAGCCTTTGCTAAATAGAAGCTAGAATCTCATAGACCTGGTGGCAGCTGTCTTACTCCCTTGGTGTTGATATGGCAGAATGCCATAGACTGCATGGCTTAGAAACAATAAGAATTTACTGCTCACAGCTCTAGAGGCTGGGAAGTCTCAGATCAACGCGTGGTAGATTTGGTGTTTGGTGGGGAAAGTCCCAGATCAAGGCGTGGTAGATTTTGTGTTTGATGGGGACCTGTTTGCTCATTCATAGACGGTGCCATCAGGCTGTGTCCTCATATGGTGAAAGGGGTGAGGGAGCTCTCTGAGGTCCCCCCTTTTTTTGAGATGGAGTTATGCTCTTGTACCCCAGGCTGGAGTGCGATGGCACGATCTTGGCTCGCTGCAACCTCTGCCTCCTGGGTTCAACTGACTCTCCCGCCTCAGCCTCCCAAGTAGCTGGGATTATAGGTGTCCACCACCAAGCCTGGCTAATTCTTGTATTTTTAGTACATATGGGGTTTCACCATGTTGGCCAAGCTGGTCTCGAACTCCTGACCTCAGGTGATCCTCCTGCCTTGGCCTCCCAAAATGCTGGGATTACAGGCATGAGCCACCGTGCCTGGCCTGGGGTCCCCCACTCCTTTTTTTTTTTTTTTTCCTTTTTTAGATGGAATTTTGCTCTGTTGCCAGGCTGGAGTGCAGTGGTGCGATCTCAGCTCACTGCAACCTCTGCCACCCGCATTCAAGGGATTCTCCTGCCTCAGCCTCCCAAGTAGCTGGGATTACAGGTGTCCACCACCACGCCTGGCTAATTTTTGTATTTTTAGGAGAGACAGGGTTTCACCATTGTTGGCCAGGCTGGTCTCGATCTCTTGACTTTGTGATCTGCCAGCCTCGGCCTCCCAAAGTGCTGGGATTACAGGCCTGGGGTCTGTAATTTTTATAAAGGCACTAATCCCATTCATGAGGCTTCATCCTCACAATCTCATCACCTTCCAAAACTCTACTTCCTAACACCATCACCTTAGCGGTTAGGGATTCAACATAGCAATTTGTCGGGGGAACACGACATTCAGTGTATACTGACCGTTGTTCTTCAAACACCTGCTAAATTATAATTAATATCATTATGGGAGAACACCCTTACCATAGAATATTCCCACCACCAGGATCTCCGTGATATACCTTCCAACTCTGCAAAATAACAAAACAGCAAAACAACACAACGCAAACGGAATAAAACCCTTTTCTTTTGACTGAGTGCAGGGCAAGTTAGAAAACTCCCCAAAGATGAGTTTCTCCTCCTTTTTTTTTTTTTTTTTTTGAGTTATGAGCAGAAAAAGTTTGGACACTTTCGCAGAACTCAGAAACATATTAATTTTTCACGGCCTCGTAAGTCAAAAATGGCTTGTCCAATTTGCTTCAAACTTCGCAGCCTGATAGAAAGCCCCAGAACTTTCCAGCCAGAGAAGATATTTTGTCAGAGTTGGAAGGAGGTCAGAAGAGGGCATTAATGTGGAGGATGTGAAGACCTGGGCCCCGACCCTTGATGGGCCTATCTGTAATTAGCTGGAGCCCTCCCCCGGA
This sequence comes from Homo sapiens, assembly GCF_000001405.40. Taxonomy (NCBI): domain Eukaryota; kingdom Metazoa; phylum Chordata; class Mammalia; order Primates; family Hominidae; genus Homo; species Homo sapiens. Next base: position 445,910 of record NC_000023.11, read on the forward strand.
TTTGGGGTTGACAGACGCTCAGGACAGCACGATGATCTCAAGGGCGTCAAAGGGCAAAGCTTCCCCATCAATGGCTCTGTTTGGAGAGGGAGTAGCTGGGGGAGTCAGGGACTCAGCGTGGGGCTCACACCCTCTTTTACCGAGCACTTCTGATTTATATTATAAAAATCTCATTTTCAGAAAAGAAGGGAGTTTTACATGGGATAGGGTGGTGTGAAATCAGCAAATCAGCAAAAAGAAAACAAAACAAAAACGCTTTTCAGGAAAACGATGATGGATTTGGGTGGGGAGAGGGCAGAGCTCCTGGGACCTGATTACTGTTAATTTGTAATCCAGGGAGGTCCTGAGCCTGGTGAAATATTAATGCTTGAGAAAGGCCACTGTCTTCTGATTCTTTCTGTGCTTTTGGGACAATCCCAATGGATGCAACACACCCCCGCGTTGATTTATTTATGTTCACAGCATGGCCGAGGCAGCAGGAGACCCCAAGTTGTATTCAAAATATCCAAAAGGGGCTTTTCTTTTTCCCTTTGTTTATTCAAAATATTCAAAAAGGGCTTTTCTTTTTCCCTTTGTTTCCGCGATTTCTGCGCTGTTGGCTGAAAGTGCTCTGAGTTCACGCGCTACGGGGGGTGACTTCCATTTCTGCAGACAGCAGCCTTGGGGATGGCCTGGCGAGGGCTAGGAATACCACACCCTGATCCCATTCTTCCTGGCTCAGTCCTGACTGTGAGAGTCACGGTGGACTCTGGGTTTTTCGGTTTTTTTGTTTGTTTGTTTTTTTGTTTTTTGTTTTTTTTTTTTGACAGGGAGTCTCGCTCTGTCGTCCAGGCTGGAGTGCAGTGGTGCACCCTAGGCTCACTGCAACCTCCGACTCCTGGGTTCGATTCTACTGCCTCAGCCTCCCGAGTAGCTGAGACTACAGGCACCGGCCACCACGCCTGGCTAATTTTTTTTATTTTTTAAATAGAGATGTGGTTTTGCCGTGTTGGCCAGGCTGGTCTCGATCTCCTGATCTCAGGTGATCCACCTGCCTCGGCCTCCTAAAGTGCTGGGATTATAGGCGTGAGACACCATGCCTGGCCTCTGAACTCTGTTTTAAGTTTTTTTTTTTTTTTAATTGAGGTGAGTTTCACGAAACATGCAATCAACCATTTTATTTTTATTACTTATGTATTTATTTTGAGACAGGGTCTCGCTCTGCTGCCCAGGCTAGGGTGCACTGGTGCAATCACAGCTCACTGCAGCCTCAATGTCCTGGGCTCAGGTGATCCTCCTGCCTCAGCCTCCTGAGTAGGTGAGACCGTGGGCATGCCCCACCATGCCTGGCTAATTTTTGTATTATTACTATTTTCTTGGTAGAGACAGGGTCTCACTGTGTTGCCCAGGCCCATCTTGTACTCCTGGTCTCAAGCGATCCTCCTGCCTCGGCCTCCCAAAGTGCTGCAATTACACAGGTGAGGCAACGCAGCCAGCAACCCTTTCAAGCAGAAGGATTTGTTGGTATTTACTGAATTCACCTTGTTGTGGTAGCATATCATCTACATAATACCAGAATATTGTCATCCCTCAAAAACAGAGCCAGGAGAAGAACTGCCCATTTTCCCTCCCCATTCCCAGGCAACTCAAAATCTTCCTTCTGTCTCTATGGGTTTGCCTGTTCTACACATTTCGTATATGATGGGAATAGGCTTTTTTTTTTTTTTTTTTTTTTTTAGAAAGAGTCTCGCTCTGTCAGCCAGCCTGGAGTGCAACGGTGTAATCTCGGCTCAGTGCAACCTCCACCTCCTGGGTTCAAGCGATTCTCCTGCCTCAGCCTCCTGAGTAGCTGGGATTACGGGCACCCCCCACCACACTCAGCTAATTTTCTTTTCTTTTTTCTTTCTTTCTTTCTTTTTTTTGAGATGGAGTCTCGCTCTGTTGCCCAGGCTGGAGTGCAGTGGCACGATCTCAGCTCACTGCAATCTCCGCCTCCTGAGGTCAAGTGATTCTCCTGCCTCAGCCTCCCAAGTAGCTGAGATTACAGGTGCCCACCATGCCAGGCTAATTTTCTTTTTTTGAGATGGAGTCTTGCTCTGTCGCCCAGGCTGGAGTGCAATGGTGAGATCTCGGCTCACTGCAACCTCCACCTCCTGGGTTTAAGTGATTCTCCTGCCTCAGCCTCCTGAGTAGCTGAGATTACAGGTGCCCACCATGCCAGACTAATTTTCTTTTTTCTTTTTTCTTTTTTTTTTTTTTTGAGATGGAGTCTTGCTCTGTCGCCCAGGCTGGAGTGCAGTGGTGTGATCTCAGCTCACTGCAACCTCTGCCTCCTGGGTTTAAGTGATTCTCCTGCCTCTGCCTCCTGAGTAGCTGGGATTACAGGTGCCCGCCACCATGCCCAGCTAATTTTCTTTCTGGTTTTTTTTTTTTTTTTTTTTTTGAGACAGAATCTTACTCTGTTGCACAGGCTGGAGTGCAATGGCATAATCTTGGCTCAGTGCAACCTCTGCCTCCTGGGTTCAAGCGATTCTGCTGCCTTAGCCTCCTGAATAGCTGGGATGACAGGCACCCATCACCACGCTCAGCTAATTTTTGTGTTTTTAGTAGAGATGGGGTTTCTCCATGTTGGCCAGGCTGGTCTCGAACTCCTGACCTCAGGTGATCCACCCGCCTCAGCCTCCCAAAGTGCTGGGATTACAGGTGTGAGCCACTGCTCCTGGCCAAAAAATTATTTTTTATAGACCTGGGGTTTTGCTATGTTGCTCCGGGTGCTCTCCAATTGCTGGGCTCAAGCAATCCTTCCACCTCAGCCTCCCAAAGTGCTGGGATTACAGGCACGAACCGTAGCACCCGACCGGCCTCTTTATACTATTTTGCAGGAACATTACCTTGCTTTCAGTGAGTGCAGTTCCCACGAAAAAGCCGCGAGTATGGAGAAGTTTGCCTAGAAAACTTAGGCAGTTACTCCTTTTAGATAATTTAACTTCAAAGTCGAAACAGGGCATCGCAGAAAGGATCTGAATTTAGAGGTATGTTTTATTGAATCACTCAAGGCCTAGAAATAGAAATGATCAAAGGGTGTTTGCGAGCGTGCTTTCCAGCTTCTGAGGAGCTGAGCCCAGCTCACTAATGATGGCAATTGTGGTCATAGGTGACTCGCCCCCGAGCTGGGGGTGCCTCTGAGCGCCTCTGCCTTCCACCCTACTGGGGAGCAAGGCTGTGGGGCCACCTCTAATGATTGGTTGTTATTGTCTGAGGATATCTAGAAATTCAAGAGAGATCTACTTTATACTCTGGAAATGAAGAGCCTTTTGTATTCAGCAAAGGGATCGGTGTTGAGAGGGGGCTTCACGGGTGTACACCGTGGGGAGTATCCCTCCTGGGTTCCAAGCTCAGACAGGTGGCCCAAGACAAGATGTCTGGCTTTTTAAATTTTAATTTAATTTAATTTAATTTTAATTTAATTTTAATTTAATTTTAATTTAATTTAATTTTAATTTAATTTAATTTTAATTTTAATTTTAATTTTAATTAATTAATTAATTTATTTTCGAGACAGAGTCTCTCTCTGTCGCCCAGGCTGGAGTGCAGTGGCGCAATCTCGGCTCACTGCAAGCTCCGCCTCCCGGGTTCACGCCATTCTCCTGCCTCGGCCTCCAGAGTAGCTGGGACTACAGGCGCCCGCCACCACGCCCGGCTAATTTTTTGTATTTTTAGTAGTAGAGACGGGGTTTCACCGTGTTGGCCAGGATGGTCTCGATCTCCTGACCTTGTGATCCACCCACCTCGGCCTCCCAAAGTGCTGGGATGACAGGTGTGAGCCGCCACGCCCGGCCCGTTATTTTTATTTTTAGTACAGATGAGGCTTTTCTCTGTTGCCCAGGCTGAAGTGCAGTGACGTGATCAGGGTCCTTGCATTTTTTGTTTTGAGACAGGGTCTTGCTCTGTCGCTCAGGATGGACTGCAGGGATGTGATCCCAGCTCACTGCAGCCTCAGCCTCCTGGGCTCAAGCCATACTCCTGCCTCAGCCTCCTGAGTAGCTGGACTACAGGTGTGTGCCAGTATGCCTGGCTGTTTTTTTCTAAATGATTTTTTTTGGTAGAGATGGGGTCTCACTATGTCTCCCAGGCTGAAGCTCTGTGGTGTGATCATAGCTCACTGCAGCCTCGAACTCCTGAGCTCAACTGATCCTCCCACCTCAGCCTCCTGAAGTGCTGGGATTAGGGGGGTGAGCCACTGCACTCAGCCAACAGATAGAGATGGGGTCTCGCTATGTCTCCCAGGCTGAAGCTCTGTGGTGTCATCATAGCTCACTGTAGCCTCGAACTCCTGGGCTCAACTGATCCTCCCACCTCAGCCTCCTGAAGTGCTGGGGTTAGGGGGGTGAGCCACTGCACTCAGCCAACAGATAGAGATGGGGTCTCGCTATGTCTCCCAGGCTGAAGCTCTGTGGTGTCATCATAGCTCACTGTAGCCTCGAACTCCTGGGCTCAACTGATCCTCCCGCCTCAGCCTCCTGAAGTGCTGGGATTAGGGGGGTGAGCCACTGCACTCAGCCAACAGATAGAGATGGGGTCTCGCTATGTCTCCCAGGCTGAAGCTCTGTGGTGTCATCATAGCTCACTGCAGCCTCGAACTCCTGAGCTCAACTGATCCTCCCACCTCAGCCTCCTGAAGTGCTGGGATTAGGGGGGTGAGCCACTGCACTCAGCCAACAGATAGAGATGGGGTCTCGCTATGTCTCCCAGGCTGAAGCTCTGTGGTGTCATCATAGCTCACTGCAGCCTCGAACTCCTGGGCTCAACTGATCCTCCCGCCTCAGACTCCTGAAGTGCTGGGATTAGGGGGGTGAGCCACTGCACTCAGCCAACACATCTGTAAATATGCCTAAGGCATCTATACCGTAGTAGGTTTGCTACAAGGATCAAGCAAGATAGTGTTCTGGAAATACAAGCCTCACCCTTACGAAGCTGTTTCAGCAGGTGTAACAAATGGCCGTTCACAGAGTGGCTCAAAAAAACACACATTTGGCCAGGCGTGGTGGCTCATGCCTGTAATCCTACCACTTTGGGAGGCTGAGGTCGGAGGATTGCTTGAGACCAGAAGTTTGAGACTATAGCCTGAGCAACAGAGTGACGTAGTGATACTTTGTTTCTAGAAAAATAAAAAAAAAAATAATTAGCCGGGTGTAGATGGGGGGGGGGGGTGGTCTGTAGTCCCAGCTACTCGGGAGGCTGAGGCAGGAGGATCCTTTGAGCCCGGGAGTCCGAGGCCGTACTGAGCTAGGATTGCACCACTGCACTCCAGCCTGGGCGACAGGGCGAGACTCTGTCTCAAAACAGAAAACAACAAGAACAAGAAGCCCCCCGAAAAAACAAGAAGTCCTGCCCACTCTTTTTTTTTGAGACAGTTTTCCTCTTGTTGCCCAGGGTGGAGTGCAATGGCGTGATCTCGGCTCACTGCATTTTCTGCCTCCCGGGTTCAAGAGATTCTCCTGCCTCAGCCTCCTGAGTAGCTGGGAGTACAGGCACCTGCCACCACGCCTGGCTAATTTTGCATTTTTAGTAGAGATGGGGTTTCACCATGTTGGCCAGGCTGGTCTCGAACTCCTGACCTCATGTGATCCACCTGCCTCGGCCTCCCAAAGTGCTGGGATGACAGGCGTGAGCCACCCTGTCTGTCCCCTTTCCTTTATCTTTTACAACTCCAGGACTTTAGCATAAGCCTACAAGTCCTCCCCCTTCTTTTAAGATTTTTTTCCTCTTCGATTTCACTCAGCTGAGAGAAAGGGGAGACCTCCCCCCCTCCCTTTTCACCAAACACCTACTCATTTTCCCAAGCTGTACCCACCATACTCACAGCAAATTTCATTTAGGATAGACATTTTATTTTATTTATTTTTTTTTTCATTTTTTTGAGACAGAGTCTCGCTGTGTCGCCCAGGCTGGAGTACAGTGGCACGATCTCGGCTCACTACAACCTCCGCCTCCCGAGTTCAAGTGATTCTCCTGCCTCAGCCTCCGGAGTAGCTGGGATGACAGGTGCACGTCAACCTCAGCCCACAAGGTGGCCCAAGGCACACGGAGTTCACATTGTACCCACCATGGGTCGAAGGTGGGCGTCTGATTCCTCCTGAAGGGTGGGGAGCTGTGATGTGAACAGGCCACTTCAATGGGACAGGCGTGATCTCCATTTGGGACTAAATACAAGCCCATGGAGGGTCCACAGAGCACCAAGGGAAGCTGGCATTTCAAAACATCTGCCTCGTTTGTCTAAACCACACCACACCACACACCACTCTGGGGTCTGTTTGGCCACAGAGAATCCTCTAGCCCCAAATGTCAGCAGAGCTGAGGCTGAGAGACACTGACTGAGGGACTCTATCTATCATCTGTCAATCAATCAATCAATCATCTATCTGTCTATCCATTATCTATCTATTTATCCACCTATCATCTATCTATCTATCATCTATCTCTCTCTCATCCGTCCATCCATCGTCTATTCTATCTGTCATCTATGTATCTATCCATCTAGTCATCCATCTATCTATCCTGTGTGTATTTATCCATTCTATGTATCTATCTATGTATCTATCTATGTATCTATCTATGTATCTATCTATCTATCTATCTATCTATCTATCTATCTATCTGTCATCTATGTATCTATCCATCTATTCATCCATCTATCCTGTATGTATTTGTCCATCCATCCATCCATCTATTCTATCATCTATCTTCATCTATGTATCTATCCATCTATTCATCCATCTATCCTGCATGTATTTATCTATCCATCATCCATCTATTCTATCATCTATCATCTATGTATCTATCCATCTATTCATCCATCTATCCTGCATGTATTTATCTATCCATCCATCCATCTATTCTATCATCTATCTATCATCTATGTATCTATCCACCTATTCATCCATCTATCTTGTATGTATTCATCCATCCATCCATCTATTCTATTATCTATCTATCATCTATTCATCCATCTATCTATCCTGCATGTATTTATCTATCCATCCATCCATCCATCTATTCTATCATCTATCTGTCTTCTATGTATCTATCCATCTATTCATCCATCTTGTATGTATTTATCCATCCATGCATCTACTCAACCATCCCTCCTCTATTTATCATCTCTATCATCTGTAAGTCAATCAGTTTATCCATCATCTATCAATCACCCACATCTATCTTTATTATCTATCACCTGTCTATTTATCTATCTATCCTGTATGTATTTATCCATCCATCCATCCCTCCATCCATCCATTCCCTGTCTATCTCTATCATATAGAGAAAAATGGCAGCCGCGTCCACACTGGCCTCAGAACTCTCTGGTGAGGTTGCACCAATGAAGCAACAGATTGTGAGGATGTCACTTTTCTGGTTTTTTTTTTTTCAAGATGGAATCTCACTCTGTCACCCAGGCTGGAGTGCAGTGGCACGATCTCAGCTCACTGCAACCTCCACCTCCTGGGTTCAAGTGATTCTCCTGCCTCCGCCTCTTGAGGAGCTGGGACTACAGGTGCTCACCACCACGCCTGGCTAATTTTTGTATTTTTAGTAGAGATGGGGTCTCACCGTGTTGGCCAGGCTGGTCTTGAACTAGTGACCACAGGTGATCTGTCTGCCTCGGCCTCCCAAAGTGCTGGGATTACAGGCATGAGCCACCGTGCCCAGTGACGTCACTTTTCTTTGAATAGTTTAGATCAAACCGCACCAACTGTATGTGACTTTGTTATATCTTTTATTATATGTATAACAGAAATACATAGTTATATGTGTTGTATTTGGAAGTGTATCACTGAATGTGGTTCTGAGGACCTTGGGGAATTATTTAATTTAATTTAATTAATTTATTGTAGAGATGGGGTGTCATGAGGTTGCTCAGACTGATCTCAAACTTCTGGGCTCAAGGGATCCTCCCTCCCTTCTCGGCCTCCTAAAGTGCTGGGATTACAAGTGGGAGCCACTGTGCCTGGCAGGGGGATTATTTTAAATGCTTCCTAAGCAAAATAAATAATGCATGAGACACTTACTGCATCTGCTCCTCAAATTCCTTCCAAAAGTGCTTTGGGGCCGGGTGCAGTGGCTCACGCCTGCAATCCCAGCACTTTGGGAGGCTGAGGTGGGAGGATCGCTGGAGCCAGGAGTTTGAGACCAGTCTGGGCAACATAGCAAGACCCCAGCTCTATAAAAAAAATATCTTGGGAGGCCGAGGCGGGCAGATCATGAGGTCAGGAGATCGAGACCATCCTGGCTGACACGGTGAAACCCCGTCTCTACTAAAAATACAAAAAATTAGCTGGGCGCGGTGGCGGGCGCCTGTAGTCCCAGCTACTCGGGAGGCTGAGGCAGGAGAGTGGCGTGAACCCGGGAGGCAGAGCTTGCAGTGAGCCGAGATCACGCCACTGCACTCCAGCCTGGGCGACAGAGTGAGACTCTGTCTCAAAAAAAAAAAAAAAAAAATCAGGTAGATGTGGTGGTTTCCACCTGTAGTCCCAGCTCCTGGGGAGACTAAGGTGGGAGCATTCCTTGAGCCCAGGACGTCGAGGCTGCAGTGAGCCAAGATCGTACCACAGCTCTCCAGTCTGGGCAATAGAGTTAGCTTCTCATCTCTGCAAAAATAAAGATTAAAAAAAATACTCTCATTGTTCAACTCCCACTTAGGAGTAAGAACTTGCGGTGTTTGGTTTTCTGTTCCTGTGTGAGTTTGCTGAGAATGATGGTTTCCAGCTTCGTCCATGTCCCTGCAAATGACAGGAGCTCACCCTTTTTCATGGCTGCATAGTATTCCATGGTGTCTGTGTGCCACATTTTCTTTATCCAGTCTATCATTGATGGGCATTTGGGTTGGTCCCAAGTCTTTTGCTATTCCCAGCAGGTTTTCAAAGCCCGTCGTCTTTGCTTAGCGTGCACCATGATGTCGGCTCTCTGAATTCACCGTCTTTCTAGATGAGTCCCAGAGTTTTTCTTCATCACTCAGTATTTGGCAACAGGGAAGTTTTTCTAAGCAAGTCAACCCATCAATGATAGACTGGATAAAGAAAATGTGGCACATAGACACCATGGAATACTATGCAGCCATCAAAAAGGATGAGTTCATGTCGTTCGCAGGGACATGGATGAATCTGGAATCCATCATTCTCAGCAAACTCACACAGGAACAGAAAACCAAACACTGCATGTTCTCACTCCTAAGTGGGAGTTGAACAATGAGAACACATGGACACAGGAAGGGGAACATCACACACCCGGGCCTGTCGAGGGCTGTGGGGCTGTGGAAGGGATTGCATTAGGAGAAATTCTCACCATCTATGAACCCCTCATTTCCTCATCGGGAAAAATGTACCTGAAAATAGCGCCTGCCTCTGAGTGTTGTGGTAAGGAAGCAATGCCATTATTTATGTCTCATGCTGTGGCTTGAGACTGTGTCTGTTTATGCTGCTCTGGTTTGTGGTGGAGGCTGCCGTCTGTCAGCCTCTGCACCTGCCGTCTGTCAGCCTCTGCACCTGCTCTGAAGTTTTCCTCTCGGTGGTACCCACCCATCATCCTGCTGCCCTTGAGTTCCCAGGAGCCCACAGGAGCTGCACTTTCTCCAGGCCTTTTGCCGGTGGAGCTGCCTCTTGGATTGTGCGTCTCCATCCGATGCACTCTGTTTTCATGTGAAAATCCATGGGAATAAAAAGGCTCTTTTCGTGCTGAAAAATTGAGCCCAGGGGTTCAGCCAGCAGAGGACTCTGTGGGTATAAATATGAATGGAGAGGATTCTAAATATATAGCAGAGCAGAAGTCAGATGTTTGTGGAGAGGTGAAACGGCCTGGCCAGGTTCTTGGAACTTTAGAAATGAGGATGGCTTCCGGGGGAACTGGGGAGCGACCGTTCTCAACTGGGGATGAACATGCACCCCGACGGACACTCGGCACTGTCTGGGGCGGTTCTGGGTGTGGTAACTGGGAGGGGGGTGCTCCTGGCACCTGGTTTGTGGAGCCCGGGGATGCTGCTCACCACCTTACAGTGACCACAGAGAATCCTCCAGCCCCAAATGTCAGCAGAGGTGAGGCTGAGAGACACTATCTGAGGGACTCTATCATCTGTCAATCAATCAATCAATCTCTCAATCTATTATGCATCTATCTATCTATCTATCTATCTATCTACCCACCTATCATCTATCATTTATCTATGTATCTATGTATCTATGTATCTATCTACCTATCATCTATCTATCATCTATCTATGTATCTATCTATGTATCTATTATCTATCTATCCACCTATCATCTATCTATAATCTCTCTCTCTCCCAACCATCCATCTATCCATCCATCCATCCATCTATCCATCTATCCATTATCTATCATACATCTATCTATTCATCCATCCATCATCTATCATCTCTATCATCTATAAATCAATTTATCCATCATCTGTCATTCATCCATCCATCACCCATCTTTATTATCTATCATCTATCTATCCATCTATCATTCATCTATCATCTACCCATCCATTACCTATCTATCTCTATCATATATAAATCAATCAATCTATCATCTATCATCCACCAATCTACCTATTTATCTAGATCTGCCTATCTACCTTTATCTATTATCTATCATCAATCTTTATTATCTATCTATCATCTATCTACAGATCTATTTATTGACCCATTATCTATCTATCATCTATCTACCTATCTATCTAATCTGTGCTTTTCAGCTGCTGCCGATTGTCTCCTCTGAGGACACTTTGTCAGTCTCTGGGGACACTTTTGGTTGTCTGGATTGTGGAGTGAGGGTGCTTCTGGTCGCTGGTGGGTGAAGCCCAGGGACACTGCTCAACACCCTACAGTGCACAGATCAGCCCCACCAGAGAGAATCGTCCAGTCCCATGTGTCGGAAGTACCAGGGCTGAAAGACACTGCCTGAGGCTGAGACAATCTCTGTTTGTCTATCTATCACCTATCAGTGATCTATCAGTCAATTATCTACCTATTAACTGTCTATATCAATTATCTGTCATACCTATCAATCAGCTATCATTAATCATCTGTCTATATCAATTATCCATCATACCTATCAATCAACTATCTATCATCAATCATCTATCTATACTAATTATCCATCATACATATCAATCAACTAACAATCATCAATCATCAAGCATCTATATCAATTATCCATCAAACCTATCAATCATATATCATCAATCATCTATCTGTGTGAATTATCCATCATACCTATCAATCAGCTATCAATCGTCAATCATATATCAATTATCCATCATACCTATCAATCAACCATCTATCAATCATCAATCTATATCAATTATCTGTCATACCTATCAATCATCAATCATCTATCTATATCAATTATCCATCATACTTATCAATCAACCATCTATCTATATGAATTATCCATCATATCTATCAATCAACTACCTATCATCAATCTATATCAATTATCCGTCACACCTTTCGATCAGCTATCTATCAATCATCAATCATCTATATCAATTATCCATCAAACCTATCAATCAACTATTTGTCAATTATCAATCATCTATATCAATTATGCATCATACCTATCAACTATCATCAATCATCTATCTATATGAATTATCCATCATACCTATCAATCAACTACCTATCAATCTATATCAATTATCCATCACACCTATCAATCAACTATTTATCAATTATCATCTATATCAATTATGCATCATACCTATCAACTATCATCAATCATCTATCTATATCAATTATCCATCATACCTATCAATCAGCTATCAATCATCAATCCTTGATCTATATCATTTATGCATCAATCATCAATCATCTGTATCAATTATCAATCATCTATTTACCTATCAAATCAACTATGTATCATCTTTCATCATATCTATCAATTGTCCATCAGTCAGTTATCTACCTGTCTATTCAATGGTTTGCAAACAGGATGATTTTCTTTTTCTGAGAAGAGGTCTCAAAACTTTGTTTTGGGCTGGGCACGGTGGCTCACACCTGTAATCCCAGCACTGTGGGAGGCCAAGGCGGACCGATCACCTGAGGTCTGGAGTTCGAGGCCAGCCTGGCCAACATGGTGAAACCCCGTCTCTACTAAAAATACAAAAACTAGCTGGGCGTGGTGGCGGGTGCCTGTAATCCCAGCTACTCGGGAGGCTGAGGCAGGATAGTTGCTTGAACCTGGGAGGCGGAGGTTGCAGTGAGCCGAGATTTTGCACTCCAGCCTGGGCAACAAGTGTGAAAATTCGTCTCAAAAATTAAAAATAAAAAATAAAATCTTCATTTTGTCCTGAGTTGAAACTGAAGGGCCGGCATCGTGCTTCCCAAAGATGTCCTGTTTTATGCTGGAGGTGGCAGTTTCTTGTATTTGCAGATATGTGTGAAAAACCAGACCTTGGCAATGACTTTGACAATAGGCGGTAAATAACTGCCAGATGCTTAGCGTTCCAATAATGGAATGCTAGGCATCGATAGGTTTAAGCCCCCTATGATTTTAGCACTGATATGGAAGTACGGGATTCCTTCATGGAGAAAATAAGACACTGGTTTTGCTTTCTGTTTTCTTTTCTTTCTTTTTTTTTTTTGAGAAGGAGTCTTGCTCTTGTACCCCCAGGCTGGAGTGCAATGGTACTATCTCGGCTCACTGCAACCTCCGCCTCCCAGGTTCAAGTGATTCTCATGCCTCAACCTCCAAAGTAGCTGGGGTTACAGGTGCACGCCATATCTGTGCACCATGCTGGCCAGGCTGGTCTCGAACTCCTGACCGCAGGTTACCTGCCCGAGCCACCACGCCTGGCCGCAAACACCGCATTTCAAATATACTGAGTCCTTCAGCTCGGAGGTCAGAAATGGCCAAGGGCGGCCGGGCCGGTGGCTCACGCCTGCAATCCTGCAATCCTAGCATTTTGAGAGGCCAAGGTGGGAGGATTGCTTGACGCCAAGGAGTTTAAGACCAGCCTGGGCAACATAGCAAGACCCCGATTTCTACACAAAATAAAAAAAAAATTAGTCAGGCGTGGTGGCTCACGTCTGTAGTCCCAGACACTGGGAAGTCCGAGGAGGGAGGATCGCCTGAGTCCAGGCGTCCGAGGCTGCAGTGAGCCATGATTGAGCTACTGCACTCCAGCCTGGGCAACAGAGCCAGACCCTGTCTTAAAAATAAAATAATAATTCAAAAAATAGGCCAGGCGCGTTGGCTCATGCCTGTAATCCCAGGACTTTGGGAGGCAGAGGTGGGCAGATCACCTGAGGTCGGGAGTTCAAGACCAGCCTGGCTAACACGGTGAACCCCCGTCTCTACTAAAAATACTAAAATCAGCTGGGCGTGGTGGCAGGTGCCTGTAATCCCAGCTACTCGGGAGGCTGAGGCAGGAGAATGGCTTGAACCCGGGAGGCGGAGGTTTCAGTGAGCCGAGACTGCGCCATTGCACCCCAGCCTGGGCAGCAAGAGCGAAACTCCGTCTCAAGAAAAGAAAAGAAAAAAAATGCTCAGGTACATTTTTGCTTTATTTCAGGATTTCTTTACGTTGCTGTGAAAACCTGGATGTTGGGGGCTCTGTCTGTGTATCGTAGACGGAGTTTTGAATTGCTCCAGTGAAACACAAGTATTTTACCTTACGCTGTCAACCTGCTGGGGGAAGCGTGAAGACAGTTTAACCTTCTGGCTCCGGTAATCATCTTGTCTCAGAGACCTCGGAGAGCTCCCAGAGCCTGGCTGCCACGGTGGTTCTATATACCCTCCAGCCCTGGCCTGCCTTGGGACACCCCTCTCCGCCTGCCGGCCCCAGAATTTCCCCACACACGCGGTCATCACAGCCCGAGATGTTTAATGACGGCTTCATGCACCAGGCTATTGCCCTAAACACGGGTGACAGGCCAAACACACACTAATTACCTAACTCAATTCAAGCCCGCCTGGCCCCGTGGAAAGGCTGAGCTGGGGATGCACGCAGGTGCCCCGTCGTTACCTCCGGATGTCAAATTGAAGTGAGGTTTTCCCGCATGAGCGGGGAGAGCTGTTTCTACGCACCAAGATTTCCACGGTTTGCAGGAGAAAGAGTTTTGTGTCTGCCCTCTGGACAGCCCTGTCAGTTTTATCAAGCGTGTCTGATTAAGGAATATTTAAAGGTATGTGTTCAGAAGCGTTTCTCCCCTTCTTTTGTGTGTGTGTGTGGCCATGTTTAAAAAAAACAAATGTAAAACCAGTTACAGGCAAAGTAGGCTAGTTTGGTGCTGAAATAACGCCGTCGTTCATGAGCCGGCTTAAATAATGCAGTTGTTAGAAACCAGCTCTCAAAGCTGTGGGTTGGCTGAGGAGGGTTAGTACGAGGTCCTGACCCCAAACCTGTGTGTATCTGGAGCCGGCGGGAGACATTTGGCCTGGAGTATGAGGCTGGCTGGACCTGGAAGGTCCTCAGCGTTAGAGGGACTGTTTCGGGAAGGTTTTCTGGCAGCTGAGTCCCAATTCCAGGAGGAAGTAGGCATTGAGTAGATAATTTCAGCTCCCCCATTGAAGCCGTCCAGCCTGCAGAGAAAGATAGCAGTGGCCCCCTGCCCTATCCCGGCAAAGCTGACCCCGAGAATGCCCGGGTCACAAGCCCAGGTGGACAGTGTCTCCTTGTGCCTCGGAAGAGAATTCTGCATTAGGAAGGAATCCAGGGGGAATGGGGAGAAAAGGCCCGAGATACGTGAGCAGAGGTGAGAGCCGTGCCAGGGCTGAGCCACGCTTCAGGAGAGACCAGCTATGTCTCTCTCTGTGTTGGGAGCCGTTGGGTAAAGCGGGGACTTCTGGGTGAGCCAACATTACAGACTTATATGGGAATTTAAGGCTCGGTTAAATATGCCCCTCAAAAAAGTTTCCTGACTTTTTTTTGATACGCCAGTTTCATTATCAGGGGGCTCATCAGCCGGGGACGCGGTGCAGGACGGATGGAAGCCGTGGGCCGTGTCAACTCTACAGGGCTGTATTTCTTTTTTTTTTTCGTGCTCATTACGATTCTTGGATGTGTGTAATTTACATCTAAATGCACTGACTAATTTTGATCCAATCATGTCAAAAATGATAGGTACTGTGTGGGAGGAGATGACAGCCGTACCAGCGCGCGTTGCCAGAGTGAGAGTCCCTCGGGGCAATGATTTAATGCCCCCAGTCAGCCGGGCCTGTCAGCTTCGGAGGCCAAATTATGACACATCATGTCGACGACCGGTCCACACGGAGGCTGCGGTGGGGGGAGCCCTGGTTCACCCAGCACCGTCCTGGCCGACCCCCGGCCCCGGCTGCCGCCCCGTGCCCCGTCACACACGCAAGATGCAGAGTGGGGAGAAATGATGCGCTAACCCCCCTGTAAAAGAGTCATTTGCATCTGTATTTTTTACTCCAGCAAGGGCATGTCAGGTGTTTGCGGGAAGGGCAGGCTGGACGGCCTCCATGCAGCGTGAGCGTGTCCGCGTGTGTGTGTGCACGTGTGTCCACATGTGTGTGTGGTGTCTGCGTGCCTCTGTGTGTGTCCGTGTGTGCGCACGCGCCCGTGTGTGTGCATCTGTGTGTGGCGTCAGCATGTGTCTATGTGTGTCCATGTGTGTATGTATGTGTGCATGCATGCACCTGTATGTGTGTCTGTGTGCATGCATGTGAGTGTATGTGTGTGTGTCTGAGTGTGAGCGTGCCTATGCACGTGTGTGTGTGCATGTTTCTGTGTGTGCATACGCCCATGTGTGTCTGTGTGCATGCGTGTGTGTGTATGTTAGTGTGAGGGTGGACGTGTGCCTATGCACCTATGTGTGTATGTGTTTCTGCATGTCTGTGCATGCATGCACCTGTATGCGTGTCTGAGTGCATGCGTGGGAGTGTATGTGCGTGTCTCAGTGTGGGCATGCCTATGCACATATGTGTGCACATGTTTCTGTGTGCATATGCTTGCATGTGTGTGTGCATGCATGTGAGTGGATGTGTGTGTGAGTGTGGGCATGCCTATGCACGTGTGTGTGTGCATGTTTCTGTGTGTCTGTATACGCCTGTGTCTTGAGTGTGTGAATGTGCCTATGGACATGTGTATACATGTTTCTGCATGTCTGTGCATGCATATGCCTGTGTGTCTCTGTGTGCATGCGTGTGAGTGTGTGTGTATGTTAGTGTGAGGGTGGACGTGTGCCTATGCACCTATGTGTGTATGTGTTTCTGCATGTCTGTGCATGCATGCACCTGTATGCGTGTCTGAGTGCATGCGTGGGAGTGTATGTGCGTGTCTCAGTGTGGACATGCCTATGCACATATGTGTGCACATGTTTCTGTGTGCATATGCTTGCATGTGTGTGTGCGTGCATGTGAGTGGATGTGTGTGTGAGTGTGGGCATGCCTATGCACGTGTGTGTGTGCATGTTTCTGTGTGTCTGCGTATACGCCTGTGTCTTGAGTGTGTGAATGTGCCTATGGACATGTGTGTACATGTTTCTGCATGTCTGTGCATGCATATGCCTGTGTGTCTCTGTGTGTATGCGTGTGAGTGGCATTCATGTGTGTGTATTTGCGTGAGGTGGGCATGCCTATGCACGTATATGTGTACATGTTTCTGTATGTCTGTGCATGCATATGCCTGTATATGTGTCTGTGTGCACATGTGTTCATATATGTGTGTCTGTGTGAGTGTACATATGCCTATGTACGTACGTGTGTACGTTTCTGTGTATCTGTGTGTCTGTGCGTGCATCTGCCTGTATATGTGTGTGTGTGTGCAAATGTGTCTGTATGTGTGTGTCTGTGTGAATGTGGGTGTGCCTTGTACGTATGTGTGTACATGTTTCTGTGTATCTGTGTACCTGTGTGTGCATTCGCCTGCATGTCTGTGTGTGTGCATGCATGTCAGTGAACGTTGGCGGCCTCTCCTCAGAGCCCCTCTTGCCTGAAGGAAGTGCCACCTCCAGCCCCCCTTTGCTTTGTTTTGCGTCTCGGGAGTGACGTCACTGTCGGCTCCGCAGGATCCTCCCATCCTTGTTCGTCCTGGGCTTGCGGGATGAGTCTGTCAGGAGCAGACACGCCGTGGTGGGCCGTGCACACGTTTGCACCTGCTCTCAGAAGTCCTTTCCCCGAGGAGGAGGCTCTGTTGGAGAGAGAGACCCTTGGGCACCTGTGGGCCCTCACTGCTCTCTTCTGAGACTGTGGTACCGGCCATCTCCAGCCCTGGCCCTGGCCCGGTGACTTCCCCAGGGCACCCCAGGGATGTGCCAAAGGAGGACTCCCCGGGGAGGGTGGGTGAGGTGCGTGCCCGCCGTGCCGAGACGCTCCTGAAGGCAGAGGCTGCTCAGGAAAGTCGGCTGCTTCCTAATCTCCGTCCGTGCTCACGCAAAGTCCTCGGTCGCCGTCTGCCACACGCTTATTTTATTTGGCAGAAGTTACAGCTCAGGCAATTTCGTTAGGAAACCTGTTGGGGTTTCTTGGTTCTATGCAGGATGGCTGGTGCTTTAGGAGGAGGTGGGGATTAGAAAGAGTCTTGAGGCCGGACGTGGTGGCTCACGCCTGCAATCCCAGCACTTTGGGAGGCTGAGGCGGGTGGATCACGAGGTCAGCAGTTCGAGACCAGCCTGACCAACATGGTGAAACCCCATCTCTACTAAAAATACAAAAAAATCAGCCAGGTATGGTGGTGGGCACCTGTAGTTCCAGCTAGTCGGGAGGCTGAGGCAGGAGAATCACTTAAACCTGGGAGGTGGAG
The DNA here is from genome assembly GCF_000001405.40 of Homo sapiens. Classification (NCBI taxonomy): domain Eukaryota; kingdom Metazoa; phylum Chordata; class Mammalia; order Primates; family Hominidae; genus Homo; species Homo sapiens. The sequence goes on from NC_000023.11 coordinate 463,652, forward strand.
GTTGCAGTGAGCCGAGATCGCACCAATGTACTCCAGCCTGGGTGACAGTGTGAGACTCCATCTCAAAAAAAAAAAAAAAGTTAGCCAGGCGTGGTGGCAGGTGCCTGTAATCCCAGCTGCTTGAGATGCTGAGGCAGGAGAATCACTTAAACCCGGGAGGTGGAGGTTGCAGTGAGCCAAGATCATGCCATTGCACTCCAGCCTGGGTGACAAAAGTGAGACTACGGCTCAAAAAAAGAAAAAAAAATACAAATAGTAGCCAAGCCTGGTGGTGAACACCTGGAACCCTGGCTACTTCGGAGGCTGAGGCGGGAGAATCGTTTGAACCCGGGAGGCGGAGGTTGCAGCGAGCTGAGGTCGCGCCTGGGAGGCAGAGGTTGCAAGATTCTGTCTCGGAAAAAAAAAAAAGAAAATATGATCCATCTGTAACATTGAATGCTACACAGCCATGAAAAAGAATCAAATCATGTCCTTTGCAGAAATACGGATGCAGCTGGAGGCGCTTCTTCTTCTTCTTTTTTTTTTTTTTTTTTAGACGGATTCTCACTCTGTCGCCCAGGCTGGAGTGCAGTGGCGCGGTCTCGGCTCACTGCAAGCTCCGCCTCCTTGGTTCACGCCATTCTCTTGCCTCAGTGGAGGCCCACATAAGAGGGAGCTAAAATTGGGTACAAATAGTCATAGAAATGGGAACAATAGATGCTGGCGTCTGCTAGACGGGGGAGGGAAGGATGGAGGCAAAGGCGGAAAAATCATACGTTGGGTCCCATGCTCAGTACTTGGATGGCACAATCCTTCATGCCCCAAACTTCAGCATCACACATTATACTCAAGCAACAAATGTGCACATGAGCCTCCTGAATCCGAAATAAAAGTTGCCATGATTTAAAAAAGAAATAAAGATGATGATTGAAATATGTGTTTTTATTTTTTGAGACAGAGTCTCGCTGTGTCACCCAGGCTGGAGTGCAGTGGCGTGATCTCAGCTCACTGCAACCTCCACCTCCTGGGTTCAAGCAATTCTCCTGCCTCAGCCTCCCGAGTAGCTGGGAAGACAGGCGCCTGCCACCATGCCTGACTAATTTTTGTATTTTTAGTAGAGACGGGGTTTCTCCATATTGGCCAGGCTGGTCTCGAACTCCCGACCTCAGGTGATCCACCTGCCTTGGCCTCCCAAACTGCTGGGATTACAGGTGGGAGCCACTGCGCGCAGCATTTGTCTGTTGTTTATAAGTTGCCACATCTGACATTTGGTGGTGTTGGATTTTCTCTGAAGGTCTTTTTTTTTGAGATGGAGTCTTGCTCTGTCGCCCAGGCTGGAGTGCAGTGGTGCAATCTCGGCTCACTGCAACCTCCGCCTCCTGAGTTCAAGTGATTCTCCTGCCTCAGCCTCCCGAGTAGCTGGGATTGCAGGCACCCACCACCACGCCTGCCTAATTTTTGTGTTTTTAGTAGAGACAGGGTTTCACCATGTTGGCCAGGATGGTCTCAAACTCCTGACCTGGTGATCCGCCTGCCTTGGCCTCCCAAAGTGCTGGGATTACAGGCATGAGCCTCCACACCTGGCCTTTTTTTTTTTCTGAGACTGAGTCTTACTCTGTCGCCCAGGCTGGAGTGCAATGGCACGATCTCGGCTCACCGCAACCTCCACCTCCTGGATTCAAGCGATTCTCCTGCCTCAGCCTCCCGAGCAGCTGGGATGACAGGCCCCCGCCACCACACCTGCCTAATTTTTTTTTGTATTTTCAGTAGAGGTGGGGTTTCACCATGTGAGTCAGGCTGGTCTCCAACTCCTGACCTCAAGTGATCCTCCCGCCTCGGCCTCCCAAAGTGCTGGGATCGCGGACGTGAGCCACCACACCGGCCAACATTCACGCGATTTTCAGAATTAGCAGCCACCCGTCTGGGTCCCCACAGTGTTTGGGGAAAGGGATTTGGGGGTGTGGTACGCCCTGTGTTCCCCGGCGGGCAGCTGGGGCCGGACTCCCTTGCCGACATCCTGTGTGTTCTCTGCATCTCGAAGTTGTCACGAACTCTCATGGCAACCCCCTTCTCGTGCTATGGGTTCCGTTTAGCCTCCCTCAGAATTAGCTAAAAACCCACCGGCTTGATTTCTGGCATTTGCAACGGCCGCGCTCAGGAAACCTCCTGCCTCCTGAAAATGCTCATGCTGGCGGAACGGGAAGGCAAATAGGAATCCGTGGATGATAAATGGGCGTTTTAAGCAGCAGTTTACTTAATATCCCTATTAAACGAGACTCTTTGCATTAATCACTTCATTCTCCAGCAGTCTATAAGGCCCTTTAATTGCTTCTTAAATGAGGACTGAGTTTCCGTCCAAACTCAATCTTGGATGGGGAGAGAGAGATGCTAGCCAGGGCTCAGCTGCCCGGCTGCCAAGAACTGTCAGAATTGATCACGTATGTGTTCACGTTTCCTACAGTCTCATTGGAGTTCTCTGAGATTGACAGGAGAAAGTATCACATACTTTGTGTGTGTGTGTGTGTGTGTGTGTCTGTGTGTGTCAGAGACAGAGGGACACAGAGGCCGGGAGCAGGGGTGTGTAAGTGTGAGGTTCTGAACGCAAAGACAGGCCGTTCTGCTCACAATCCACAGGCCAGCGACCTTGTGGACCATTGCATTATGTATTAGCAATATTTATTTTCATTTTATGATTTTATTTATTTGAGACAGCTTCTTGGTCTGTCGCCCATGCTGGAGGGCAGTGGTGCAATCATAGCTCACTGCAGCCTTGATCTTCCAGGCTCAAGAAATCTTCCCTCCTCAGCCTCCCAACTAGCTGGGACTACAGGTGCATGCCACCATGCCTGTCTATTTTTTTTTTTTTGGAGGCAGGGTCAGTCACCCAGGCTGGAGAGCAGCGGTGTGATCTTGGCTTACCACAACCTCCGCCTCCCAGGTTCAAGCGATTCTCCTGTGTCAGCCTCCCGAGTAGCTGGGATGACAGGCACCCGCCACCACGTCTGGCTAATTTTTGTATTTTCAGTAGAGACAGGGTTTCACCAAGCTGGCCACGCTGGACTCGAACTCCTGACCTCAGGTGATCCACCTGCCTCGGCCTCCCAAAGTGCTGGGATTATAGGCGTGAGCCACCACGCCGGGCCCATACCTGGCTATATATATATATATATATATATATATATATATATATATATTTTAATGTTTTGTAGAGATGGGGGTCTCACTATATTGCAAACCAGGCTGGTCTCAAACCCTTGGGCTCAAGTGATCCTCCCACATCAGCCTCCCAAAGTGCTGGGATTATATATTTATCTACTTTTGAGATGGAGTCTCGCGCTGTCGCCCAGGCTGGAGTGCAGTGGCATGAGCTCGGCTCACCGCAAACTCCGCCTCCCGGGTTCAAGCGATCCTCCTGCCTCAGCCTCCCGAGGAGCTGGGATTACAGGCGCCCGCCACCACGCCCGGCTAATTTTGTATTTTTAGTAGAGACGGGGTTTCTCCATGTTGGTCAGGCTGGTCTCGAACTCCTGATCTCATGATCCACCCACCTCAGCCTCCCGAAGTGCTGGGATGAGAGGTGTGAGCCACCGCACCTGGCTACTTTTGTATTTTGAGTAGAGATGGAATTTCACCATGTTGGTCTGGCTGGTCTCGAACTCCTGACCTCTAGTGATCCACCTGCCTTGGCCTCCCAAACTGCTGGGATGACAGGCATGAGCCACCGTGCCCTGCCTGGGATTATTATCACAAATAACACCTATTCATTTTTACAAACCATATTTATGTAGTTATTCAAACCTAGGGCTAAAAATGATGTGGCTGCTGGGGTGACCTTTGGGGTAGGATCGGGAATTGGGGTGTAGCCCTCCTCCAGGCTCCATAGACCTCAGCCCCCCCAAGTTCTGTTTCTGACTTGTTCATGCTCAGAAAGTTGTCAGGGACGGCCTGGGTTTCTTTCCCACCTTCCTTGTTTGGGAGGAAGGTTCTGGAATCCTTTTTTTTTTTTTTTTTAGATGGAATTTTGCTCTTGTTGCCCAGGCTGGAGTGCAATGGTGCCAACTCAGCTCACTCCAACCTCCACCTCCCGGGTTCAAGCCATTCTCCTGCCTCAGCCTCCCGAGTAGCTGGAATTACAGGCATGAGCCACCACACCCGGCTAATGTTTGTATTTTTAGTAGAGACGGGATTTCACCACGTTGGCCAGGCTGGTCTCGAACTCGCGACCTCAGGTGATCTTCCCGCCTCGGTCTCCCAAAGTGTTGGGGTTACAGGCGTGAGCCTCCGCGCCCAGCCGGGTTCTGGAATCTTGAAGCTCCCCAGACACCAAGGCTGGATGGAAAGTTAGGCCATCAGAAAGCAAATGGGGAGAGGCTCGTGGGAATAGCGTGGGCCTCATGTAGTGTTTTGCTTTATGTGAAATGGGGCAGCAAAAAACAGCTGTTCCCTCCACCCCCCAGGCTGGAAAATTTATCTCCAGTATTCATTCTGGTAAATGAATGCCTGTGTGTTAGTAAGAGGGGAAGGAGCTGCTAGTCCTTGAGGTCAGCTGAAACCTCCTTCAGAGCCTCCAGCCTGGCCTTGAGACCGGCTCACCACATGTGAGCAGCCAGGAGCCCCGCCAAGACCTGCTGTTGCCCCTCCTTCCTGCCCTGCCCCAGTGCCGGGGTCCTGTGGATGTAGATTTTTTCTTTTTTTTTTTTTGAGATGGAGTTTCGCTCTTGTCCCTTAGGCTGGACAGCAATGGCGCGATCTCTGCTCACCACAACCTCCGCCTCCCAGGTTCAAGCCATTCTCCTGCCTCAGCCTCCGGAGTAGCTGGGATTACAGGCACCCGCCACCACTTGTAAATTTTGTATTTTTAGTAGAGATGGGGTTTCACCCTGTTGGCCAGGCTGGTCTCGAACTCCTGACCTCAGGTGATCCACCTGCCTTGGCCTCCCAAAGTGCTGGGATTACAGGCGTGAGCCGCTGTGCCGGGCCTGTTGATTCTTATCTGGCTTTCATGGGACCACAGGGGCTCCTGAAAGTGTGAAACAGAGAATTTCCATAGAACCCAGTAATACCCCAGCTAAGTATGTACCTAAAAGAATAGAAAGGAGGGGCCGGGAACAGTGACTCACGCCTGTAATCCCAGCACTTTGGGAGGCCGAGGCAGGTGGATCACCTCAGGTCGGGAGTTGGAGACCAGCCTGACCAACATGGAGAAACCCCGTCTCTACTAAACATACAAAATTAGCCAAGGGCGTGGAGGTGCCTGCCTGTAATTTCAGCTACTGAGGAGGCTGAGGCAAGAGAATCCCTTGAACCCGGGAGGCGGACGTTGTGGTGAGCCGAGATGGCGCCATTTCACTCCATCCTGGGCAACAAGAGTGAAACTCCGTCTCAAAAAAAAGAAAGAGGGACTGGAAGAGATATCTGCTCGCTCACGTTTGTAGGAGCACACACATGGAAACCATCCAGGTGTCCCTCAGTGGATGAATCGATAAACAAACAGTGGTTCACTCACTTTGTGCCCACCCAGTGGAGTACTATACAGCCATGAAAAAGAATGAGGCTGTGACCTAGGCTGCAACGTGGATACACCCTGAAGAAGTCACACTCAGCGATATTTCCTTTGGCTTATTGTACAATCCCCTTACGTCAACTGTCCGGAAGCGGCCAATGCACAGAGAGAGAGCTCAGATGAGTGGTTGCCACAGGCTGTGGGGAGGGAATGAGGAGGAACTGCTTCCTGGGGAGGGGGTCTCCTTTTATGGGGAGAAGGATGTTCTGGAAGTAGACAGAGGGGGTGGTTACACGGCGCAGTGATGTTCTCAATGCCACTGAGATTTTCACGGCGGTTAAAGTGGTGAGTTTTATGTTGTGAAATTTATGGTGAATTTCATATAATACGTTTTATGTCATTGCAGTGAAAAACAACACAATCCCGGCCCTCCTACGGCCCCCGCCTTCCCTCTGTGTCTGCGGTCTGTACCCTACGAACGCCTAGGACGCTAGACGGGATCCCTCCCCACGGAGCTATATAGGAAGGTGAACCCAGTCTGGGGTTCCTGAGCTGCTACGGCTCACTGCTTCCTTTCGGAAATTGGTGTATTGTCTTTGGAAAATGACTTCACACAAACCTGCTCACAGATATACCCGGTCCCAGATATGCCTAAGTGAGCGGAGACTACCGTGTCCTGAAACAGCATCTTCTCTTTTAAAAAATGTTGTGTTTTTTGTTTTGTCTTTTTTCTTTTTTTTGAGATAGGATCTCACTGTGTTGCCCAGGCTGGAGTGCAACAGTGTAATCATAGCTCACTGCAGCCTCAACTTCCCAGGCTCAAGCGATCCTCCTGCCTCAGCCTCCCAAGGAGCTGGGATTACATGTGTGCACCACCATGCCTGGCTAATTTTTTGATCTTTTGTATAGATGAGACCTCACTATGTTGCCCAGGCTGGAGTGCATCAGTGTAATCATAGCTCACTGCAGCCTCAACTTCCCAGGCTCAAGCGATCCTCCTGCCTCAGCCTCCCAAGTAGCTGGGACTACATGTGTGCGCCACCACGCCCGGCTAAGTTTTTGATCTTTTGTGGAGATCAGGCCTCACTATGTTGCCCAGGCTGGAGTGCAGTGGTGTAATCATAGCTCACTGCAGCCTCAACTTCCCAGGCTCAAGCGATCCTCCCACCTCAGCCTTCTAAGTATGTGGGATTACAGACATGCACCATCACGCCCAGCTAAGTTTTTGATTTCTTTTGGTACATACAGGGTCTCACTATGTTGCCCAGGCTGGTCTTGAATTCCTGGGCTCAAGTGATCCTCACTCCTCGGCCTCCCAAAGTGCTGAGATTACAGGCGTGAGCCACCATGCCTGGCCTCTTTTTTTGTTTTTGAGACAAGGTCTGAAATAACAACTATCTGTAAAAAAAAAAATATATATATATATATGGTTTTAATGTTATATATATAAGGTTTTAATGTTATATATAAATGTTTTATATTTATATATGACATATATAACATTTTAATGCTATATACATATAATGTTTTAATGTTATATATACATACAAATATATAAATATATATATTTTTAAACAGGGTCTTGCTCTGTCACCTGGGCTGGAGTACCCTGGTGTGATCACAGCTCACGGTTGCTTCGACCTCCTGGTCTCCAGCGATCCTCCTGTCTCAGCCTCCCCAAAATGCTGGGATTACAGGTGTGAGCCGCCGCTCCTGGCCAGCACCTTCTCTTATGCGGTACCTGGAAAGTCCCACATCATGCGAACGTCTCCACCAGGTACCCGGGAGGTGGCATTCGGGGAATGAGGGGGACCAGGGCTCAGAGCATCCCCAAAGTGGCTTCCTTGCCTCATAGGGTCACCCCCTTAGCCCAGAGCTGGAGGTGAGTGGGGGCGTGAAAGAGGCATCTTCCCTTCCAGAGGGCGGCAGTGGGGTTGAATGGATAACTTTAATCCTGACACACGTATTTCAGAAGACCTACCGCCAACTTTCCAGCTATGGGCAGCAGGTGTGATGAACACACGGGCCCCGGTGAGGGCTGAATGGGCCCAGATGGCAGGGGCAGAGAGGTTTGCATTCATTTTAATGTTCTCAGAAACTAGGATAAGCACTGGCAGCGGATGGAATGAGGAGAGCTGCATATTCGGTGAACTGTGTTGAAAGCACAGGGTTTTCACGGAAAATAAATAATGTCCAATGCAGCTAAAATACCGTGCGCCACCCGTAAGCCGGCGTTTATCCAGAGCTCCGAGTGTCTGTGAGATTTTAAGGAAAAGAAAGGAAGCTGGAAAAAAAAATAATAATCCAAATGAATCACAGACCAACGATCCCTAAAAGGTTTGCTTTAATAATTTTTTTTTTTTTTTTTTTGTGGCTGTGGAAGATGACTCGGATTCAAAATAATGAGGATGTTTATGTCTGCAGTCTGTTCCTCTCTTGAAGATTCAATTCTAAATAATGCAGGTCTCCTAAATGCTAGCAAATAGTGTCATACACTCCTTTTCACAAAATAGCTTTGACTTTGGGGAAGGCAACTATCATTAACTGGGCACCGGCACCTTTAAGCAAAGGTTTCCTGGAATAACAGTCAGCTAAGGAAATATAATGAGAGCTATTTCTTGCCCTTCCTGCTCGAAACCGTTGGCTGGAACTCAGCCTGCCCCTCAGCTGAAGCACGTCTGGTTTAAATTCATACGGCATAGATTTACAATTTTTAAACGACTGGATATGTATTTTTTTTTTTCTACGCTGTTTGCAGACCTGGTGGACACCTGTTGTTTCTGGTTAGGAAAGGAGGAGATAATTGGATACCAGAGAGAGCCTGACTTCTTGAGCCACCATTTAACCGGCTGATTTCAGCAATAAATTGGAGGGGGGCGGGGATGGGGAAAAAATAACACCCAAGAAACATTCAGACAGATTTGCAACCACAAAGTCTGTCTCCTTTATTATTTTAATTTTATTATTATTATTACTTTTGCTTTGTTTAACATAAAAACGATCTAGGCGAGTCCTTCTGGGCTGATGTGTATGTGCTTTTTCCTGCCTGGCTATCCTGTAGCTTTATCTAAGGCAAATCGGAGTACGTGTAAATAAATTAGTTCAACCATTGTGGAAGACAGCGTGGCGATTCCTCAAGGATGTAGAACTAGAAATACCGTTTGACCCAGCCATCCCGTTACTGGGTATATACCCAAAGGATTATAAATCACTCTACCATAAAGACACATGCACACGTATGTTTATTGAGGCACTGTTCACAACAGCAAAGACTTGGAACCAACCCAAATGCCCATCAATGATAGACTGGATACAGAGAATGTGGCACACAGACACCATGGAATACTATGCAGCCACGAAAAAGGATGGGTTCATGTCCTTTGCAGGGACATGGATGAAGCTGGAAACCATCATTCTCAGCAAACTCGCACAGGAACAGAAAACCACACACCGCATGTTCTCACTCCTAAGTGGGAGCTGAACGATGAGAACACAGGGACGCAGGGAGGGGAACATCACACACCGGGGCCTGTCAGTGGGTTGCGGGCCAAGGAGTGGGATTGCATTAGGATGCTATCCTAATGCTAACAAATATCTAATCCATCCAGGGCTTAACACCTAGATAAGGGACCTCCTCTGAATAATTAATATACTCCTGGTGATAGATGATCCGCACGGTCTGGATATTAGGTTATCAATCACGACCCACTTGTTTTAACGTAATCCTATTGAACACGTGTCAGGAGCTGTTTACCCAGAGGTGACAGCTACACAGCACCCCCATTTCCAGCCAGAAAATCGTACCATTTCCTTTCCTTCGACTGCCGCTTCCCGACCCCTTTCCCCGTTTCCGGCCAGAAAATCGTACCATTTCCTTTCCTTAACCTGCCGCTTCCTGACACTTTCCCCCCAGTGTTTTAGTACAGATGGAGTTTCACCATGTTGGCCAGGCTGGTCTTCGATGGGTGACTTCAGGTGATCCGCCTGCTTCAGCCTCCCAAAGTGCTGGGATGACAGGCGTGAGCCACTGTGCCCGGCCTCCAGTGTTTTTCAAATTGTGGTAAAACGCACATAACACAAAGTCTAGAGCATTAACCATGTATTTTGTTTTAAGACAGAGTTTCACTCTTGTCGCCCAGGTTGGAGTGCAATGGCATGATCTCGGCTCACTGCAAACTCTGCCTCTTGGGTTCAAGCGATTCTCCTGCCTCAGTCTCCCGAGTAGCTGAGATTACAGGCGCCCGCCACCACGCCCGGCTAATTTTTTGTATTTTTAGTAGAGACCGGGTTTCCCCATGTTGGTGAGGCTGGTCTTGAACTCCTGACCTCAGGTGATCCACCTGCCTCAGCCTCCCAAAGTGCTGGGATGACAGGCGTGAGCCACCGTGCCCGGCCGGCATTCACCGTGTGTAAATGTACACAGCAGTTTGAACTGCAGTTGGCTTCTGCAGCCATCACCACCATCCGTATCTCCAGAAGTTTCTCATCTTCCCAAACAGAAACCCTGTTCCCCTTACACACTCACTCCCTTTCCCCGGCTGCCATCAACCTCCTCTCCATCTCCATGACTCTGAGGACTCCAGGGACCTCCTGTAAATGGAATCCCACAGTGTGTATCTTTTTTTTTTTTTTTTTTTTTTTTTTTGAGATGGAGTCTTGCTCTGTCGCCCAGGCTGGAGTGCAGTGGCGCGATCTCGGCTCACTGCAAGCTCCGCCTCCCGGGTTCACGCCATTCTCCTGCCTCAGCCTCCCGAGTAGCTGGGACTACAGGCGCCCGCCACCACATCTGGTTAATTTTTTTGTATTTTTAGTAGAGACGGGCTTTCACCGTGTTAGCCGAGATGGTCTCGATCTCCTGACCTCATGATCCGCCTGCCTCGGCCTCCCAAAGTGCTGGGATTACAGGCGTGAGCCACGGCGCCCGGCCCCACAGTGTTTATCTTTCTGTGTCTGGCTTCGTCACTGCTCCAAGACTCACGTTTGTTGTAGCAAGCGCCAAATTTTCTTCCTTTTGGCTGGCTTATGAGGATTTTAGGAGGGACTTCAGTCTCCCAGTTTGTTATTTATTTTCTACGTGCTTTCTACGTCACGCGTTTCCTGTGTTTCTGTCCTCTTGTGTGTTTCATTGATTTATTTTTATTTTTGTAGACACGAAGTCTTGCTCTGTCACCCAGTGAGACTCCAACTCCTGGGCTCAAGCAATCCTCCTGCCTCAGCCTCCCGAGTAGCTGGGAGCACAGGCATGCACCACCACGCCTGGCTAATTTTTTTTTTTTTTTTTTTTTGGTAGGGACAGGCTCCTGGGGAAGAGGGGGAAGGAAAGGAGTGGTCTTGGGCCCTGTATTGTAGGAGTTTCTGGGCTTCTAACAACAGCAACTTGTTTTCTCCCAGTCCCGGTGTCCAGGAGTCTGAGATCAAGGTGTAGGCAGGACCACAGTCCCTCCAGAGGTTCTAGGGGAGGGTCCTTCCTGCCTCTCCCAGCTCCCGGGGGCTCCAGGCTTCCTGGGCTTGTGGCCGCGTCACTCCAGTCTCTGCCTCCGTTCTCCACGTGGCCTTCTTCTCTGTGTCTGTGTCTTCTCTTCTGTCTCTTACAAGGACACCTGCCATTGCATTTAGGGCCCAGCCTACTCCAGGATGACCTCATCTCAAACTTCTTGAGTTAACTGTGTCTGCAAAGACCCTATTTTCAAATAAGTTCTCATTCACAGATACTGGGAGCTTAAAACAACAGAAATTTATCCTCTCCCAGTCCTGCAGACCAGGAGTCTGAGATGAAGCGGTCTCAGGGCTGAGCTCCCTCCAGAGGCCCTAGGGGAGGGTCCTTCCTGCCTCTCCCAGCTCCTGGGGGCTCCAGGCTTCCTGGGCTTGTGGCCGCATCACTCCAGTCTCTGCCTCTGTTCTCCACGTGGCCTTCTCCTCTGTGTCTGTGTCTCCTCTTCTGTCTCTTAGAAGGACACCTGTCAATGGATTTAGGACTCACCTAATCCAGGATCATCTCATTTCGAAATCCTTGACTTAGTTACATCTGTAAAGACCTCATATCCGAATAAGATTCCATTCATGGGTTGAGGGAGTTAGGATGTAGACATAGCTTTTCGGGGAGACTATGGTTCAACCCATTCCGATTGTATCCAGTTCCTTCTGGAGGTTCTAGGGGAGGGTCCTTCCTGCCTCTCCCAGCTCCTGGGGGCTCCAGGCATCCCTGGGCTTGTGGCCGCCTCACTCCAGTCTCTGCCTCCGTCTCCACGTGGACTTCTCCTCTGTGTCTGTGTCTCCTCTTCTGTCTCTTAGAAAGTCACCTGTCATTGCATTTAGGGTCCACCCTCATTCATGATCATCTCATCTCAAGATCCTTCACTTAATCACATTTGCAGAGACCCTATTTCCAAACGATATCTCATTCTAGGTTCTGGGCTTTAGGATGTGGACAGATCTTTCTGGGGGCCACTGTTCAATCCATTACAATTGTATCCACTTCCTTGTAGAGGTTCTAGGGCAGGATCCTTCCTGCCTCTCCCAGCTCCTGGGGGCTCCAGGTGTCCCTGGGCTTGTGGCCGCATCACTCCAGTCTCTGCCTCCGTCTCCACGTGGACTTCTCCTCTGTGTCTGTGTGTCCTCTTCTGTCTCTTACAAGGACACCTGTCATTGCATTTAGAGCTCACCTAATCCAGGATGATCTCACCTCAAGATCCTCAACTTAATTACATCTGCATGTGTGAGTGGCTTCCCGGAGACACCCCTTTTCTCTCCCATTCCTTTTTCTTTTTCCCTACCATGGAGGACGAGGACACGCACGCACGGGAACTCAAGTTTCACCCCGTGAGTATTTTAGGCGTGGGGCACTTTCAGCCCAGGTGTATGAAAATGGTCTCATTAAGGGGACTGCTCGGATGACACATCCAGTGAGGGTGGCATTGCCTGTGTGGCAGTTCAAAGAATCGGAGACAAGCTCTAGAGAGAGCGAGGACACACACAGGTGCACGCATCACACACACACACGTGCACACGCGGGCACGCACACACAGGTGCACACGGCCATCACCCCGGCCGCGTGAGAGTGTTGCTTATATCGAAACCGTCTTCAGCCCAGAAGGTCACTCGTGGCAATAATGGTCTCGTTAGACACGCCATCCATCATTCAAATAATCGCAATTTAGAGCCCGCGTTTCATGCCGGGCTGGTTTAATCACCAGCAGCAGTTTGTGAAGGGCCTCATTCGCCTGGGATTCGGGGATATTGCGTGATTTAGCAGACGTGACCCCTGACCTCTGCGGGGGGCGGAGAGCCTGCCTTGGAGGCAAAAGCGGAACAGCGAGGGTGACTCACTCAGGGACAATTATTATGCTTAACAGCCTCACTGTCATCTTAGAAGGAAAAAGAGCCAAAAAAAAAAAAAAAATCCATAGGATGCTGAGCATTCCTTCCAGATCCTTCAGCATTCCTTCCAGATCCTTCAGCATTCCTTCCAGATCCTTCAGCATTCCTTCCAGATCCTTCAGCATTCCTTCCAGATCCTTCAGCATTCCTTCCAGATCCCAGTTTAGAAGAAGGCAGTGGGGTCGGTTTAAATGCACCCAGCGTGCTCCCGAAGATAATGTTTTTGTTTCTGTAGACGCGGTGGCAGCTTTCTGGCGATTTCTAGGCAATGTACAGGAGGAAAGAAAGAAGGAAGGGGAGGGCACGGAGAAGCTCCGGAAGGCTGGATGCTTGGGGAAGGAGGTCAGGAGGCAGGACCGGCCGGCCGCCCTCCAGACGTCCAGATGTCCAGACGTCCAGCCAGCCGGACACCGGTCTGCACCTGTCACAGGTGAGCAGCATTTGTTAGCGACGTCTGCACAGGCATCAGTTGGGTAAAGGATGTTCCCGTGTTGTACCTGGAGCGAGTTAGAGAAAACGCCACACTTTGAGACGAATTAAGAGTCCGTTTATTTAGCCGGCGGCCAAGAGACGGCTAACGCTCAAAGTTCTCTCGGCCCCGAAGAAGGGGCTAGATTTTTTTTTTATACTTTGGTTTAGAAAGGGGAGGGGGATCTAGCGAAAACCATTTTACAGAAATAAAGTAGGCAAAAAAGTTAAAAGGATAAATGGTTACAGGGAAGTAAACAGGTGCAGGGCCTTTAAGACTATTACAAGGTGATAGACGCAGGGCTTCGGGCGTTAGTAATCAGACGAATTCCTGGGAATTGCGGATATAGCTCGCCACAGTATCTTATCAGTTAATTGCATTCTTGGATGTGCTGGGAGTCAGCTTGCACGAGTTCAGTCCTTGAGGAAGGGGCTGCCAGTGAAAGAGCCATGATGGAGTCTGTCTGGTTCTCTTAGCTAAGGGTGAGTCCATTCAGGTGGAAACAAGGCTAGGTGATTGAAGGAAAAGGGAGAGTCTAAAAACAGGGTTAGTAAAAAGGAGGTTGGGCATTACAGGTGAAACCCCGTCTGCCCGAGCCAGCAAACGCTGCTCACCCGTGACAGGTGCAGACCCGGTCTCCGGCTGGTCCTGCCTCCTGGCCTCCTTCCCGAAGCATCCAGCCTTCCGGAGCACAGGCAGACGGGTACAGGATGGTCCCCAGGCCCTCATTCACTTGGAAGCAACAGGAGAAAATCCTCTATTGCATTTCTGCAGCCGTCCGCATTTCTGCGCACAGAGACGGTTAAATGCTTGTCATTTAACTTGTCATTCTCTCCATAACACAGTGTTCTATTTTTATTTCCATCGGTGCAAAGCTCATCACTCTCCGTCCCCTCCTGCCTGGGATGCTTGCAGCCCCCTTCCTGAGACGGTGGCGATCCCCCAGTACCAGATTTTTGGTGATCCCAGGGGGCCACGGGCTGTGCCTGGCATCTCTCTCATGAAACATCTCTTTTTCTTGTGATCATTTAAAATTCATCCTCGCTCCAAAGAAGGTATCTGTGTAGCAGTGTTGCCTCCGTGAGCCGTCCTGATTTTTTTTTTCCGGTATTTCAAAGGGAGGTTAGGGGATCGGGTTATTTTTGGTGAGAACAGCGGGAAACCAAGCCTTGACTTCTCGAGTCCCTGGGGTGCAGGAGAGGGGTCTCTGAGGACCATGCTGGGAAAATAACTCATCCCTCCTTTGGTCATCTTTGGAGATGAGCTGAAACCAGGCGGGGCTCTAGTCACTTATTTATCTGCTTCTTAAATTTTATTTTATTTATTTATTTTTTTTGAGACAGAGTCTTGCTCTGTCACCCAGGCTGGAGTGCAATGGTGCGATCTTGGCTCACTGCAACCTCCGCCTCTCGGGTTCAAGCGATTCTCCTGCCTCAGCCTCCCGAGTAGCTGGGACTGCAGGCACCCACCACCACGCCCGGCTAATTTTTTGTATTTTTAGTAGAGACGGGGTTTCACCGTGTTAGCCAGGATGGTCTCGATCTCCTGACCTCGTGATCCGCCCGCCTCGGCCTCCTAAAGTGCTGGGATGACAAGCGTGAGCCACCGTGCCCGGCCCAAAGATGCCTTTTAATAAACAAGGTATTTGGGAGGCTGAAGAGGGTGGATGACCTGAGGTCAGGAGTTCGAGACCAGCCTGGGATGACAGGCGTGAGCCACCGCGCCCGGCCTCATGCCTCCTGTTTTTAGGACATACAGGGTAACTTCCTGCGTGGCTATGACATCTGTAAATGGTCCTGGTGCTGGTGGGAGTGTCTTTTAGCAGCAAATGAATTACAGTTAGTGTAAGGTACAATTAGTGCGGTGAGGACAACCTGAGGTCACTTTCGTTGCCATCTTGGTTTTGGCGGGATTTGGCCGGCTTCTTCACTGCGAGCTGTTTTATCAGCAACTCTTTATGACCTCTGTCTTGTGCCAACCTCCTATCTCAACCTGTAGGTTAGAATGCCTTAACCTGGGGAGGCCGAGGCAGGTGGATCACCTGAGGTTGGGAGTTCCAGATCAGCCTGACCAACATAGCGAGACCCCGTCTCTACTAAAAATACAAAATTAGCCAGGCGTGGAGGTGCATGCCTGTAATCCCAGAACTTTCGGAGGCCAAGGCGGGCGGATCACCTGAGGTCGGGAGTTTGAGACCAGCCTGACCAACATGGCGAAACCCCGTCTCTACTAAAAATACAAAATTAGCCGGGCGTGGAGGCTCGCACCTGCAATCCCAGAACTTTGGGAGGCCAAGGTGGGTGGATCACGAGGTCAGGAGTTCAAGACCAGCCTGGCCAGCACGGTGAAACCCCGTCTGTAATAAAAATACAAAAATTAGCCGGGCGTGTGGTGGCGCGTGCCTGTAATCCCAGCTACTCAGGAGGCTGAGGCAGGAGAATCGCTTGAACCCGGGAGGCGGAGCTTGCAGTGGAGCTGAGATTGCACCACTGCACTCTAGCCTGGGTGAGAGAGCGAGACTCTGTCTTAAAAAAAAGAAAAAAAAAAATCTGAACCTTCTGAGAATGCAGCCCAGAAGGTCTCAGCCTCATTTTACCCAGCCCCTGTTGAAAGTGGAGTTGCTTTACTTCCAACACCTCTGACACTGCTGTTTGGGAATCTTCCGAATGATTAGAGAGTTATAGAAAGTTAAGGCGCCTTGATCCGGAGAAGCTGGTGCCGTCTCTCTCATGGCGTCTGTGGGACAATTGTCCGGGAAGAGGGCGGCTCTGGGCACTCCGGGGGGCTGGAGGTGGGAGCTTCGTATCCTGGAGGTGGCTGTGTGTTTTGGAGACTCATTGTACCACATAAAACACCCTTAAATATCCTTGCCTTCCCCTGCTATTTTGTATAATAATAATATAATTATATTTTATAATTAATAAAATATTATTTTATAATAATAAATACTATTTTATAATAATAAAATATTGCTTTATAATAAATAAAATATTTTAATAATTAATAAAATATTATTTTTAATAATTAATAAAATAATTGTATAAATATAACGTATAACAAAATATTCTATAGTAATAAAATAATTATATAATAATATAATTAATAAAATAATTTATAATAAATTTTATAAATTTTATAATAAATAATTTTATAATAAATATAACTTGTAATAAAAATTCCATAATAATTAATAAAATAATTATGTAATAATATAATTAATAAAATAATTTTATAATATAATTTGTAATAAAAATTCTATAATAATAAAATAATTATATATTATGTGATATTACTACAATAATAATTATATTAATATATAATTATGTATATATATGTTTTTTGAGACGGAGTTTCGCTCTTGTTGCCCAGGTTGGAGTGCAGGGGAGCGATCTCAGCTCACCACAACCTCTGCTTCCCGGGTTCAAGCGATTCTCCTGCCTCAGCCTCCGGAGTAGCTGGGATGACAGGCATGCGCCATCACACCCGGCTAATTTTGTATTTTTAGTAGAGACAGAGTTTCTCCATGTTGGTCAGGCTGGTCTCAAACTCCTGACCTCAGGTGATCCGCCTGCCTCAGCCTCCCAAAGTGCTGAGATTACAGGTGTTAGCCACTGCGTTTGGCCAATATATAATAATAATCGCATATTATTAATTAATATATTATAATTAATATATTATATATAATATAATTACATATTTTACTATGTTAATATATAATATAAAACATTATATGATTAATATGTAATTATATTAATATATTAATATATTTATTATATTTTATATAACATTTACATTATATTATATAACATTTATGTATTGTATTTAATATATAATGATATATAATATTTAATACATAATAATATATATTTATGTATTATATTATACATTATAATATGGTATCTATTTTATAATATAGTAGTAATAATATACTCCCTGGGAAGTATAATACTAATGATTATTATTATTAAGAGACAGGGTCTTGCTCTATTGCCCAGGCTGGAGTGCAGTGGCAGGATCATAGCTCACTGCAGCCTCAACCTCTCAGGCTCAAGCAATCCTCCCGTTTTAGCCTCCTGAGTCACTGGGACTACCGGTGTACACCACCATGCCCAGCTAATTTTTTAATTTTTTGCCTAGAAGGGGAGTCTCACTATGTTGCCTGGCCTGGTTGGGAACCCCTAGGCTCAAGCACTCTTCCCAGCTTCCAAAGTGCTGTGGTGACAGCTGTGAGCCACCGTGCCCGGCCAGGTTGGACAAGTGCTAACATACTGTCCATAACATAAGCTGTATGCCGGATGCATACGGCCGGCCTATAGTTTCTGCAAATCCAGAAAAGCTTACTGCAACTGCAGAAAGAAAAAAAAAAGAAAGAGAGAAAGAGAGAGAGAGAAGGAGGGAGGGAGGGAGGAAGGAAGGAGAGGGAGGGAGGGAAGGAAGGAAGGAAAGAAGGAAGGAAGGAGAGGGAGGAAGGAAAGAAGGAAGGAGACGGAGGAAGGAGAGGGAGGAAGGAAGGAGAGGGAGGAAGGAAAGAAGGAAGGAGACAGAGGGAGGAAGGAGAGGGAGGAAGGAAGGAGAGGGAGGGAGGAAGGAAGGAAGGAGACGGAGGAAGGAGAGGGAGGGAGGAAGGAGAGGGAGGGAGGAAGGAAGGAAGGAGACGGAGGAAGGAGAGGGAGGGAGGAAGGAGAGGGAGGGAGGAAGGAAGGAAGGAGACGGAGGAAGGAGAGGGAGGAAGGAAGGAGAGGGAGGAAGGAAGGAGAGGGAGGAAGGAGACAGGGAGGAAGGAGAGGGAGGAAGGAAGGAGAGGGAGGGAGGAAGGAGAGGGAGGGAGGAAGGAGAGGGAGGGAGGAAGGAGACGGAGGAAGGAAGGAGAGGGAGGAAGGAAGGAGAGGGAGGAAGGAAAGAAGGAAGGAGACAGGGAGGAAGGAGAGGGAGGAAGGAAGGAGAGGGAGGGAGGAAGGAAGGAAGGAGACGGAGGAAGGAGAGGGAGGAAGGAGAGGGAGGGAGGAAGGAGAGGAAGGAAGGAGATGGAGGAAGGAAGGAGAGGGAGGAAGGAAGGAGGGAAGGGAGGGAGGAAGGAAGGAGAGGGAGGGAGGAAGGAAGGAGGGAAGGGAGGGAGGAAAGAAAGAAGGAAGGAAGATTCTAATTCAAATCAGTTGCTTAAGAGGGAGAGATCAGGAAGTTCCCAACTAAAGTGCTGGGGTGACAGGTGTGAGCCACCATGCCCGGCCAGGTTCCCCAGCTGTTTGGACAAGTAGTAACAAGTAGCCAACTGCAAATGCACAAAGAAAGAAGGAGGAAAGAAAGAAAGAGAGAGAGAGAAGGAAGAAAGGAAAGAGAAAGAAGAAAAGAAAAAACCAATTCTAATTCAAATCAGTTGCTTAAGAGGGAGAGATCAGGAAGAAAGAAAGAAGGAAAGAGAAAGAAAGGAAAAGAAGAGAGAAAGAGAGAGAGAAAGAAAGAAAGAAAGAAAGAAAGAAAGACAGAAAGAAAAACAAATCCTAATTCAAATCACTTGCTTAAGAGGGAGAAATAAGGCAATTTCCCACCAGGAGGATGCCGTCTAGATCGGACGGTGTTGTTGGTACGGGACCTGACTCTGAAGTCACTAACAAAACTCCCAGGCTTTGTGCAAAGGAGAACCTCTAAGCCCCCGGGAACGGCGTTTTCTCGCTCGCCACCATGAGTCTGGCTGGCTCGCCTCCTTGTAGAACGAGGTGGCCGCAAGTTTGGCGGCCTCTGGAGAAACGGCGGTGCATTTGTTGACGTAAGAAGTAATGTAGAGGGTGGGGGAGTGTCTGTTCCATGATAATTTCTGAATAGTGCGTTTCTCCGGAGCCATACATCATTGTCAACTCAGAAGATTACACGTACCGTTGCCTTTGTGAACCGGGGACTCGGGGTGGGGGCAAATGTCCCCAAATGCAAATCCGCCTGGTAGATAGAGTGAGATAGATATGAATGTAGACACCACGGGTCTCCTTCCCCGACAACCCACCTTTTTTTGTTTGTTTGTTTTAGGTGATTCAGGGACAAAGCTTTCCTGGAACAACAAGGCTGAAATTACATCATCATTGCAGACGTCCGTCGGCAAGCGGCGTTTTATTTCAAGGCTAGGAGCTGAAATGATCGTGTTCAGTCACGCACACCGTCTATGATAAGGTAGGTCTGGGCGGGAAGGGAGGTGCAGAATACATGCAATCATTCATCGAGATGAAAATAAAGTCAATCGAGCGCTCTCCCCCTGGAGGGAACAGGAAGGCAAACGTTTGTCTGGCTGAAAACACAGGCAAAAAAATTTAGACGTTGTCTATAGCTGCAACCAGATTTGGAGACAGAGGCCAAGCACCTGAATCGTTGCCCCAACTTTCTAGTTTTAACCTGATATTCGGTGTGTCATGTTATTTTGTTTTACTGTCATTTTATTTTATTTCATTTTTTTTGAGATGGAGTCTCGCTCTGTCACCAGGCCGGAGTGCAGTGGCGCGATCTCGGCTCACTGCAACCTCCGCCTCCCGGGTTCAAGCGATTCTCCTGCCTCAGCCTCCCAGGTAGCTGGGACTACAGGCGCCCGCCACCACGCCCGGCTAATGTTTGTATTTTTAGTAGAGACGGGATTTCACCCCGTTGGCCAGGCTGGTCTGAAACTCCTGACCTCGTGATCCACCCACTTCGGCCTCCCAAAGTGCTGGGATGACAGGCGTGAGCCACCGCATCCGGCCTCTACACACACGTTTATATACACACATACCTGACCATATATATGCATACATCTATATTTATCACACATACGTACATAGATGTATGGATTTTGTTACAGACAGAAACTTAATTTAACCATCTCTGACACATTGCTTCTTAAATTATAAAGCCACTTTCCCACTTTCCCAATATCCACTGGTGGCACACTGAATCTGAGTTAGTTCTAAATGTTTCAATGCGATTGTGTGTATATATGCCTTCCTAGAATGGGATGTATACAGCTGGCCTGTGGTCTCTCCCTCCCTAGAGTGAGATGTATACGGTTGGCCTGCAGTCTGTCTTTCTAGTGTGGGATGTATACAGCTGGTCTGTTGTCTCCCTCTGTAGAGTGGGATGTATACAGCCGGCCTGCGGTTTCTTTCTTCCTAGAGTGGGATGTATACAGCCGGCCTGTGGTCTGTCTCTCTAGTGTGGGATGTATACAGTTGGCCTGTGGTGTTTCTCCCTAGAGGGGGATGTATATAGTCAGCCCGTGGTTTCTTTCTTCCTAGTGTGGGATGTATACAGCCGGCCTATGGTCTGTCTCTCTAGTGTGGGATGTATACAGCTGGCCTGTGGCCTCCCTCTCTAGAGTGGGATGTATACAGTTGGTCTGTGGTCTCTTCCTCCCTAGAGTGGAATGTATACAGCCGGCCTGTGGTCTCTCTTTCTAGAGAAGGATGTATACAGCCGGCCTGTGGTCTCCCTCCCAGGAGTGGAATGTATACAGTCGGCCTGCGGTCTCCCTCCCAGGGGTGGGATGTATACAGCCGGCCTGTGGTCTCTCTTTCTAGAGAAGGATGTATACAGCAGCCTGCAGTCTCCCTCCCAGGAGTGGAATGTATACAGCCGGCCTGTGCTCTCCCTCCTAGGAGTGATATGTATACAGCCGGCCTGTGGTCTCCCTCCCTAGAGTGATATGTATACAGTTGGCCTGTGGTCTCCCTCCCAGGAGTGGGATGTATACAGCCGGCCTGTGGTCTCTCTTTCTAGAGAAGGATGTATACAGCCGGCCTGTGGTCTCCCTCCCAGGAGTGGGATGTATACAGTCGGCCTGCGGTCTCCCTCCCAGGAGTGGAATGTATACAGCCGGCCTGTGGTCTCTCTTTCTAGAGAAGGATGTATACAGCCGGCCTGTGGTCTCCCTCCCAGGAGTGGGATGTATACAGCAGCCTGTGGTCTCCCTCCCAGGAGTGGAATGTATACAGCCGGCCTGTGGTCTCTCTTTCTAGAGAAGGATGTATACAGCAGCCTGCAGTCTCCCTCCCAGGAGTGGGATGTATACAGTCAGCCTGTGGTCTCCCTCCCAGGAGTGGGATGTATACAGCCGGCCTGTGGTCTCCCTCCCAGGAGTGGAATGTATACAGCCGGCCTGTGGTCTCTCTTTCTAGAGAAGGATGTATACAGCAGCCTGCAGTCTCCCTCCCAGGAGTGGGATGTATACAGTCGGCCTGTGGTCTCCCTCCCAGGAGTGGGATGTATACAGTCGGCCTGTGGTCTCTCTTTCTAGAGAAGGATGTATACAGCAGCCTGCGGTCTCCCTCCCAGGAGTGATATGTATACAGTTGGCCTGTGGTCTCCCTCCCAGGAGTGGGATGTATACAGCCGGCCTGTGGTCTCCCTCCCTAGAGTGATATGTATACAGTCGGCCTGTGGTCTCCCTCCCTAGAGTGATATGTATACAGTTGGCCTGTGGTCTCCCTCCCAGGAGTGGGATGTATACAGTCGGCCTGTGGCCTTCCTGCCTGGTGTGTATACAGCAGGCCTGTAATGCTCACCTCAACAGGCAGTATTCCTTGGACTCCTGGTCTGCAGACATCCTGGTTCCTCATTCCCTGAAATTCTGCGTGGGACGTTTTTCCGCCTGGGCCTGAGTGACACTGGCTTTGACGTAGCTTCTAGGTGAAGATCAATGAAGGCCTCGGTGGGGCCCAATTTCTTGGTGGAAACTCATCCCGTTTCTGATAAAGGATGGCCCGGGAAGACCTAGAATACGGTGACACCGCGTCCCTCTCCCCCGTGGGTCCCCGAACCTGCAGATGACCACATTTTAGGAACCTTGTATCAGGAGCATGTCTTAATGTTATTACGTCTTTCTCAAAAACAAGATTTTGGATTCCTACGTGACACGGATCCTTCTAGGTCCGCCGGCAGCTATTTGACCAGGCTGTTATTTAAGAGAATGTAGATGATTCCCTAAACCTTCTAGCTCATAAAACGTGGATTGTTAAGATTGACTCCTTCAGGTAAAATTATTGGATTTCATATACCAACTGCTAAAAGGCACTATTCATAGTCTCAAACGGCTTGCGGGAAAAGCTGTTCTAATTTACGTTCCTGCCGGCAGAGCAAGAGGTCGCCCGGGACTTACGCTGTGATGAACATTGAGGTTCATTTTAAAAAGAAAATGAGGAATTCTGCAAATTTCATAGTTTCAAAACGGCATCCATTGTTTTGACTTGGCATTTAAAGACGACTTTTTAGTGGGGGACAATTCTTTTTCATGTTTACAAGCCATGTGTGTTTCTCTTTTGTAAATTACTTGAGATGTTTGCTTATTTTTCCAGTGTTTACCAGTTCTTAGGGCCCTGAACTTCAGAGTCACACAGAACTGGGTTTGAATCCAAACACAACACGACAATTTACTAGCTCCGTTTCTCCGGAGAAGTTAATTTATGCCTTTAATTTTCACTTTCTCCGTCTGTAGCAAATTGCCTAGAGTTTTTATGACATTTAAACCAGATAATATATGTACATTGAGTAGCACAGAATTTTAATGCACAGAAAGCATTCAATAAATAGCAATCATTCTTGTTGATTTGTAAGAGCTCTTTATATATTAAGGACACAGGCTCTTTTATCATTGGCATATTTTATCAATATTTTTCAACTTCTTTTATGCTACTTGAAATTGTTTTTTAAACCTAAAGAGTTTTAAAATTGAATGTAGTCAAATTGATCAGTCTTGTTCATATAATTTCTTCCATTGTTTTTATTCTTGGAAAGTACTTCTGAATGTAGAGATGTAATATTCACCTACATTTTTTTTGTTTTTTTTGGGACAGGGTCTTGCTCTGTCACCCAGGCTGGAGTGCAGTGGCGTGATCTTGGCTCACTGCAACCTCTGCCTCCCGGGTTCAAGCCTTGCCTCAGCCTCCCAAGTAGCTGGAATTACAGGCATGCACCATCATGCCCAGCTAATTTTTGTATTTTTAGTAAAGATGGGGTTTCACCATGTTGGTCAGGCTGGTCTCGAACTGCTGACCTCAGGTGATTTGCCTGCCTCGGCCTCCCAAAGTGCTGGGATTACAGGCATGAGCCACCGCGCCCGGCCCTTCATGTACATTTGAAGCTACATTTCATGACTTAATTTTTATTTATTTATTTTGAGATGGAGTCTGGCTCTGTTGTCCAGGCTGAAGTGCAGTGGTACAATCTCGGCTCACTGCAACCTCTGCCTCCCTGGTTCACGCCATTCTCCTGCCTCAGTCTCCTGAGTAGCTGGGACTACAGGCGCCCACCACCACGTCCAGATAATTTTTTGTATTATTTAGTAGAGACGGGGTTTCACCGCATTAGCCAGGATGGTCTCAATCTCCTGACCTCGTGATCCACCTGTCTCAGCTTCCCAAAGCGCTGGGATTACAGGCATGAGCCACTGTGTGCTGGGATTACAGGCATGAGCCACTGTGTCTGGCCATGTACTTTTAAAACACAGTAATTGGCCAGGCATGGTGGCTCATGCCTGTAATCCCAGCACTTTGGGAGGCCAAGGCAGGAGGATTGCCAGAGGCCAGGCATTCAAGACCAGCCTGGGCAACTTAGGGAGACCCTATCTTTACAAAAAATAAAAATAAAAAAAGTAGCCAGGTGTGGTGTCCCTTGTCTGTGGTCTCAGCTACTCAGGGAGGCAGAGGTTGCAGTGAGCTGTGGTCTCAGCTTGTCTGTGGTCTCAGCTACTCAGGGAGGCTGAAGTGGGAGGATTGCTTGAGCCCAGGAGTTGGAGGCTGCAATGAGCCAAGATTGCACCACCGCCCTCCAGCCTGGGCAGCAGACAGAGACCCTGTAAGAAACACAAAGAGAAAGAGAAGAAAGAGACAGGATGGAAGGAAGGAAGGAAGGAAGGAAGGAAGGAAGGAAGGAAGGAAGGAAAAAGAAGAAAGAAAGAAAGAAAGAAGAAAAGGAAGGAAGGAAAAAGAAAGAGACAGAGGGGAAGAAAGGAATGAAAGAAGAAAAAAGAAAGTAAGAGAAAGAAAAGAAAGAAAGAGGAAGAAAGGAAGGAAGGAAAAAAGAAAGAAAGAGACAGGAAGAAAGGAAGGAAAGAAGGAAAAAAGAAAGACAAGAAAAAGAAACGAAGGGAAAGGAAGAAAGGAAGGAAGGAAGAAAGAAAAGAAAGACAAAGACAGAAAGGAAGAAAGGAAGGAAGGAAGGAAAAAGAAATGAAAGAAAAGAAAGAGAAAAGAGAGACAAAAAGGCTGTAAGAAAGGAAAAGCAATGATGCCTCATACTGGATTAAGTTACCCATGAAATCTAAGCTTGGTTCCTTAAGCCTCGCCTCTTTGAAGAGGAATCCAATTCTGAAATGAATGACACTTTTGGGGGGCCTCATGCCGTGGGGAGCTTAGATTGTCTTTGAAACTGGCCTCTGAGTTGAAATTCCAGGTCCTACCCTTTCCTGCTCAGTCCTCAGACAATTTATAAAACTTGCCTAAACTCACATTTTTATCTGGTAATTTGTGACTTGCAGAATGAACGCAAGAAAACAGAGACGACATTGTAAAGTAGCTGGCCATCGTATTTTTCTTGGAAGAGACAGTATCCTTAAATTAATGCTAATATTTTAAACACTGGCCCACTGATCATGAACACCCAATTCCTGGGTTCCTTGAAATATTTTTGGAAGGGGCGGCCAACCCGTGCCTTCATTCTTGCCCAACACCAGTGGGCTGGATGGGATGTTCGCCGCAGTCTCCACTGCTCCCCGATGTCTCTCTCACATCAGGCCTGCCTTACTGACCTGACCTGCCTCCTCCTGCAAGCATTTGAGTCTGGAATTTTTTTGATGTGCAGAAACAATGCCTGTAAAACACCCAGTACAGGGGTGCTGAAGACATGTTCGTTCAACATGAGCTGAAGCATTCTTAGAGGCAGGTGCTGGTACACCCACATGCACTGGAGACTCTGAGATGAGCATTGCAGACTCTGAGATGTGCACTGGAGATTCTGAATGGGCATTGGAGACTCTGAGATGGACACTGGAGGCTCTGAGCTGTGCTTTGGAGATTCTGAGATGCGCATTGGAGACTCTGAGGTGTGCATTGGAGACTCTGAGATGGACACTGGAGGCTCTGAGCTGTGCTTTGGAGATTCTGAGATGTGCATTGGAGACTCTGAGCTGTGCTTTGGAGATTCTGAGATGTGCATTGGAGACTCTGAGATGGGCACTGGAGACTAAGATGTGCATTGGAGACTCTGAGGTGTGCTTTGGAGACTCTGAGATGTGCTTTGGAGACTCTGAGATGTGCTTTGGAGACTCTGAGGTGTCCATTGGAGACTCTCAGATGTGCATTGGAGACTCTGAGATGGGCATTGGAGATTCTGAGCTGTGCTTTGGAGACTCTGAGATGGGCACTGGAGATTCTGAGATGTGCATTGGAGACTCTGAGATGGGCACTGGAGACTAAGATGTGCATTGGAGACTCTGAGGTGTGCTTTGGAGACTCTGAGATGTGCTTTGGAGACTCTGAGGTGTCCATTGGAGACTCTCAGATGTGCATTGGAGACTCTGAGATGGGCATTGGAGATTCTGAGCTGTGCTTTGGAGACTCTGAGATGGGCACTGGAGACTCTGAGATGTGCATTGGAGACTCTGAGATGGGCACTGGAGACTCTGACGTGTGCTTTGGAGACTCTGAGATGGGCATTGGAGACCCTGAGGTGTGCATTGGAGACTCTGACGTGGGCATTGGAGACTGAGATGGGCATTGGAGACTCTGAGATGTGCTTTGGAGATTCCGATATGTGCATTGGAGACCCTGAGGTGTGCACTGCAGACACTGAGGTGTGCATTGGACACTCTGACGTGGGCACTGGAGACTGAGATGGGTACGGGAGACTCTGAGGTGTGCATTGCAGACTCTGAGGTGTGCTTTAGAGACTGTGAGATGGGCACTGCAGAGGCTGAGGTGTGCTTTGGACACTCTGGTGTTCCAGTATGATGTGATTGCTTTTCAGAGCGGCAGACAGGATGTCCAGCTGGAGCCGGCCAGCAGCAGGACGCTGACTGCGTGAGTGATGCAGCCGCGATTGGTGTTGACGGCCGGCGCGGAACACTCCATCTACATGCAGGTGCTAAGTGAGCCCTGGGGAGAAGGTGACCTGAATACTTGCCAACTGTTCTTTAGAAATTTCTTTAAATGGAAAATATGATTTAGGCAATGTTAAAAAAAAAAAACAAAACCAGACAGAGTCCCAGGATATTAGCACATGGCTCAGAAGACCGGACGCAGAAGGAGGAAAAGTCATGCTCTTTGCCAAGCCCAGTGCTAACTAGACCTTAAACCTGGGCGAATGCACCCATAACGTGGGTGTCTCCACGCCTTCCGTGCAAACTGTGTGTATTTGACAGATGAATGGTTTGTCTCTGGGATGATACTTTTCTGACAGTGCAGCCTGCAGATAACATCTAACGAGGGGAGAAGGATTATGTGAGCAGTGGTGGCTGAGGTCTCTCTCTCTCTCTCTCTCTTTTTTTTTTTTTTTTTGAGATGGAGTTTCACTCTTGTTGTCCAAGCTGGAGTTCACTGGCGTGATCTCGGCTCACAGCAACCTCTGCCTCCCGGGTTCAAGCGATTCTCTTGCCTCAGCCTCCCAAGTAGCTGGGATTACAAGCATGTGCCACCATGCCCAACTAATTTTGTATTTTGTATTTTTCTTTCTTTCTTTCTTTTTTTTTTGAGATGGAGTCTCGCTCTGTCGCCCAGGCTGGAGTGCAGTGGCGCGATCTCGGCTAACTGCAACCTCTGCCTCCCGGGTTCACACCATTCTCCTGCCTCAGCCTCCCGAGTCGCTGGGACTACAGGTACCCGCCACTGCACCCGGCTAATTTTTTGTATTTTTAGAAGAGACGGGGTTTCACCGTGTTAGCCAGGATGGTCTCGATCTCCTGACCTCGTGATCCGCCCGCCTCGGCCTCTCAGAGTGCTGGGACTACAGGCGTGAGCCACCGTGCCCGACTTTTTTTTTTTTTTTTTTTTTTTTTTAGTAAAGACAGGGTTTCTCCATATTGGCCAGGCTGGTCTTGAACTCTTGACCTCAGGTGATGCACCTGCCTTGGCCTCCCAAAGTGCTGGGATTACAAGCGTGAGTCACTGCGCCCGGCCCGAGGTGTCTTATGAGTGGGCAGTGGACTGTGGCTCAGCTCTGGCCCACCTGAAGGTGAAGAGAGGTGGCTTTCTGGCCCTGGGATTAGTCCTGCCTTGTACAAATCTCCACCTCCGAAGGAAGGAAGAACAAGGGATTTATAGAGATGCCTTTGGGAGCTTCAGAAGAAAGAGGGTGTAATCTTGCTGGTTGATATAATTTTGGATGAAGGCACTGTCCTCCAAGCTCACAAACACACAGGACCAGAGAGAAGGACGGAGGAGATGGGGTTTCAGCGAGGGAGGTGGGAGAACAGGCCTGGCCTGTTGGGGGTAGAACGTAGAAGAAAAGGGCAATCTGAGAGATGAACAGGGGACGGTATTAAGTGCGTGCCCCCACACACATGCGCACATGTCCGGAAGGCAAGCACACACCCACCGTCATGAGCCCTCACGTGCAGGTGCATGCACGCATTCTTGCAAACCCCACACATGCACACAAGCCCATATGCATATATGTGTACAGAAGGCAAGCACACATTCACAGTCATGAGCCCTCACGTGCAGGTGCATGCACGCATTCTTGCAAGCCCCACACATGCACACAAGTGCATATGCATATACATGTACAGAAGGCAAGCACACACAGCCATGAGCCCTCACGTGCAGGTGCATGCATGCATTCTTGCAAACCCCACACATGCACACAAGCCCATATGCATATATGTGTACAGAAGTCAAGCACACACTGATAGTCATGAGCGCTCACATACAACTGCATGCATGCATTCATTCAAGCTCCCACATGCACAGATGCACACAGGTATCTCTGCACAGAGGTGTACAGAAGGCAAGCACACATTCAGTCATGAGCCCTCACGTGCAGGTGCATGCACGCATTCTTGCAAACCCCACACATGCACACAAGCCCATATGCATATATGTGTACAGAAGGCAAGCACACACCCACAGCCATGAGCCCTCACGTGCAGGTGCATGCATGCATTCATTCAAGCCTCCACATGCACACAAGCCCATATGCATATATGTGTACAGAAGGCAAGCACACATTCACAGTCATGAGCCCTCACGTGCAGGTGCATGCACGCATTCTTGCAAGCCCCACACATGCACACAAGCCCATATGCATATATGTGTACAGAAGGCAAGCACACACTGATAGTCATGAGCGCTCACATACAACTGCATGCATGCATTCATTCAAGCCCCCACATGCACAGATGCACACAGGTATCTCTGCACAGAGGTGTACAGAAGGCAAGCACACATTCACAGTCATGAGCCCTCACGTGCAGGTGCATGCACGCATTCTTGCAAACCCCACACATGCACACAAGCTCATATGCATATACGTGTACAGAAGGCAAGCACACACCCACAGCCATGAGCCCTCACGTGCAGGTGCATGCATGCATTCTTGCAAACCTCACACATGCACCCAAGCCCATATGCATATATGTGTACAGAAGGCAAGCACACATTCACAGTCATGAGCCCTCATGTGCAGGTGCATGCACGCATTCTTGCAAGCCTCACACATGCACACAAGCACATATGCATATACGTGTACAGAAGGCAAGCACACATTCACAGTCATGAGCCCTCACATGCAGGCGCATGCACGCATTCTTGCAAGCCCCACACATGCACACAAGCACATATGCATATACATGTACAGAAGGCAAGCACACACAGCCATGAGCCCTCACGTGCAGGTGCATGCATGCATTCTTGCAAACCCCACACATGCACACAAGCCCATATGCATATATTTGTACAGAAGTCAAGCACACACTGATAGTCATGAGCGCTCACATACAACTGCATGCATGCATTCATTCAAGCTCCCACATGCACAGATGCACACAAGTATCTCTGCACAGAGGTGTACAGAAGGCAAGCACACATTCAGTCATGAGCCCTCACGTGCAGGTGCATGCACGCATTCTTGCAAACCCCACACATGCACACAAGCCCATATGCATATATGTGTACAGAAGGCAAGCACACATTCACAGTCATGAGCCCTCACGTGCAGGTGCATGCACGCATTCTTGCAAGCCTCACACATGCACACAAGCCCATATGCATATACGTGTACAGAAGGCAAGCACACACAGCCATGAGCCCTCACATGCAAATGCACATGCACATACACGCACAATGCAAAGCACACACTCCTAGTTTTGTGCATTCACTGTGTATGTGTGTCTGCATGTGCTCATGCGCCCTGATCCATGTGTGACTGTGTATGTGTGTGTCTGTGTGTTGTGCGCACTGATCTGTGTTACTGTTTATGTGTGTGAGTCTGCAGACACACACATACACAGTCGCACAGGGATCAGTGCGCATGAGTACACAGACACACACATACACAGTCACACACATGTGCACACACCCACAGGTAGAAACGTGCACCCACACACATCTATTTTCATGGCAACAGTCACACACAGATCAGTGCATGTGAGTATAGATACAGACTCACACACATACACAGACACACACGGATCAGTGCGCATGAGCACACACAGACTCACACACATTAACAGTCGCACACAGATCACCTGAGGCCAGGAGTTGGAGACCAGTCTGGCCAACACGGCAAAACCTGCCTCTACAAAAAATACAAAAGTTAGCCAGGTGCGTTGGCGTGCACCTGTCATCCCAGCTACTCAGGAGGCTGAAACAGGAGAAACGCTTGAACCCAGGAGGTGGAGGTTGCAGTGAGCTGAGATCACACCACTGCACTCAAGCCTGGGCGACAAAGCGAGACTCCGTCTCAAAGAAAAAAAAAAAGAAAGAAAAAGAAAAAAGGGACGCGCTGGGCAAGGGGAAGTTGTTAGAAGCCCTGAGTCCCACACATGAGGGTCCTGACAACTTTTCTTCGTGATTCCGTATTTTAAAAGTAAATCTCCTTTCTGGGAACTTTTAATACCATTTTGGTTACGCGTCTAATCCACCTGCTCCTTAACCAGAAATGGTAATCACGTGGAAATCACTGCCAAACTATGATGTCCAATTAAAATTCAGGTTATTTTGTGGGAGGCAAACGCACCCCCCAGCCTCTCTCTTTTTAAACCGTCATCTTACAAATCCTCTGATAGAAAGTTCGGGCTGTTTTGAGGGAGAGCTTGTCATCAAGAGCCATCTGGCTTCCTCAGTCATGACAGATTAAAATAGGATACAGTATGAAAGCTTTGCCACCCCTCCAGGGGCGAAAGAAGTCACTGGGGGAAAGAGGTAATTAAAAGATCCCCTTGCAGAGACGGGCTCTGAGAGGGACCCTGGCACTCACCAACGGCAAAAAACTCATTTTCCAGAAGAGAGCAGGCCCCGGCCGGCCGGACATCGATGGCCTCGGAGCCACTCTGTCTCCTTTGGGGACGAAGGTGGGCTGGCTCTCGTAACCCCTTAGCTTTGTCTGGCCAGCACCCTTGGCTTTGTCTGGCCAGCACCCTTCTCTCCGTCTGGCCAGCACCCTTCTCTCCTCCTGTCCATGGCCATCAAGCGGCCAGGACTTGATAGCCGTGGAAATTGCACCTGATGAAATGGACGTAATGAGTGTCATGAAGAAACAGGATTGTTTCTCCCCAAAACAGGAGGTCGCAAGGATGTCTCGATTTTCAAAGCCTGCAAGGAAAAAAGGTGACATTCCCCGTCGTGGGACATCCCCTCGCAAGGAGCCGACTCATGATTCCCACCTAGATAGTAAATACCACTCACGCCTGTCATCCCAGAGCTTTGGGAGGCGGAGGCGGGCGGATCATGAGGTCAGGAGATCGAGACCATCCTGGCTAATACGGTGAAACCCCGTCTCTACTAAAAATACAAAAATTAGCTGGGTGTGGTGGTGGGTGCCTGTAATCCCAGCTACTCGGGAGGCCGAGGCAGGAGAATCGCTTGAACCTGGGAGGTGGACAATGCAGTGAGCCGAGATCTCACCACTGCACTCCAGCCTGGGTGACAGGGCGAGACTCCATCTCAAACAAACAAACCACTCTGGGGTCTGCGTGTGCTGCCTGCGTAGGAAACACTTCCCCATTGTGAATGGGCACCTGTCACACCGTCCCGGTTACCGCTCCGTAACTGACACGAACGATGCCGGAGAGCTGGGAGCTGGGAGCTGGGTGCCCAGCCTTGGAGGCGTGCTCCAAACCACACCTCCCTTTTGAGCTTGGCTGGTATGTAAACGATTGGAAGGATAGTTAATCAAGCAATTCCTCCATCTCACCTAAGTGAACCCAGAGATATTTATTTTCTCTCTCTATAAAGGTGTTCACTCCCCAACTGTTTTTTTTTCTTAAAATGCAGATGGGATCTTGCTACGTGGCACAGGCTGGTCTCAAACTCCTGGGCTTAAGAGATCATCTCACCTTGGCCTCCCAAGTAGCTGGAACTGCAGGGGCACGCCACCACACCTGGCTAATATGTATATATTTTATATATTACATACATATTATATATGACACATATTATATATACTACAGATATATATGTTATATTACATACATAATATACCATATACATTATATTGCATATATAATATACATTATACTACACATAATATGTAATATATTACATATATAAAATATAAAATATATAATGTACACATACATAACTTACATATCACATATATAACACATATATAATATGCAATATAATATACATGTAATATCTAATATATGTAATATATGCAATATTTATATACATGTAATATATGCAATATATATTTTCATATTATATTTTTATATATAAACCTATATTTATAATATATATAAACCTATATTTATATATAATATATAAACCTATATTTATATTAATATATAAACATATTTATATATATTTTTATATTATATATAAACCTACAAATATATATTTATATATATATATATTTTTTTCAGATGGAGACTCCCTCTGTCACCCAGGCTGGAGTGCAATGGCGTGGTCTTGGTTCACTGCAACCTCCACCTCCCAGGTTAGAGATTTTATATATAAAAAATATATAGCTGGAACTGCAGGTTCGAGTGATTCTCTTGCCTCAGCCTCCCCAGTAGCTGGGATTACAGGCGCCCGCCACCACGCCCAACTCATTTTTGTATTTTTAGTAGAGATGGGGTTTCACCATGTTGGCCAGGCTGGTCTCGAACTCCTGACCTCAGGGGATCCACCCGCCTCAGCCTCCCAAAGTGCTGGGATTACAGGCGTGAGCCACCGTGCCCAGCCCAAAGTGATTTTTTTTTTAACTGTCTCTGCCAGCAGACAACCGTTTTAGAGAAATTCGGTGTTTTTTTGTTTTTTTGTTTTTTTTGATGGAGTTTCGCTCTTGTTGCCCAGGCTGGAGTGCAGTGGTGAGATCTCGGTTCACTGCAACCTCCGCCTCCCGGGTTCAGGCGATTCTCCTGCCTCAGCCTCCCGAGTAGCTGGAATTACAGGCGCCCGCCACCACGCCTGGCTCATTTTTGTATTTTTAGTAGAGACGGGGTTTCACCATGTTGGCCAGGATGGTCTGGAGCTCCTGGCCTCAGGGGATCCACCCGCCTCGGCCTCCCAAAGTGCTGGGATGACAGGCATGAGCCACCATGCGCAGCCCAAAGTGACTTTTTTTAACCGTCTCTGCCAGCAGACAACCGTTTTAGAGAAATTCAGTTTTTTTAAATTTTTTTTGAGCGCGTTACATTCCTGAGCTGCTGTCTGGGGCTGTCAAAGCCACGTTGCTCACCTGACCAGGTAAGTCTTGGCTTGGACTGTTTCCCAGGACAAATAACAGGTGTTTTCTCCCATTCCCTGCCCTGAGACATGGGAGTGTCTTTGCTGGAATTATAGCAACTGTGAGCCTCTTCCTGGCCGTCCTGTCGCCTTGGAGTCTTAAGGGAAGGCGCACACGTTATCACAAAGCATATGCATTTGCCCCTGGGCCCCAGAGGTGCTGGATTATGGGGGTACAGGGAAAAGTCTGTCCACACCCCAGTCTTCTGGGATCCATAGGCCAGGGAGAAATCCTCCTTCTGTCTCCGAGAGTCTGACAGAGACAGCATGTCATTATCTTAACAGCTGTAAATCCCAATTATTTCTGAGGCAGAAAATGCACTCTAAAATATGCATGCTTATTTAAAAAAAGAGAAAGAAAAAAAAAACCCTCAAAGATTGCAGTCGTGTTGCTATAATTTAGAGCCCTAAACCTCAGAACCTCCGGATGAGTCTTCGGCTTGATATTGTGAGACCGGCTCTTTCAATCTTGGAGGGATATCTCAGCAAATGCTCCTCTTCCCGTTCTCTGCAAGTGGGGGGAAACCGCCGCTGACCCACGGGGTGACACGCAGCTGAATCATTCCAAAGGGAACCGGGGGCCGGATTGATCTGCGTTGGTCGCTAACGAAGGCTCGTAGGCAAAGCTCAGCGAAGTGGGCTCGGCGGACACAGGGTGGGCTCGGGGCCCCGGGGCCGGGCCTGCTGGTGGAGGCTGGGGATGTCTTTTTGATTTTGTCGTTAGGAAGCCGTACCGTAGTCTCTCCGAGGCGTTGGGTGAAATTCACAGATTTCATCTTCCGTGAACTGTGGCTCACTTTTTGATATATATATATATATTTTTTCCCCCGATTGCTTGATGTCACCCTGTGCTTTTTCCATAAGACAAATGCAAATGAGCCAGGCATTCTAACGAGGCGAGCCCTCGGAGGTGACCTCTTTCTGGGGAAGCTCCGGTCTGCAAAACCACGATGAGAGAGGAAAACGTTTTTTTTTTTTTTTGCAGAGAAAACTCAGGCCTGCTGTTTAATCAGGGCCTTTGCTGCGGCCGCTGCTCCTGCAGACACAGAGGCGTTAATGAGGCAAGACTAGTCCCCATGTCCCCACGTTGGAGGCCTGGGATGAGGATCCCTTCTCTGTCCCCCATGTCTGCATCCCAGGACGCAGGTGGATCCGAGTCTGCTGCATAGACGGCCATTAGGTCCCAGGATGGAGCTGGATTCGAGCCTGCTGTGTAGACGGCCATTAGGTCCCAGTCCCAGGATGGAGCCGGATTCAAGCCTGCTATGTAGATGGCTATTAGGTCCCAGGATGCAGGTGGATCTGAGTCTGCTGCATAGAAGGCCATTAGGTCCCAGGATGGAGCTGGATTCGAGCCTGCTGTGTAGACAGCCATTAGGTCCCGGGATGCAGCTACATCTGAGCCTGCTGCATAGATGGCCATTAGGTCCTGGGATGGAGCTGCATTGGACCCTGCTGTGTAGACAGCCATTAGGTCCCAGGATGCAGCTACATCTGAGCCTGCTGCATAGATGGCCATTAGGTCCTGGGACGGAGCTGCATTGGACCCTGCTGTGTAGAGAGCCATTAGGTCCTGGGATGTAGCTGCATCCGAGTCTGCTGTGTAGACGGCCATTAGGTCCCAGTCCCAGGATGGAGCTGGAGTTGAGCCTGCTATGTAGATGGCTATTAGGTCCCAGGACGCAGGTGGATCCGAGTCTGCTGCATAGATGGCCATTAGGTCCCAGGATGGAGCTGGATTCGAGCCTGCTGTGTAGACGGCCATTAGGTCCCAGTCCCAGGATGGAGCTGGAGTGGAGCCTGCTATGTAGATGGCTATTAGGTCCCAGGACGCAGGTGGATCCGAGTCTGCTGCATAGATGGCCATTAGGTCCCAGGATGGAGCTGGATTCGAGCCTGCTATGTAGATGGCTATTAGGTCTCGGGATGCAGCTACATCTGAGCCTGCTGCATAGACGGCCATTAGGTCCTGGGACAGAGCTGCATTGGACCCTGCTGTGTAGACAGCCATTAGGTCCCAGGATGTAGCTGCATCCGAGTCTGCTGCATAGATGGCCATTAGGTCCCAGTCCCAGGATGGAGCTGGATTCGAGCCTGCTGTGTAGACGGCCATTAGGTCCCAGTCCCAGGATGGAGCTGGAGTCGAGCCTGCTGTGTAGACGGCCATTAGGTCCCAGTCCCAGGATGGAGCTGGATTCGAGCCTGCTATGTAGATGGCTATTAGGTCCCGGGATGCAGCTACATCTGAGCCTGCTGCATAGACGGCCATTAAGTCCTGGGACGGAGCTGCATTGGACCCTGCTGTGTAGACAGCTATTAGGTCCCGGGATGCAGCTACATCTGAGCCTGCT
This sequence comes from Homo sapiens, assembly GCF_000001405.40. Lineage (NCBI taxonomy): Eukaryota > Metazoa > Chordata > Mammalia > Primates > Hominidae > Homo > Homo sapiens. Next base: position 499,220 of record NC_000023.11, read on the forward strand.
GCATGGACGGCCATTAGGTCCTGGGATGGAGCTGCATTGGACCCTGCTGTGTAGACAGCCATTAGGTCCCGGGATGCAGCTGCATCTGAGTCTGCTGCATAGATGGCCATTAGATCCTGGGACGGAGCTGCATTGGACCCTGCTGTGTAGACAGCCATTAGGTCCCAGGATGTGGCTGCATCTGAGCCTGCTGTGTAGACGGCCAAAATAAATAACAAAACTGTGTTGGCAGGCGGTGACCGACAGACGAACCACTGGGCTCTCATCCCGGCCGGCCCTTTGAGTTGTTTAAGTTCCTCTTGTACTTGAATTGTTTCCCCAGAACGAGGTGGATCAAAGTGTCATACAGTAACAGCCCAGACAGACGATAGGTATGGCAGAAAAGAAAAAAACTAAAAAAAAAAAAAAAAAAAAAAATCGCATGGGAAGTTTCCCCGCCTCCTCTTTGGCCATTCTGTGCCCGGAGATCAAAGTTCTCATTTCAGCTCTAATTAAGAAAAACTAACACAGAGCCAAGGCCTTCTGGCTCCGAAGAGGGCCTTTGGTGGATCACTGCTGAAATCTTCCCGAGATTTAAATAATTAATATGACACCTTGAGCTCTGCACGGAGAAATTAAAAAAAAAAAAAACAAAAAAGGGAAAGGGAAAGGGGAGGAAGGGGGCCCCGTGTCGGAGCGGGGAACAATGGGATTGAGGATATGGCAGAGCATTTGTACCCCTGGATGCGTGCAGCCCTCCTTTGTCATGCTAAAGGGGAACCTTTATTTTCTGTGGTCACCCCGGGTGCTCAGAGCCTCTAGGAGGATCCTTTCGGAAAGCAAGTCTGCTGTGGGGAGTTGGAGGACGCTCATTTAATGCTTTTTAATCCTGTTAATCCCAGGCAGAATGGCCATCCCCAGCGCAAATCCGGTCCCCAAAGCCCTCCCCGGCTTGCCAGAGCCAGGCTCCCTCCCAGACGCTCCCGGGAAGCATCTCTTCTGCGAGCCGGCCTGTCTCTGTGCTGGGTTCCCGGAGCCATCTGAGCCAGCACAGGCGACGAGAAATTAAAATCAGGCCTGGCATTGTGCTACGTCTCTGTGCTGGGTTCCCGGAGCCATCGTGAGCCAGCAGAGGCGACAAGCAATTAAAATCAGCTGCAAATCCTACGGCCGGAGCGTCCGGGGAGTGCAGGACGGGACCAGCCAGGCCTCGAACCCCCGTCCCTCTGGATGGGGTCGAGTCTGAAGATTCCTCCTCCTGCCCAGGACTGTTCAGATCCTCGGTGGAGTGTGGACACGGATTAGTCGTCCACTGCTGCAGACGAGATCAGAGCCAAGCCTCGGTATTCAGTTCGTTACAACTTCATAAAGCCAGGTCGCTCCCCCTCTGCCTCTGTACGCAGGAAGAAAATCGATCGGTCTAATTTCATAGCTCAGCATAAAACTCGACGGAACCTTTGCAAAGGCAATGATAAAAAAGATCCCGGAAAAAGCCGACAGTCTCCACGGCATGACGGCGCGGCCGCAGCTGAATAAACTCGGGGTGGGCGGCCAACCCTGCTGCATAGACGGCCATCAGGTCCCAGGATGGAGCTGGATTCGAGCCTGCTGTGTAGACACCCATTAGGTCCTGGGACGGAGCTGGATTCGAGTCTGCTGCATAGACGGCCATTAGGTCCCGGGACGGAGCTGGATTCGAGCCTGCTGTGTAGACAGCCATTAGGTCCTGGGATGGAGTTGGATTCGAGCCTGCTGTGTAGACAGCCATTAGGTCCTGGGACAGAGCTGGATTCGAGTCTGCTGCATAGACGGCCATTATGTCCCGGGATGGAGCTGGATTCGAGCCTGCTGTGTAGACAGCCATTAGGTCCCGGGACAGAGCTGGATTCGAGTCTGCTGCATAGATGGCCATTAGGTCCCGGGATGGAGCTGGATTCGAGCCTGCTGTGTAGACAGCCATTAGGTCCTGGGATGGAGTTGGATTCGAGCCTGCTGTGTAGACAGCCATTAGGTCCCGGGACGGAGCTGGATTTGAGTCTGCTGCATAGATGGCCATGAGGTCCCAGGACGGAGCTGGATTCGAGCCTGCTGTGTAGACATCCATTAGGTCCTGAGACGGAGCTGGATTCAAGTCTGCTGCATAGACGGCCATTAGGTCCCGGGACGCAGGTGGATCCAAGTCTGCTGCATAGATGGCCATTAGGTCCCAGGATGGAGCTGGATTTGAGTCTGCTGCGTAGATGACCATTAGGTCCTAGTCCCAGGATAGAGCTGCATAGGAGCCTGCTGTGTAGACAGCCATTAGGTCCCAGTCCCAGGATGGAGCTGGAGTCGAGCCTGCTGTGTAGACAGCCATTAGGTCCCAGTCCCAGGATGGAGCTGGAGTCAAGCCTGCTGTGTAGACGGCCATTAGGTCCCAGGATGCAGGTACATCCTAGTCTGCTGCATAGACGGCCATTAGGTCCCAGTCCCAGGATGGAGCTGCATAGGAGCCTGCTGTGTAGACAGCCATTAGGTCCCAGTCCCAACACACACAAACCACAGTAAACACATACACTATGCACAACACAGATGCCACACCACACACACACAACACATAAAATACACACTACACACAAAACACCTACTGCACACAACACACAGAATACACACTACACACAGCACACACAAACCACACTAAACACATATGCTATGCACAACAAAGATGCCACACAACACACACACATAGAACACACAAAATATACACAACACACACAAACCACACTAAACACATATGCACAACACAGATGCCACAGAACACACACACATAAAACACGCAAATACATACTATACACAACACAGCACAAACCACACACTGCACACACAAATGCACACTACACACAAACCACACAAACCACACTAAACACACACACTCTGCACAGTACAAACACCACACTAAATACACATATACACAAAATACATATGACACACAAAATACATAGAAAAACACAGACTGGCCTCACAAACCACACACACTATGCACAACACAGATGCCACACCACACACACACATATAACACACAAAATACACACTACACACAGCACACACAAACCACACTAAACACATATGCACAACACAGATGCCACACAACACGCACACACCCAACACACAAAATACACACTACACACAACACACACAAACCACAGTAAACACACACTATGCACAATACAGATACCAGACAACAGACACTTACAACACACAAAATACACACTACACACAACACACACAAACCACAGTAAACACATACACTGTGCACAACAGATGCCACACAACACACACACATACAACACACAAAATACACACAAACCACACTAAACACATATTCTGTGCGCAAAACAGATGCCACATAAAACACACACATGCAACACACAAAATACCTACTACATATACACAACACTAAACACAGACGTTATGCACAACACAGATGCCACACAATACACACACAAAACACACAAATACATACTACACACAACACAAACCACACTAAACACACACTGCACCCACAAAATACACATTGCACACAACACATGCAAACCACACTAAACACACACTATGCACAATACAGATACCAGACACCACACACTTACAACACAGAAAATACACACTACACACAACACACACAAACCACACTAAACACATACACTCTGCACAGGACAGACGTCACACTGAATACACACACATAACACATAATCTACAATTACACGCAACAGACGCAGACGTCGCTAAACACACACACTCTGCACAGGACAGACACCACACTAAACACACACACACACAAATGTGGTAGGTCACCCCCACATCATGAGCCCCAAGAGCCAGTTGATTTCTGCCTCAACAACGGTTGATTTGAAGGAACTTACGATGAATTAAGATGTGGACATCTGGCCGGGCGCGGTGGCTCACGCCTGTAATCCCAGCACTTTGGGAGGCCGAGGCGCGTGGTGGTCAGGAGGGTTGGATCCTCATGAATGGGATTCATCCCTTATAAAAGAGACTTCAGGCCGGACGAAGGGGCGCCCACCACGAAGCCCGGCTAATTTTTTGTATTTTTGGTACAGACGGGGTTTCACCGTGTTGGCCAGGATGGTCTCGATCTCTTGACCTCGTGATCCGCCCTCCTTGGCCTCCCAAAGCGCTGGGATTACAGGCGTGAGCTACCACACCCAGCTTCTCAATTTTTTAAAACTGAGATTAAGTTTGCATGGCACGCAAGCAATCCTTTCAAAAGTGAACAGTTCAGGGACGTGTGTGTGCATTTACAATGTTGCTGTACATTTACAATGAGAGGGATTGGGGGTGTGTCTGTTTCATAGGGTTCCTTCTGGGGGAGCAAAATATTCTAGGAATAGAATTTTCCAGAAGGAAACCTATCAAACAGTCACAGCCCCAATCCCTCTCTCTCAGCCCCTGGCAGTCACAAAGCTCCTTTCTGTCTCAACGAATTTGTCTGTTCTGCGTTTATTTTTTAATAGACTTGCTTATACATAGAAAAGAATTTCAAAGTTTGGCCACTGCTGTGCTTGCTGCTGGTGGCTATGGGGTCTTGATACTTCTTAGGATATCCCCCTAGGATAACATCAGGGTTCCTGAGGACATCTGACTTCTGTTCTTTTTTTTTTTTTTTTGAGATGGAGTCTCGCTCTTGTCACCCAGGCTGGAGTGCAGTGGCTCGATCTCAGCTCATTGCAACCTCCGCCTCCTGGGTTCAAGCGATTCTCCTGCCTCAGCCTCCCGAGTAGCTGGGATGACAGGTGCCCTCCGCCACGCCCGGCTAATTTTTGTATTTTTAGTTGAGATAGGGTTTCACCATGTTGGCCAGGATGGTCTCGATCTCCTGACCTCAGGTGATCCACCTGCCTTGGCCTCCCAAAGTGCTGTAATTACAGGCATGAAACACCGTGCCCGGCCGAATTCTGTTCTTTTTGTTGACATGGAGTTGCGCCCTCGTCACCCAGGCTGGAGTGCAGTGCTGTGGTCTCGGCTCACTGCAACCTCCGCCTCCTGGGTTCACACCATTCTCCTGCCTCAGTCTCCCGAGTACCTGGGACTACAGGTGCCCACCACCACGCCCGGCTAATTTTTGTATTTTTACTAGAGATGGGGTTTCTCCATGTTGGCCAGGCTGGTCTCGAACTCCTGACCTCAGGTGATTCACCTGCCTCAGCCTCCCCAAAGTGCTGGGATGACAGGCGTGAGCCACCACTCCCAGACTGATTTATTTTCTTTAAACAAAGCCCAGGGGCCACCGTGAGATTATGTCACCTCTCTGTGGTGTTTTTCCCCTTTTTATCCAATATATTGCATTCTGAGACACATTTCTAATGTACAGAAAGAGATGTTCATGCTTCTTGCACTTTTTTTTCAGAAGTTAACGCTAAATCTATGTGTCTTGGCCTCTTAAAAACAAAACAAAACCAAAAAAAACAAACCTACACTTCCATAGTTGAAAAACTGGACTGGTTTTGGGTGCTACCACACACGTCTCACAACAAACACAGTTGAGAATCAAGCGACTGTTTCAATAGCTCATAAATGGTGGTGAGAAAAGCCTGTTTGTAACCACTTCAGCATTTGAAATTAAACTCATCATTTAAGGATTTCTAAAGGTAATCATTTGGTCAACAACAGCAAAAAGTATTCCCTTTCTTGCCTGCCTCCCTCCTTCCTGTCCTTCCCTCCTTCCCTTCTTCCTTCCTTCCTTCCTGTCCTTCCTTCCTTCCCTCCTTCCTTCCTTCATTTCTTTCTTTTCTTCTTTCTCTCTTTCTTTCTTTTTCTTTCCCACAGGGAAAGGGGCGCCGTGAATGTAGCCCATATAGACCTAGAAGAGAGATGATCAGCTATCATCTCTCTCTCTTTCTCTATCTATTAATCTATCTATATATCTTACCTATCGATGTATCTATTATATCTATGTATCTATATCTATTTATGTATTCTATGTATCTATTTTATCTATTTATCTATATCTATTGTATGTATCTATTATATCTATGTATCTATATCTATTTATGTATTCTATGTATCTATTTTATCTATGTATCTATATCTATTTATTCTATGTATCTATTATATCTGTGTATCTATATCTATTTATGTATTCTATGTATCTATTTATCTATATCTATTCTATGTATCTATTATATCTATGTATCCATATCTATTTATGTATTCTATGTATCTATTTTATCTATTTATCTATATCTATTGTATGTATCTATTATATCTATGTATCTATATCTATTTATGTATTCTATGTATCTATTTTATCTATTTATCTATATCTATTGTATGTATCTATTATATCTATGTATCTATATCTATTTATGTATTCTATGTATCTATTTTATCTATGTATCTATATTTATTCTATGTATCTATTATATCTGTGTATCTATATCTATTTATGTATTCTATGTATCTATTTATCTATATCTATTCTATGTATCTATTATATCTATGTATCCATATCTATTTATGTATTCTATGTATCTATTTTATCTATTTATCTATATCTATTGTATGTATCTATTATATCTATGTATCTATATCTATTTATGTATTCTATGTATCTATTTTATCTATGTATCTATATCTATTGTATGTATCTATTATATCTATGTATCTATATCTATTTATGTATTCTATGTATCTATTTTATGTATGTATCTATATCTATTTATTCTATGTATCTATTATATCTATGTATATCTATTTATGTATTCTATGTATCTATTTATCTATATCTATTCTATGTATCTATTATATCTATGTATCCATATCTATTTATGTATTCTATGTATCTATTTTATCTATTTATCTATATCTATTTATTCTTTGTATCTATTATATCTATGTATCTATATTCTATGTATCTATTATATTTATCTATGTATCTATGTATGTATGTATCATCTATCTTATCATGTATTTATTATATCTATTATCTATCTTATCTATCATCTATCTATTGCATCTATTATCTATCTATTATATCTATTTATATCTATCATCTATGTATCTATTATATCTATCATCTATCTTATCTATCATCTATTATATCTATCATCTCTCATCTATGTATCTATGTATTATATCTATCTATCATCTATCTATCCATCTATCTATGTATGTATGTATCTGTCTATTATCTATCTATCCATCTATCTATCATCCAACTGGATTATCAATATCCGTGCTCCCACACATATTTCACTCTCTCTCTCTCTCAACCTTGCCAAAAGCAGGCAGAACGCAGCAGGAAGTGACTCCCTCCCGATCCTTTGCCCCAAGGGGCAGACACCCACCCGTAGGAAGCTGCATTCCTGGGGTCTGTGGTCATGTCACCGTTAGCAATGTGGTACCTGGGCTGGACAAGAGAGTCAATTTACGGCTCTTTTGTGCTGAATATCAGAAAAGCCGATCATTCAATTATCTCAGCGTTACCTTTCACTGGCATTATTTCATTCCTTGAAATGGCTTTTCATTCCAATTATAGGTTTTCATGGAGAAATTGTTGGATAATGTAATAATATTTGCCTCTTGCCGTCCTCTGAGGGCGATGATGAATGTTTAATAAGACACCAAAGTTGCAAAACCATTATGCACTTCTCAAAAGAGAGATGCCATATAAATGAATAATAAGAATAAATTATGCAACTGTATTGGGTAGAAAAAAAAATCAATTACTCTTCTTCTAGTGGCCAGTGATCTACTTTATATGCTGGATTTTAGAGTTAATTAATTAAGTTACGTCCTGTATTAAAAAAACAAACGTGTCAGCTTTTTTACAGTTTTTTGCTTTTCCTGCCCTAATAGCGTGATGGTTCTATGGGGTGAGGTCCCCTACATCCTGATTGAAATGAACGATTTCCCGGTGAAGCTCCGAGTTTCCACTGGAGGGAAAATGGTGACTGTCTCAAGAATTAGCCTGGGAGACCCTGAAGAGCTTCAGAATATGCCACCAAAAAAAAAAAAATACATATATATATATTGCAGGGGCCAGGTGGGGTGGCTCATGGCTATAATCCCAGCACTTTGGGAGGCCGAGGCAGGTGGATCAGGAGGTCAGGAGTTCAAGACCAGCCTGGCCAAGATGGTGAAACCCTGTCTCTACTAAAAATACCAAAAAATTAACCAGGCGTGGTGGCAGGCATCTGTAATCCCAGCTACTCGGGAGGCTGAGGGAGAGGATTGTTTGAACCTGGGAGGTGGAGGTTGCAGTGAGCCGAGATCACGCCATTGCACTCCAGCCTGGGTGACAGAGCGAGACTCTGTCTCAAAAAAAGAAAAAAAAAAAAGCAACAGCTACGGAGGCTAAAAGGTCCCCTCCTTCTGTGTTTAACTGGGAATGTCGGCAACCTTTACACATGATTTGTTTTCTCTGAGGTTGATTAGGAAATGGAAGCCACCTCATCCATGGAACTTACTCCAAAACTCTAATACTCAACATAGGAAGAGCTTGGAGCCGATGGTCTGTTGGGAACTAGGTCATTACTCCCCTTGTTTTCTCTAACCTTATCCAATTTTCCCGGTTATTCCAAGCTCAGAGAAGGAGGGACCTTCGGAAATGATGCTACAACTGAGTGACTTCCCTCTAGTCATAGAAAACTGTTGTTTTTGTTTTTTGGGTTTTTTTGCAAGACACGGTCTCACTCCGCTGCCCACGCTGGAGCACAGTGGTGCAATCATGGCTCGTTGGAACTTCGAACTCCTGGGCTCAAGTGATCCTCCCACCTCAGCCTCCAGAGTAGCTGGGACCACAGGTGTGCACCACCATGCCTGGCAATTTTTTTGTTTTATTTATTTATTTTTTTTAGAGACAGTCTTGCCTTGTTGCTGAAGCTGGTTTTGAACTCCTGACCTCAAGTGATCTGCCTGCCTCAGCCTCCCAAAGTGTTGGGATGACAGGCATGAGCCACCACTCGGGCTATAAAACCAATTTTGAAAAGAGGTGTTGTGTGAACAACCAGCAGTTGAATTACCTGCCAAAGACAACCTTTTGCTTCTCTTTACCTAGGGGTGGCCCTGGGGTCCAATCTCAGCCAATGGAACGGAAGGTAAATATACAAGAGGAGGTGTGGCTAGCACGGCCCCTCCACCTCTACTCCGCTCCTGTCTCTGAGTGTGGCTGTGATGCCCGGATCAGCAGCAGCCTCCTTGCAACCTTGAGGCCACGTGGTGGTGAACAGAAAGGACCTCGGTTACTTGTGGTGTAACTTGAGGCTGCCGTCTTGTGAGTCAGGTGCCTCGTGTTTTATTTTTTACAAGAGTTGTGTTTCTTTCCAAAGATGATTTTGGATTAGAGAGAAAGAGAGAGAGAGAGAGACAGTAGCGTGTCTGGGTCAGATTTTTACAAAATATCACTACTTAAGATACCAACGTAGAAATGAGCCAGCGTCCAAGTCCTGTTCATATATTTTGGCCAACTTTCTTTTTTTCAGTTTTTGTTTGTGTGTTTGTTTTATTTTACTTTAAGTTCTGGGGTATGTGTGCAGAACGGGCAGGTTTGTTACATACGTATACACATGCCATGGTGGTTTTCTGCACCCATCAACCCATCATCTACATTAGGTATTTTTCCTAATGCTCTCCCTCCCCTATCCCCCCACCCCCTGACAGGCCCTGGTGTGTGATGTTCCCCTCCCTGTGTCCATGTGTTCTCATTGTTCGACTCCCACTTATGAGTGACAACATGCGGTGTTTGGTTTTCTGTTTCTGTGTTAGTTTGCTGAGAATGATGGTTTCCAGCTTCATCCATGTCCCTGCAAAGGACATGAACTCCTCCTTTTTGATGGCTGCATAGTATTCCATGGTGTCTCTGTGCCACGTTTTCTTTCTCCAGTCTATTATTGATGGGCATTTGGGTTGGTTCCAAATCTTTGCTGTTGTGAATAGTGCCGCAATAAACATACGTGTGCATGTGTCTTTATAGCAGGATGATTTATAATCCTTTGGGTATATACCCAGTGATGGGATGGCTGGGTCAAATGGTATTTCTGGTTCTAGATCCCTGAGGAATCGCCACACTGTCTTCCATAATGGTTGAACTAGTTTACAGTCCCACCAACAGTGTAAAAGTGTTCCTATTTCTCCACATCCTCTCCAGCACCTGTTGTTTCCTGACTTTTTAATGATCGCCCTTCTAACTGGTGTGAGGTGGTATCTCATTGTGGTTTTGATTTGCATTTCTCTGATGACCAGTGATGATGAGCTTTTTTTTCACATGTTTGTTTGGCCAACTTTTTGATATGTTTAGATATTAGGACCAAGATATCTTCTTCTTCTTATTATTATTTGAGATGGAGTCTCGCTCTGTTGCCCAGGCTGGAGTTTAATGGCACAATCTCAGCTCACTGCAACCTCCGCCTCCTGGGTTGAAGCAATTCTCCTGCCTCAGCCCACCGAGTAGCTGGGATTACAGGCATGCACCACCACACCCGGCTAATTTTGTATTTTTAGTAGAGATAGTGTTTTACCATGACCCTTTTCTTTCCATCAACAGCATTCTCCCTTCTCAAAGTGTATTCTTTTCTAATTCTATAATTAACGTATTTTATTTATGCAAAAAAAAGAATAAAAAGGAGACACTGGACATAATCAGACAGAATAACCTCAGCCTCCTCTTTCAAAGATAAACAGTGTCCCATGTATGTGCTTGCTCTTTTTTTTTTTTTTTTTTTTTTTTGAGATGGAATCTCGCTCTGTCGCCCAGGCTGGAGTGCAGTGGCGTGACAAGGCTCACTGCAAGCTCCACCTCCCGGGTTCACGCCTTTCTCCTGCCTCAGCCTCCCAAGTAGCTGGGACTACAGGCGCCCGCCACCACGCCCGGCTAATTTTTTTTGTATTTTTAGTAGAGACGGGGTTTCACCGTGTTAGCCAGTATAGTCTCCATCTCTTGACCTCGTGATCCGCCCGCCTCGGCCTCCCAAAGTGCTGGGATGACAGGCGTGAGCCACCGCGCCCGGCAAAGGGGTATAAATCTTTTTCAAGTCTAAATAATCCACTTGCCTGTCTCATAACCCAGGAACGTTTCCCCAAGGACCTGGGAGCCACCTCTTTTCAAATGAGATCATGAAGGAGGAAAACGCCCCTAGCTCCAGTGTCTGCGGACGAGAAGGGTCTAAGTTGTCACCTGACTCGAGATTGCAAAAGCCAGCTAAGGCAATGGGCTGTACACACTTACATCTAGCGAAGGGTGAGATTGCTTCGTGTCATTACAACCTCTTTAGTGAATTGCTTGTGATAGGCTTGGCATTCTGGTTTGATGCTGGTTCCACAATAAAATCATTTTCTTTTCTCTTTTACCTTCGTGGTGAGGTCCCCGGGGTTGGCAGATTTTGCTTTTAATGATATTTCTTCAACGCTGTCTCCACCAAGACCTTCAAATCCTTCCGGAGGCAGAGGGCCCTTGAGGATTCTCGGAGGCTTGAACGGAAATTCTCTACAAAGACCTTGCAAAGCCCTACCCAAGGCGGAGAAGATGAAATATCTGTTAATATGATTGTCATGACAATGTTTTCAGAGATTCCTTCCTTTTGGCAGGATATTTACAGTATCTCAGTGTTCAGATTCCAACGAACGCTGTTTCTATCTGTGTCTTAATAAGCCCAGTTGCGCAGAAGGACGTGGCACCCAGAGAGAGCTTGATAAACGTTGGGTTTTTTGACCGTCCTTGGCATTTGATCTTTGACAGGCAAGCGGGCGTGCAGGTAGGTGGTGTCCACGGGGCGGCCAGCTCAGCAGTGATGCTTGTCCCGTGCTCAGCTGTGGCCTGAATGTCTGTGTTACCCAAATTCCTGTGTTGAAATTGTCTCCCCATCCTTAGTTCAACCATTGTGGAAGACAGTGTGGTGATTCCTCAAGGATCTACAACCAGAAATATCATTTGACCCAGCAATTTCATTACTGGGTATATACCCAAAGGATTGTAAATCATTCTCCTATAAAGACACATGTGCACGTATGTTTTTGCGGCACTGTTCACAATAGCAAAGACTTGGAACCAATCCAAATGCGCATCAATGACAGACTGGATGAAGAAAATGTGGCACATACACACCATGGAATACTATGCAGCCATGAAAAAGGATGAGTTCATGTCCTTTGCAGGGACATGGATGAAGCTGGAAACCATCATTCTCAGCAAATTCACACAGGAACAGAAAACCAAACACCGCATGTTCTCACCCATAAGTGGGAGCTGAACAATGAGAACACATGGACACAGGAAGGGGAACATCACACACCAGGGCCTGTCAGGGGGTTGGGGGAAGGTGAGGGAGAGCATTAGGAGAAACACCTAATGTAGACGACGGGTTGATGGGTGCAGAAAACCACCATGGCACGTGTATACCTATGTAACCAACCTGCACGTTCTGCACATGTACCCCAGAACTTAAAGTATAATAAAAAAAAAAAAAAGGAAAGAAATCCTCTCTCCAAAGTTGATGATATTGGGAGGTGGGGTCTTTGGGAGGTGAGGAGGTCATAGGGTTGGAGGCTCATGGCTGGGATGACTGCCCTTATAAAAGGGTCGCCGGGGAGGCCCCTTCCACCACGTGAGGGCACAGAGAGAAGGCGCTGTCTATGAAGCAGGAGGCCTTTCCATACACACAGAACCCACCACACCTGGATCTTTGTCTTCCAGCCTCCAGAGCTCTGAGCGGTAAATGTCTGCGGTTTCTAAGTTAGCCCCTGTGTTCTGTTCTGGGATAGCCGCAGCCCCAGCCGGCTGGGGTAAGAGAGATAAGAGACCACCTGTGGCCCCTCTCCCTGCAACCCCTTTCCCTGTGGGAGCAGGAGCTCCTTCCCTCTCCCTGCAGCCCCTTTCCCTGTGGGAGCAGGAGCTCCTTCCCTCTCCCTGCATCCCCTTTCCCTGTGGGAGTGAGAGCTCCTTCCCTCTCCCTGCATCCCCTTTCCCTGTGGGAGTGAGAGCTCCTTCCCTCTCCCTGCATCCCCTTTCCCTGTGGGAGTGAGAGCTCCTTCCCTCTCCCTGCATCCCCTTTCCCTGTGGGAGCAGGAGCTCCTTCCCTCTCCCTGCATCCCCTTTCCCTGTGGGAGCAGGAGCTCCTTCCCTCTCCCTGCAGCCCCTTTCCCTGTGGGAGCAGGAGCTCCTTCCCTCTCCCTGCATCCCCTTTCCCTGTGGGAGCAGGAGCTCCTTCCCTCTCCCTGCAGCCCCTTTCCCTGTGGGAGTGAGAGCTCCTTCCCTCTCCCTGCAGCCCCTTTCCCTGTGGGAGTGAGAGCTCCTTCCCTCTCCCTGCATCCCCTTTCCCTGTGGGAGCAGGAGCTCCTTCCCTCTCCCTGCATCCCCTTTCCCTGTGGGAGCAGGAGCTCCTTCCCTCTCCCTGCAGCCCCTTTCCCTGTGGGAGCAGGAGCTCCTTCCCTCTCCCTGCATCCCCTTTCCCTGTGGGAGTGAGAGCTCCTTCCCTCTCCCTGCATCCCCTTTCCCTGTGGGAGTGAGAGCTCCTTCCCTCTCCCTGCATCCCCTTTCCCTGTGGGAGTGAGAGCTCCTTCCCTCTCCCTGCATCCCCTTTCCCTGTGGGAGCAGGAGCTCCTTCCCTCTCCCTGCATCCCCTTTCCCTGTGGGAGTGAGAGCTCCTTCCCTCTCCCTGCAGCCCCTTTCCCTGTGGGAGCAGGAGCTCCTTCCCTCTGCCTGCATCCCCTTTCCCTGTGGGAGTGAGAGCTCCTTCCCTCTCCCTGCAGCCCCTTTCCCTGTGGGAGTGAGAGCTCCTTCCCTCTCCCTGCATCCCCTTTCCCTGTGGGAGTGAGAGCTCCTTCCCTCTCCCTGCATCCCCTTTCCCTGTGGGAGCAGGAGCTCCTTCCCTCTCCCTGCATCCCCTTTCCCTGTGGGAGTGAGAGCTCCTTCCCTCTCCCTGCATCCCCTTTCCCTGTGGGAGTGAGAGCTCCTTCCCTCTCCCTGCATCCCCTTTCCCTGTGGGAGCAGGAGCTCCTTCCCTCTCCCTGCATCCCCTTTCCCTGTGGGAGTGAGAGCTCCTTCCCTCTCCCTGCATCCCCTTTCCCTGTGGGAGTGAGAGCTCCTTCCCTCTCCCTGCATCCCCTTTCCCTGTGGGAGTGAGAGCTCCTTCCCTCTCCCTGCATCCCCTTTCCCTGTGGGAGTGAGAGCTCCTTCCCTCTCCCTGCATCCCCTTTCCCTGTGGGAGCAGGAGCTCCTTCCCTCTCCCTGCATCCCCTTTCCCTGTGGGAGCAGGAGCTCCTTCCCTCTCCCTGCATCCCCTTTCCCTGTGGGAGTGAGAGCTCCTTCCCTCTCCCTGCAGCCCCTTTCCCTGTGGGAGCAGGAGCTCCTTCCCTCTCCCTGCATCCCCTTTCCCTGTGGGAGCAGGAGCTCCTTCCCTCTCCCTGCATCCCCTTTCCCTGTGGGAGCAGGAGCTCCTTCCCTCTCCCTGCATCCCCTTTCCCTGTGGGAGTGAGAGCTCCTTCCCTCTCCCTGCATCCCCTTTCCCTGTGGGAGTGAGAGCTCCTTCCCTCTCCCTGCAGCCCCTTTCCCTGTGGGAGCAGGAGCTCCTTCCCTCTCCCTGCATCCCCTTTCCCTGTGGGAGCAGGAGCTCCTTCCCTCTCCCTGCAGCCCCTTTCCCTGTGGGAGTGAGAGCTCCTTCCCTCTCCCTGCATCCCCTTTCCCTGTGGGAGTGAGAGCTCCTTCCCTCTCCCTGCATCCCCTTTCCCTGTGGGAGTGAGAGCTCCTTCCCTCTCCCTGCAGCCCCTTTCCCTGTGGGAGTGAGAGCTCCTTCCCTCTCCCTGCATCCCCTTTCCCTGTGGGAGCAGGAGCTCCTTCCCTCTCCCTGCATCCCCTTTCCCTGTGGGAGTGAGAGCTCCTTCCCTCTCCCTGCATCCCCTTTCCCTGTGGGAGTGAGAGCTCCTTCCCTCTCCCTGCATCCCCTTTCCCTGTGGGAGTGAGAGCTCCTTCCCTCTCCCTGCATCCCCTTTCCCTGTGGGAGTGAGAGCTCCTTCCCTCTCCCTGCATCCCCTTTCCCTGTGGGAGCAGGAGCTCCTTCCCTCTCCCTGCATCCCCTTTCCCTGTGGGAGTGAGAGCTCCTTCCCTCTCCCTGCATCCCCTTTCCCTGTGGGAGTGAGAGCTCCTTCCCTCTCCCTGCATCCCCTTTCCCTGTGGGAGTGAGAGCTCCTTCCCTCTCCCTGCAGCCCCTTTCCCTGTGGGAGCAGGAGCTCCTTCCCTCTCCCTGCATCCCCTTTCCCTGTGGGAGTGAGAGCTCCTTCCCTCTCCCTGCATCCCCTTTCCCTGTGGGAGCAGGAGCTCCTTCCCTCTCCCTGAATCCCCTTTCCCTGTGGGAGTGAGAGCTCCTTCCCTCTCCCTGCATCCCCTTTCCCTGTGGGAGTGAGAGCTCCTTCCCTCTCCCTGCAGCCCCTTTCCCTGTGGGAGTGAGAGCTCCTTCCCTCTCCCTGCAGCCCCTTTCCCTGTGGGAGTGAGAGCTCCTTCCCTCTCCCTGCATCCCCTTTCCCTGTGGGAGTGAGAGCTCCTTCCCTCTCCCTGCATCCCCTTTCCCTGTGGGAGTGAGAGCTCCTTCCCTCTCCCTGCAGCCCCTTTCCCTGTGGGAGCAGGAGCTCCTTCCCTCTCCCTGCAGCCCCTTTCCCTGTGGGAGTGAGAGCTCCTTCCCTCTCCCTGCATCCCCTTTCCCTGTGGGAGTGAGAGCTCCTTCCCTCTCCCTGCAGCCCCTTTCCCTGTGGGAGTGAGAGCTCCTTCCCTCTCCCTGCATCCCCTTTCCCTGTGGGAGTGAGAGCTCCTTCCCTCTCCCTGCAGCCCCTTTCCCTGTGGGAGCAGGAGCTCCTTCCCTCTCCCTGCATCCCCTTTCCCTGTGGGAGTGAGAGCTCCTTCCCTCTCCCTGCATCCCCTTTCCCTGTGGGAGTGAGAGCTCCTTCCCTCTCCCTGCAGCCCCTTTCCCTGTGGGAGCAGGAGCTCCTTCCCTCTCCCTGCATCCCCTTTCCCTGTGGGAGTGAGAGCTCCTTCCCTCTCCCTGCAGCCCCTTTCCCTGTGGGAGTGAGAGCTCCTTCCCTCTCCCTGCATCCCCTTTCCCTGTGGGAGCAGGAGCTCCTTCCCTCTCCCTGCAGCCCCTTTCCCTGTGGGAGCAGGAGCTCCTTCCCTCTCCCTGCATCCCCTTTCCCTGTGGGAGTGAGAGCTCCTTCCCTCTCCCTGCATCCCCTTTCCCTGTGGGAGTGAGAGCTCCTTCCCTCTCCCTGCAGCCCCTTTCCCTGTGGGAGCAGGAGCTCCTTCCCTCTCCCTGCATCCCCTTTCCCTGTGGGAGTGAGAGCTCCTTCCCTCTCCCTGCATCCCCTTTCCCTGTGGGAGTGAGAGCTCCTTCCCTCTCCCTGCAGCCCCTTTCCCTGTGGGAGTGAGAGCTCCTTCCCTCTCCCTGCATCCCCTTTCCCTGTGGGAGTGAGAGCTCCTTCCCTCTCCCTGCAGCCCCTTTCCCTGTGGGAGCAGGAGCTCCTTCCCTCTCCCTGCATCCCCTTTCCCTGTGGGAGTGAGAGCTCCTTCCCTCTCCCTGCATCCCCTTTCCCTGTGGGAGTGAGAGCTCCTTCCCTCTCCCTGCAGCCCCTTTCCCTGTGGGAGCAGGAGCTCCTTCCCTCTCCCTGCATCCCCTTTCCCTGTGGGAGTGAGAGCTCCTTCCCTCTCCCTGCATCCCCTTTCCCTGTGGGAGTGAGAGCTCCTTCCCTCTCCCTGCAGCCCCTTTCCCTGTGGGAGTGAGAGCTCCTTCCCTCTCCCTGCATCCCCTTTCCCTGTGGGAGCAGGAGCTCCTTCCCTCTCCCTGCATCCCCTTTCCCTGTGGGAGCAGGAGCTCCTTCCTCCACTGAAGAGATGAAGGGTCTCCACTCTGGCTTTTAGCAGGGGCAGAGGTTGCAGGTTCTGTGGGGGCTGCAGACTGGACTGTGCCTCTCTCTCTCTCTTTTTCTCTTCTCTGCATTTTCCCTCGCTTCTCTCTCTTTCTTTCTCTTCTCTCTGTTTTTTTCCTCTTTTTTTCTCTCCCCGTCTCTCCTCTTCCTCTCTCTCTCTCTCTCACGTCTCCGTGTTTCTCCCCCTCTTTCTCTCTGTCTCTCTTCTGTCTGTTTCATTCCTTTTTTCTCTCTGTGCCTGTCTCTCTCCTCTTCCTCTCCCTGTCTCTCTCCCCCTCTCTGTCTGTGTTTCTGCCCCTCTCTTTCTCTCTTCTCTCTGTTTTTTTCCTCTTTTTCTCTCCCCTTCTCTCTTCTCTTCCTCTCCGTCTGCCTCTGTCCCTCCCCTCTCTTTCTTCCTCTCCCTCTCTCTTCTCTCTCTCTCCCCTCTCCTCTTTCCTTTCTCTGTTTCATTCCTCTCTTTTCTCTCTCTTCTCTCCCTCTCCCTTCTCCCCCCTCCTCTCACTGCATCCCAATCCTTTCCTGGCCGTCCTCTCGCCCTCCTTCGCCTCCTCCTCTCCTGGAGGGTCCTACATTCTACTCCTGGCTCTTTCCTTCTCACTCTAGGTTCTCCCAGGGACTTCATCCACACCTATAATCTCATCCACCATCTCAATTCCTACGTCTGTGTTTTCACCCGGGAGCAGGGCTCAGCCAATCTTTTATTATTATCATTATTATTTTAAATAAAGGACTAGATGGTAAGAAAAAATACTGTGCATGTGGGTGCTGGATCTTTGCTGTCCTCATGGCCCCTGGTCCGTGAGGTTGCCCCTAAAACATATTTAAGAGAGTATCTCTGAAGTGTCTTCCTACCCTCATTAAATCTCTCATACACGGTCACCTCCCGGGATAAGACGCCTGTGAACCCCAAATATCTGAGACAGATCTCCAGCAAGTCAGGAAGTTTCTTCTGCCAAGGTTAAGAAGACAGCGTCCGTCACACCATCTTAGGAGGCTCTGACGACGTGTCCCAAGGTGGTCAGGGCACAGCTTGCTCTGTGTTGGTTTGGTTTGGAAAAGCAGGACAATATGAGGCGGGAAGAGGGTTTCCAGATCACAGGTAGGCAAGAGACAAACACTTGTGTTCTGTTGAGTTTCTTTCTTTTTGTTTTTTTTTTTTTTTTGAGATGAGTCTCACTCTGTCACCTGAAAATGAGAATTTTTATTTTTATTTTTATTTTTTTTTTGAGATGGAGTCTTGCTCTGTTGCCCAGGCTGGAGTGCAGTGGTGGGATCTCGGCTCACTGCAACCTCCACCTCCCGGGTTCAAGTGATTCTCCTGCCTCAGCCTCCTGAGTAGCTGGGATGACAGGCACCCGCCCCCACACCTGGCTATTCTTTGTATTTTTAGTAGAGATCGGGTTTCACCATCTTGGTCAGGCTGGTCTTGAACTCCTGACCTCATGATCCGCCCGCCTCGGCCTCCCAAAGTGCTGGGATGACAGGCGTGAGTCACTGCGCCCGTCTCGCTCTGTCACCCAGGCTGGAGTGCAGTGGTGGGATCTCGGCTCACTGCAACCTCCACCTCCCAGGTTCAAGTGATTCTCCTGCCTCAGCCTCCCGAGTAGCTGGGACTACAGGTGCCTGCCACCATGCCTGGCTAGTTTTTGTATTTTTAGTAGAGACGGGGTTTCACCATCTTCGTCAGGCTGGTCTTGAACTCCTGACCTCATGATCCGCCCACCTCAGCCTCCCAAAGTGCTGGGATGACAGGCGTGAGCCACCGCGCCCGGTCCTGTTGAGTTTCTAATTAGCCTTTCCAAAGGAGACCATGAGATATGCATTTATCTCAGTGAGTAGAGGGATGCTTTCAGCTCTTGAGTTCTGTCTTGTCCCTTGTCCACGAGGAATTTCTGTGGATAGATTGTGAGGGAAGACTGTGGCTCTTTTCTCCTGGTAGCTATCTTTTTTTTTTAGGAGTCAAATAGGAGACAGGGTTGTCTGAGACAGTTCCCAGCTTGAATTTTTCCCTTTAAGTCGTGTCCTGTATCAGCCAATGCTGGATTTCAGGTAGGCGGCTGGATTGAAAGATGGATAAATGAATAAGTGGGTGAGTGATTGACATCAGGGACCAGTTGGGGTGGGAGGTGAAGGGGCTTAACCCTCCATCCTCCACCTCAGCCTGTATAATATTATTTTATTCTTCTAAGGTAACATGAGTTTCTCTCTTTGGGGTTTATCTCTTTTAAAGTTTTGATGTATGTACGCTTTCTCCATCTTGCTGTCTTTGTTCACCTCTAACAATGTATTTTGTTCGATATAAGGTGCTTTGGTGTTTCGTTGTATTTTTTTAAGTTTGATTCTCCCTTTTCCATTTTTCTGTCTCCATGGCGGAGTCCCGGGACCTCCCCAGGGACGGGCGAGTCACAATATCTGTGGCCGACGGGCCCATCTGTCTTCCTCTCCTGCGTTTTTCAACGATGGTCCATTATGCAAACGATCCTGGCCAGAGACAAGGAATAATATCAGATAAGGGAGAATTACAATGCCATAAATAGAAGAAGGCTTTTTTTTTTTTTTTGGAATATAAACTTGATCATTTTTTTTAAATTTTATTATTATTATATTTTAAGTTTTAGGGTACATGTGCACAACGTGCAGGTTTCTTACATATGTATACATGTGCCATGTGTTTTTTGTAACATGGTAATACTCTCTTAGAGAAAGGACCACACTCCCTTTATTCGTTTTTCCCTGGTATGTTATTAGTTTTTGTTTCTTTTTTTTTTTTTTAATTTTACTTTAAGTTCTGGGATACATATGCAGAACGTGCAGGTTTGTTACATAGGTATATACACGTGCCACGGTGGTTGGCTGCACCCATCCACCCGTCATCTACATTAGTAGCTGAGATTACAGGTGCCCGCCACCATGCCCGGCTAATTGTTGTATTTTCAGTGGAGACAGGGTTTCACTATGTTGGCCAGGCTGCTCTTGAACTCACGCCTGTTATCCCAGCACTTTGGGAGGCTGAGGCGGGTGGATCACGAGGTCAGGAGATCGAGACCATCCTGGCTCACACGGTGAAACCCCGTCTCTACTAAAAATACAAAAATTAGCCGGGCGTGGTGGTGGCGGGCGCCTGTAGTCCCAGGTATTCGGGAGGCTGAGGCAGGAGGATCACTTGAACCCGGGAGGCGGAGCTTGCGGTGAGCCGAGATCGTGCCACTGCACTCCAGCCTGGGTGACAGTGCGAGACTCTGTCTCAAAAAAAAAAAAAAAAAAAAAAAAGATTCTTATTTGCAGGTGACAGAGGGATTCAGAAGGGTCACCTGGCCACTTTTGAACAAGAATCCTGAGAAATCTACCCAGTCTGGATGGCCGGCAGCTCAGGAGGGTGAAACTCCAATGGTGTTGGAAAAGCTGAATAATTTTTTTTTTTTAGGCACAAAGACTGAACTATCTCATGCATTCTTGTAACACCTTGGAAGATGACTTTCCAGCCACGTTCTGTTATTAGAAAATAAATTAGAAAAATTCTTGGTGAGTGTTTCTATGTATTCCAGGCTACACCTCCCTACCCGCCCCCCCTTTTTTTTTTTAAAGCCAGCGTGACTCTGACCTTTGGTAACCTCACATTCTTTGCTCAAAAACATGTGATATGAACACAGATGGCTTTCATGCCAACCTAAGTGGTATCATATGCCTCCCTGAAGCCCCCGGCTCCGGCCAGCCAATTTGCACTTTTTTGCCGCTGAGGAATTGGTACGACGTGCAAACAATTCTGCCTTATCAAAAGCAGGACACCTTTTAAACTCTGTGCAAAGTCCTCAAATTGGCTTGATGAATAGCTTGGACACGCACCCACACACAGGATGTTTTGACTTGTGGGTTTAGCCTTGGGATCTGGAGGTTTTGATTTCACCTCAGCTGACATGAACCAGAGACGGTGGGCTGAGAAAGGAATCGCTCTTCTGAAAATGAGGCATTTCCAGAGCTCAAAGGGAAGGGAAAAGGAAGTCAGTGTCTTCCCTGGTTGACGAAGTATGGGAGGTTTCTTTTTCTTTAGGAGTACCTTTCCTCAGGCCTCCCCCGATATTATGGGACATTTGCGGACCTGGATTTTTCTGGACAGAATTTATCTCAGTGTGGCTGTGATTGACAATGAGAGTCTAAACACAAATAAGTAGAAATATCTTAAACTTAAAGAACTTAAACAAATTGACAAGAAAAAAAACAACCCATCAAAAAGTGGGCAAAGGATATGAACAGACACTTCTCAAAAGAAGACATTTATGCAGCCAACAAACCTATAAAAAAAATGCTCACCATCACTGGCCATCAGAGAAATGCAAATCAAAACCACGATGAGATACCATCTCACGCCAGTTAGAATACGATCAGTAAAAAGTGGGGAAACAACAGGTGCTGGAGAGGATGTGGAGAAATAGGAACGCTTTTACACCGTTGGTGGGACTGTAAACTAGTTCAACCATTGTGGAAGACAGTGTGGCGATTCCTCAGGGATCTAGAACCAGAAATACCATTTGACCCAGCCATCCCATTACTGGGTATATACCCAAAGGAGTATAAATCATGCTGCTATAAAGACACATGCACACGTATGTTTATTGCAGCACTATTCACAATAGCAAAGACTTGGAACCAACCCAAATGTCCATCAGCGATAGACTGGATGAAGAAAATGTGGCACATACACACCATGGAATACTATGCAGCCATCAAAAAGGATGAGTTCATGTCCTTTGCAGGGACATGGATGAAGCTGGAAACCACCATTGTCAGCAAACTGTCGCAAGGACAGAAAACCAAACACTGCATGTTCTCCTTCATAAGTGGGAGTTGAACAATGAGAACACATGGACACAGGGAGGGGAACATCACACACCAGGGCCTGTCGGGGGCTGGGGGAGCTAGGGGAGGGAGAGCATTAGGACAAATACCTAATGTAGATGACGGGTTGATGGGTGCAGCAAACCACCATGGCACGTGTACACCTACGTAACAAACCTGCCCGTTCTCCACATGTACCCAGAACGTAAAGTATAATTTAAAAAATAAATAAAAATAAATTTATCAACTGTCCTTTCTTCTCCAACTGGCAGAGCACCTTCCCTTTCTGTTGCATTTTTTTCCTCATCTTTCTGCAAGAATTCTCTCTTCCAGGAACAAGCCCTCTTTGGCAGTGGAGCTCTGGGGCCATTCTTATCCAGAACAGACATGCCTGGGCAACTAGACATAGAGAAATTATGAGTTTTTTATTTTATTTCATGGACTATTTATTTATTTTTTAGAGACAAAGTCTTGCTCTGTTTCTCAGGCTGGAGTGCAGTGGTACAATCAAAGCTCATGGCAGCCTCAACCCCCTGGGCTCAAGGGAATCCTCCTGCCTCAGCCTCCCAAGTAGCTGGGACCACAGGCACCCACCACCACGCCTGACTAATTTTTTGTATTTTTAGTAGAGACGGGGTTTCACTGTGTTAGCCAGGATGGTCTCGATCTCCTGACCTCATGATCCGCCTGCCTCGGCCTCCTAAAGTGCTGGGATGACAGGCATCAGCCATCACACCCAGCTCAATTTTTTATTTTGAATGAGAGAGCAAAGTAGGATTGTGAGTGAGGTTCTATTTTGCCATAAGAGGAAAAGAAAACATACCTCCAGGGATAATCACCCTCATTCCATAGGAGAAAGTCATTTTAGGTCGAGCTTGATGGCTCATGCCTGTCATCCCAGCACTTTGGGAGGCTGAGATGAGTGTTCAGGGGTTGTAGACCAGTCTGGGCAACATGGTGAAACCCCATCTCTACTAAAATACAAAACATCAGCCAGGTGTGGTGGTGCATGCCTGTAATCCCAGCTACTCAGGAGGCTGAGGCATGTGAATTGCTTGAGCCCAGGAGGTGGAGGTTGCAGTTAGCAGAGATCGCACCACTGCACAGCCTGCTTGGCTGTTTTATTCTCTGCAGCTCCTCTGGTCCTGGTGGGTTCATTTCTTTGCTCCCATCTCAGTGAGATCTGGGGAAGGAGCAGGTTGAACACCTGGATCCAAACAGCCAGGCTTAGCAAAAGTCTGTCTTTCTTTCTTTTCTTTTCCTTCTTTCCTTTCTTTCTTTCTTTCTTTCTTTCTTTCTTTCTTTCTTTCTTTCTTTCTTTCTTTCTCTTTCTTTCTTTTCTTTCTTTCTCTTTCTTTCTTTTCTTTCTTTCTCTTTCTTTCTTTCTTTCTTTCTTTCTTTCCTTTCTTTCTCTTTTTTCTTTCTTTCTTTCTTTCTTGCTTTCTCTTTCTTTCTTTTTCTTTCTTTTCTTTCTCTTTCTTTCTTTTCTTTCTTTCTCTTTCTTTCTTTTCTTTCTTTCTTTCTTTCTCTTTTTTCTTTCTTTCTTGCTTGCTTTCTCTTTCTTTCTCTTTCTTTCTTTCCTTTCTTTCTTTCTTTCTTTCTTTCCTTTCTTTCTCTTTTTTCTTTCTTTCTTTCTTGCTTGCTTTCTCTTTCTTTTCTTTCTTTCTCTTTCTTTCTTTTTCCTTTCTTCCTTCCTTTTTTCCTTCCTTCCTTTCTTCCCTTCTTTCTTTCTTTCTCTTTTTTCTTTCTTTCTTTCTTGCTTGCTTGCTTTCTCTTTCTTTCTTTCTTTTCTTTCTTTTTCCTTTCTTCCTTCCTTTCTTTTTTCCTTCCTTCCTTTCTTCCCTTCTTTCTTCCCTTCTTTCTTTCTTCTTTCTTTCTTTCTTTCTTTCTTTCAGAAAAACTTTCTTTCTTTCTTTCCTTCCTTCCTTCCTTTCTGTTTTCTTTCTCTTCTTTTTGGCACAAACACATTTATTTATTTACTTTTAATAATAAATAAACACATTTATTTATTATTTACTTATTTTTGTAAATAAGTAAATAATTATTTTTGAGATGAATCTCGCTCTGTCCCCAGGCTGGAGTGCAGTGGCACGATCTCAGCTCACTGCAACCTCTGTGTCCCGGGTTCAAGCGATTCTCCTGCCTCAGCCTCCCGAGTAGCTGGGATTACAGGTATGCACCACCACACCTGGCTAACTTTTGTATTTTTAGTAGAGACGGGGTCTCACCATCTTGGTCAGGCTGGTCTCGAACTCCTGATCTCGTGATTCTCCAGCCTTGGCCTCCCAAAGTGCTGGGATTACAGGCGTGAGCCACCGTGCCTGGCCACACATTTATTTATTAACCAAAGGGATGATCCTAATTAATCCAACACTTTGAAATAGCTGCATGGAAAATGGTTGTGATAAAGATAATTGAACACAGTAATGAAAAAAGAAGCACTATGCAGATTTGCTTCATTGGACTGAGCATGTTTATTCTCGTAGTTAATTCCTGTCCAAAGTAATGATGCGATTTTTATTTATTTTATTTTATTTTATTTATTTATTTTTTTGAGATGGAGTCTCACTCTGTTGCCCAGGCTGGAGTGCAATGGCAGGATCTCGGCTCACTGCAACCTCCACCTCTCCTGCCTCAGCCTCCCGAGTAGCTGGGACTACAGGCGCCCGCCACCACACCCGGCTCATTTTTGTATTCTTAGCAGAGACGGGGTTTCACCATGTTGGTCAGGCTGCTCTCAAACTCCTGATCTCATGATTTGCCCACCTCAGCCTCCCAAAGTGCTGGGATGACAGGCCTGAGCCACCGCACCTGACCATGATGCTGGGATTTTGATTCTACTTGTTCATAGATGTGAGTAGAGGTGACTTTGCTCATCACACAGTCCGACACTAATTTCCCATCTTTTGGTTTTCTTGTTAGTCTGAGTTTTTCTGTCCTCACTTGTGGTTTCTTCAAACTTCTCTCCCAGGGTACAGGAACACTGTCTTCTCAAAGTGCCCTCAGTTTTTCTGGTGAGACTTTTGCCATCACAAGTCACGATACAATCTGGTTCGGCCATTGAGTCCGTTTTTCCCAAAGCGATTCAGACTCCTAGTTCCTTCACGTATTCATCAAAGCGTTTGCTGTCCACCAGGTGCCATCTTCCTTCCGGCTGTTGGATGGGGGCCAATTCCTTAGAAGGGCGGGGGTCTCGGAGAGATGGATGAGGCTTCCTGGAGAAAGGTGGGTTGGCCCTGACCTGAAGGGAGGGTGCAGCCTGGGGCAGGGGAAGGGGTCCATGCTGGGTGCATCCATGCAGAGATAATATGGGGTGATCATGATTCTTTCCATGAGGGTCACAATGAAGATCATCTTTGTTTGTTTTTTTTTTCTTTTTTTTTCGAGACAGAGTTTCGCTCTTGTCACCCAGGCTGGAGTGCAATGGCACAATCTCGGCTCACTGCCACCTCCGCCTCTCGGGTTCAAGCGATTCTCCTGCTTCAGCCTCCCGAGTAGCTGGGATTGCAGGTGTGCACCACCACGCCCAGCTAATTTTGTATTTTTTTTTTTAGTAGAGACGAGGTTTCTCCATGTTGGCCAGGCTGGTCTCGAACTCCTGACCTCAGGTGATCCACCCGCCTCGGCCTCCCAAAGTGCTGGGATGACAGGTGTGAGCCACCGTGCCCGGCCGATCATCTTTGTTTTATGCATTTCTGCATTTTCCAGTTTGCGTCCATGATCGTACCTCCATTTAGAATTGGAACGTGTCTGTGGAAACCAATCCACAAACACAGACAAAAATGAGGAAGAACTTACGGGATTTGCTAAAGTTTTAACGTACGGGTGCCGTATCACCAGAATGCCACTCTTACATGTGTACCCAAAAGAATTTTTAAAAGGGACTCAAGGCCGGGCGCGGTGTTTCACGCCTGTGATCCCAGCACTTTGGGAGGCCGAGACGGGTGGATCACGAGGTCAGGAGATCGAGACCATCCTGGCTAACATGGAGAAACCCTGTCTCTACTAAAAATACAAAAAATTAGCCGGGCACGGTGGTGGGCGCCTGTAGTCCCAGCTACTCGGGAGGCTGAGGCAGGAGAATAGCATGAACCCGGGAGGCGGAGGTTGCAGTGAGCTGAGGGTGTGCCACTGCCCTCCAGCCTGGGCGACAGAGCGAGACTCCATCTCAAAAAAAAAAACCAAAGGAGAGTCAAACAAGGACTGTAGGACAGTGTTCACAGCAGCAAGTTTGACGGTAGCCAAAAGATGGAAAAAAACCAAGGGTCTGTTGATGGATAAACGCAATGTGGTCCATCCATGCAGTGGAATATTATACACCCACGAAAAGGAAAGAAGCTAGCTCTGACACAGGCTGCAGTGTGGATGGACCTGGAAGACATCACGCTCAGTGACAGAAGCCAGACACAAAAGGCCACGTTGTGTAGGATTCCGTTATATAAATGCAATGTGGTCCATCCATGCAGTGGAATATTATACACCCATGAAAAGGAAGGAAGCTAACTCTGAGACAGGCTGCAGTGTGGGTGGACCTCAAGGACATCACGCTCAGTGAGAGAAGCCAGACACAAAAGGCCATATCACGCAGGATTCCATTTATATAAAATGCCCAGAACAGGCAAACCCACAGAGACAGAAAGTGGATTTGTGGTTACCAGGGGCCGGGGAGGGGCTGGGGACTCACTGCTGCCTGCATACAGGGTCTCTTTTTGGAGTGATAAAAATGTTCTGGAACTAAATAGAGGCGGTGATTGCAGAGCATTAAAAATCATTCAAATGGGGTTATTATTTTTTTTTTTTTTTGAGACGGAGTTTCACTCTTGTTGCCCAGGCTGGAGTGCAGGGGAGCGATCTGAGCTCACTGCAACCTCCACCTCCCGAGTTGAAGTGATTTTCCTGCCTCAGCCTCCCTAGTAGCTGGGATTAGAGGCGCCCACCACCACACCCAGCTAATTTTTGTGTTTTTAGTAGAGACGGGGTTTCACCATGTTGGCCGGGCTGGTCTCGAACTCCTGACCTCAGATGATCCACCCGCCTCGGCCTCCCAAAGTGCTGGGATTACAGGCGTGAGCCACCACTCCTGGCCTCAGATGGGGAATTTTATGCTATGTCAATTATATCTAAATAAAAAACTTAAAGAAAGAAAAGGAACGAAGGAAGGAAGGAAAGAAGGAAGGAAGGAAAGAGGAAGGAAGGAAGGAAGAGACAAAAATAAACCAAAATAGGGAATGTCCACCTTGGAGGCTGATGTTCACGTCCACAGGTGCTGCCTCCCCAGACACTTACTCAACTCTGAAGCCTTCACCGGTAAGACAGCAGGGGTGGGGGGACGGCGGAGTCTTTGATCAGAAGAGGGCTCAACAGGCAAGGGGACCTGGTCCTTGCAAAAAACTCGGACTGCAGTACGGGCCGTGGGATCGGCCTCGTGTGTGGCCTGCACCCTTTTCCCCGTCAGGGAAGGACTGTTTGTTTGTTTTCTGCATCATCATCCATCACGCGGCATTGTCAGCCCTGACAGCTCAGGAGGGCCTTTTTCAACATCTCTTTATCTGACAGCGTTCATGCATCATAAGACAGCAAACAGAATTAGATCAAAGTCTACGAGGCCGTGTCGGCTCGGTGAGGAAGGCGAGCCAGCTTGTATCTTCATAAGAGAGGTGACAGTTGGTTTGAACTGGCGTTGGGCCGCAGAGGGCTGGGGAGTGCAGAGAGGACTGGGGACGAGGGCTGGGATTCTTGGCTTTCCAGGAGGAACAGCCCTGCTCCCTTCTGTCCACTTGCCACCTTCCTGGGTCTCTTTCCCCAGTAGGTGTGGTTCCTTCTGTCCTGCAGGCCACAGTGCAACCCAGGGCTTCGGAGCACGCGTTGATAGTCCTGATTTTTGTCTGACATCTTTGCAGAAAACGGAGAGCATCCCCTCAGGCAATGGGATACTGTCCCTCTGGCGCCGACCACACTCTGCGACTTGTCATGATGGGTAACAGGTGTGTCTGCAGCTTGACCTTGCAGCTGGGGCAGCCGCAGAGAGGTGCAGGAAGGAGAGCGATGGGAGAGAAAACGAAGGTGTGCTCAGTGGCGGAGAGAAATTCCAAAATTTCACTGGAGCAAGTTTAGCCCAGCTGGCTGCTGGAGAAACGCTTCTCCTGGATACTGTGGAGACTATATGGAGAATGAATTCCTTCCTTCCTCCCTCCCTCTTTCTTTCTTTCTTTCCTTCTTTCTTCCTTTCTTTCTTTCCTTCTTCTTTTTCTTTCTTCTTTCTTTCTTTCTTATCTCTCTCCTTCCTTATTCCTTTTCTTCCTTCCCTTCCCTCCCTTCCCTTTCCTTCTTTCCTTCCTTCCCTTCCTTCCTTCCTCTTTCCTTCCTTTCTCTTTTTCTTTCTTCTCTCTCTCTTTCCTTCCTTATTCCTCATCTTCCTTCCTCTTTCCTTTCTTTCTCTTTTTCTTTCTTCTCTCTCTTTCCTTCCTTATTCCTCATCTTCCTTCCTCTTTCCTTTCTTTCTCTTTTTCTTTCTTCTCTCTCTTTCCTTCCTTATTCCTCATCTTCCTTTCTCTTTCCTTTCTTTCTCTTTTTCTTTCTTCTCTCTCTTTCCTTCCTTATTCCTCATCTTCCTTCCTCTTTCCTTTCTTTCTCTTTTTCTTTCTTCTCTCTCTTTCCTTCCTTATTCCTCATCTTCCTTCCTCTTTCCTTCCTTTCTCTTTTTCTTTCTTCTCTCTCTCTTTCCTTCCTTATTCCTCATCTTCCTTCCTCTTTCCTTCCTTTCTCTTTTTCTTTCTTCTCTCTCTCTTTCCTTCCTTATTCCTCATCTTCCTTCCTCTTTCCTTCCTTTCTCTTTTTCTTTCTTCTCTCTCTCTTTCCTTCCTTATTCCTCATCTTCCTTCCTCTTTCCTTCCTTTCTCTTTTTCTTTCTTCTCTCTCTCTTTCCTTCCTTATTCCTCATCTTCCTTCCTCTTTCCTTCCTTTCTCTTTTTCTTTCTTCTCTCTCTCTTTCCTTCCTTATTCCTCATCTTCCTTCCTCTTTCCTTCCTTTCTCTTTTTCTTTCTTCTCTCTCTCTTTCCTTCCTTATTCCTCATCTTCCTTCCTCTTTCCTTCCTTTCTCTTTTTCTTTCTTCTCTCTCTCTTTCCTTCCTTATTCCTCATCTTCCTTCCTCTTTCCTTCCTTTCTCTTTTTCTTTCTTCTCTCTCTCTTTCCTTCCTTATTCCTCATCTTCCTTCCTCTTTCCTTCCTTTCTCTTTTTCTTTCCTTCCTCTTTCCTTCCTTTCTCTTTTTCTTTCTTCTCTCTCTCTTTCCTTCCTTATTCCTCATCTTCCTTCCTCTTTCCTTTCTTTCTCTTTTTCTTTCTTCTCTCTCTCTTTCCTTCCTTATTCCTCATCTTCCTTCCTCTTTCCTTCCTTTCTCTTTTTCTTTCTTCTCTCTCTCTTTCCTTCCTTATTCCTCATCTTCCTTCCTCTTTCCTTTCTTTCTCTTTTTCTTTCTTCTCTCTCTCTTTCCTTCCTTATTCCTCATCTTCCTTCCTCTTTCCTTCCTTTCTCTTTTTCTTTCTTCTCTCTCTTTCCTTCCTTATTCCTTTTCTTCCTTCCCTCCCTCCCTCCATCCTTCCTTCCTTTTTCTCTTCTTTCCTTCTCTTCTTTCTTCTTTCTTTCTTTCTTTCTTTCTTTCTTTCTTTCTTTCTTTCCTTTCTCTCTTCCTCCCTCCCTCCCTCCCTTCCTTCCCTTCCTTCCTTCCCTCTTCCTTCCCTTCCCTCCCTTCCCTTTCCTTCTTTCCTTCTTTCTCTTCCTTCCCTTCCCTTTCCTTCCCCTTCCTTCCTTCTTTCGTTCCTTCATTTCTTCCTTCCTTCTTTCCCTCCCTCCCTTCCTTCCTTCTTTCCTTCCTTCCCTCTGTCTCTGTCCTTTCTTCTCTCTCTTTCTCTGTTTTTTTTTTTTTTTTTTTTGGAGACAGGGTCTCACTCTGTCACCCAGACTGGAGTGCAGTGGTGCAATCACAGCTCACTGCAGCCTCAACCTCCTGGGCTCTAGCAATCCTCCCACCTCAGCCTCCTGAGTAGCTGGGACTACAGGAGTGCACCACCATGCCCGGCTAATTTTTTTTTTTCTTTGTTTTTGTAGAGACAAGCTTTCACCGTGTGACCCACTCTGGTCTCAAAGTCCTGGGCTCAAGCGATTCTCCTGCCTTGGCCTCCTGAAGTGCTGGGATTTCAGGTGTGAGTCACTGCACCCAACCTGGATGGAGATGTTTTTGTTTGCGCCTGGACGTGTCTTGCAAACTTGCCAAGGCTTCTGTCTTCATCGAGCTGAACCAGGGTTCTCAGCAGCTCACAATGATTATTCTTAATTTTTTTTTTTTTTTTTTGAGACGGAGTCTCGCTCTGTTGCCCAGGCTGGAGTGCAGTTGGTGCCATCTCGGCTCACTGCAAGCTCTGTCTCCCGGGTTCACGCCATTCTCCTGCCTCAGCCTCCCGAGTAGCTGGGACTACAGGCGCCCGCCACCACGCCCGGCTAATTTTTTGGTATTTTTAGTAGAGACGGGGTTTCACCGTGTTAGCCAGGCTGGTCTCGATCTCCTGACCTCGTGATCCACCCACCTCGCCCTCCCAAGGTGCTGAGATTACAGGTGTTCCTAAATATTTGTAAGTGCCAGGTGTTTAATGAAAGCGTAATGGGTAGAGAAGCCATCTCATGTGTATATTGTCACACGTGTCCGTGTGAAGAGACCACGAAACAGACTTCATGTGAGCAATAAAACTTTTTAATCACCTGGGTGCAGGCGGGCTGAGTCCGAAAAGAGAGTCACTGCAGGGAGATACGGGCGGGGCCGTTTTATAGGATTTGGGTACATAGTGGAAAATTACAATCAAAGGGGGTTGTTCTCTGGCTGGCAGGGGGCAGGTGACACAAGGTGCTCATTGAGCCAGGATGAGCCAGGAGAGGGAATTTCACAAGGTAAAGTCATCGCTTAAGGCAGGAACAAGCCATTTTCACTTCTTTCGTGATTTTTCGGTTACTTCAGGCCATCTGGATGTATATGTGCAGGTCACAGGGCATATGATGGCTTCGCTTGGGCTCAGAGGCCTGACATATATGTGTGTGAATGTACATGTATGTGTGCAGGCATGCGCCTATATGTGTCTGTAGGTGTACGTATGTATGTGTATATATGTGTGAATATGCATGTATGTGTATAGGCCTATGCGCGTATATATGTGTGCACATGTATGTATTTGTGTGTGCATGTGTATATGTCTGTATGTATGTGTATATGTGTGCATGTATGTGTATATGTGTGTATGTATGTGTATGCATTTATAACGTGTGTATGTATATGTGTTTCTGCATATATTTGTTATGCATGCATATCTGTGTATGTATATGTGTGCATGTGTGTATAATGTGTGTATATGTGTGTATGTGTGTATATATGTATGTATGTGTTATAACGTATGTATATGCATATGTTATGTGTGCATATCTGTGTGTATGTATATATGTGTGTGCATTGTGTAAATATGTGTGTGTGCATGTGTGTATAGTGTGTGTGTTTGCATGTATACCAAGATAACTTTCAGCAGTCCTTATGCATGTTATGTGTGCATATGTGTGTATGTGTATGTGTGTGCATATCTGTGTGTATGTATATGTGTATGCATGTGTGTATGTGTGTGCATGTGTGTATAGTGTGTGTGCACGTATGTGTATGTGTGTGTGTGCATGTGTGTATAGTGTGTGTGTATACCGAGATAGCTTTCAGCAGTCCTTATGCATATGTCATGTGTGCATATCCGTGTGTATGTATGTGTGTGCACGTATGTGTATATGTGTGTGTGTGCATGTGTGTATAGTGTGTGTGTATACCGAGATAACTTTCAGCAGTCCTTATGCATGTTATGTGTGCATATCTGTGTGTATGTATGTGTGTGTGCATGTGTGTATATATGTGTGTGTACGTGTGTATATGTGTGTGTGCATGTGTGTATGTGTATGTGTGTGCACGTGTGTATATGTGTGTGCATGTGTGTATGTGTATGTGTGTGCACGTGTGTATATGTGTGTGCATGTGTGTATATATGTGTGTGTGTGCGTGTATACTGAGATAACTTTCAGCAGTCCTTATGCATATGTCATGTGTGCATATGTATGTATATGTGTGTGCATATTTGTGTGTATGTATATAAGTGTGTGCATTGTGTGCAATGTGTGTGTGCACGTGTGTATATGTGTGTGTGCATGTGTGTATATATATGTGTGTGTGTTTGCATGTATACCGAGATAATTTTCAGCAGTCCTTATGCATATGTTATGTGTGCATATCTGTGGGTATGTATATGTGTGTGCACGTGTGTGCAATGTGTGTGTGCATGTGTGTTAGTGGGTGTGTGTGCGCATGTATACGGAGATAACTTTCAGCAGTCCTTTGCCTTCTAGTGGCATTCTCACGTTTAATTTTATTCCCTCCTTTTTTAAGCTGTCTGACTCCTCTTACTTTTGCCCGCGCCTTCGGTTTTGCTGGCGTGAGCCTCCCCCGGGTGTGAGTATTGCCTCTCCGTCAGGACCTGGCTGAGGCTCTCCCATGGATCTTGTAGCAGCAAAGTGTCGTCACTGTGAGAGGCAGGACTTTTAAAAGCCCTCCAAGATGACCATCCTCCAGTGGCCACTTTTTGATTTCTTTAAGAGGCATTTTGATTCCACAGTCTCTCGTGATGCTGCATTCCTTTTCCACTGGCATTTACAGCTGGAATCACGGGCAGTTTCCCTCCCGGGGTGAAAAGGCGGCCGTGAGTGTGGCTCTGCAGGGAGCCCTGGAGACTGGGTTTCTGCCCCCAGGCCTCTGCCCAGGTGTGTAACACAGCGAGGGGCACCCAGGCTGTTTGCATAGCAATTGGGGTGTGATTTGCAATTTAATAACAGTCCTGAGGGCTTCAGGACCAACAGCTCAATGGGACCAGCTGCTCTCAGCTCCTCTGAGGGCAAGAAATGAAAATTAAATTAAATTTAGAACAGAGTCATGACATAAATGACAGTGGGGAAGATGGGGGTTGTGTACCAGGCAAGCGTTCTTGGACGAGACACCGGGGTAGGGCTGACGCAGGTGAGACCCCCTCTGGCCCCCCACCCCACTGTCCCCCACTTGTACAAGTGCCTGGTGGACCTGGGACTAGCAGGAATGTGTCCCCAGCATGCTTTTGCTGTCAGTGTTTGCCCTTAACTTGTCTGAGTATCAGAATTAGCTCTGATTCTTTTAACTTTAAATTGGTATTCTTATTATTTGAGACGGAGTTTCCCTCTTGTCACCCAGGCTGGAGTGCAATGGCACAATGTTGGCTCGCTGCAACCTCTGCCTCCCTCATTCAAGCGATTCTCCTGCCTCAGCCTCCAGAAACTTTTAACTTTCAATTGATATTATTATTATTATTATTATTATTATTATTATTTGAGACAGAGTTTCACTCTTGTCACCCAGGCTGGTTGCAATGGCACAATTTTGACTCATTGCAATGGCGTGATCTCGGCTCACTGCAACCTCCACCTCCCAGGTTCAAGAGATTCTCCTGCCTCAGCCTCCAGAAACTTTTAACTTTCAATTGATATTATTATTATTATTATTATTTGAGATGGAGTTTCAATCTTGTTGCCCAGGCTGGAGTGCAATGGCACAATGTTGGCTCGCTGCAACCTCTGCCTCCCGGGATCAAGAGATTCTCCTGCCTCAGCCTCCAGAGCCTTTTAACTTTCAATTGGTATTATTATTATTATTATTATTATTATTATTGTTATTTGAGACGGAGTTTCACTCTTGTCACTCAGGCTGGAGTGCAATGGCACAATGTTAGCTCGCTGCAACCTCTGCCTCCCTCATTCAAGCGATTCTCCTGCCTCAGCCTCCAGAAACTTTTAACTTTCAATTGGTATTATTATTATTATTATTATTATTATTATTATTATTATTATTTGAGATGGAGTTTCACTCTTGTCACCCAGGCTGGAGTGCAATGGCACAATGTTGGCTCACTGCAACCTCTGCCTCCCAGGATCAAGAGATTCTCCTGCCTCAGCCTCCAGAGCCTTTTAACTTTCAATTGGCATTATTATTATTATTATTATTTGAGATGGAGTTTCACTCTTGTCACCCAGGCTGGAGTGCAACGGTGCGATCTCGGCTCACTGCAACCTCCACCTCCCAGGTTCAAGCGATTCTCCTGCCTCAGCTTCCCGAGTAGCTGAGACTACAGACGCCCGCCACCATGCCCGGCTAATTTTTATTATTTAGTATTTTTATTTTTTAGTATTCTTAGTATTTTTATTATTCAGTATTTTTAGTAGAGCCGGGGTTTCACCACATTGGCAAGGCTGGTCTCGAACTCCTGACCTCCGGTGATCCACCCACCTCGGCCTCCCAAAATGCTGGGATTACAGGCGTGAGCCGCCATGCCCGGCCGAAATTGGTATTATTTTTAAAAACCACCCGGCCATATATAAAAGCCAAAAGAATGCTAACAAGAACTCCCATAAACCCACCACTTGGCATCAATAATCAGCATTTTGCCAGTTTATTCTGTTTTTTTATTGTCATTTTAAGACAGGTTTCCACCATGTTGCCCAGGCTGGTCTCGAACCCCTGGGCTCAAGGGATCCTCCTGCCTCAGCCTCCCAACATGCTGGGATTACAGACATGAGCCACTGTGCCTGGCTAGCATTGTGCCTTTTTTTTTTTTTGAGGTGGAGTCTTGCTTTGTTGCCCAGACTGGAGTTCAGTGGCACGATCCCGGCTCACTGCAACCTCCACCTCCAGGGTTCAACTGATTCTCCTGCCTCCACCTCCCAGGTTCAAGTGATTCTCCTGCCTCAGCCTCCCTACTAGCTGGGATTACAGGCACCTGGCACCGTGCCTGGCTAATTTTTGTATTTTTAGTAGAGACGGGGTTTCTCCATGTTGGCCAGGCTGGTCTCGAACTCCTGACCTCAGTTGATCCTACCGCCTCGGCCTCCCAATGTGCTGGGATTACAGATGTGAGCCACTGTCCCTGGCCAGCATTGTGCCATTTATATATATATATATGTTGTGTGTGTATCCACCTATATGCCCATATAAATAAATGAGCTAAATATATAAACAACTAATTTATTTACCCATTGAAATGATATTAAATATACCTATCTATATACATGAATAAGAGACATATATTAAACAAATATTTTTTAAAAAAACATATTTCTTTTCTTTCTCTTTCTTTCTTTTTTCTCTTTCTCTCCTTCTCTCTCTTTCCTTTCTTTCTCTTTCTTTCTTTCTTTCTTTCTTTCTTTCTTTCTTTCTTTCTTTCTTTCTTTCTTTCTTTCTTTCTTTTATGGAGTCTCACTCTGTCACCCAGGCTGGAGTGCAGTGGCGTGATCTCAGCTCACTGCAACCTCCACCTCCCGGGTTCAAGCGATTCTCCTGCCTCAGCCTCCTGAGTAGCTGGGATTACAGGTGCACGCGACCAAGCCCAGCCAATTTTTGTATTTTTAGTAGAGACTGGGTTTCACCGTGTTGGCCAGGCTGGTCTCGAACTCCTGACCTCAGGTGATCCACCCACCTCGGCCTCCCAAAGTGCTGGGATTACAGGCATGAGCCACCGTGCCCGGCCAAAAACAGGTTTTCTAAGTAAGTTGTATATACAACATTTTACCCACCCTACAGTAGCACTCATATTCTGAAAATAAGTCTTCTTTCATAATACAGTATTATTTTCACACATCAGAAGATTTTTTTTCCTCTAAGAGACAGAGTCTTGCTCTGCAGCCTCAACTTCCCGGGTTCAAGCGATCCACCTCAACCTCCCGAGTAGCTGGGACTACACGCATGCACCAGCATGCCCAGGTAATTTTTAAACTTTTTGTAGAGATAGGGTCTTGCTATGCTGTCCAGGTTGGTCTTGAAGAAAGAAAGAAGGAAGGAAAGAAAGAAAGAGAGAGAAAGGAAAGAAAGAGAAAGAGAGAGAGGAAAGAGAAAGAAAGAAAGAAAGAAAAGAGAGAGAGGAAAGAAAGAAACAGAAAGGGGAAAGAGAAAGAAAGAAGAAAGAAAGAAAGGAAGGAAGAAGAAAAAAGAAAGAAAAGAGAGAGGAAAGAAAGAAACAAAAAGAGAGAGGAAAGAGAAAGAAAGAAAGAAAGAGAAAGAAAGAAACAAAAAGAAAGAAAGAAAAGAAAGAAAGAAAGAAAAGAAAGAAAGAAAGAGAAAGGAAGGAAGAAGAAAAAAGAAAGAAAAGAGAGAGAGGAAAGAAAGAAACAAAAAGAGAGAGGAAAGAGAAAGAAAGAAAGAAAGAAAGAGAAAGAAAGAAAGAAAGAAAGAAAGAAAGAAAGAAAGAAAGAAAGAAAGAAAGAAAGAAAGGAAGAAAGAAAGAAAGATCCCAAGCTGGCAAGCGGCAAGACACTCCCAGACTGTGCCAGGATAAGAGAGAAAGAGTCTTTGTGTTTTATTTTTGGAGACAAAGTGGAGTGCAGTGGTGCGATCTCAGCTCACCTCCGCCTCCCGGGTTCACGTCATTCTCCTGCCTCGGCCTCCCGAGTAGCTGGGATAACAGGTGCCCACCACCACGCCTGGCTCTTTTTGTATTTTTAGTAGACAAGGGGTTTCACCATGTTGGCCAGGCTGGTCTCGAACTCCTGACCTGAAGAGATCTGCTTGCTTTGGCCTCCCGAAGTGTTGGGATTACAAGTGTGAGCCACGGCACCTGGCTTTTTTTTTTTTTTTTTTTTTTTCAATAGATACAGGGTCTTGCTCTGTTGCCCAGGCTGGAGTGCCGTAGTCCAGTCATAGGTCACTGCAGCCTCAAACTCTTGGGCTTAAGCTATCCTTTCAGCTCAGCCTCCTGAGTAGCTGGAAATACAGGTGCGTGTGCCACCACGCTTGAATAATTTTCATTTTAATTTTTGTAGACACAGGGTCATGGTATGTTGCCCAGGCTGGTCTTGAACTCCTAGCCTCAAGCAATCCTCCCACGGCGGCCTCCCAGAGTGATGGGATTACAGGTGTGAGCCAACGTGCCTGGTCTTGTCCTAGAATTCGGAGGCATCCTGCAGCCCGTAGCAAGTCTAAATGACTTTTACCATGTTCTCCCTCTTCCCGGCTCCCCTCATCCCAGGTTACAGGCTTATATCAAAGCGTCCAACTGTTGGCAAAACATCAATTTGCATTTTTCAGACATCCAGGGCCAACGTGCTGCACCTGCCTTCTATTCCCAGACAGGAACTCGGAACGTAGGTGGCTGTTTACATATTTGACCGTGCGAGAGGCAGGTACCTGGAAACGTCCGTAGGTGGAGGATAAGGGGAGACATTCTGCTTCCTGAATGTCATGGATGGGAAGACACACATCCCAGCCCCTGTGGGGGAGGCTCAGAGTGTCCCTCAACAAACAGGGTCAATTTGTGAGGAAAGAGGGCCGTTGAAAGCTCTGTGATTGGCCGGGCACGGTGGCTCAGGCCCGTCATCACAGCACTTTGGGAGGCCGAGACGGGTGGATTGCCTGAGGTCAGGAGTTCGAGACCAGCCTGGCCAGCATAGTGAAACCCCGTCTCTACTAAAAATGCAAAAAAAATTAGCTGGGCTTGGTGGCTGGTGCCAGCTACTCAGGAGGCTGAGGCAGGAGAATCGCTTGAACCCGGGAGGCGGAGGTTGCAGTGAGCCGAGATCCATCCATTGCACTCCAGCCTGGGTGACAGGGACGACATTCCAGAAAAAAAAAAAAAAAAAAAAAAAAAAAAAAAAGCTCTGCGATTTTTGCAAAACCGGGAAGGCGGGGAACCCAGGCCTGTTTTAAAATAGTCCACCTAAATTATAAGTATGGCTCGTGGTGTGTTTTCCAAAGAAGAACCCTCCTTTAACGAGACCCCGCCTAGGCCGGCCGCTGTTGTAAATCTCCTGGTGGTGTGGACATAGCCAGGGGCTGGAGGTGGACCCCTCTGGATTTGTAGGTAGGAAGCAAAGAAGGGGCAGGTCCACTGCTCACCGCAGTTCCATATTTATGACGCGAGGACGCTGGGGAAAGCAACGAGTGTGTCACAAATGCGGTGAGGCCACCGTTCACCGTATTTTACGCTCACGACTTGTTTTCTTTTCATTTATGTCCCGGTCGATGAAAACGAAACGTATTCCTTAAAAAGAACACGCCTGATGCCAAAGAAAGGCACACGAGTGTGGGCGTCCCAGGGTGCAGAGGGCTGGCACTAGTTACCCTGGTGACTTTGCCGTGTCCCCTCTCATCCCCAGGATTGGACGTGCAAAGCGTCAGTAGTTAAAAAACACGACCAGACCGAAGAGAAATGGGAACCACCCACCATTCTGGTGGGGCAGGGCCTGCAGAAAATAAAGGAGATGTTCCACCCCGTGAGTCAACGTGGCAGGGTCCACGTTCCCAGGCAGGGTGGTGTCCAGCCTCAGGGCCCAAGCCAGCGGAAGCGCTGCGCTCACTAAAGACGCTCCGTTATGTCCTGTGGGTTTTGCAGCCAGCTTTATGGAGGGCGGTTCTCCTCCTGAACATCCGTGATGCTTTTTTTCGGGAAACCGCGGGGAACATTCCTCAGCAAAATTTGTGGCGTTGCAAACTTTCCAGCCAAAGCCATCAGTGGTTTTCAGCCCCATGCACTGTCCTCCCAGAGACGGGTCTGAAACGCATCTTCTTTTTTGAGACGGAGTCTCGCTCTGTGGCCCAGGCTGCAATGCAGTGGCGTGATCTCGGCTCACTGCAACCTCCGCCTCCCGGGTTCAAGCGATTCTCCTGCCTCAGCCTCCTGAGTAGCTGGGATGACAGACGCCCGCCACCATGCCTGGGTAATTTTTGTATTTTTACTAGAGACCGAGTTTCACCATGTTGGCCAGGCTGGTCTCGAACTCCTGACCTCAGGCGATCCACCTGCCTCGGCCTCCCAAAGTGCTGGGATGACAGGCGTGAGCCACTGCGCCCAGTCAGAAGTGCACAACCTACTGCCCCGTGGGTCTAGGGAAATTGTGGAAGATTCCTCTGGGCCTGTGTCTGTTTGGAAGTGTCTGTAATTCGGGACAAAGCTGGCGGGATATTGGAGGGAAAAATGGAGCCAGGAATGGGCTCAGAAAAATGGAGGCAGCAACGCCTGTAACAGGTTATTTAAAGAATTTTTTAAAAATCCTTGGCTTGGATTAACAAGCAGAGGGTTTCCATTAGAACACAAATCAAGGTGTTAACACCTACAGATGTAGCCTACTTTTGTTCTCATTTAAAACATTTTTTTTTTTGAGACAGGGTCTCACCCTGTCGCTCAGACTGGGGTGCAGTGGTGTGATCTCGGCTCACTACATCTTCCAGCTCCCAGGCTCAAGTGAGCCTCCTACCTCAGCCTCCTGAGTAGCTGGGATTACACAACACGCATGTGCCACCATGCCCAGCTAATTTTTATTTTTGTAAAGACAGGGTCTCACTATGTTGCCCAGGCCGGTCTCGAACTCTTGGCCCCAAGCGATCCTCCTGTCTTGGTCTCCCAAAGTGCTCGAATCACAGGTGTGAGCCACCAAGCCTGGCCTTCTAGATGCTGGATGCCAGGGCCATCGGAAACCGGAAATCTAGAACAAAAGTGCAGTCATGAGTCAAAGGGAAGCAAATGTGTCCGTGGAAAACTGCCCGGGCTGGTCTGGTCGGTGGAGGTTGTGACATCAGATCTTCCAACCTCTTCGTGGGAGAAATCAGTCCTATTGAAACTACAACCAGGCACTTAAACTGTTTGGAAAGACGAGCTGGTTTTATG
This sequence comes from Homo sapiens, assembly GCF_000001405.40. Taxonomy (NCBI): domain Eukaryota; kingdom Metazoa; phylum Chordata; class Mammalia; order Primates; family Hominidae; genus Homo; species Homo sapiens. The sequence continues at coordinate 538,676 of NC_000023.11, forward strand.
AAAGACAATGGTCCTTTCTGTCCATAAGGATGAGATTATTGTGCATTTTTGCTTCTGGCTGAGATAAATGTAGCAAGACATATAGGAAAAAAACTGGTTACTGGGGGCCGAGCGTGGTGGCTCACCCCTGTAATTCCAGCACTTTGGGAGGCTGAGGTGGGAGGATCACTTGAGGTCGGCAGTTCGAGACCAGCCTGACCAACATGGAGAAACCCTGTCTTTACTAAAAATACAAAAATTAGCCGGACATGGTGGTGTACACTTGTAATCCCAGCTACTGGGGAGGCTGAGGCAACAGAATCCCTTGAACCCGGGAGGCAGAGGTTGTAGTGAGCTGAGATCACGCCACTGCACTCCAGCCTGGTCAACAAGAGCGAAATTCTGTCTCAAAAAAAGAAAAAAAAAAAATCACACCACAGACTGGGCGCAGTGGCTCACACCTGTAATCCCATCACTTTGGGAAGGCAAGGTGGGTGGATCACCTGAGGTCAGGAGTTCGAGACCAGCCTGGCCAACATGGTGAAACCCCGTCTCTACTAAAAATACAAAAATTACCTGGGTGTGATGGCGGGCGCCTGTAATCCCAGCTACTCGGGAGGCTGAGGCCGGAGAATCTCTTGAACCCGGGAGGCAGAGGTTGCCGTGAGCCGAGACCATGCCGTTGCACTCCAGCCTGGGCAACAGGAGTGTAACTCTGTCTCAAAAAAATAAATGAGTAAATAAATAAATAAGAAAATTCAAAAGAGAAAAGTTTTGGAAAACTGGTTACTGGGGGCGGACACCGAACGTTTTATTTATATTCGTCTGTGTTCTTTTCCTGGATAAAATATAAATTAAAACTAAAACCAAGTAACTGCGGAGAACATTGGCAAAGTTCTGTTATTACAGGAGGGGTATTTCTGAGCAAATAGGATCCCTCCGACCTCATTTTTTTCTGAGATACGACAGTAAGTGTTAAAAATGAGATGATTGCCAACCAAAAGATAATTCTTTTAAATAATTACCCTTCAAGGGAGAGCAAAAAATTAAAGGAGAACAGGAACTCAGGCTAAAGGAGCAATTTAGAATTTCTTTTCGATACTAGAATCATTGGATATCCACGGATTGTTAGTATTTTGAGATGGAGTCTTGCTCTGTTGCCCACGCTGGAGTGCAGTGGCGTGATCTCGGCTCACTACAACCTCTGCCTCCCAGGTTCAAGCGATTCTCTTGCCTCAGCCTCCCAAGTAGCTGGGACTACAGGCACCCGCCACCACGCCCAGCTAATTTTTGTATTTTTAGTAGAGACGGGGTTTCACCGTGTTGGTCAGGCTGGTCTTGAACTCCTGACATCAAGTAGTCCACCTGCCTGGGCCTCCCAAAGTGCTGGGATTACAGGCGTGCACCAGTGCATCTGGCTAATTTTTTTTTTTTTTGTATTTTTAGTAGAGACGGGGTTTCACCATGTTGGCCAGGCTGGTCTCGAACTCCTGACCTCCAGTGATCCGCCTGCCTCGGCCTCCCGAAGTGCTAACATTACAGGCATGAGCCACCACACCTGGCTGGACATCTTTCAAAGACAACATTCAGGTCTTTTAATACATGCAGGTCTTTTTTTTTTTTTTTTTTTTTTTTCTGAGACGGAATCTCACTCTGTCAGCAGGCTGGAGTGCAATGGCGCAATCTCGGCTCCCTGCAACCTCCGCCCCCTGGTTTCAAGCGATTCTCCTGCCTCAGCCTCCTGAGTAGGTGGGACTACAGGAGCATACCACCACGCCTGGCTAATTTTTGTATTTTTAAAATAGAGACAGGGTTTCACCACGTTGGCCAGGCTGGTCTTGATCTCTTGACCTCGTGATCCACCCACCTCAGCCTCCCAAAGTGCTGGGATTACAGGCATCAGCCACTGTGCCTGGCCCATGCAGGTCTTTTAATACGTGCTGAGAACCTGTTTTCTTGTCGTCTGGGGCCTCCTGCATTCGTTGACCTGTGACCATACATCCCATCACCTTCTATCTCCTCTACCTCTCTATGGAAACTCCCTCTGCCTCCCTGGCTCGTGGTCTCTTGTGTTTACCTTTAAGGCCCAGCCAGATAACCCAGCATAATCCCCCATTTCAAGACCCCTTATCTGAATGGGATCAGCAAAGTTCCTTTTGCCAGACAGCCTACTGCATCCACAAGTTCCCGAGATTTGGATGTGTATGTGTATCAGTTCGTACTCACACTGCTATAAAGATCCTACCTGGCCAGCTGCAGTGGCTCACACCTGTAATCCCAGCACTTTGGGAGGCTGAGGCAGGCAGATCACCTGAGGTCAGGAGTTCCAGACCAGCCTGGCAACAGGGTGAAACCCCATCTCTACTAAAAATACAAAATTAGCTGGGCGTGGTGGCACATACCTGTCATCCCAGCTACTTAGGAGGCTGAGGCAGGAGAATCACTTGAACCCGGGAGGCAGAGGTTGTGGTGAGCCGAGATTGCGCCATTGCACTCCAGCCTGGGAAACAAGAGTGAAATTCCGGCTCAAAAAAACAAATCAAAACAAAACAAATTCCTACCTAAGATTTGCAGCCGGGCGTGGTGGCTAATGCTTGCAATCCCAGCACTTTGGGAGGCTGAGGCAGGTGGATCACTTGAGGTCAGGAATTCGAGACCAGCCTGGACAACATGATGAGACCCCGTCTCCACTAAAAATACAAAATTTAGCCAGGTGTGGTGGCACATGCCTGTAATCCAAGCTACTCGGGAGGCTGAGGCAGGAGAATTGCTTGAACCCAGGAGGCAGAGGTTGCAGTGAGTCAAGAACACGCCACTGCACTCCAGCCTGGGCAACAGAGCGAGACTCCATCTAAAAAAAAATTTTTTTTCCAGAAAGCAACGATTTATGTGGTTTTTTAATTGTGTGCTATTCTGATGTGTCTCGCATGGGATATGACTCATCTTTCTGTCTGGTGCCCCCACCATGCTGTAGACACAATCCGTCCATTAGTCACTTAGCAACCGCTTCAGTGATCAGAGCGAGTGTTGTGGTATCTTAATGCTTGTGTTGAAGAACCTTTACTTGACTTAAAAAATGGCCCCGGCGTGCAAGAGGAGTGATGCTTGAGTATTTCTATAATGGTTCTATCTTACTATTAGTTATTGTTGTTTGTCTTTGGCTCTGCCTAACTTACAAACTAAACTTTAGAATAGGTATGTGCGTCTAGGAGGAAGCACAGCATATACAGGTCTTGCTGCTACTGGATGTTTCCGGCATCCCCGTGGGGTCTTGAAATGCATCCTTCATGGATAAAAGGAGACTTTTGTAGATGCTGCACTGGTGATTTTCATTTCTGTCAATGTTAGGGATTGAACATTGTTATATGGTGATTGCTTCGTCAACCTGATGTTTGGTTGTTCATGTTTGGAAACCCAGACTCCAAAAGGAGGGCAAACACCAGAGGGGATATTTGCTGGTTCTCAACCTGCCCTACGTGATTGCGTTTGTTTCAGAAGGGGCTGTAAGGAGCTCTTGCCTGCCCCATCTTTCTCTCCCCAACATGTCCACGCATTCCACACCCAATATGGTGTCCGTAGGACGTTGACATTTGCACACATTGCACACCCAATATGGTGGCCATAGAATGTTGACATTTCCTTGCATTCCACACCTAATATGGTGTCCATAGGATGTTGACATTTCCATGCATTACACACCCAATCGTTGACATTTCCATGCATTCCACACCCAATATGGTGTCCGTAGGATGTTGACATTTCCATGCATTCCACACCCAATATGGTGTCCGTGGGATGTTGACATTTCCATGCATTCCACACCCAATATGGTGGCCGTAGGATGTTGACATTTCCATGCATTACACACCCAATATGGTGGCCGTAGAATGTTGACCATCCCAAGACCATGTCGGCTTTGATATTGCCACGGTGTGAAGATTTCTGTTTTTGTTTTTTGTTTTTTTTTTTTTTGGAAACGGAATCTCTCTCTGTCACCCAGGCTGGAGTGCAGTGGCGCGATCTCGGCTCACTACAACCTCCGCCTCCCGGGTTCAAGTGATTCTCCTGCTTCAGCCTCCCGAGTAGCTGGGACTACAGGCACCTGCCACCATGCCCGGCTAATTTTTTGTATTTTTAGTAGAGACAGGGTTTCACCATGTTAGCCAGGATGGTCTCGATCTCCTGACCTCATGATCCTCCCGCCTCAGCCTCCCAAAGTGCTGGGATTACAGGCGTGAGCCACTGCACCTGGCCATAAGATTTCATTTTTTTTCTGTTGTTTTATTTTTTGAGATGGAGTCTCGCTCTGTCACCCAGGCTCTAGTGCAATGGCACAATCTCAGCTCACTGCAACCTCCACCTCCCGGGTTCAGGCGATTCTCCTGCCTCAGCCTCTCGAGTAGCTGGGATTACAGGTGCCCGCCACCACGCCCGGATAATTTTTTGTATTTTTAGTAGAGATGGGGTTTCACCATGTTAACCAGGCTGGTCTTCATCTCCTGACCTCGTGATCTGCCCGCCTCGGCCTCCGAAAGTGCTGGGATGACAGGCATGAGCCACCGCGCCCAGCCAGAAGATTTCATTTTTTCTTTTTATTTTTTTCTTTTTTGAGACAGAAGCTTGCTCTGTCTCCCAGGCTGGAGGGCAGTGGCGCAATCTCGGCTCACTGCAACCTCAACCTCCCGCGTTCAGGCGATTCTCCTGCCTCAGCCTCCCGAGTAGCTGTGATTACAGGCACCCGCCAACACGCCCGGCTAATTTTTTGTATTTTTAGTAGAGTCGGGGTTTCACCGTGTTAACCAGGCTGGTCTTGATCTCCTGACCTCGTGATCTGTCTGCCTCGGCCTAGGAAAGTGCTGGGATGACAGGCGTGAACCACTGCGCCCGGCCAGATTTTATTTTCTTCTGCAGAAAGTGGCTTTGCTGGTGGGGAGCCATCCCCCAAGGAAGTGTGAAGTTCCTCTTGAAAAGGGTGAGAGTGTTTTCTCTGCTTCCATGACCAGGGCTAAGTGGAAACATTGAATCAATATTAACCCCATCCAGTCTTCAAGGCCTTTTTATGGGTGTGTGTGTATGTGTGTGTGTGTGTGTGTGTGTATTTTCCAGAGACGTCAACCCTCTCTCTGGGATAATGAGAGAAATTTCCTAACAGAGTACTTCTCCCTCGCTCAAAGGGAGTGACATTTTGTAATGCTTTCTGAAATCAAGCCATTCTGACCCAATGACTTTTCGATGAGTTAAGGGCTAAATGAATCAGACGCGTGTGGGTTCAATTTACTTCTCAACACTTTGGCTTAAAAGCCTTCCAGAAAAAAAAAAAAAGAAAAGAAAAGCCCTTTTCTTTCTTCCTTCCTTCCTTCCCTTCCTCCCTTCCTTCATTTCTTTCCTTCCTTCCTCCTTCCTTCCTTCCGTCCTTCCGTCTTTCTTTCTTTCTTTCTTTCTTTCTTTCTTTCTTTCTTTCTTTCTTTCTTTCTTTCTTTCTTTCTGTCTTTCTTTCTTTCTGTCTTTCTTTCTTTCTTCTTTTTCTTTCTTTCGTTCGAAACGGAGTCTCACTCTGTCGCCCAGGCTGGAGTGCAGTGGTGTGATCTCGGCTCACTGCAACCTCCACCTCCTGGGTTCAAGCGACTCTCTTGCCTCAGCCTCCCGAGTAGCTGGGATGACAGGTGCCCGCCACCACATCTGGCTAATTTGTGTATATTTAGTAGAGACGAGGTTTCAGCATGTTGGTCAGGCTGGTCTCGAACTCCTGACCTCAGGGGATCCGCCCACCTCGGCCTCCCAAAGTGCTGGGATTACAGGTGTGAGCCGCCATGCCCGGCCCCTCATACCTCACCCCAATCATTTGAGAAACAGACAGAGATGTTTTGATATGCACCAGAGGCTGGAGCAGGTGACTGGGGCAAGTCCAACAGGTACTTCCCCATTGACCACGGGGGAAGAGAGAACCTTGTTTCTTAAGTGTGATGAGGAGGTTTTTTGTTTTGTTTTGTTTTGTTTTTTTGAGATGGGGTCTCGCTCTGTCACCCAGGCTGGAGTGCAGTGGCGCGATCTCAGCTCACTGCAAATTCCGCCTCCTGGATTCACGCCATTCTCCTGCCTCAGCCTCCTGAGTAGCTGGGACTACAGGCGCCTACCAGCACGCCCGGCTAATTTTTTTGTATTTTTAGTAGAGACGGGGTTTCACCGTGTTAGCCAGGATGGTCTCGATCTCCTGACCTCTTGATCCACCTGCGTCGGCCTTCCAAGTATTGATGAGGTTTTTAATGAGATTTGTGTGAAGGGTTCCTTGGAGACACTCGGTAAAGAAAACGACAAATAGTAACAGGTTGCAAAGGAGGTCTCTGCGTAACCTGGGGAGCTGCTGTCCAGGGGTACCTCGAAAGCATGAGGAGCTGCAGACAGTCCGTAGTTTCCAGCTGACCTGGGCGTGGGCATCTGTGATCTGTGTGTGGCAGGGTGTAAGCAGGCTTTGATGCCTAGACACCTTTTCTTTATTTAGCAGCTGTAACATCCAATGAACTCTGAACTGTTTATGGGCCTCCTGCTCCCCAAAGGGTACACACCCTGCTTCTGCTGGCTTCATGCCTCAGAACTGTGGTGTCGTTGGTCTCAGACACCACTTTGCCATCCACTATCCGGAGGGTGGGGGTCTTTTGGATAGTTTGCGTGGAGTTGCTGCTGTCCAGGGCATCACCAAGACTCTAACAGAGAAGACCAAGCCCCAGTTAGCGTTTGCAGGCATTCGGGGGAGAGGGTGGGGAGAGCGCAGGTCGCTGCCTGTCCCTAGAACCTCACTGTCTGTCTGAGAAGTGATTAGATTGCAGGCACGTGGAGGGTGGCGGGGATCAACTCTCTCAGGGCCTCTAATCACACGTGGCACTTGCTGTCAGCAAGACGGCTTTGGAGCGGGGACGTGGATCATTAGGGATGAACCTGCAGATCATGACAACAAATGGGGTCTTAATCTCCCAAGAAAGGGGATGTCGCCGGCTGGCTTGGGAGGCAGGGGTCCCCGAGCGCGACGGTGCTGGCTGGCCCGCCTGCATCCCATTTGCAGAGCAAGCTTCTGCGTTCAGGGCCTGGCCGGGCCATGGAAATGGCTGGGCTGTGAGCATCGTGAATTCCTGGACCCTGCTGGAAAAGGAAGCGTCTGACGTGGGCAGTGACCGTGACTCACAGAGACATGAAAAGTACAAAATGTGACCACTTGTTTATAGCTGTAACTAATTTTAGCAGAGGTCTTGGCATCTAGAAAACATACTTTTTTTTTTTTTTCCTTCGGTGAATGTGTAGTAAAGATATAAGCTTGCCCCCAAACAGATCTGGATTTTGCCTTTGAGCTCTGGGAGGTCACTCTGAAGGACTTAGGATGTCATGCCTGATAAGAATGTCATTATTTCGGCCAGGTGCAGTGGCTCACACCTGTAATCGCAGCACTTTGGGAGGCTGAGGCGGGTGGATCGCCTGAGGTCAGGAGTTTGAGACCAGCCTGGCCAACATGGTGAAACCCCGTCTCTACTGAAAATACCAAATTAGCCGAGCATGGTGGCCGGTGCCCGTAATCCAAGCGACTCGGGAGGCTGAGGCAGGAGAATCGCATGAACCCGGGAGGCTGAGGTTGCAGAGAGCCAAGATCGTGTCATTGCACTCCAGCCTGGGCAACAAGAGCAAAACTCTGTAAAAACAAACAAACAACAACAAAAAAAAAAAATAGAGAGAGAGAGAGAAGGGGCTGGGCGCAGTGGCTCATGCCTGTAATCCCAGCATATTGGGAGGCCGAGGCAGGCAGATCACCTGAGGTTAGGAGTTCGAGACCAGCCTGGCCAACATGGTGAAACCCCATCTCTACTAAAAATACAAAAATTAGCAGGGCCTGTTGGTGGACGCCTATAATCCCAGCTACTTGGGAGGCTGAGGCAGGAGAATCGCTTGAACCTGGGAGGCGGAGGTTGCAGTGAACTGAGATCACCCCATTGCACTCCAGCCTGGACGACAAGAGCGAGACTTCGTCTCAAAAAACAAAGCAACAAAACAAAACAAAACAAAAAACAAACAAAAAAACAACTGTATTGAGGTTTAATTGACATACCACGAAATGCATTCATTTTGACTATACAGTTCAATGCCTCTTAGTAAATTTGTAGAGTTGCACGACCATCACCAAATCTAATTCTGGAATATTTTTATCACCCCAGAAAAGAAATTGCATAGCTATTGTCACTCACTTGTCTTCCCTTATCCCATTTCTGCCCAGAGCCTCAGGCAACCACTCATCTCTATTCTGCCTCTATGGATTTTCCTTTTCTGCGCAATTTCTTTGCATCGAATTACACAATATGGAGTCTTTTATCCCAGACTTCTACTTAGCGTTATGTTTTTGAGGTGCATCCGTGTTGGACCATATATCGGTATGTCATTGGCTGAATAATATTCCATTGCAGGGAAAGACCACAGTGTCTTTATCTGTTCACCTGCTGAAAAGACATAGGCTGTTTACACGTCTTGGCTGTTACAAATCATGCTGCTAGGAATATTTACCTACAAGTCTTTGAGTAAACATAAGTTTTCATTTCTCTTGGGTAGACGCCCACAGGAGGAATTGCTGGATTGAATGGTGAGTTTGTGTTCAACTTTTTTTTTTTTTTTTGATGGGGTCTCACTCTGTCGCCCAGGCTGGAGTGCAGTGGCTCGATCTCAGCTCAACACAACCTCCGCCTCCAGGGTTCAAGCGATTCTCCTGCCTCATCCTCCCGAGTAGCTGGGATTACAGGCGCCCACCACCACACCCGGCTAATTTTTGTATTTTTAGTAAAGACGGGGTTTCTCCATGTTGGTCAGGCTGGTCTCGAACTCCCGACCTCAGGTGATCCACCTGCCTCGGCCTCCCAAAGTGCTGGGATGACAGGTGTGTGTGTTCCACTTTTTAAGAAACTGTCAATGTGTTTTCCAAAGTGACTATATCAGTTGACATTTCTACACACAGTGGTTCTCACAAATACTTAATAACATCTTTTTTTTTTTGTAGCCATTCCTGTGGATATGTAGTGGTATCTTGTGGTTTTAATGTCTCAAATGAGGAAGGATGTTGAGACTCAATGCTGATTCAAGATCTACATAGTAGGCCAGGAGCAGTGTCTCATGCCTGTAATCCCAGCACTTTGGGAGGCTGGGGTGGGCGGATCGCGAGGTCAGGAGATCGAGACCATCCTGGCCAACATGATGAAACCCCGTCTCTACTAAAAATACAAAAATTCAGCCGGGCATGGTGGCAGGTCCCTGTAGCCCCAGAAACTCAGGAGGCTGAGGCAGGAGAATTGCTTGAACCAGGGAGGCGGAGGTTGCAGTGAGCTGAGATTGTGCCACTGCACTCCAGCCTGGGTGACAGAGTGAGACTCCATCTCAAAAAACAAAAACGAAAACAAACAACAACAGAAAAACAAGATCTACATAGTTATAAGCCTCCATCAGAAACAAACAAACAAAAAAAACAAAGAAAACCCAAAACATCTACGTAGTTATGAGACTTGACTTTTGGAGCTGACTTTTTGGGATTAAATGACTCAGGTAAACTGGTTTATTTGTATGGCTATCTTTTCCCCCAGGGAAAGTGTTTGCTCACCTATCCCTACAACAAAATGTAAGCAGATCCAATGAATGAGGTGAATTCTTGGGGTGGATGGAAACTCATCCCATGTGGCTTTGTCATTTTGATCTCCGTGATGGGATGCGCCGTTTTGTCGAAGAGGGTAGCTGTCCATCTCCCTTCCTGGGGATCCTGGATTCATTAATTTCCTGATCACGTATTTCTTTCGTCCCTGCTCTTAATGTCCGTGCCCCAGTTTAGAGGACAGACCTGCCTGAAGGCTTTCTGTATCTCTGAACTGCACTAATCAGCTGTTCATAACTTCCATAGATGTCTATAAAATGTGCAGCTAGCAGGATTAAATGCTCTACCTTCACCGTACGACAGACAGGAGTGTTCTCACTCACCACCAGAGCCTGCGCAGATCAGTCCATTAATTAGGTGGCTGTTGCTTGTGTCCGAGATTATTTTCTGCTTATATAGAGGTTTCCCTGGCTGCATCAGCTGACTAGTTTTCCGAACAGATTTCAGCCATTCTTATTTATTTCCTCAGGCAAAGAAAATGTAAGCTTTTTAAGAGAAAATACTTACCCTACTTTTAATGATAAATAAGACAAGAAGAGTTTTCTCCTGTTTAAAAATTCCCTATATGACAAAATACACAGTTAAACTTTGTATGGCTTAAAAATAGCTTGCCCTATCGCTCCATAAACCAGGAAATATGGAATTCTTGGATGGCCCTAAAGAAATTTGGTGAGGAATCCAAGCCTTTTAAAAACTAGATAGGCACAATCTAGACACACATATTCAATGACAGGTTTTTTTCTTACGTATCTGCCCATTCATCTGCCCATCTATCTCTTCGTCCATTAATCTTTCCATACATCATTCCACCCACCCATTCATCCATTCACCCATCCATCCACCCACTCACCCATCTGCTCATTTATCTACCCATCTATATATCCATCCATCCATCCATCCACCTACCCACTCATCCATCCATTTATCCATTATCCATCCAACCTTCCAATCATCTATCCATGCATCCTTCCATCCACCCATCCATCCATCCATCTACTCATTCATTCATTTATCCATTATTCATTCATCTGTTCATTAATCTATCTATCCATCCATCCACCCATCCATCCAAACTTTCATCCATCCATCCATCCATCCATCCATCCATCCACCTACTGAGAACATCCATCCATTTATCCATTATGCATTCAACCTTCCATCCACCCATCCATCTACTCATTCATTCATTTATCCATGATTCATTCATCTGTTCATTCATCTATCCATCCACCCACCCATCCATCCAACCTTCCTTCCCTTCATCCATCCATCCACCCACCCATCTACCCATCGATTCATTCATCCACCCAGCCACTCATCTGTTTATTCATCTATCCATCCATTCACCCACCCATCCATCTGTCCATCCATCCATCCATCCAACCATTCACCCATCTTCCCATTTATCTACCCATCTATCCATCCATGCATCCATCCATCCATGCATGCATGCATCCATCCATCCATCCCTCCATCCATCCATCCATCGACCTACCCACTCATCCATCCATTCATCCATTATGCATCCAACCTTCCAATCATCCATCTATCTATGCATCCATCCATCCATCCATCCACTCATTCATTCATCTATCCATTATTCATTCATCTATCTATCCATCCGTCCACTCATCCATCCAGCCTTCCATCCCTTCTTCCATCCATCCACCCACCCATCTACCCATCGATTCATTCATCCACCCAGCCACTCATCTATTTATCTATCAATCCATCCATCCATCCATCCATCCACCCACCCACTCACCCATCTGCCCATTTATCTACCCATCTTCCCATCCATCCATCCTTCCATCCATCCATCCATCCACCCACTCATCCATCCATCCATCCACCTACCCACTCATCCATCCATTTATCCATTATCCATCCAACCTTCCAATCATCCGTCTATCTATGCATCCTTCCATCCATCCATCCATCTACTTATTCATTCATCTATCCATTATTCATTCATCTGTTTGTTCATCCATCCATCCATCCATCCATCCATCCAACATTCCATCCATTCATCCATCCACCCACTCATGTATTTATTTATCTATCCATCCATTAACCCACCCATCCATCTATCTATTCATCCATCCATCCATCCATCCATCCATCCATCCATCCAACGTTCCATCCATTCATCCATCCACCCACTCATGTATTTATTTATCTATCCATCCATTAACCCACCCATCCATCTATCCATCCATCCATCCATCCATCCATCCAATCATCCATCTATCCGTCCATCCATTCACTCATGCATCCATCCAATCATCCATTCATCCATCTACCTACCCAATCATCCATCCATTCATCTGTTATCTATCCAACCTACCAATCATCCATCTATCTATGCATCCATCCATCCATCCACCCTCCCATCTATCCATATATCCATTCATCCATCAATCCAACCACTCATTCTTCCATCTATCCATTTTTCATTCTTCTATTCATTCATCCATCCATCCATCCACTCATCTATTCAGTCATCCATTCACCCACCCATCTATCCATCCATTCATCCATCCATCCATTCATTCATCCACACAGCCACTCATCTATTTACTTATCTATCCATCCATCCACCCACCCATCCATCGATCTATCCATCCACCCATCCGTCTATCCACTCATCCATCCATCCATTGATCCATTCACCTACCCATTCATCTATCCATCCATGCATCCATCCATCCAATCATCCATCTATCCATTCATCCAGCCACCTCAATAAGTTGAAGACTATCTGCCCCTTCCTGCAAAAACCTTATAATTTTTTGAAATAAAAGAGTAAGATCAAGGGTCACCAACATACAATCTTCCCATTTGTTCCCAGGGTACAGCCACACTCTTGCGTTTTTGCATGATCTCTTCTAGGTGAATACTTCTCTCTCTTCCTTCCTCTCTCTCTCTCTTCTTTCTTTCTTCCTTCCTCTCTCTCTCTCTCCTTTCTTTCTTTCTCTCTTTCTCTCTTTCTTTCTTTCTTTCTTCTTTCTTACTCTTTCTTTCTTTCTGTTTCTGTCTTTCTTTTTCTCTCTTCCTTTCCTTCTTTCTTTCTTCTTTCTTACTCTTTCTTTCTTTCTGTTTCTTTTTTTCTTTTTCTCTCTTCCTTTTCTTCCTTCTTTCTTTCTTCTTTCTCTTTCTTTCTTTATTTCTTTCTTCTTTCTCTTTCTCTCTTTCTTTTTCTTTCTCTTTCTCTCTCTCTTTCTCTCTTTCTTTCTTTCTTTTTTTTTCTTTCTTCTCTCGTCCTTTCCTTCTTTCCTTCTTTCCTGTCTCTCTCTCCCTTTCCCTCCTTCCTTCCTTGCACATACACACAATCAGGCATAAAACATGCACAAACACACAGAAACACACACAAACGTGCACAAATACACACATATAAACAAATATACACAAACAGACGTGCAGAAACACACATGCATGCACAATCATGCAAACAGACACACACAGACACACATATGAGCATGCGGAAACAGACATACATGCACAAATACACACAGACAAACATGCACAAACACACACATGCTCAGATACACAAAAAAAACCATGCACAGATACAGACATTCACAAATAAACTCACAAACATGCACAGATACACACAGTCATGCACACAAACATGCACAAATACACATAAACATACAGACACACAGACGAACATGCACACATATGAATGCACAAATACACGTACACACACACACAAAAAGCACAAATACATGCACACAAACACATAAAAACACACAAACACACACGTGCAGAGGAAATATTGTCTATATTACAGGCAGCTACTGCCATGGCCAGCTAATTTTTTGTATTTTTAGCAGAGATGGGGTTTTGCCCTGTTGGCCAGGCTGGTCTCAAACTCCAGACCTCAGGTGATCCGCCTGCCTCAGCCTCGCAAAGTGCTGGGATGACAGGCATGAGCCACCACACCCGGCCTGTGGTGTGATTTTTTTTTTTCTTTTTTTGAGAAGGAATTCCACTCTTGTTGCCCAGGCTGTAGTGCAATGGTGCGACGTCAGCTTACTGCAACCTCTGCCTCCCGGGTTCACACCATTCTCCTGCCTCAGCCTCCCGAGTAGCTGGGATTACAGGCAGCTACCACCATGCCCGGCTAGTTTTTTGTATTTTTAGTAGAGACGGGGTTTCACCATGTTGGCCAGGCTGATCTCGAACTCCTGACCTCAGGTGATCCACCTGCCTCAGCCTCCCAAAGTGCTGGGATGACAGGTGTGAGCCACCGCACTCGGCCTGCGGTGTGATTTTTTATGTACCCAAACATACTGGCATTGCTGCCGGGACGGTCGACTGCCTGAGATTTCAATGCGTTTGTCGTTCGGATCTGCAAGGGCGATGAAAGTTTTAAAGTCCCCACGTGCTCAGGTGTCCTGTGGGTTGAGGTTCTTTACAGACAGGTTTCCACTCCCTTTGCTCCCAGATCTGAGCCTCTGCTGAAGACAATGCCTCATCTTCGATGGGAAAAAGGCACAAGTCTTTGGCGATTCCCTTTTTCGTTCTCATACGTAGAAACCCCACTGTCTTCTTCACGGCCAGTGACTCTGTCGAATGTCCCAAGTCAACCGGGGAGAAAACCCCAAATTATGAAACAATTAAAAAAAAAATAGTCGTTCGATTTTTTTTTCTTTCCCCCGTAACGTCGTTAGTAGCCCCATGGACTTGAGGTTGCCTTGGGCCAGAAGTTACGTTTCTCATTAATATACATCAGCTGTTCTCTGTTTCTTTTTTTTTTCATACCGACCGTGGTAGCCAGGCACCTGTCCCCCTTTTGTTCCTCGATAGAGCGTGTCTGAACGTAAAAGAAAAATTGTCACTTCTCATTACGTGAACTAAGGGTACGAGAATTGATGGGCCTTTCTACCTAATGCTGTTATCCGAACCAGGTTTGTTTATTTAATGAACAAAATGTCACATCAAATCTGTCTTCCCCTGACGTCTGAACCCCTGGCAGCTGCTGGTGGCAGGGTTTCCTGAAATGGGGAGGTGGAGGGGGGCTAGCTGGATTAACTAATTTAATTTGCATGTGATTCAAAAGTTAAAGCAAAGACTCACACCTCCTCTGACGGAACAAATTCTCTTATTATTATTACTATTGTTTTTTTTTTTTCAGATGGAGACTTCCTCTGTCCCCCAGGCTGGAGTGCAGTGGTGCAATCTCGGCTCACTGCAACCTCCGCCTCCCGGGTTCAAGCGATTCTCCTGCCTCAGCTTCCCAAGTAGCTGGGATGACAGGTTCCTGCCACCATGCCTGGGTAATTTTGGAATTTTTAGTAGAGACGGGGTTTCACCATGTTGGTCAGGCTGGTCTCGAACTCCTGATCTCAGGCTGGAGTGCAGTGGCATGATGTCGACTCACCGCAATCTCTGCCTCCCAGGTTGAATCGGTTCTCCTGCCTCAGCCTCCCAAGTAGCTGGGATTACAGGCACCCGCCACCAGGCCAGGCAAATGCTTGTATTTTTAGTAGAGACGTTTCACCGTGTTGGTCAGGCTGGTCTCGAACTCCTGACCTCAGGCTGGAGTGCAGTGGCGTGATCTCAACTCACTGCAACCTCTGCCTCCCAGGTTGAATCGATTCTCCTGCCTCAGCCTCCCAAGTAGCTGGGATTACAGGTGCCTGCCACCAGGCCAGGCAAATGTTTGTATTTTTAGTAGAGACAGGGTTTCACCATGTTGGTCAGGCTGGTCTCGAACTCCTGACCTCAGGTGATCCTCCCGCCTTGGCCTCCCAAAGTGCTAGGGTGACAGGCGTGAACCACCATGCCAAGCTGTTATTATTATTTTTTAAAGCACATGTCCAAGGGCCATTGTATGGTGAGATTCCAGATGTTGGATGGCAAGAAGGAGGAGTCCTGACCCGGATTGGTCAACATCAGGGAAACCACAGCCCGTTTAGATGGAAGATTGAAAGTTCCGTCATGCCGTGTGAGCTTCCCACAACCGAGATACAGATACATAATCTCCCTGGGAACGTATCAAACTGTCGGGGCACCAGGAGCCTCTGCCTTCTCTTCGGCTGCCAATTTCAGGGACGAGGACCGCAGCCAGGTCAGAAGCACGGTTTGCAGGGGTGACAGCTTGTCACTTGCAGAGTTACGCAGTCTAAGCCACTTCATAAATGCAAGGTGCCGACGTGTTGGAAAGGCTGGAGTCCCGGGGTGGAAACACGTATGTCGGGGGCCAGGTGTGTCCCTGGGGGAACAGCCCACGCGTATCGGATGCCAGGTCTCCGCCCACCCCGGAGCCAGCTCCGCTTGGACTGGCCAGCTTGGGTCTGCTCTGGAGAGGGGACGTATGGAGAAGCTGCTCTGGAGAGGGGATATATGGGGAGGCTGCTCTGGAGAGGGGATGTATGGAGAGGGGACGTATGGAGAAGCTGCTCTGGAGAGGGGACGTATGGGGAGGCTGCTCTGGAGAGGGGACATATGGAGAGGCTGCTCTGGAGAGGGGATATATGGGGAGGCTGCTCTGGAGAGGGGACATATGGAGAGGCTGCTCTGGAGAGGGCATGTATGGAGAGGCTGCTCTGGAGAGGGACATACGGAGAAGGTGCTCTAGAGAGGGGACGTATGGAGAAGGTGCTGTAGAGAGGGGATATATGGAGAGGCTGCTCTGGAGAGGGGACATATGGGGAGGCTGCTCTGGAGAGGGGATATATGGGGAGGCTGCTCTGGAGAGGGGATATATGGGGAGGCTGCTCTGGAGAGGGGACATATGGAGAGGCTGCTCTGGAGAGGGGACATATGGAGAGGCTGCTCTGGAGAGGGGACGTATGGGGAGGCTGCTCTGGAGAGGGGATATATGGGGAGGCTGTTCTGGAGAGGGGACGTATGGAGAGGCTGCTCTGGAGAGGGGATATATGGGGAGGCTGCTCTGGAGAGGGGACGTATGGAGAGGCTGCTCTGGAGAGGGCATGTATGGAGAGGCTGCTCTGGAGAGGGGACATATGGAGAGGCTGCTCTGGAGAGGGGATGTATGGAGAGGGGACGTATGGAGAAGCTGCTCTGGAGAGGGGACGTATGGGGAGGCTGCTCTGGAGAGGGGACATATGGAGAGGCTGCTCTGGAGAGGGGATATATGGGGAGGCTGCTCTGGAGAGGGGACATATGGAGAGGCTGCTCTGGAGAGGGCATGTATGGAGAGGCTGCTCTGGAGAGGGGACATATGGAGAGGCTGCTCTGGAGAGGGGACGTATGGGGAGGCTGCTCTGGAGAGGGGACGTATGGGGAGGCTGCTCTGGAGAGGGGATATATGGGGAGGCTGTTCTGGAGAGGGGACGTATGGAGAGGCTGCTCTGGAGAGGGGATGTATGGAGAGAGGGGATGTATGGAGAGAGGGGATTTATGGAGAGGTCCCACACCAGGCTCCATCCAAGGAAGGGAGAAGCATTTTCACCCAGGCCCTGTTTACGCTTCGCCGCGCTGTCCTCTGTCACGCACCGTGGCCGAGACCACAGCTGAACGTCCAGAGGCTGCAGAGAAAAACAGAAGCTGGCTCTGTGTGTGTGTGTGTGTGTGTGTGTGTGACATGACAGCCGGGCCTCTGAAGCGCGCCGTGGAAGACGCAGTTGTGAGGATATACGTGGCAATTAAAAATAATTGGCAAGCAGGTCTCGTTCAGCCCTTCGGAGAATGCAGCGACCATATAATGATGTTTCATTAGCCATGCTGTACACTGCACGCTCCGTATGGCACTCACAATTAAACAGCCTCATAAAGGAGAGAAGGAGGGAAGAGAGAAACATGAAAAAACCCAAAATACCCCAGCTCAGATTAGCATTGCATGTAATCGGCACTTCATTAGCTAATTGATTTCTTATTAGTTACAGGCAGTGGCCCAGCTAGGGCTTCTGCACACGTCATTAGCTGCATTTACACCGTTATGCGGATGCTCGTTTTGTAGCTAAACATTCCTGGAATCAAGGGTGCCTCTGTTGCTTACGGCAATTGCACTCACTTTATTTTATGTTTTCTTGCTAATGTTGGCTTAACCTCCAAATCAAAAATTCTCTCCCCCTGGAGTGGGGGGGAGCCTCACCAGATTTAATCACAACGTTCAACACAGAGAAACAGGCCACGTCATCCGATCTGAGCTCAGCTACGTCTTGTTTGCTGTGTTTTATTTTCAGCTTGTTTTATGGCTCGCCGGAAAAAGCCAGCCGTCTTCCCCGGGGACAGTCATCTCTGGACAGGGTGCATGTCCCCCCTCACGACGTCCAATGTCACCACGGCTGCATGTCGCACCTTGCAGATGGACAGCTGTAGGCCTGACCACACCTGTCTTTAAATGCTTCTTGGGGTGGTGGGGGGAGGGGGAAGTTTGCAGAGGTCTGAAATTCACAGGTAACCGTCTCTCTCCATGGCACAGAAATGGATTGCGAACTGGCGTCGGCCACGGAGAGGCTGCTTGGACCTCAGTGTAGGATTACTTTTGGTTATACGATATTTTATAAGCATATATAATTTGGTTTTCTGATTTTGGGTTTTTTGTTTTATTTATTTATTATTTATTTATATATGATTTATTATTTATTTGATTATTTATTTATTATCTTATTTACTTATTTATTTATTTAATTTTTTTTTCTGAGACGGAGTCTCGCTCTGTCGCCCAGGCTGGAGTGCGGTGGCGCGATCTCGGCTCACTGCAAGCTCCGCCTCTCGGGTTCACGCCATTCTCCTGCCTCAGCCTCCCGAGTAGCTGGGACTACAGGTGCCCGCCACCACGCCCGGCTAATGTTTGTATTTTTAGTAGAGACGGGGTTTCACCGTGTTGGCCAGGCTGGTCTCGATCTCCTGACCTCAGGTCATCCGCCCGCCTCGGCCTCCCAAAGTGCTGGGATTACAGGCATGAGCCACCATGCTGGGCCTGTTCCTTTTGTTTTTATTTTTTCTAGAGATGGGGGTCTTGCTGTGTTGCCCAGGCTGGTCTTGAACTCCTGGCCTCGAGCCATCCTCCCACCTCAGCCTCCCAAAGTGTTGGGATGGTGGGCACGAGACACCATGCCCGGCCCCAGATGATGTTTTAAAATGACTTCTGTGGGTGGCTTATCCAGAAGGAGTTTGAATTTTAGGGAAGCAGAACCCTAGGCCAACTCTGATTCAAAGATTAGACGATTGCCTTTTGTTGTTTTTTTTAAGACGGAGTCTCGCTGTGTCGCCCAGGCCGGAGTGCAGTGGCACCATCTCGGCTCACTGCAAGCTCCGCCTCTGGGGTTCACACCATTCTCCTGCCTCAGCATCCCGAGTAGCTGGGACTACAGGCACCCGCCACCTCGCCCGGCTAATTGTTTGTATTTTTAGTAGAGACAGGGTTTCACCGTGTTAGCCGGGATGGTCTCGATCTCCTGACCTCATGATCCACCAGCCTCGGCCTCCCAAAGTGCTGGGATGCCAGGCGTTAGCCACCGCGCCCGGCCGCCTTCTATTGTTTTAAATTTTGCAGAATCTCAGTCATGGGAGGCCACCCTCTTTGTGGGGGTGATCGAGGGTGTTTGCTGTATGGACGAAGGTGTGGATGAAAATGTTTCCATTTGAAGACACTCACGGACAGTCAATGGGCTGAATTCTGCCCCCCGCCTCACAAGACTCATGTATTGACAACCTAACGTCGAGGCCGGGCGCGGTGGCTCAAGCCTATAATCCCAGCACTTTGGGAGGCTGAGGCAGGCGGATCACAAGGTCAGGAGTTCAAGACCAGCCTGGCCAAGATGGTGAAACCCTGTCTCTACTAAAAATACAAAATTAGCCCGGCGTGGTGGCTCACGCCTGTCATCCCAGCACTTTGGGAGGCCGAGGCGGGTGGATCACCTGAGGTCAGGAGTTGGAGACCAGCCTAATCAACATGGAGGAACTGCATCTCTACTAAAAATACAAAAATTAGCCAGGCGTGGTGGCGGGCGCCTGTAATCCCAGCTACTCAGGAGGCTGGGGCAGGAGAGTTGCTTGAACCTGGGAGATGGAGGTTGCAGTGAGGTGAGATCGCACAATTGCAGTCCAGCCTGAGAAATAAGGGCGAAACTCCCTCTTAAAAAAAAAAAAAAAAAAACCCACAAAAAACAGACATCAGCAGGCCAGAACTAGAAGTCCATTCGTAAACAGCATAGCATGTTAAAATAATTCCAGCCTGGACCACATGGCAAAACCCCGTCTCTACTAAAAATGCAGACAATTAGAAGGATGTGGTGGCTCGTGCCTGTAATCCCAGCTACTCTGGAGGCTGAGGCAGGAGAGTCGCTTGAACCTGGCAGACGGAGGTTGCAGTGAGGCGAGATCACGCCATTGCGGTCCAGCCTGGGCAACGAGTACGAAACTCTGTCTAAAAAATAAAAAAATAAAAAAAAGCAGACATCAGCAGGCCAGAACTAGAAGTCAGTCCTGAAAGAGGCCCTCAGCAAAAAACATCAACTAGTAGCAGTAAGGGATAGGCAGAATCTATAAAACAGAATTTTATAAAGTAACTCACTGCACTCAGATAAAACGCGCTGTAACAAAAATGTCACTAATTTATATTAACTATGAATAACACCATTCTCCACGACTGAACAGCAGGTATTACAGAACGTTACAAAAATACGCTTACTTTCCATGAGTATGATATTGGATACTTCCAAAGTTTTGATGAATAGTGCTTGGGTGGAAAATCTGATTATTTGATAGACAATCACAATTAATCTCACATTTTCAGATGCAAAAAAAAAAAAAGTGCTTCTAAGCTACGGAAAGTCTTGCTTTCTTAAGTAATTCCAGCTTCTCTCCTGAAATCTTTACACAGTTAATTTACTCAGTCTTTGGTTAATAGCCTGTGCTAAGATAAATTTCTGCGTAAATTCTGAATTTATGAGATCCCAAGTAATGAAGTTTTATTGAAGAGACATCCCGTTCCTGATATAATTTTAATGTCATCATCATCAATTATGTTCCTAGTCCAATAGCCCTAACCTTGCAAAATTTATTTCCATCAAACGAACAAAAGTCACACACACACAAACACACACACACACACAGAGGATTCATTAAGAGCGGCAAAGATAAAATCATTACCACATCCATCTTGAGAAGTTGAGCTGATGTGTGTATTCTTCAAGGATCACATCTATTTTTTATTTTATTTTATTTTATTTTATTTTATTTTATTTTATTTTATTTTATTATTTTATTTTATTTTATTTTATTTCACTTTATTTTATTTTTATTTTTTGAGACGGAGTTCGCTCTTATTACCCAGGCTGGAGTGCAGTGGCATCATCTCGGCTCAGTGCAACCTCCGCCTCCCGGGTTCAAGCGACTCTCCTGCCTCAGCCTCTCGAGTAGCTGGGATTACAGGCACCCGCCACCACACCCAGCTAATTTTATATTTTTAGTAGAGATGGGGTTTCACCATGTTGGCCAGGCTGGTCTCCAACCTCTGACCTCAGGTGATCCACCCGCCTCGGACTCCCAAAGTGCTGGGATGACAGGCGTGAGCCACTGTGCCTGGCTGATCATATGTATTTTTAAAGACGGGGAAATAAAGCCAGCATTGCTCCTGATTTCCTTCCCTGGTCTTTGTCCCCTCCCAGAAGATAAGAAGACACTTTAAATCCTCTCAGCCTTCCTTGTCTACTACAGACTTGCTAACGCACAGAGAAGACAGCCCTGCATCTTAATGGTTGTCATCCTCTTTCATCCAGCTCCTGGCCAGTCCTTGGAAACGCCTGCCGGCCACACTACAGTCTTGCCATATTGCCCCCAAATGAGCTTATTTTTACTTATTTATTTATTTATTTTTGAGACAGACTTCTCACTCTGTCGCCAGGCTGGAGTGCAGTGGCATGATGTCAGCTCACTGCAACCTCCGCCTCCCGGGTTCAAGCGACTCTCCTTGCCTCAGCCTCCTGAGTAGCTGGGATTACAGGCGCCAGCCACCACGCCCAGCTAATTTTTGTATTTTTAGTAGAGACGGGGTTTCACCATGTTGATTAGGCTGGTCTCAAACTCCTGACATCAGGTGGTCCACCTGCCTCGGTCTCCCAAAGTGCTGGGATTATACGCGTGAGCCACTGTGCACGGCCAATCTGTGTAATCTATCATCTCTCTCTCTCTCTTATTTATTTATTTAGAGACAGAGTTTTGCTCTTGTTACCCAGGCTGGAGTGCAGTGGCATGATGTCAACTCACTGCAACCTCCGCCTCCGGGTTCAAGCCATTCTCCTGCTTCAGCCTCCTGAGTAGCTGGGATTACAGGCACCAGCAACCAAGCCCGGCTAATTTTTCTAGTTTTAGTAGAGATGGGGTTTCACCATGCTGGCCAGGCTGGTCTTGAACTCCTGACCTCAGGTGATCCACCCGCCTCGGCCTCCCAAAGTGCTGGGATTATAGGCGTGAGCCAACGCACCCGGCCTGATTTTGTATTTTTAGTAGAGATGGGGTTTCACCACGCTGGCCAGGCTGGTCTTGAACTCCTGACCTCAGTTGATCCACCCACCTCAGCCTCCCAAAGTGAGATTCCAGGCGTGAGCCACCGTGCCTGACCTATGCTGTCTTTTCATTTGCATTTTTTTTTTTTGAGATGGAATTTCGCTCTTGTTGCCCAGGCTGGAGTGCAGTGGCGCAATCTCGGCTCACTGCAACCTCCGCCTCCCGGGTTCAAGCGGTTCTCCTGCCTCAGCCTCCCAACTAGCTGGGATGACAGGCATGCACCACCATGCCCGGCTAATTTTGTATTTTTAGTAGACACAGGGTTTCAACATGTTGACCTGGCCTGGATACCACTTTTAATTTTACCTTGCTCTGAATAGTTTCGTATTCCTCTGACTATGTGGAAGCTTTGTTCTGGGATTCTGTGAAGTCACTTGGAGGTAGTTTGAACCCTTCAGGTCTTGGTTTCATTCTGTTGGAATGAAGAGTAATGTTTAATTCGGGATTAATTTGTCCAAGCTACTGAGGAAAGGTCCTCCTCACTATCCTACCTAACGCCCCATGAACTATGGAAGTTTTCCAATCTAGAAGGTCAGAACAGGCACCTTTTGAACATTGTGTGAACGCTGGTCACTATTCCCTGTTTCCATGTGTCATTTCTGTTGGTTCTTTCCCTCACCTTGAATAATTTCCTCATAGACACATGTCAATCAGTTCTCAGCCCAACGCTCTCTAGGTGGACCTTCTGCAGAAGGTCTCTATGCTTCTTTCTCCACGTGGATCTCTCATATCTGCTACTCTGTCCTGTGAACTCTTCCTGCCTTGGTCTCCCCAGACTCTCAGCTCCACCTTCTCAACACAAGAGGCCTTCCAGTTTCCATCTGTGTTGTGCCTCCTTGTACTGCCGCCTATAAAATCTCTCAGGCAGTAAGCCGGGAGATCATAGGGCTCACTGCATTACTTTTCCATCTCTCAGAGATCATTGTCTTTCATTGCTTCATGTCCAGGGTCTTGAACGCCATCATTTCATGTATTATGCCCAGTGGAAGATAATTCTGATCTCTGTTACTTCATGTTGGTCAAAACCAGAAGCCTGCATCTATCTATCTACCATTCTATCTTTCGGTCTATCTACCTACCTACCGACCTATCTACCAGTCATCTTATCTATCATATTCTCTATCTACCTATTATCCACCTACCTATCTACCTACCTAACAACCATCTTTCTACCATATTCTCTGTCTACCTATCCATCCATCCATCTACCTACCAATCATCTTTATCTATCACATTATCTATCTATCTATTCATCTATGTATCTATCTACCTACCTAGCTAACTATCTTCCAATCATCTTATCTGTCATATTCTCTTATCTACCTATTATCCATCTACCTATCTACCTACCTACCAATAATCTTTCTACCTATGTATCATATTCTCTATATCTATCTATCTACCTGTCTATCATATACCTACCTATCTATCTACCAGTCATCTTATCTATCCATCATATTATCTGTCTACCTATTTATCTATCCATCTATGTATCAATCATCTTTATCTATCATATTATCTATCATCTATCATGTATCAATATATCATCTGTCATCTATCTATCTATCTATCTATTTTCTCTCATCTTCTCTATCTTATTCTCTATCTACCTATCTCTCTACCTACCAATCAGCTTATCTATCAACCATATTATCTATTATCTATCTATCTATCTATCTATCTATCTATCTATCTATCTATATCTACCTATCTATCTATCATCTTCTCTATCATATTCTGTATCTACCTGTCTCTCTACCTACCAATCGGCTTATCTATCAACCATATTATCTATCTATCTATCTATCTATCTATCTACCTATCTATCATCTTCTCTATCGTATTCTGTATCTACCTGTCTCTCTACCTACCAATCAGCTTATCTATCAACCATATTCTCTATCTATCTATCTATCTATCTATCTATCTATCTATCTATCTATTATCTTATCTATCTATTATCTGTCTATCTACTTGTCTTCCTATCTATCTGAAACTCTATGTTTAAAACTCTGACTTCTAAAAACATTATAATAGACATTATTAATGAACACCTATTGTATGCCAGCCTTTGCTTATCTTATTTCTTTTTCTTCATGCCTGTTTTGAAAGATAGATATTATCCCTGTTTTGCAAAGTGATGTTCAGAAATAAATGGTTTGACAAGAGTCACATTAGCCAATAAACCCTTCAGCCTGGTTCAGTCTTGAAGCTTTCTGAGGATGAAGATAGCTTTACTACACCATTGGTTTACCAAGTAGGGATGATGTGAGGGTGTTTGTTTGTTTGTTTGTTTGAGACAGAGTCTCACTCTGTCACCGCAGGCTGGGGTGCAGTGGCGCGATCTCGGCTCATGCAACTTCCACCTCCCAGGTTCAAGCAATTCTCCTGCTTCAGCCTCCCAAGTAGCTGGGATTACAGGAACTCACCACCATGCCTGGCTAATTTTTGTGTTTTTAGTAGAGACGGGGTTTCACCACGTTGGCCAGGCTGGTCTCAAACTCCTGACCTTAGGTGATCCACCCACCTCGGCCTCCCAAATTGCTGGGATTACAGGCATGAGCCACCGCGCCCGACCGAGGGTTCGTGTTTAAAATGCAGATTCCCTTAGACGTTGGTGTGCCTGCACGTGCGTGTGACTATAAAGAAACAGAATGAGAAAAATTGGGGGAGGCGATAGAACTATTCTGTATCTCGAACATGATGCCATTTACATGTTTCAAAAATGTGTTCAAGTTCATCGAACTGCATATCATGAAAATCAATTTTATAGTATGATAATTTAAAATGTAATTTTTTTGAAAATGTAAAAAACAAAAAAAGCAGATTCCTAAATCCTATTCCAACCCTACTGAAACATAATCTCTCTTTTAAACAAGATGCCACATAACGGACACACTTCCCGAGAATGTAAAGTCTTATTCTGCATTCATCAGAAGGTGAATGTCTACAAGGCCTATTTTATTGAATTTTTTTTTTGTTACCTGCATGCATTCTTTCCATCTTCAGCGAAAGATGCAAAACGTATATTTGTAAATTAACTTTCCTGAAACTCCCCTCTCCCCACCATTGTTTCCCCGCTAAGTGCGATTTTTATCCACAGTGATCCTTCCATGGTTTTTGCCAAGTGGCAGCGTTTTGATCAAAAGGACGCCTTTCATGTCAAATAAATAAACCATCGCGTCTCACGGTTGTCCAGATTCCTGCTCGGTTTTTACAAAGCTTCTTTCAACTGGTGCCTGCAAGCCTTTCTCCGGGCATTTTCTTTCTACAACGGGTTGGATGTACACGGATCAAACTGAAAGGAGAGGGAGGAGGAAGCGTGCGTGATGAGCCAGGAAAGATGCTTTAGGTATGTGACTGTTAGAGCCCGGTGACATGAGGTGATACAGAGTCTGTGACTGCACTGTGCCAACGCCCTCGTGAAAATCAATATTCCTGTAACTGATTCTGCAACTTGGAATGACGTGTTTTCAATTAAGGCACTGTTGACATTGGGGGCCAGGTAATTCTCCGTGGTGGGAGCTGTCCTATATACTGTAGGATACTCAGCAGCGTCCCTGAGCTCTACCCACTAGAAGCTAGTAGTATCTGTCACCTCCTCCCTGGTCGTGATAACCAGAAATGTCTTCAGTCATTGCACAGTGTCCCCCATGGGGCAGAATTCCGACTCAAATTATTATTATTATTATTTTTGAGGCAGAGTCTTGCTCTGTCACCCAGGCTGGAGTGCAGTGGCACAATCTCTGCTCACTGCAACCTCCGCCTCCCAGGTTCATGACATTCTCCTGCCTCAGCCTCCTGAGTAGCTGGGTTTACAGGCGCCTGCCACCATGCCCAGCTAATTTTTTGTATTTTTAGAAGAGACAGGGTTTCACCCTGTTAACCAGGGTGGTCTCGATCTCCTGACCTCGTGATCTGCCCACCTCAGCCTCCCAAAGTGCTGGGATTACAGGCGTGAGTCACCACGCTCGGCCTCGGACTCAAATTTTTCTCCACTCTTCTCATGTCCAGAGAAGACAGCAAAGGCATAATTTGTATTAACTTTGAGATTACCAATAAATTTTGGTGAATAAGCAAATTTGCAAATACAGAGTCTGTCCACAATGAGGAAGTACTGTACCCATGAAGACTACAGGGCCCTAAAAAATTGCTATGCAATGGGATCCCTAATATTGCTCTCTCAGGTGAGTAGGAGCTGCCCCCATTGTGGTCTGAATGTAGGGCTCTTTCCCAAATTCTTATGTTGAACTCTTCATCCCCAAGATGATGACGTTAAGAAGTGGGGCCTTTGGGGGGTGATGAGGTCATGAGAGCGGAGCCTTCTGAATGGGATTAGTGCCCTTATAAAAGGGATCCTAGAGAGCTCACTTGTCCCTTCCACCGTGTGAGGACACACCAAGAAGTCGCCGTCTATGAAACAGGATAGGTAGGTGGGTGGATGGATGAGTGAATGGATGGATGGAAGAGTGGACAAATGGATGGATGATGGATGGGTGAGTGGGTGGATTAATTGTTGTATAGATGGATAGATGGTTGGATGGATAGACGGATGAGCAGATGAATGGATGGATGAATGGATGAGTGGATGGGTGGATGGAAGAGTGGACAGATGGATGGGTGAGTGGGTGGATTAATGGTTACATAGATGGCTGGATGGGCTGACGGATGCATGATGGATAAGCAGATGAGTGGATGGATGAATGAATGGGTGAATGGATGGATGGGTGGGTGGGTGGATGGAAGAGTGGACAGATGGATGGGTGAGTGGGTGGACTAAAGGTTGTATAGATGGCTAGATGGACAGATGGATGAGCAGATGAGTGGATGGATGAATGGATGGATGAATGGATGGAGGGATGGATGGATGGATAGATGGATGGAAGTGTGGACAGACGGATGGGTGAGTGGGTGGATTAATGATTGTATAGATGGCTGGATGGGTAGATGGATGCATGATGGATGAGTAGATGAATAGACGGATGAATGGATGGGTGGATGGATGGATGGAAGAGTGGACAGATGGATGAGTGAGTGGGTAGATTAATGGTTGTATAGATGGTTGGATGGATAGATGGATGCATGATGGATGAGCAGATGCGTGGATGGATGGAATGATGGGTGGATGGGTGTATGCATGGATGGATAGATGGATAGCTGGATGAGTGGATGGATGGATGGGTGGATTAATGGTTGTATAGATGGCTGGATGGGTAGATGGATGTATGATGGATAAGCAGATGACTGGATGGATGGATGGGTGGATGGGTGTATGGATGGATGGATGGGTGGATGGATAGCTGGATGGGTGGATGGATGGGTGAATTAATGGATGATGGATGATGGATGAGTGAATGGGTAGATGGGTGGGTGGATAGATGATAAATGGGAATGGGTGGATGGATGGGTGGTAGATAGATTGATGAGTGGATAGATGGATACATGATAGATGGGTGGATGGGTGGATCAATGGGCAGATAGATGGATGAGTGGATAGGTGTATAGATGGGTGTAGGGGTAGAGGAATGGATTGATGATGGATGGGATGATGGATGGATAATGAATGAGTGGATGGGTGGATGGATGAATGGGTGAATGAGTGGATGGATGGGTGGATGAGTGGATCAATGGGCAGGTGGATGAGTGGATGAAAGGTTAGATGAGTGGATGGATGGGTGTATGAGTAGATAGATGGATGAATGATGAATGATTGGATAGATGGATGGGTGGGTGGATGCATGGATGGATGGATGGGTATATGAGTAGATGGATGGATGGTGGATGGATAAATGGATGGATGATGGATGAGTTAATGGGTGGATAGATGGATGGACAGATGGGTGGATGCATGGATGGATGGGTGGATGGATGGATGGGTGGGTAGGTGGATGGATGGATAGGTGGGTAGGTGAATGAGTGGATGGCTGGGTGGATAAATGAGTGGATGGATGAATGGGTGGACAGATAAGTGGATGGGTCGATTAGTAAATGGATGTATGGATGGACGGATGTGTTTGTGAATGGAAAGATGGATGAATGGATAAGTAGGTGGGTGGATGGTTGTATGAATGAATAGGTGGATGCATAGGTGAATGGATGAATGAACAGGTGGATGGGTATGTGGATGAACGAGAGATAGATGAGTAGATAAGTCCAGACATGATTTTTACTCTATGTGTTCCTGTTTACTTTGCCTTTGCCTCGTCGTCTTCCAAGACAATATATTGGTTTGCAGATATTCAGGAAATTATTTTAGAAATGTGCTTTGGGAACAACATAGACACACTCTGAATAAAGGCAGAGTCCTCCTAAAGAAGACTCATGTCTTTTTTTTTATTATTATACTTTAAGTTTTAGGGTACATGTGCACAACGTGCAGGTTCGTTACATATGTATACATGTGCCATGTTGGTGTGCTGCACCCATTAACTCATCATTTAACATTAGGTATCTCTCCTAATGCTATCCCTCCCCCATCCCCACACCCCACAACAGGCCCTGGTGTGTGATGTTCCCCACGCTGTGTCCATGTGTTCTCATTGTTCATTTCCCACCTATGAGTGAGAAAATGCGGTGTTTGGTTTTTAGTCCTTGTGATAGTTTGCTGAGAATGATGGTTTCCAGCTTCATCCATTTCCCTACAAAGGACATAAAATCATCATTTTTTATGGCTGCATAGTATTCCATGGTGTATATGTGCCACATTTTCTTTATCCAGTTTATCATTGTTGGACATTCGGGTTGGTTCCAAGTCTTTGCTATTGTGAATAGTGCCTCAATAAACATACGTGTGCATGTGTCTTTATAGCAGCATGATTTATACTCCTTTGGGTATATATCCAGTAATGGGATGGCTGGGTCAAATGGTATTTCTAGTTCTAGATCCCTGAGGAATCGCCACACTGACTTCCGCAATGGTTGAACTAGTTTACAGTCCCAGGAAGACTCATTTCTTATCCACTCCCCCGAGATAACTGCCATTGTCACTTAATACCCTTCCAGAACATTTTCCACACATTTAGACACATTTGGACCTGTTGTTGCATGTGTGTGACTTGTGAAAACATTCATAGAGTCACGTTGTATTGTTGCTTGTAGATTCCCCAAGTTACTTTTCTCACTCAACAACCTGTGTTGGAGATATTCCCCACCAGCACACAGAGGTCCACTTTCTCATTTTATCTGTTCGATGTGATCCACAGTATGGATCCATCAAGTCCCCCGTTGGGCGAACAATTAGAGTCTGCCCGTTTTTCTGCTATCAGAGTCATTGCTGCAACAAGCATGCTTCCCCATGCTACGTCGTGCCTGAGTATGAGAGTTTCTCCAGGGTAGACACTTAGAAGTGGGATTGCCTGGTCAGAAGAAAACCTGCACTTAATTGTCGTGGACAGCACTGACTTTCCCTCCAATCTGTGGTTCCAATTTCCCATCCCACATAAGGAGATAATTGCCTTACATCCTGCAACCACTTGCCACGATCACACTTTGCAATGTTTTTGCTATTATAAGCAATTGAGCAATGACACGCTCTTTTCTTTTTAACTTGTAAAAATTTATTATAGAAAGGAAAAGGCAGAGAACAGCCATAGAAAGGACAAATAATGGCATGTGTTACTAGTCATTCCTGTTAGGAAATTAACAGGGGAAACAGTGTAGGAAATGCTACTTGTGATGATAGTACTGCAATGTATTGAATACTTACCATGTGCAATGAGACAGTCTTGTCTCTGCTGCCTCATAAGACTCTCTCAGCTGCCTGCACTCCCTATAGTGCTGCTAACATTGTGTTTTACACAGCCATATACAGATATAAAAAATATATAATATATATTTTATAGATAATATAATTATATATAACTATATAAAATTACATAATATATAATAAATTATATATTATAGATAATATATAATAATTATAAATATAGATAATATATAATAATTATAAATATTATAGATAATATATAATAATTACATATTATAGATAATATACAATAATTACATATTATAGCTAATATATAATAATTACATATTATAGATAATATACAATAATTACATATTATAGCTAATATATAATAATTACATATTATAGATAATATGTAATAATTATAAATATTATAGATAATATATAATTACATATTATAGATAATATATAATAATTATAAATATTATAGATAATATATAATAATTACATATTATAGATAATATACAATAATTACATATTATAGATAATATATAATAATTACATATTATAGATAATATATAATAATTATAAATATTATAGATAATATATAATAATTACATATTATAGATAATATATAATAATTATATTATAGATAATATATAATAATTACATATTATAGATAATATATAATAATTATATTATAGATAATATATGATAATTATATATTATAGATAATATATGAAAATAATTATATATTATAGATAATATATGATAATTATATATTATAGATAATATATGATAATTATATATTATAGATAATATATGATAATTATATATTATAGATAATATATAATTACATACAATATATATTTTATATAAAATATATAATTACATATATTTTATATAAATATATAATTACATATATTTTATATAATATATAATTACATATATTATATAAAATATATAATTACATATAATATATCTTTTATATAAAATATATATTATATATAACATATAATTATAATATATTATATAACTATATCTTTTATAATATAAAATATTATATATAATATATAATATATAATTATATATTATACATGCTTATAAAATATAATATATAGTATATTATGTTATCAAATATATAATATATTATATGATATATAATATAATATATAATTATATATTATATATGCTTACAAAATATATTATAAAATATAATATATAGCATATTTTATATTATCAAATATATTATATAATATATAATATCATATATTATCATCTATATCATATATATCAATTACATATATCATATATAAAATATAATATATAATATCTATTGTATAATATAATATATGATATAATGTATTATATCATGTATAATATATCATGTATAATATATTATATTATATCATGTATAATATAATATATCATGTAATAATATAATATATTATATCATGTATAATATAATATATTATATCATGTATAATATAATACACATTATATATTATATCATGTATAATATAATACACATTATATATTATATCATGTATTATATAATACACATTATATATTATATCATGTATTATATAATACACATTATATATTATATCATGTATTATATAATATATAGTATATTGTATCGTGTATTATATAATATATAGTATATTGTATCGTGTATTATATAATATATAGTATATTGTATCGTGTATTATATAATATATAGTATATTGTATCGTGTATTATATAATATATAGTATATTGTATCGTGTATTATATAATACATAGTATATTGTATCGTGTATTATATAATACATAGTATATTATATCGTGTATTATATAATATATAGTATATTATATCGTGTATTATATAATATATAGTATATTATATCGTGTATTATATAATATATAGTATATTATATCGTGTATTATATAATATATAGTATATTATATCGTGTATTATATAATATATAGTATATTATATCGTGTATTATATAATATATAGTATATTATATCGTGTATTATATAATATATAGTATATTATATCGTGTATTATATAATATATGATATAATATATAATTATATAAAAATATATAATTATATATTATATATAAAACGATGTATACATAAAATATATATATACACACTATATATATTTTTTGAGATGGAGGCTTGCTCCCATCACAGAGGCTGGAGTGCAGTGGCGTGATCTTGGCTCACTGCAACCTCTGCCTCCTGGGTTCAAGCGATTCTCCTGCCTCAGCCTCCTGAGTAGCTGGGATTACTGGCATGCACCACCACGCCCGGCTAATTTTTGTATTTTTAGTAGAGATGGGGTTTCTCCATGTTGTTCAGGCTGGTCTCAAACTCCCGACCTCAGGTCATCCACCCGCCTTGGCCTCCCAAAGTGCTGGGATTACAGGCTTGAGCCACTGTGCCTGGCTGTTTTTTTTCTGTTTTGTTTTGTTTTGTTTTGTTTGTTTGTTTTTTGAGACAGAGTCTCACTCTGTTGCCGAGGCTGGAGTGCAGTGGCACTGTGTCAGCTCACTGCAACCTCCATATCCTGGGTTCAAGCAATTCTCCTGCCTCAGCCTCCCGAGTAGCTGGGATGACAGGCGTCCACCACCACGCCCGGCTAGTTTTTATATTTTTAGTAGAGACCGGGTTTCACTATGTTGGCCAGGCTGGTCTTGAACTCCTGACCTCAAGTGATCCACCTTTCTTGGCCTCCCAAAGTGCTGGGATGACAGGCATGAGCCACTGTGCCCGGCCGCGAACTGCTGTTAAGACACGGTGAGAATGAGCTGGCTCTGGAAAATCAAGGCAGGAGGATCACTTGAGTCCAGGAGCTCAAGACCAGCCTGGGCAACACAGCAAGACCCCTATCTCTCTCTAAAAAAAAAAAAAAATTAGCAAGCATGGTGGTGAATGCCTGTGGTTTCATCAGTGAGGTGTGATCATGCCGCTGTACTCGAGCCCGAGGAACAGAGCAAGACCCTGTCTTGGGGGGGAAGAAACCCAAAAAAACAGAGAAAGAATAAACTATCATAATGCTTAATTTTGTGTGCATTTATTTAGCAGTGGGAACCAAATTGGCCTCCCCTAGGTAATTCAGCTATTCGTCTGAATTATGTGGGTTACTGTGTTACAGTCATCTCTTGTTTGATTTTAGTGAAACTGACTTAATTTTGCATACAAAAGCTGGTTCTAGGATCCTACCCCCCCAAGACAGGTTAGTTATGATGGGCAATCTCTCGACCTCATGCCTGACATCTTACATGTGTCGAGAAATCAAGAAGGTCGAAATATAAGTGGAGAGGTTGACGCTCCATTCTGGGGCAGCCCTGTAACTGTCCACCAATGTTGTGTCTGAGCTGGGCTGTGTCCACGAGCTTCCTGTTGTATTCTAGGGGCTCATAAGTTCAGAAAGATACTCAAATGGGGAGTTTTGTCCTGATGAAACCCAGGATGGAATACAGGACAAAAAAATACATTAATATTTGAGTCTTCTTAAGAAAGTCTAGGCCGGGCGCGGTGGCTCACGCCTGTAACCCCAGCACTTTGGGAGGCCGAGGATGGAGGATCGCCTGAGGTCAGGTGTTCGAGACCAGCCTGGCCAACATGGTGAAACCCTCTTTCTACTAAGGATACGAAAATTAGCCAGGAGTTAGGGCGGGTTCCTGTCATCCCAGCTACTCGGGAGGCTGAGGCAGGAGAATTGCTTGAATCCTGGGAGGCGGAGGTTGCAGTGAGCTGAGATTGTGCCACTGCACTCCAGCCTGGATGATGACAAACTCTGTCTCAAAACAAAACAAAACAAAAAGTGGAAACTGGAAACAGCTTTTATGCTCTTTTATTTCAATAGTTTACAGAACCCAGGATGGTATCCAATGAGAGCTTGCATTCAGGCATGGGGAAGACACCGTTGAGAAGAATGAAAATGATTACAATCATGCAGAAAAAGAAACTTGGGCACCCAAAACACACCCAGGAAAATGAGGGAAGGGAAAGTATTTGAATTTGACTAGCAATGACAAGCCGCAGATACATGAGCTCAGAGGACTGTGGCTGGACAGACATCAAGGGTGGACAGAACCCAGCCTGTCAGGACTGACACCCTAGGGTTGTCCGTCTACAAATCGGCTCCTGATTGGTCTACCCGGGACTGTGGTCCACGGTCATTGAAAAATATGTCATGGAGGCTCCACGTACACTCAAGCTGTGGGCAGACAGTTCCATGATGGGACTGCACCTCGTATCAGAAAGGGCCTCCCATCCTCCCCTTCTTTAATTCCACCCTCCTGACGTCCGACTACTTCACTCCATACAACCACATGTCCTCAAGACAATGGGCAACGGATGCCGTTTGGTTCAGTGGAGGCAAGAAACATGATTTATGAATGTTGTTTACGTTTTAACAATTTAAATTTATGTTTATTATATTAAATATAATTTTATATTTTTATAATGAATATAAAAATATTTATTATATTTTAAATAGTTTAAAAATATTATGAAATTATTTTAATTTTATAAATATATTAAACGTATTTGTATTTTTATAAAATATATAAAATTATATATTTATAATTTTTAAAATATAAAATTATTTTAATTTTATAAATATATTTATAGTTTTTATAAATATA
This sequence comes from Homo sapiens, assembly GCF_000001405.40. NCBI lineage: Eukaryota > Metazoa > Chordata > Mammalia > Primates > Hominidae > Homo > Homo sapiens. Next base: position 573,138 of record NC_000023.11, read on the forward strand.
TTAATAAACATATTTCTATTTTATAAAATATATAAAATTATATATTTATAATTTTATAATATATCTAATAAATATATTATAATATCATATAACATATTATATATCATAATATATAGCTAATAAATATAATATATAATATATACTAAAATATTTAATAAAGATGTTTTTAAATATAAAATACATATTATTTATTTATAGAAATACATATTTTATATATTTATAATTAATATATAAAATATTGGTATAAAATAATTTATTAAAATAATTTAAATTTTCATAATTTAAATTTATATTTATTATATTAAATGTAATAACTTCATATTTTTATAATTAATATAAAATATTTATTAAATAATAATTTATTCTAAAAGCGCTCAGAATTTCAAAGCTAATATTTGACTTTTTAAAAAATTAAGTGCTAAGTTTGTATAAAAATTTTAATATGACATAAAATTTTTATTTCTATAATTAATATAAAAATACTTATTGTATTTTTAATAAATAATTTTGAAAATATTAATTGTATTTTTAATATTTTGAAAATATTACAAAAATATTTTAATTTTATAATATATTAACAAATATGTTAAATATATTTATAATTTTATAAATATATTATAATAAATATATTAAATATATTATAAATATAAATATATAATAAAATAAATATGTTAAAATATAAATATATAACACATATATTAAAATATTAGAAAATATATTATAATTGTATTTTAAAGATTTTATATGTTTATAATTAATATATAAAATATTTATTAAAATAATTTATTATAATTATTTAATTTTAATAATTTAAAATTAAATTTATTATATTAAATATAATAATTTTATATTTTTACAATTAATATGAAAATATTTATTAAGTAATAATTTATTCTGACAGCTCTCAGAATTTCAAAGCTAATACTTGACTTGTTTCTTTAAAAAAACTAAACTATTTGACTTGCTTCTTAAAAGAAAAACAAGCACTAAGAGTTTGTATAAAAAATCTTAATATGACATAAAAATGAATGCCAGAGAGTCCATACATCAGAATTCCAGATAAGCTCTTTTTTTGGCATGTGGGATTTTTATTCATAAATTTGTTTAACTCTTTATACACCTCATCATACGTTTTCGTGTTGAGGATTTCCTTTGACGTTCTCATTGGCTGTTGGAGCAAGATAAGATCCCATTTGGGGCTGTCATGCATGAGCCCCTTTGCTGAGGATGTGCAGAATGGGGTGTCTGAGGTCTACCTGCGTGGAACCAGGTGCACCTGCGGATCTTGCTAACACGCGCGGGAATTTTGCACGTTCACCAACAGGCAAATGAATCCTCGCGTCTTTAAGGGTCTGCGGCAGTTAATAGATGATCCACCGTGTCATGTCACAGCCCAGATGAGTGACAAGCCAGTGCCGACAGAGAGTGACATGTGTCTGTCACTTTGCTGACAGCCCTGGCACATTCTGCAAAATGCCTCAGCTCCTGCTGCCTAATTTTCTGCTGTGAGAGCCAGGTGGCTTCCTTTGGTCTCCACAGGAAACAAAATGTCTCAGAAATCTTTCCCCAAAGCACAGGCTTCATACATTCATGGGGTCTCACCATGTTGGGAGAACGGTGGCAGAATCAGAAAGGTGACGGGGGCTAGCTGGGAACACCTGTGTGCGGATTCTTCAGAATCTGTAACAGCCTGGTTTGCAGACTCAAGGGGACTGTGGGCACTGGGAGATTCCTGAAGGCAGGTGGGTGGTTGGAAGGATGTGAAAAGATTCAGTTGGATCCCAGGGGTGGTGGGTCAAAGGCATTTCCTGTGTTCACAGCTGGTTGCCACCGACGCCTGTTGCCACGGATGCCTGGTGTACAGGGCGTGGTTCTTTTCTCAGGTGAATACCCAACAGTCAAGTTATCCCAGTCCATCTGGATCACCTGCAAACAGATGCACCATTCATGCCCCACCTCAGGGCTTGTTCTTTTCTTCAGCACACTCCTGGCTTACACCTGTGTGCTCAGATGCAGAGGTAAAGCATTTTAAGGACACCTCCAGGAATCTGTCCGGTGGCAATGACCCATTCGGGCCCAAGAAAGTGTAAGAGTGATGCCTTCTTGCTCTGCTCTCATCTGGAAGCGCCTCTCTCCCTTGCCATGGAGAGGCTGGCCATGTAATGCTCACTGTGGCTCTTTCAGATACATCATCTCCCCATTTTAAAGATGAAGAAGAGTCAGTCTCATTCCTCAGCACCAGTAGTAACGGGGGGAGTTGGGCTGACTCCAAACCTGCTCCCAAAGATAGCACTAACAAATGCTGGTAAGGTGGTGGTCACAAAGAGTGTCATCAACTCCAGATAGCAACCGGGTCTCCTTACCAGAAAACCTAACAGGCGTTGGTTTGATAGATGCATCATTGTGTATGTCTCTATCCATCTATGCATTCTCCATCTATCCATCTATCATCTCTCCATTCACCTACTCATCTATCAATCTATCCATTCATCTATCCATTCTTTATATCTATTTCTCTATCTATCCATCTATTTATTTATCCATCATCCGTCTGTCATCTATTTATATTCTGTCATCTCTCTTTCAATCTTCCATCTACCCTATCTATCTACTACCTAAAGCTATCTGTATTCTATCTATCCAAACATCATCTGACTATCATCTACCTACCTACATCTATCATCTCTCTAGCTCTGTCTATATATCTATCTATATCATCTCTATATCAGTCATCTATTCCTCTATCTATTATCTATCTATCTATCATCTATCATCTATCTACCATCTATCTATCAATACATCTATGTATCAATCATCTATCTCTCAATCAGTACATCTGTCAATGTATCAATCATCTATCTATATCAGTACATCTGTAAGTATCAATCATCTATCATGTATCTATCTATACATCTGTATATCTATCTATCTCAGTACATCTGTCTACGTATCAATCATCTGATTGAAGAAAAGGCTCGGAGACGGAGTCTATGTCACCAGCATAGGAAAAGCAGGATGTGGCTTCCATTCCTTGAAACCTCTGTCTTCCTCCTGATTTACAAGTCCTGTCTGAGATTCTCCTCTGGTGTTTATTTGCTGTTTTTCTTGTGAAGCCAGATTTCCAAGCATATTTTCACATTGGTTTTGAAGGTCCTGATGGAAAACATGTGCCTGGAGATAAATGTGCTTTAACCAAATGTGTGTCTTCTGGAACATTCTCTGGATAGCTCTAGCCAGTGAGGAGTAAGGACAGCTGCTTCCTTTGGACCCTACACTGACCATTGTTTGTCTCTACCTGCACAACCTTTATCTCTCCTCCAGTTTAAGCAACCAGTTTCCTGCAGGTGAACATCCTGGCACCATAATTGGCTCAAAGATGGGCATAGGACTCAGTGCAAGCCCTGAGTTTGTGCAGAAACTGAGCAGTGTAACAGCCTGGGAGGAAGTCCTGGAGGGACTTGAGCAAGATGACTTATCAGAGACAGAATCTGAGGAGAAGGCTCAGAACTTACCTCTAATCTCTTGCATGTTGAACCCAACAACTCAAATGAAAACCAGAGCTCATGGTTGCTGTTGAGACAGTCCACACTTTCCAGCCTCCTGAAGCAGAGAGTGGAGAAGAATGAAGAGGAACTGGGGAGGTAGAGGCTCTCTTGGGTTTATTGTAATACTTGAGTGAGTTAGCCCTTTTGAACAAACTTGACATTGAGCAGGTGTTGATTACAAATGAGATGTTTCCTGTGTTACTCATGGACACCCAGAAGAGGCAGGGTATTAGAAAGGGTATTAGCTTCCACTGGCTGCTGTAACGAAAATGATGACAGACTTCATCTTAGTTTATTTTGTACTTCTATAAAAGAGTGCCACTGATTAGGTAATTTATAAACAATGGGAGTTCATTGGTCTCATGGTTCCGAGGGCTGGAAAGTCTGAGGTTGAGGTGCTATGTCTGGTGAGGATCTTTTTGCTGTGTCATCCATTGTGAACTATCTCTTCGAGGTACTTCATATCCCCACTTCAGAGATGGAGAAACTGAGGTTGAAGAATGGTCAGTCTTATTGCTCAGCCCCAGTGATGGGTGGAGTTGGGTTGACTTCAAACCTACTCTGAAATATAACATTAAGAAATGCTGGCAATATGGCGGTCACCAATAGTGTTCATCAACTCCAGAGGGCAAGGAGGTCTCGTAACTAGAAAACCTCACAGCTATTGCTGAAGGAAGGGCACAGAGTTGAATTCAACATGGTTGACTCCTTGAAACCTCCATCTTCCCTCTGACGTACAGCAAGTCCTGCCTGAGATTCTCCTCTGGTGATTGTTTGCTGTTTTTCAACTGGACCAGCTCCAGAGCCCAAGCTAACTGGGGTAATGACGAGGGGAGGGTATGATTGATAGATAGATAGATAAATGATAGAGATAGATAGATGGGTAGATAGATATATAGATATACAGATGATAGATGGATAGATTGATAGAGGGGTAGATAGATATATAGATAGATGATAGATGGATAGAGAGATTGATAGATGGGTAGACAGATATATAGGTAGATGATAGATGGATAGATTGATAGAAGGGTAGATATATAGATAGATGGGTAGATAGACAAATGATAGATGAATAGATAAATGATATATGATGGACAGATACATAGATGATAGATGGATAAATAGATAAATGATAGATGAATAGATAAAAGATAGATGGATAGATAAATGACAGATGGATAGATAGATAAATAATAGATGAATAGATAAAAGATAGACGATGGACAGATACCTAGATGATAGATGGACAAATAGATAAATGATAGATGAATAGATAAATGATAGAAAGATAGATAAATGACAGATGGATAGATAGATAAATGTAGATGAATAGATAAAAGACACATTGATAGATAAATGATGGATAGACACATAAACAATAGATGGATGGATAGATAGATAGATGGGTATTTAGATGGATAGATAGATAAATAGATAAGTAATACATGAATAGATAAATGACAGATGGATAGATAGATAGATAAATGATAGATGAATAGATAAAAGATAGATGATGGACAGATAGATGATAGATGGATAAATAGATAAATGATAGATGAATAGATAAATGATAGCTGGGTAGATAGATAAATGACAGATGGATAGACAGATTAATGATAGATGAATAATAAAAGATAGACTGATAAATGATGGAGAGATACATAAGCAATAGGTGGATAGATAGATAAATGGTAGATGGGTATTTAGATAGATAAATAGATAAGTAACAGATGAATAGATAACTGGTAGATGGACAGATACATGCTAGATTTCCAAGCATATTTTCACATTTTCACCTTGGTTTCATAGGTCCTGATATAAAACATATGCCTGGAGATCAATGTGCTTCGAATTAGGATTTTTTTTTCTTTTTTCTTTTTTTGCCCCAGAAGGTTAGGAGAGTCCCCATAGAACGTGGGAGGGGACCTGTTTAGTGTTCAGAGCTTGCTGGAGAGGCTCCAGCATGACTCGTTGCTGGATGCTAAACAGGTGGTCCCCCGAGAAAGACCTGGGTCTGGAGGTGAGGGTTGCAGGGTTTATATGCCAGCAACAGAACAGGCGCTTCCTTGGAGAAGTATGTGTGAACCGGTCGCCCTCCCCACCTAAAGGTGTTCTGGGTTTGAGGAGGTTGTCAGTGGTGACCGTATGACCCCAAAAGTCAAACAGAATAATGCGCTTTATCCTTCCTTCTGCTTTAGGGAGGAGAATGTTTGCAGCAGTTCTTGTTAATTCATGAAGCATATGACTAATTGCATCAAGGATGAAACAAGGTAGGTAGGTAGGTAGACAGTTAAGTATGCACATGCATATGTACATAGATGGCAGATAGATGGGTAATAGATCAATGGCAGATAGATAAATAGATGCTGGATAGAGAGAGAGATAGACGATGAATAGAGAGATAGATGATGGATAGAGAGAGAGGGATACATAGATAGATGATTGATTGATTGATTGATTGATTGATGAGATAGATACATGGATAAAAGAGCCATACACATTACAGTGTGTATACATGCAGAGATAGACGATAGACATAGGTAGTATGTAGATAGATAGGCAGATAGATGATAGATGATGGATAGACAGGAGATAGAGAGATAAATGCTAGATAGAGAGACAAAGAGATAGAGATAGATAACGGATAGATAGATGAGGTACATAGACGTAGATAAATAGATAGCTAATAGGTAGATAGATAATAGATGATTGATGGATAATAGATAGATAGGTAGATAAACAGATCATAGGTAGGTAGATAATAGATGATTGATAGATAATAGATAGATGATAGATTAAATAGGTAGATGATAGATGATAGGTAGATAATAGGTAGATGATAGATAGCTAGATAGATGATAGATAGATAGGCAGATAGATAGATGGTAGACAGATAGATGATAGACAGATAGATGATAGATAGATATATAGACAGATATATAGATAGCTAGATAGATGATAGATAGCTAGATAGCTAGATAGATGATAGATAGATAGGCAAATAGCTAGATGATAGACAGATGATAGATAGATATATAGACAGATATATAGATAGATAGCTAGATAGATGATAGATAGATAGATAGATGATAGATATATAGACAGATATATAGATAGATAGCTAGATAGATGATAGATAGATAGATGATAGACAGAGAATAGATAGATATATAGACAGATATATAGATAGATAGCTAGATAGATGATAGGTAGATAGATAGATGATAGATAGATGATAGATAGATATATAGACATATATAGATAGCTAGATAGATGATAGATAGATAGATAGATAGATAGATAGATAGATAGATAGATAGACAGATAGATAGAATATCAATTTGTTCTTGCATTGCTATAAAGCAATACCTGAGCCTGGGTAATTTATAAAGAAAAGAGGTTGAATTGGCTCATGGTTCTGCAGGCTGTACAAGAAGCCCAGTGGCTTGGGCTTCTGAGGAGGCCTCAGGAAACTTATAGGCAAAGGGGAAACAGGTACGTCTTACATTGCTGGAGTAAGAGGAGAGGCGGGGGAGGTGCCACACACTTGTAATCAACCAGATCGCGTGAGAACTCTAGCAGAAGAACAGCGCCAAAGGGATGGTCCTAAACCACTCTTGAGGGGCCCACCCCCACGATCCAATCACCTCTCCCCAGGCCTAAACCACTCCTGAGGGGCCCACCCCCACGATCCAATCACCTCTCACCAGGCCCCACCTCCAACATTGGGGATTACAATTCAGCATGCGATTTGGGCAGGGACACAGATCCAAACCCTATTAGATAGATAGATTAATGATAGATGGATAGATAGATAGATGATTGATGGATACATAGATAAATGATAGATGGATAGATAAATGATAGAGGGATAAATAGATGATAGATGGATAGATAGATGATTGATGGATAGATGGATAAATGATAGATGGATAGATAATGATTGATGGATATATAGATAATGATTGATGGATAGATAAATGATGGATAGATAAATGATAGATGGATAAATAGATGATAGATGGATAGATAGATGATTGATGGATAGATGGATAAATGATAGATGGATAAATAGATGATAGATGGATAGATAGATGATAGATGGATAGATGGATAAATGATAGATGGATAGATAATGATTGATGGATATATAGATAATGATTGATGGATAGATAGATAAATGGTAGATGGATAGATAAATGATAGATGGATAAATAGATGATAGACGGATAGATAGATGATTGATGGATAGATGGATAAATGATAGATGGATAGATAATGATTGATGGATATATAGATAATGATTGATGGATAGATAGATAAATGGTAGATGGATAGATAAATGATAGATGGATAAATAGATGATAGACGGATAGATAGATGATTGATGGATAGATGGATAAATGATAGATGGATAGATAATGAATGATGGATAGATAAATGATAGATGGATAGATAAATGATAGATGGATAAATAGATGATAGATGGATAGATAGATAATTGATGGATAGATGGATAAATGATACATGGATAGATAATGATTGACGGATAGATAGATAATGATTGGTGGATAGATAAATGATAGATGGATAGATAGATGATTGATGGATAGATAGATAAATGATAGATGGATAGATAGATGGGTAGATAGATATATAAATGATAGGTAGATAAATGATAGATGAACATATAAATGATTGATAGATGGATAGATAAATGATAGATGAATAGATAAATGATGGATAGACACATAATAGATGGATAGAAAGATAGATAAATGATAGATGGGTATTTAGATGGATAGATAGATAAATAGATAAATAATAGATGGACAGATAACTGATAGTTGGGCAGATAGATAAATGATCGATGGATAGATAAAAGATAGATAAATAAATAATAGATAGATCAATAAATAGTAAATGAATAGATGAATGACAGATGGGTAGATAGATGGATAGATAAATGATGGATAGATAGATAGATAATAGATGACAGATAGGTGAGAGAGAAATGGGTGACGGAAGGGAGAGAAAGAAGGAGAGAGATTTGGGGTCATTAAATAGCAGAGGAAAAGCATGTACACAAAACTTTTGCAGCATGTGCAATGGAATATATATATATGTTTATATATATATATGTTTATATATATATATAAATACACACACACAGAGAGAGACAGAGAGAGAGACAGAGTCATCAGAGAGTCATCAGACAGCAGAGAGGAAACCCACCCAGCACTGAGGTCATACAGCAAGCTGGAAAGAGACAATGAGTAATGTTTGACATGAGAGGTCATTTTCTGCACGTCTGGAATCGAGGCATTGATTTTTCATACACATTATGGCTATTGGCTAGAGATGATCATTGAACCTGTCTGAAGACAGATCTCTGGGTGGAGCAGACCAAGGCTGTTTGGTGACTTGCGTTATTTGAAGATTTCCCTGCATGCTACTGAAACCAGATGTAGTGAGCTATGATCATCCCACTGCACTCCACCCTGAGCGACAGAGCGAGACCCTGACTCTTATAAAAATAAAAATAAAAAATAAGGCCAGTGCAGTGGCTCAAGGCTGTCATCCCAGCACTTTGGGAGGCCGAGGCGGGTGGATCATGAGGTCAGGAGTTCGAGACCAGCCTGGCCAACAGGGTGAAACCCCGTCTCTACTAAAAGTACAAAAATTATCTGGGAGTGGTGGCAGGTGCCTGTAGTCCCAGCTACTCGGGAGGCTGAGGCAGGAGAATGGCGTGAACCTGGAGGCAGAGGTTGCAGTGAGCCGAGATGTTGCCCAGGCTGGGTGACAGAGCAAGACTCCATTTCAAAAAATAAATAAATTAATTAAATAAAAATAACATAACATAAAATAAAATGGGAACGTCTCCACTCCTCAGAGTGACTCATCCCACCGATCCCACACTGAAATTTAGTTTTTGACACACTGCAGAATGCAAGTAATAATTGCTCAAAATTTGACTGAAGGCGCAGCCCAGAAAGTGAGCTCAAGAAGGTAGGGATGTGGGTGTTTTTGTTCAGAAGTATCTCTCTCTCTCTCTCTCTTTTTTTTTTTTTTTTTTTTTTTGAGATGGAGTCTCGCTCTGTCACCCAGGCTGGAATGCAGTGGTGCGATCTCGGCTCACTGCAAGATCCGCCTCCTGGGTTCACACCATTCTCCTGCCTCAGCCTCCCAAGTAGCTGGGACTACAGGTGCCCGCCACCACGCCCGGCTAATTTTTTGTATTTTTAGTAGAGTTGGGGTTTCACCATGTTGGCCAGGCTGGTCTTGAACTCCTGACCTCAAGAACCTCCACCTCCCAGGTTCAAGTGAGTCTCCTGCCTCAGCCTCCCGAGTAGCTGGGACTACAGGCACCTGCCACTACACCCGGCTAATTTTTGTATTTTTAGTAGAGACGGGGTTTCACCACATTGGCCAGGCTGGTCTTGAACTCCTGACCTCGTGATCCGCCCACCTCGGCCTCCCAAAGTGCTGGGATTACAGGCATGAGGCCACCGCGCCCGGCCAAAAATGGATTTTAATTGCCTAAATTTCCTGCCTCTAGGAGAAAGTACCTTCTTGATCCTTCAGGAGCTAATTTCCACCCAAATCCTCGATGGCTTCAGGGCTCTGGCTGGCAGATGATGTTACAGTGAGGAAGCCGTCATCCTGTGTGGAGTATGGTTCACACTAGCATGCTGTGTCCTGGCCATCAAAGAGATACATGTGCCAGATAAAATATGTGTGTATAGATCACGCATAAACTTGCATTCTGGGTCTTCATAAAGAAGTTTAAAGAAGGCCGGGAGTGGTGGCTCACGCCTGTAATCCCAGCACTTTGGGGGGCCGAGGTGGGTGGATCACCTGAGGTCAGGAGTTCGAGACCAGCCTGACCAACACGGTGAAACCCCATCTCTACTAAAAATACAAAAATTAGCCAGGCGTGGTGGCAGGTGCCTGTAATCCCAGCACTTTGGGGGACCGAGGTGGGTGGATCATCTGAGGTCAGGAGTTCGAGACCAGCCTGACCAACATGGTGAAACCCCGTCTCTACTAAAGAAATACAAAAATTAGTCAGGCGTGGTGACAGGTGCCTGTCATCCCAGCTACTCGGGGGGCTGAGGCAGAATTGTTGAACCTGGGAGGCGGTGGTTGTAGAGAGCCGAGGTCACTGCACTCCAGCCTGGGCGATAGAGTGAGACTCAGTGTCAAAAAAAAAAAAAAAATTAAAGATAGAGGGAGAAAGAGGAGAAACAAGAGGAGGAGGAGGCTGGAGGAGGAGAAGGAGGAGGAAGAGAAAGAGGAGGAGGTGGAGGAGGAGGGAGACAGAGGAGGAGGAGGGAGTGGTTGGAGGAGGAGAAAGAGAAGGATGAGGAAGAGAAAAAGAAGGAGGGGGAGGAGGAAGAAGAGGAGGAGGGGAAGGAGGAGAAAGAGGAGGAGAGGGAGGAAGAGGAGGAGGCTGGAGGAGGAGAAAAAGGAGAAAGAGAAAAAGGAGGAGGGAGAGGAGGAGGGGAAGGAGGAGGGAGAGAAAGAGGAGGAGAGGGAGGAAGAGGAGGAGGCTGGAGGAGGAGGAAAAGGAGAAAGAGAAAAAGGAGGAGGGAGAGGAGGAGGGGAAGGGGGAGGGAGAGAAAGAGGAGGAGAGGGAGGAAGAGGAGGAGGCTGGAGGAGGAGGAAAAGGAGAAAGAGAAAAAGGAGGAGGGAGAGGAGGAGGGGAAGGGGGAGGGAGAGAAGTAGAAGCAGGAAGAGTGGGGAAGGAGGAGGTTGGAGAAGGTGGAGGAGGAAGAAGAGAAACAGGAAGAAGAGGAGGAAAAAGGGGAGGAGGAGGGAGAGGAGGAAAGAGAGGAGGAGGGGAAGGAGGAGGAAGAGAAAGAGGAGGAGGGGGAGAAGCAGGGAGAGGAGGAGGAGGAAGAGAAAGAGGAGGAGGGAGAGGAGGAGGGAGAGGAGGAGGAAGAGAAAGAGGAGAAGGGAGAGGAGGAGGGGGAGGAGGAGGGAGAGGAGGAGGAGGAAGAGAAAGAGGAGAAGGGAGAGGAGGAAGAGCCTGGAGGAGGAGGAAGAGAAAGAAGAAAAGGAAGAGGAGGGGAAAGAAGAGGCTGGAGAAGATGGAGGAGGAAGAAGAGAAAGAGGAAGAGGAGAGGGGAGAGGATGAGGGGAAGGAGGAGGAAGAGAAAGAGGAGGAGGGAGAGGAGGAAGAGGCTGGAGAGGAGAAGGAGGAAGAGAAAGAGGAGGAGGGGGAGGAGGGGAAGGAAGAGGTTGGAGAAGGTAGAGGAGGAAGAAGCGAAAGAAAAGGAGGGGGAGGAGAGAGGGGAGGAGAAAGAACAGGAAGAGGAGAGGGAGAAGGAGGAACAAGAGAAGGGGGAAGAGGGGAGGAGGAAAAGATGAGAGGAGGAGAAGGAAGCGGAAGAGAAAGAGGGAGAGGTGGAGAAGGGGGAGGAGGAGGGGAAGGAGGAGGAGGAAGAGGAGGAGGAGAAGAAGGTGGAGGAGGGAGAAAAGGGAAGAGGGGGGCAGAGGGTGGAGAGGGACTCAGGAAAACAGGTCCCCCTCACCCCCATCCCACCGTAATAAAGACATGACGCCTTTTTATGCTGAGAAAACATCAAGCTGTGTTTCTCCTTCCCCAGAGACACTTCGCAGCCCCTCTTGGGATCCAGCGCAGCGCAAGGTAAGCCAGATGCCTCTGCTGTTGCCCTCCCTGTGGGCCTGCTCTCCTCACGCCGGCCCCCACCTGGGCCACCTGTGGCACCTGCCAGGAGGCTGAGCTGCAAACCCCAATGAGGGGCAGGTGCTCCCGGAGACCTGCTTCCCACACGCCCATCGTTCTGCCCCCGGCTTTGAGTTCTCCCAGGCCCCTCTGTGCACCCCTCCCTAGCAGGAACATGCCGTCTGCCCCCTTGAGCTTTGCAAGGTCTCGGTGATAATAGGAAGGTCTTTGCCTTGCAGGGAGAATGAGTCATCCGTGCTCCCTCCGAGGGGGATTCTGGAGTCCACAGTAATTGCAGGGCTGACACTCTGCCCTGCACCGGGCGCCCCAGCTCCTCCCCACCTCCCTCCTCCATCCCTGTCTCCGGCTATTAAGACGGGGCGCTCAGGGGCCTGTAACTGGGGAAGGTATACCCGCCCTGCAGAGGTGGACCCTGTCTGTTTTGATTTCTGTTCCATGTCCAAGGCAGGACATGACCCTGTTTTGGAATGCTGATTTATGGATTTTCCAGGCCACTGTGCCCCAGATACAATTTTCTCTGACATTAAGAATACGTAGAGAACCAAATGCATTTTCTTCTTAAAAAAAAAAAAAACCAAAAAAAAAAAAAAAAACCAAAAAACTGTACTTAATAAGATCCATGCCTATAAGACAAAGGAACACCTCTTGTCATATATGTGGGACCTCGGGCAGCGTGTGAAAGTTTACTTGCAGTTTGCAGTAAAATGACAAAGCTAACACCTGGCGTGGACAATCTTACCTAGCTATGCTCTCCAAAATGTATTTTTTCTAATCTGGGCAACAATGGTGCCATCTCGGTTCACTGCAACCTCCGCTTCCCAGGTTCAAGCGATTCTCCGGCCTCAGCCTCCCAAGTAGCTGGGAGGACAGGCACCCGCCATGATGCCCGGTTAATTTTTGTATTTTTAGCAGAGATGGGTTTTCGCCATGTTGGCCAGGCTGGTCTCGAACTCCTGACCTCAGGTGATCCGCCTGCCTTGGCCTCCCAAAGTGCTGGGATGACAGGCGTGAGCCACCGCGCCCAGCCAGGAATCTATGCATTTGCCTTTGAATATTAGCCTCCACTGCCCCATCAGCAAAAGGCAAAACAGGTTACCAGCCTCCCGCCACCCCTGAAGAATAATTGTGAAAAAATGTGGAATTAGCAACATGTTGGCAGGATTTTTGCTGAGGTTATAAGCCACTTCCTTCATCTGGGTCTGAGCTTTTTTGTATTCGGTCTTACCATTCGTTGGTTCTGTAGTTCATGTTTCAAAAATGCAGCCTCAGAGACTGCAAGCCGCTGAGTCAAATACAAATAGATTTTTAAAGTGTATTTATTTTAAACAAAAAATAAAATCACACATAAGATAAAACAAAACGAAACTGACTTTATACAGTAAAATAAACGATGCCTGGGCACAGTGGCTCACGCCTGTCAACCCAGCACTTTGGGAGGCTGAGGCGGGTCGATCACCTGAGGTTAGGAGTTCAAGACCAGTCTGGCCAACTTAGTGAAACTCCCGTCTACTAAAAACACACAAATTGGCTGGATGTGGTGGCAGATGCCTGTAATCCCAGCTACACAGGAGGCTGAGGCAGGAGAATCACTTGAACCCAGGAGGCGGAGGTTGCAGTGAGCCGAGATCGTGTCACTGCACTCCAGCCTGGGTGACAGAGTGAGACTCTGTCTCAAAAATATAAGTAAATAAATAAATAAAATAAAATAAACAATCTTCCTGCTCAAAATTGAGGGCATTTTTGTTGAGATAGATTCATTCAGAGTGAGACTCTCACCTCCTACTTCTGTTTTTTTCTGATTTATTTTTATTTTTTTGCTACCTCTGTAGCGACGTTTTCATTGCTGGAGCACGGGTGAGACTATGTCTTTAGACTTCTCCCTCTCCTTCCCCTAAGCCTCCAACGCGTGCTAAAGTGCAAAAAACACCTGAGTCCAAACAGCCTGGCCGGGTGCAGTGGCTCATGCCTGTCATCCCAGCACGTTGGGAGCCTGAAGTGGGTGGATCACCCGAAGTCAGCAGTTCGAGACCAGCCTGGCCAACACGGTGAAACCCCGTCTCTATTAAAAATACGAAAATTAGCCGGGCATGGTGGCGCATGCCTGTAATCCCAGCTACTTGGGAGGTTGAGGCAGGAGAATCGCTTGAACCCAGGGGGTGGAGGGTGCAGTGAGCTGAGATTGTGCCACTGCACTCCAGCCTGGGTGACAGAGTGAGACTGTGTCTCAAAAAAAAAAAAAAAAAAAGAAAGAAAGAAAAGAAAAAGCAAGAAATGGCAGGGATATGGTTTGTCTTCAGAACCATGGTGGAGAGAAGATTGTGTGAGTTCCTGAGGCTGTCAGAACAAAAGACCATGACCTCAGAGTGGGAAGGTCAAAACAGCAGAGATTCATCCTCTCCCAGCTGTGGAGAACAGCAGTCTGTGATCCAGCTGTCTGAGGACCTTCCTCCCATCAGAAGCTCTAGGGGAGGCTCCTTCCTGCCTCTCCCAGCTCCTGGGGGCTCCAGGTGTCCCTGGGCTTGTGGCCGCATCACTCCAGTCTCTGCCTCCATCTCCACGTGGCCTTCTCCTCTGTGTCTGCGTCTCCTCTTCTGTCTCTTACAGGGACACCTGTCATTGTATTTAGGGCCCAGCCCTAAATGGAGTACCAGGATGACCTCATTATAACTAACTATATCTGCAGAGACCGTAGTTCCAAATAAGTCACCCGTCCTGGGTTCCAGATGAAATTATTTGTGTGGGGGAGATATTATTCCACCTGCTACGCAGGATGATTTGTTTTCCTCACTATCAGTGATTGAGATTAACATGTTTCTGTGCTTGGTTAGAGAAATGTAGGATGCTGTTCTGTCTCCTGCTCTTTTTTTTTTTTTTTTTTTTTTTGAGGTGGAGTCCTGCTCTGTTGCCCAGGCTGGAGGACAATGGTGCAATCTTGGTTCACTGCAACTTCCACCTCCATGGTTCAAGGAATTCCCCTGCCTCAGCCTCCCGAGTAGCTGGGATTACAGGTGCGTGCCACCATGTCCAGCTAATTGTTTTGTGTTTTTAGTAGAGATGGGATTTCGCCATGTTGGCCAGGCTGGTCTCGAACTCCTGACCTCAGATGATCCGCCCGCCTCGGCCTCCCAACGTGCTGGGATGACAGGTGTGAGCCACTGTGCCTGGCCCTGCTGTATCTTATGCACATAAAAATCTGTGAGAACTTTCCTTAGGTGATCATCCAAGCCTCAGGGGTCTGAGCAATGGCTTTTTGCTGTAAAAGTCAGACGTGGGGCCGGGCGCGGTGGCTCACGCCTGTCATCCCAGCACTTTGGGAGGCTGAGGCGGGCGGGTCACGAGGTCAGGAGATCGAGACCATCCTGGCTAACACGGTGCAACCCCGTCTCTACTAAAAATACAAAAAATTAGCCGGGCGTGGTGGCGGGCGCCTGTAGTGCCAGCTACTCGGGAGGCTGAGGCAGGAGGATGGTGCGAACCCGGGAGGTGGAGCTTGCAGTGAGCCCAGATCGCGCCACTGCACTCCAGCCTGGGCGACAGAGCAAGACTCCATCTTAAATAAATAAATAAATAAATAAATAAATAAATAAATAAATAATAAATAAATGAATAATAAAAATAAACTCAGACGTGGACGCCAAGCTGCCACGCGCACAGATTAGCCTGCGTCAGACGACCGGAGAGACTGGCTGCGTAGAATCCTCGTTGCCTTTGACTCCTGTCACCTTTACACGCCGGAAAGCCCTGGTCGTCTGCGTTTCTGTCCAGCTCCTGGACTTTTTTTTTTTTTTTTTTTTGAGACGGACTCTCACTCTGTCGCCCAGGCCGGAGTGCAGTGGCACGATCTCGGCTCACCACAACCTCTGCCTCCCGGGTTCAAGCGATTCTCCTGCCTCAGCCTCCCTAGTAGGTGGGATTACAGGTGCCCGCCACCACGCCTGGCTAATTTTTGTATTTTTACTAGAAACGGGGTTTCACCCTGTTGGCCAGGTTGGTCTTGAACTCCTGACCTCGTGATCCGCCTGCCTCAGTCTCCCAAAGGGCTGGGATTACAGGCGTGAGCCACCGCGCCCGGCCTCACCTCCTTGACCGTTTACAGGTGACAACTGTTTGAATCGGTCACCAAAGCGTCAAGATTACGGATCCTCAAGCCGTAGACATTTCACGTACAATCAAAATCAACTGAAAAGGCAGGCGACGTTTCCTGGAGGAACTTTGCTGAAAGAAAAGTCATGAGCCATAACAAACCCTGGAACCGGCTTCTTAACCCCCACCGCAAACTCCCAAGCTTCGGCGTGTGTTGAAAAACCAGAAAGACAGCCTTCTCTAAATAGGATCCACATCTTCATCTTTCTCTCAGGACCCCAAAGACACCTCCTGGCTGTTTCTTGCTGGAGAGAAAGCATTTCACGTGCAGTACACCCTGTTTGAAACATCGCTTGGGTATTTTGATACATTGTTTTGTTGTAGTCAGAAACAGCGCATCAGAAAACACAGTTGTACAAATACTCTTTTTAATGGTACTCGGTGGGGGCTGTGTGTGTGTTTTAAAATAACAAAACTGCTAAACTCCATGGGAATTACTCAAAATGAATATCAGGGAAAGGTTTCCTTCGTTACTTAAACAGATGCCTTTGCAACCTACTATTTTATTTTATTATGTCATTTCTATGGGAAGAGATTATTTAAAAGAAGAAAAGGGGCCCCAGGTTTTCTCTCCTAAATTTCTAGCCCCAAACCTTCGTGATATTGAAAAGCAAGTATATCACAAAAGACTGTCTTCTACAAATTATATTTTTAATTGCAGTGTGCGTGTGTGTTTTAAAATAACAAAACTGCTAAACTCCATGGGAATTAGTCAAAATGAATATCGGGGAAGGGTTTCCTTCGATACTTAAATAGGTACCTTTGCAACCTACTATTTTATTTTATTATGTCATTTCTATGGGAGGAGATTATTTAAAAGGAGGAGCTCACGTTTTTCGTACGAAATTTCTAGCCCCAACCCTCCATGATACTGAAAAGCAAGTATATCAGAAAAGACTGTGTTCTACAAATTATGTTTTTAATTGCACTGTGTGTGTGTGTGTGTGTGTGTGTGTTTTAAAATAACAAAACTGCTAAACTCCATGGGAATTACTCAAAATGAATATCAGGGAAAGGTTTCCTTCGTTACTTAAACAGATGCCTTTGCAACCTACTATTTTATTTTATTATGTCATTTCTATGGGAGGAGATTATTTAAAAGGAGGAGCCCACTTTCTTGCTTTTAAATTTCCAGCCCCAACCCTTCTGGACATAACTCGTCTTCCTCTGCAGATTGGAACAGATGATTTTGCCGTCCAAGCATCCACCGGTGCTGTAGGAGAAGACGCACCGTGTTAGGTAGGTCAGCTGGCTCTGAGTTGAAAGTGTCACCCAAACCCAGGAGATCCAGGGCAGAAATTGTTTTAGTTCCACAGAGCAGCCACGGGTGCACCGTCTGTGTATCTCTGTCAGTGATGCAATCCAATGCATCTGGCAAAGGGAACGCAGGGGGCTGCGAGGAAGGCCCATTCGAGTGGCCTGTAAAAATGCTGAAAGCTCCATACACCTTCCCTGTCTCTGGGATTCTCAGCATCCTGCTCTGCCCTCCAAGTACAGGTCGCTGACCCACCTCCCACCCCTGCCCACCTCCAATCACATGCCTTGCACCCCTTCCTACCATTAGGCCTGCCGCTAAGGACCTGATTAGCTATAAATTTATGGCAATCCGCAACCACCGGCCTTCCCCTCCTGATGTTTTCTGACACATTTCAGGAGACGCAGAATACAGGCTCGCTGGTCCACCCGAGACCCCTGGCTGCAGAAACAGCCCGGCTCGTGAACACAGTTGCCGTGGTAACATGCCCCCCAGCTGTAGCCGGCCTAGGAAAACTACGTGGACAAGGATGATTTTTTCACAAGTTTTATTTTTTATTTATTTACTTGGGACCTTTTGTTTGGCAGCCGGACGGTGCAGCTTTTTCTCTGCACGGAGTCTGGTTGTGTCTACACACACAGGCAACACGCATAGATGGACATAAAACTATCCCCTCCCAAGACTTGCAAAGGATGCACGTTTTTCAGGCTGCAGCCAGGACGAGGGAGAGGTAGAGGTTGTAGTTATTGAGTAGGGGAGTCCCAAGAAAATCGTTGCCATAGGAAAGAAACAGTGGCTCACGTCTCTCATTCCAGCACTTTGGGAGGCCGAGGCGGGCGGATCAACTGAGGTCAGGAGTTTGAGACCAGCCTGGCCAACATAGTGAAACCCCGCTCTACTAAAAATACAAAAATTAGCCAGGCACGGTGGCTCACGCCTGTAATCCCAGCACTTTGGGAGGTCAAGGCGGGAGGATCACCTGAGGTCAGGAGTTCGAGACCAGCCTGGCCAACATGGTGAAACCCCGTCTCTACTAAAAATACAAACAGTAGCCAGGCTTGGTGGCTCACATCTGTCATTCCAGCACTTTGGGAGGCTGACGTGGGGCGGATCAACTGAGGTCAGGGGTTCGAGACCAGCCTGGTCAACATGGTGAAACTCCATCTCTATTGAAAGTACAAACATTAGCCAGGCATGGTGGCTCACGCCTGTAATCCCAGCACTTTGGGAGGCCCAGGCAGGGGGATCGCCTGAGGTCAGGAGTTCGAGACCAGCCTGGCCAACATGGTGAAACCCCCGTCTCTACTAACAATACAAAAATTAGCTGAGCGTAGTGGTGCGCACCTGTAATCCCACATACTCAGGAGGCTGAGGCAGGATAATCGCTTGAACCCAGGAGGCGGAGGTTGCAGTGAGCTGAGATTGCACCACTGCACTCCAGCCTGGATGACAGAGCAAGACTCCATCTCAAACAAAAAGAAAAGAAATGCATGGGTCTTGATGGGTGACATTTTATGTGGAAATAATGACAACAGCTAAAACACAAAGCAAAGCTATTTTGTTTCCCAATTTACACAAAAAACCAAACCAAACAAAACAGGTGCTGAGGTGATATTGAAAGATAAGATTGCTTAGAATATGGAGGCTAATGTTTGGAGGTGACTTTTGTAAATTGATCTTCATCCCTGGCAGTCCTTTGGTTGAAGGAGCCTGGATTTTAGTGTAAGATTTGGCTGGTTTGTTATAACATGTGGATCCCCTTTCTTTCTTTCTTTCTTTCTTTCTTTCTTTCTTTCTTTCTTTCTTTCTTTCTTTCTTTCTTTCTTTCTTTCTTTTTCTTTCTTTCTTTCTTTTCCTTTCTTTCTTTTCCTTTCTTTCTTTCTCTCTCTTTCTTCTTTCCTTCCTTCTTTCTTTCTTTCTTTTTTCTTTCTCTCTTTTCTTTCTTTCTCTCTCTCTCTCCCTCCCTCCCTCCTTCCCTTCCTTCCTTCCTTCCATCTTTCTTTCTTTTTCTTTCTTTCTTTCTTTCTTTCTTTCTTTCTTTCTTTCTCTCTTTCTTTCTTTCTTTCTTTCTCTCTTTTTCTTTCTTTTCTTTCTTCTTTCTTTCTTTCTTTCTTTCTTTCTTTCTTTCTTTCTTTCTCTCTTTTCTTTCTTCCTTCTTTTTAAGTGAAAGCAAGTTTTTTAAGAAAGTGAAGTAATAAAAGAATGGCTACTCCAGAGGCAGAGTACCCCTTAGGGCTGCTGGTTGGCTATCTTTATATCTGCTCCTATTTATTTATTTATTTATTGGAGACAGAGTCTCGTTCTGTCGCCCAGGCTGGAGTGCAGTGGTGCAATCTTGGCTCACTGCAACCTCCGCCTTCCAGGTTCAAGCAATTCTCCTGCCTCAGCCTCCTGAGTAGCTAGGATTATAGTCATGAGCGACCACACCAAGCTAATTTTTTTTTTTTTTTTTGTATTTTTAGTAGAGACAGGGTTTCACCATGTTGGCCATGCTGGTCTCGAACTGCTAGCCTCAGGTGACCCGCCCGCCTCGGCCTCCCAACGTGCTGGGATGACAGGTTTGAGCCACCGCCCCCGGTCCATCCTCTTTATTTTTTAAATTCTATTTGTATTCTTGATCTTCCCAGTTTTAGTGGCTCTTCAGGGGCTGAGAAAGCATGAAATACAGAGAATTTCTCTCCTCTTTCAACCAGAAAAGTTGTCTCATGTCTTTGGAGGTGGTAAGACCAGAGATATCTTTCTTGCAGGAGGAAGATGATTTCAAGAACAGAGAAATTGAGATGATTTTCCCGAGACAGGCAGTTGTTTCTTTCCTCCTCTCAGACACCTGTCCCGCGAGGCCAAGATGAAGTTGCTTCATTTTCTTAAGAGAGAATGACCGGAATGTTCCGGAAAACCAAAACGTCCAAGCTTTTGCAGGATGGAAGGAGTGGATCTATAGCAATTGAATTGAACACTTGTGTCCCTGTGTCTCCCTTGCTGCCCCCCAAACCTGAGAGCCCATTTTCAGCTTCTCCAGTGACCCAGTTGTCCAAGCGGAAACTAGTTAATCACCCTCAGTGGACCTGATATTCCCCGGAAATTATGGCTCGTGGAGATCTCATCGGAATTGTAAACTCATGCAGCCAGCCACATCTGCAAGTCCCAGGGGAATACAGGTCAAAAAACGTACCGGAATTACAGAAAAATCGTGTTGTCATCTCTGCACCGTACAAGGACAGAAACGACCTGTTTCCAAGAATGACATTATATAGCATCCCTGCCTTTTCGTTGACGGGGGAGACTGTATTATCCTCTAAAAGGTGCCACGAAGAATATTCAGAAAGGGTAAAATGACAAAATTAAAAGGAACGAAGGTGTATAGAAAGGCCAATTCTAAAAACCTAAATGCTGGAGGCGGCGGGGTGGCCTGTGGTTGGTCTCTGCAAATTTTCTCCGGATCTGACAGAGATCCAGTTCCGTCACCTCCAGGGCACAACGTAAGACCCCTGTTTCTGCAGTTCTGCCTTTTTAATTGATCGCCAGCGCTTTCTGGAAGATGATAGAATAAGGCCAGATTGTACGTGCCGGGGTGCTGATCTTCATGACTGGGGTATGTGTGTGTGTTCTCCAAAATTAAAGGAGCAAAGTGAGACCACAGATTGTACAATTCCATTCGAATCACATGTCCAGAATAGGAAAATCTACTGGGGCAGAGGGTGGATCAGTAGTTGCTTAGGACTGGGGGAACAAGGATGGGATAACTACGGAGGGAGGGATCTGAAGATGGCAAGTCAGCTTCCTTGGGGGGTGATAAAGATATCCTAAAAGTGACTCTGAGTGCCTTAAATAGATGCATTGTACGATATGTCAGTTATAGCCCGACAAACCTGCTTTGAAGAAAAAGAAGGCAGATTGTGAAATACACATAATAAATGGAAGCAAAGCAAATGACAATGATTTTTAAATTTATTTTTATTTTTTGTAGAGATGGGGGTGTCTAGCTAGGTGGCCCGGGCTGGTCTCAAACTCATGGGCTCAAGCAATCCTCCAGCCTTAGCCTCCGAAAATGCTGGGACCACAGATGGGAGTCACCACCGTACCCATCCATACAACTTTTTTTTTTTTTAATGTGAGACTACAAAATTATGAGGACATATCATATATTTGGAAAACTAAGGTAGAAAATCTCTACTTGTGATTGTTTTAAAAGTGTATTCATTGGCCGGGCATAGTGGCTCACGCCTGTCATCCCAGCACTTTGGGAGCTCGAGGTGAGCAGATCACCTGACATCAGGAGTTCAAGACCAGCCTGCCAACGTGGTGAAACCCCATCTCTACTAAAAATAGGAAATTCACCTGGTGGCAGGTGCCTGTAATCCCAGCTACTCGGGAGGCTGAGGCAGAAGAATCGCTTGAACCCAGGAGGTGGAGATTGCACTGAGCTGAGATCACGCCACTGCGCTCCAGCCTGGGTGACAGAGCAAGACTCCATAAAAAAAAAAATTATAACCTAATGATTAAATACTGTAGGGAAGAGCTTACCACAATTGCTGGCCCATGGCCAATGCTGGGTATAAGACAGCTACTGCAAACAACCATGATGATGATACATCTCTTGTGTAGGGTTAGGTTGTTTGAGACACATTCTATGCTCCTTGATTTGATTGGAAGGTACCTTGGTTCCTTGGGGACTTGGAGGTGATGAAAGCCTCCCTGGGGACAAAACTCACCTTCACTTCTCTAATATCAAGCTTCAGCAACCTGCTCCAGCTACAGCACAGGGTTGGACAGGCCCAACAACAGAGGAAATCCACAAAGTGTGTCTTGACACATACATCCACGGGGTCTAACGAGGTGAGGCCAATGACTGCTTCCACACACCCCAGCCAGACTCTGACTTCACTCCCGGCAGGTTTCAGTAGACTTGGCAGCAGTTGGAGCGAGCTGGCTTCTTGCGGTAGGCAGCCATGTTGGAAGAGCTCCCAATAGTCCTCGTTTCCTGGTAATCTCATGCTTGGATCATCTTCTTCTCTTGAGTGAAGAGAAGAACTGCAGAGAGAGACAGAGACAGAGAGACAGATCACAGGGGCAGTTTCCCCCATACTGTTCTCAAGATAAATGAGTCAACTCTTACACCTCTTTTCTCTGGTGTAAAACAAGGCTGGTGAACAGGCAGAGAGAACTGGGGTGTTGGAGTAGCATTGACCTTCCTTCTTCATCCCTCTATAATCTCTCCTAGTGCAGGAGTAGGAAAACTAAAAATCACACGTCTGATCATCTGTGATCTCAGAGTCTTGGACAAGCCTTGCTTGCCAATCAGCAGGGATGGGAGTTGGAGCCATCTCCAAGTGTCCCCCCACAAATCTATGTCCACCTGGAAGTTTCAAATGCAACTTTATTTGGGAAAAGCAATTTTGCAAATGTTATTAAGTGAAGGATCTAGGGATGAGATCATCCTGGAGTAGGGTGGGTCCTAGGTCAAATGACAGGAAATCTGCCCACCTCGGCCTCCCAAAGTGCTGGGATTACAGGCATGAGCCACCAAACCTGGCCTATCATTGATTTAATGATTAATACGGTTAGGCTCTGTGTCCCCACCCAAATCTCATCTCAAATTGTAATTCCCATGTGTCCAGGGAGGGAGCTTGTGGAAGGTGATTGGATCACAGGGGCAGTTTTTGTCATGCTGTTCTCATGATAAATGAGTCAATTCTCAGAAGAGATGATGGTTTTAAAGTGTGGCACTTCTTTGCTCTCTTGCTCTCTCTCTCTCCTGAGTAGACTGGCTCATTCTTTCTACTGGTTACAAGCAATAGAAGTGATAACAAAATTGATGGTTTCTCATTTCCTAAATGGTACCAGTGGATTCCTGGTTTCCTCTCTCTCTCTTCTCTCTCTCTATCAACTTTTCCCTCAATCTCTCTATCAACCTCCCTCTCTCTCAATCTCAATCTCTCTCAGTCTCATTCTCAATCTCTTTTGCTCAATCTCTTTCTCAGCTTCTCTCCCTCAATTTCTCTTTTGCAACTTCTCTCTCTCAGTCTGTGTCTCTCAATCTCCCTCTCTCAATCTCTCTTGTAGTCTCCCTGTCTCTCATACTCTCTCTGTTTCTGTCTGTCTCTGCCCTTGCTCTAGGGAAAGCAAGTTCTTATGCTGTAAGTTCTCCTGTAAAAAGGTCCACATGATACGGAACTGGCCATCTTTGGCCAACATGAGTGAGTTTAGAAGTGTGCCTTTCACCAGTTGAGCCTTCAAATGAGATCCCAGCCCTGGATGACACAGTGACAGTAACCTGCTAGGAACTGTGAACCAGAGGCACCCAGCCAAGCTGCTCCCAGACTCCCAACCCAGTGAAACCATAAGATAATAAATGCATGTTGTTTTAAGCTGCTAAGTTTGGGGGTCACTTGTTACACAGCAACAGCTGACTCATACATTTTCTTTGAAATTGATTTCCACTTCTGTCACCAGCATCATTCCATAAATTTGCTCTATGTGCATTGCTGACCTGCAGTAGAAGTTTTGGAGAAGTGAACCACATCCCCTTATCTGCCATTTGACAGCAAGCAGCCTCAAACATTCATAATTTCTTTCCTGACTCTCCACTCCACACTGTTGCCTGCCTTCCTGGTTCCAGATCTTTGGATCTGGACTGACACCTGGGCACTGTCATAGGCATCCGTGTGAAGAGACCACCAACAGGCTCTGTGTGAGCAATAAAGCTTTTTAATCACCTGGGTGCAGGTGGGCTGATTCTGAAAAGAGAGTCAGCAAAGAGTGGTGGGATTATCATTAGTTCTTATAGGTTCGGGATAGGTGGTGGAGTTAGGAGCAATTTTTTGTGGGCAGGGAGTGGATCTTACAAAGGACATTCTCAAGGGTGGGGATGATTTTACAAAGTACCTTCTTAAGGGCGGGGGAGGATATTACAAAGTACCTTCTCAAGGGTGGGGATGATTTTACAAAGTACCTTCTTAAGGGCGGGGGAGGATATTACAAAGTACCTTCTCAAGGGTGGGGGTGGATATTAGAAAGTACCTTCTTAAGGGCGGGGGAGGATATTACAAAGTACCTTCTCAAGGGTGGGGGAGGATATTACAAAGTACCTTCTCAAGGGTGGGGGAGGATATTACAAAGTACCTTCTCAAGGGTGGGGATGATTTTACAAAGTACCTTCTTAAGGGCAGGGTGGATATTACAAAGTACCTTCTCAAGGGTGGGGGTGGATATTACAAAGTACCTTCTCAAGGGTGGGGATGATTTTACAAAGTACCTTCTTAAGGGCGGGGGAGGATATTACAAAGTACCTTCTCAAGTGTGGGGGTGGATATTACAAAGGACATTCTCAAGGGTGGGGATGATTTTACAAAGTACCTTCTTAAGGGCAGGGGAGGATATTCCAAAGTACCTTCTCAAGGGTGGGGAGGATATTACAAAGTACCTTCTTAAGGGCGGGGGAGGATATTACAAAGTACCTTCTCAAGGGTGGGGGTGGATATTAGAAAGTACCTTCTCAAGGGTGGGGAGGATATTACAAAGTACCTTCTCAAGGGTGGGGGTGGATATTACAAAGTACCTTCTCAAGGGTGGGGATGATTTTACAAAGTACCTTCTTAAGGGTGGGGGTGGATATTACAAAGTACCTTCTCAAGGGTGGGGGAGGATATTACAAAGTACCTTCTCAAGGGTGGGGATGATTTTACAAAGTACCTTCTTAAGGGCAGGGTGGATATTACAAAGTACCTTCTCAAGGGTGGGGGTGGATATTACAAAGTACCTTCTCAAGGGTGGGGATGATTTTACAAAGTACCTTCTTAAGGGCAGGGGAGGATATTACAAAGTACCTTCTCAAGTGTGGGGGTGGATATTACAAAGGACATTCTCAAGGGTGGGGATGATTTTACAAAGTACCTTCTTAAGGGCAGGGGAGGATATTCCAAAGTACCTTCTCAAGGGTGGGGAGGATATTACAAAGTACCTTCTTAAGGGCGGGGGAGGATATTACAAAGTACCTTCTCAAGGGTGGGGGTGGATATTACAAAGTACCTTCTTAAGGGCAGGGGAGGATATTACAAAGTACCTTCTCAAGGGTGGGGGTGGATATTAGAAAGTACCTTCTCAAGGGTGGGGAGGATATTACAAAGTACCTTCTCAAGGGTGGGGGTGGATATTACAAAGTACCTTCTCAAGGGTGGGGATGATTTTACAAAGTACCTTCTTAAGGGTGGGGGAGGATATTACAAAGTACCTTCTCAAGGGTGGGGGTGGATATTACAAAGGACATTCTCAAGGGTGGGGATGATTTTACAAAGTACCTTCTTAAGGGTGGGGGAGGATATTACAAAGTACCTTCTCAAGGGTGGGGGTGGATATTACAAAGTACCTTCTTAAGGGCAGGGGAGGATATTACAAAGTACCTTCTCAAGGGTGGGGATGATTTTACAAAGTACCTTCTTAAGGGCGGGGGAGGATATTACAAAGTACCTTCTCAAGGGTGGGGGTGGATATTAGAAAGTACCTTCTCAAGGGTGGGGATGATATTACAAAGTACCTTCTCAAGGGTGGGGGTGGATATTACAAAGTACCTTCTCAAGGGTGGGGATGATTTTACAAAGTACCTTCTTAAGGGCGGGGGAGGATATTACAAAGTACCTTCTCAAGGGTGGGGGTGGATATTACAAAGTACCTTCTTAAGGGCAGGGGAGGATATTACAAAGTACCTTCTCAAGGGTGGGGATGATTTTACAAAGTACCTTCTTAAGGGCGGGGGAGGATATTACAAAGTACCTTCTCAAGGGTGGGGAGGGTGTGTTGTACAAAATACATTCACAAGGGTGGGGGACTATCAGAAAGTACATTATCACAAGGGCGGGGAGGGTGTATTGTCACAAAGTCAATTGATCAGTTAGGGTTGGGCAGGAACAAATCACAATGGTGGAATGTCATCAGTTAAGACAGGAACTGGCTATTTTCACTTCTTTTGTGGGTCTTCAATTGCTTCAGGCCACCTGGATGTATACGTGCAGGTCACAGGGGATATGATGGCTTAGCTTGGGCTCAGAGGCCTGACAGGCACTGCTTACTCACTGATGAGTCTCCGTTGGGACTTACTTCCAGGACTCCATCAGCAGGGGATTTTTCTGCTTCAAGGGCTCATGCTGGGCACATGAATGGAAGGGTTGATTCCTCCTGGAGGCGTCGAGGGAGATGCCTCCAAAAGGAGGAACTGACTCTCTTTGACCAACGTCACATGATAGCAACCTGCCAGGAACCAGGAACCAGAGACACGTATCCAACCAAAAGGCACCTGCCTCTTCCCCAGCTCCTGCTGGTTTGTGGGGCAACCCTGGGAGTCCTTGTCTTGCAAATGTGTTGTCTAGCTCTCCTCCTGAATGAGGCATCACCTGCATTCTCCACCTGCGTTCTTTGGAAGAGCTTTGCAGCCTCTCAGGAGAGCTGCTCACCTGTCCCCCCTGCCTGCTCATTGCCCTGTGCAAACCAGAGTCCTGAGACACTCCCCAAAGGTTGGTCCCTACCAACCCAGGTTGCCTCTTGTTTCTTGCAACAAGACAGCAAAAGACGCTGCAGAAGGATCGCTTACCTTGTTTGGAAAGAGAGCCCACCCTTTCACCTCGCTGGCAAACATTTTCTTGTGTCCTAATGAGAACCCCAAGGAATACCCCGGGATGTGAGGAGAGGGAGCGTCCGCCCGGCGGCCCGCCCCAAGGAGCCTGAGGCTGTCCTGCACACATCACCACACACACTCTCTGCATTGCAGTCCCATGTTTATAGAGAAGATTACAGGTGAGTTTCCAAAATCCCAGCCCATGCTGCCCCTACCTGACGATGTTTGATTTCCGAATTCCTTTAATTTCAGCAAATGGATATTGGCTGTGGGTCAGCATAGATTTTTTCCGGTTATTTAAACAACATTTCAGATGCTTTTCCTGGCATCATTAGCTGAATGCTTCTACTGACAGCTGGAATCATTCAAACATCTGAGACAAGAGAGTGAACAGGACGTTCACTTGTTACCGTATCTCCTCGCTTCTCAACCACCACCCCTGAAATTCGCAGACTGTCACTGGGGAGCCTGTGAACGTGGCTGAACGCAAACGGATTTAAAACTTGACAGGTGTTTCCAGCATGGAAAGGAACAAGGACTATAACGGCGAATAATAATAATAATAATAATAATAAAAGACAAATTAGGGATCAAGATCCAGTCTGTTTTTGTCTCATTTATAGTCTTTTCTCCAAGAGGTTGTAGGCTGGTACCATTTCACTAGGTTAAAAGCCTACGGTGTCAAGAGGTGCTAAGCTTTGCTGCTGTCTCTTGCTTGGCAAGACAAGCTCCGAGTCTTTCTGGAACTGACAATTGTGTGTGGGCATTTTCTTGTTTCTGGGGTTCTTTGCATGCATAGGGGCTGATCTTTGATATCCACTCTGGACTCCTCTCTGCAAACCTCTGGACATGCCACAGACAGCAGCTGTAACTTACTGAGGTCAACCTGCTTACAACCCACGTACCAACCCCATGGAGGTGATTGTCGTATGACTAACAGCAGGCAGTTAAGGAGAAAGTCATGCTTTACAAACGAGTCTGTGACTAGAAATCACAGGACCTGATGAATCCCTCAGAAACCCAAGAGGGATGGACTAACATTAAGGGGTTGTGGACTGTCCAGCCGTGCAGGGACAGTCTCCAAGAAGATGCTTTAGACACAACGGTGAATTCTGCAGGCGCTAGTTTGCATGCATATTTAGGCGTAGATATTCAAATGCATGAAGGATGTCAGTTTTCTTTTCTTTCTTTTTTCCTTCTTTCTTTCTTACTTTCTTTCCTTCCTCCCTTCCTTCCTTCCTTTCTTCTTTCTTTCTTTCCTTCCTTCCTGCTTTCCTTCCTTCCTTTCTTTTCTTTCTTTCCTTCCTTCCTTGCTTCCTTCCTTCCATCTTTCTCTTTCTCTTTTTCTTTCTTTCTCTCCTTCCTTCTTTCCTTCCTTCCTTCCCTTCCCTTCCTTCCTTCCTTTTTCTTCTTCTCTTTCTTTCTTTCTTTTTCTTTCCTTCCTTCCTTCTTTCTCCTTCCTTCCTTCCATTTTTCTTTCTTTCTTTCTTTCTTTCTCTCTCTCTCTTTCTTTCTTTCTCTCTCTCTCTTCTTCCTTCCTTCCTTCCATTCTTCTTTCTTTCTTTCCTTCCTTCCTTTCTTCTTTCTTTCCTTCCTTCCTTGCTTCCTTCCTTCCATCTTTCTTTCTTTCTTTCTTCCTCTCCTTCCTTCTTTCCTTCCTTCCTTCCCTTCCCTCCTTCCTTTTTCTTCTTCTCTTTCTTTCTTTCTCTTTCCTTCCTTCCTTCCTTCTTTCTCCTTCCTTCCTTCTTTCCTTCCATTTTTCTTTCTTTCTTTCTCTTTCTTTCTCTCTCTCTTTCCTTCCTTCCTTCCTTCCTTCCTTCCTTCCTTCCTTCCTTCCTTCTTTCTTTCTTTCTTTCTTTCTTTCTTTCTTTCTTTCTTTCCTTCTTTCTTTCTCTCTCTCTCTCTCTCCCTCTCTTCTTCCTTCCTTCCTTCCTTTCTTTTTAAGAGTCTTGCTCTGTCACCAGGCTGGAGTGCAGAGGCGCCATCTCGGCTCAATGCAACCTCCACCTCCTGGGTTCAAGCGATTCTCCTGCCTCAGCCTCCCAAGTTGCTGGGATTACAAGCATGCGCCACCACTCCCAGCTAATTTTTGTATATTTAGTAGAGATGGGGTTTCACCGTGTTGGCCAGGCTGGTCTTGAATTCCTGACCTCGTGATTCGCCCACCTCAAATTCCCAAAGTGCTGAGATGACAGGCGTGAGCCACTGTGCCTGGCCAAGAGTGCCAGTTTTCTAAACACGGGCACACACTTAATTTAATCTACAAATGTTTAAAAATGAGATGTGCAGCCTGGCATAGTGGCTCATGCCTGTAATCCCAGCACTTTGGGAGGCCGAGACGGGTGGATCATGACTCCAGGAGATCGAGACCATCCTGGAAAACACGGTGAAACCCCGTCTCTACTAAAAATACAGAAAAATTAGCCGGGTGTGGTGGCGGGAACCTGTAGTCCCAGCTACTTGGGAGGCTGAGGCAGGAGAATGGCGTGAACCCGGGAGGTGGAGCTTGCAGTGAGCCCAGATCGCACCACTGCACTCCAGCCTGGGCGACAGAGCGAGACTCCCTCAAAAAAAAAAAAAAAAAAAAAAAAAAGAGAGATATGCAATAGAGTTAATAACCATTTACTGTATTCTTGAAAATTGCTAACAATAGATGTCAACTGTTCTCAACAAAGGAAAATGGTAAGTATGTGAGCAAAGGCCAATGTTAATTAGCTCAATGTATCCATTCCACAATATTTATACACATCAAAACTTTACGTGCGGCCAGGCATGGTGGCTCATGCCTGCAATCCCAGCGCTTTGGGAGGCTGAAGTGGGAGAATTACCTGAGGTCAGGTGTTCAAGTCCAGCCTGGTCAACATAGTGAAACCTCGTCACTACTAAAAACACAAAAATTAGCCGGGCATGGTGGCGGGCACCTGTAACCCCCAGCTACTCGGGAGGCTGAGGCAGGAGAATCTCTTAAACCCGGGAGGTGGAGGTTGCAGTGAGCTGAGATCGTGCCACTGCACTCCAGCCTGGGCAAAGAAGCGAGACTCCATCTCAAAAAACAAAAAAACAAGAAAGCAAAAAAAAAAGTTATGTGGTGCACCTGAACATATGCAATTTTCTTCTGTCAGTTAAAAAATGAAGTGTGCTCAGGAGGCTGAGGCAGGAGAATTGCTTGAACCTGGGAAGCAGAGGTTGCAATGAGCCGAGATCACACCACTGCACTCCAGCCTGGGCAACAGAGTGAGACTCTGTCTCAAAAAAAAAAAAAAAAAAAAAATGAAGTGTGTAAACATTTCCAAAATGTACCCAGTTGCAGGGAGCAATGTTGCATATGTTTAAACCCAGCACTTTGGGAGACTGAGCCAGGAGGACTGCTTGAGCGTAGGAGTTTGAGAACATCCTGGGCAACATAGCAAGACTTCATCTCTACAAAACGTAAACAAAAACATTAGCCAGGTGTGTGGCTGAAGTCCCAGCTCCCCGGAAGGCTGAGGCAGTGGGACTGCTCAAGCCGAGGAGTTCAAGCCTGCAGTGAACCACAATCATGCCACTGGACTCCAGCCTGGGCAACAGAGTCAGATCCCATTTCTACAAAAATAAAAAATTTAGGCCGGGTGCAGTGGCTCATGCCTGTAATCCCAGCACTTTGGGAGGTCGAGGCGGGTGGATCACGAGGTCAGGATTTTGAGACCAGCCTGACCAACATGGTGAAACCCTGTCTCTACTAAAAATACAAAAATTAGCCGGACGCGGTGGCATGCATCTGTAATCCCAGCTACTCAGTAGGCTGAGGCAGAGAATTGCTTGAATCCAGGAGGCAGAGGTTGCAGTGAGCCAAGATTGTGCCACGGCAATCCAGCCTGGGCAACAGAGAGAGACTCTGTCTCAAAAAAATAAAAATAAAAATTTAACCAGGCATGGTAGTGCATGCCTGTAGTTTCAGCTACTTGGGAGGCTGAGGCAGGAGGATGACTTGAGCCCAGGAGTTGCAGGCTGCCGTGAGCCATGATCAGGTCACTGCACTCCAGCCTGGGCAACAGAAGCAAGACCCCATCTCTACAAAAATAAAAAAAATAACCAGGCATGGTGGTGCTTGCCTGTAGTTCCAGCTACTTGGGAGGCTGACGCAGGAGGATGACTTGAGCCCAGGAGTTGGAGGCTGCTGTGAGCCATGATCAGGCCACGGCACTCCAGCCTGGGCAACAGAGCAAGATCCCATCTCCACAAAAATAAAAAAGTTATCAAGGCATGGTGGTGCATGCTTGTAGTTTCAGCTACTTGGGAGGCTGAGGCAGGAAGATGACTTGAGCCCAGGAGTTGGAGGCTGCAAGTGAGCCATGATCAGGCCACTGCACTCCAGCCTGGGCAACAGAGACAGACTCCATCTCTACAAAATAAATAAATAAATAAATAAATAAATAAATAAATAAATAAATAACCAGGCATGGTGCTGCATGCCTGTAGTCCCAGCTACTTGGGAGGCTGAGGCAAGAGGATCTCTTGAGCCCAGGAGTTGGAGGCTGCTGTGAGCCATGATCAGGTCACTGCACTCCAGCCTGGGCAACAGAGCAAGACCCCATCTCTACAAAAATAAAAAAAAAACAGGTATGGTGGTGCATGCCTGTATTCCCAGCTACTTGGGAGGCTGAGGCAGGAGGATGACTTGAGCCCAGGAGCTGGAGGCTGCTATGAACGATGATCAGGCCACTGCACTCCATCCTGGGCAACAGAGCAAGACTCTGTCTCTATAAAAAAAAATAATAAAAATAAAGATAAAATGTACCCAGCTGATGATATTCCACAATCACTTCAGTGAAAATCTGGTTTCCTTTGAGCAGCCTAGATTTCTTTTTCTGACAGAAGCCTTCCTTTTTCCAACATGCTTACTGGTCTGACTGAATTCTACATAAAACCCTCACCATTTTTTTTTTGTTTGTTTGTTTTGAGACAGAGTTTTGCTCTTGTTGCCCAGGCTGGAGTGAAATGGCTTAGGGCTTGGAGGGAAGCTCTTAATGAAATATTCTTAGAAGCTTGTCAGTAGCCTGGGTGTCCTAAGATAATTGTGTGTATATACACATACATACATAATGTATATATGTGTATATATATAATTATAAATAATATATAGTAATATATAGCATATATTATATATAATAATATAATTTATATATAAATTATATATAGTGTAATATATAACATATAGTATATATAGCATATATTATATATAATTATGCACATAATATATATTTTATATATTATGCACATAATATATGCATACGTATAGCATATATTATATATAATTATGCACACAATTATGCACACATAATATACGGTATATATACTATATGTTATGTATAGTATATTACACTATATAATATGTTATATGTAGTATATATACTATATATTATATAAACGATATAATAGTTATGTTATATATTATCTTACATTATGTATATATTATATAGAATAATTATATATACTATATATACTATATATACTACATGTAATATATAATATATAGTATAGTATATTATATATAGTATAGTAATTATATAATATAGTATATTATACATAATATATATTATAATATATAATGTAGTATATACTATATATTATAATATATAATATAGTATATACTATATATAATATATAGCATATATTATATATGTAATTCCAGGCTAATACATAATATATATGTTATATATATTATATATAATTCTAGACTAATATATGTTTGTATAATATATACAAATGTTTGTTCTGTTTTTTCTATATATAATATATATTCTAGGCTGAAATATATATTTGTGATATATAATATTTTATATATGTATATATTATATATTTATAGTATATAATTTATTTACATATTATATATTTATAACATATAATTTATTTAATTTGTAATATAATATATTTAATTTACAATATATAGTATATTTAATTTCTAACATATCTTATATATTTACATATTAAATATATTTATTATATATGTATTTATATGTATATATTTCAGCCTAGAGGACAATTATCTGAGGACGCCCAGGTTACTGACAAGTCTCTGAAGATGTTTCATATATATATAGATTTATCTGTGATTTGAGACAGGGTCTCACTGTCCCCCAGGCTGGAGTGCAATACCACAATCACAGCTCTCTGCAGCCTCGACCTCCCAAAGCTCAGGTGATCCTCCTGCCTCAGCACCTCCGAGTAGCTGGGATTACAGGCACCCGCCACCACACCTGGCTAATTTTTGTATTTTTAGTAGAGACAGGGTTTCACCATGTTGCCTAGGCTGGTCTCGAACTCCTGACCTCAGGTGATCCGCCCGCCTCGGCCTCCCAAAGTGCTGGGATGACAGGCGTGAGCCGCCTCTCCTGGCCTGGGCTGAACTATATTATAGGGTCTCTGCAGTTCTGCCAGAGGATCAGGAAGACGGCCCAGCTCAGAAGCCACAGGCCAGCGAGCATCTCTCCGGATTCCCAAGACTTGGGTCAAACCTCTGCAGAAATGTTTGTCTGTTTTTTTTTTTTTCTGGAATCTTCTTTTTCAGCTGCTGTCCCCAATCTCAGGCCTGATTTCATGCACTTTTATGCACTTTCAGAAGTGCACGAAAGGGACCAAGAGAAGTCTCATTTGCAGCTGAGGACAGCCCTCAGCAGCAGCTCATTAAACAGCCATTTAATGCCCAGTGTTTCCAAACTTGATCATGGCTCGAAGTGGGGGGATTTACGCTGTGGAGGCAGCATCTTTCTTAATCCAAAGCTGTCACCTCGGATGCCACGACGGTGTGTGAAAATCTCTTGGGAGCGCCAGAACCCAGGGCCACACGGTCGGCAGAAACGAAATGAAGAAATTACAGTAATTTTCTAGTTTAACGAGGTCGCGTTCCTTCTGTTGTCATTCACCAGCTACAACGAGAGGAGCCCAAATTTTCTGCCCCTGGCATTTTTTTTTAAACAGAATTTCACATGCAAACAAAAATAGATTGCTCTAAAAATGAGTGTTTTGGAGGTTTTCAGTACAGGCAGGTGGGAGGGGAAGAGAGATTTTCAATAAGGAGAGAAGGCTCACTTTGGAGACCTTGTTTCTGCGTCTCGTGAATAGACTCTTGTTTTATTACTACTTTTCAATTTTTATGGTTTTAGAGACAGGGTCTGGCTCTGTTGCCCAGGCTGCAGTGCAGTGGTGCAATCATAGCTCACTGCAGCCTCGACTTTCTGGGTTCATGCGATCCTCCTGCCTCAGCCTCCCGAGTAGCTGGGAGCACAGGTGCCCACCACCACACCCAGCTAATGTTTTGTTTTTTTTTGTAGAGATGGGGACTCTCTATGTTGCCCAGGGTGGTCTTAAACTCCTGGTCTTAAACGATCCTCTTACCTCAGCCTCCCAAGATGCTGGGATTACTATCTCTGGCCTGGTTATCATCTTTGTTTATCAATGGAAAGGTATGCATTTTGCAGATACCTGGCTTGTAGCTTTTTGGGGTTATTTTGACACGGAGTCTCACTCTGTTACTGAGGCTGGAGTGCAGTGATGCAATCTCAGCTCACTGCAGCCTCCACCTCCTGGGTTCAAGCGATTCTCTTGCCTCAGTCTCCCGAGTAGCTGGGATTACAGGTGCCTGCCACCACGCCCGGCTAATTTTTGTATTTTTAGTAGAGACAGGGTTTCACTGTGTTGGCCAGGCTGGTCTCAAACTCCTGACCTCAGGTGATCCACCCACCTCAGCCTCCCAAAGTGCTGGGATTACAAGTGTTAGCCACTGCACCCGGCTGCTTGAAACTTTTATAGAGATGGGGTCTTGCTCTGTCTCTCTAGCTGCCATGCAATGGCTTGGAGCTGCTCCACGTCATCTTGGTCATCCAAGTCCATATAGCACCAACATCTTCCTGAGCTCAGAGAGCACTGAAGGCAAATAGAGCCCCTTCCCTTCCCTTCCCTTCCCTTCCCTTCCCTTCCCTTCCCTTCCCTTCCCTTCCCTTCCCTTCTCTCCCCTCCCCTCCCATCCCCCTCCCCTCCCCTCCCGTTCCCCTCCCCTCCCCCTCCCCCCCCTCCCCTCCCCCTCCCCTCCCCCTCCCCTCCCTCTCTCCTTTTTCTTCTCTTCTCTTCTCTTCTCTTCTCTTCTCTTCTTTCTCTTCTCTTCTCTTTTCTTTTCTTTTCAATGGAGTTTCGCTCTTGTCGCCCAGGCTGGAGTGCAGTGGTGCAAACTCGGCTCACAGCCTGGGCAACATAGCAAGAGTCTATCTCTACAAAAAAATACAAAAAATTACCTGGGCATGGTGGCCCACACCTGTAGTCCCAGCTACTTGGGAGGCTGAGGTGGGAGGATCACTTGAGCCTGGGAGGTCAAGCCTGCAGTGAGCTATGATCATGCCACGGCACTCCAGCCTGGGTGACAGAGCAAGACCCTGTCTAAAAAAATAATAATAATAAAATAAAATAAATGTATATCTCTGTCCTTTATGTATTTCCCCTCTCTCTCTCTCTCTCTCCCTCCCTCTCTCTCTCTCTCTCTCTATATATATATATAAAATGGAGATATATAAAAATATATAAATATAAGAGATAAATATCTAAAGGACATAGATATATTTATTTTATATTATTATATAAAATACATATAAAGGATATCTATCCTTTATGGATCTATCTATATTATCTATATTATACTGTCTATATTATGATCTATTATTATGTTATATCTATAACTATTATAGATATATTTACATTATATTATATCTATATTATCTGTCTGTTATTATAATCTATTATCTATAATATCTATTATATTATCTATATCTATATTATCTGTATCTATATTACTTATATTATTTATATATGCTTTATAGATCTATCTATATTATTTATCTATCTACCTATATTATCTATGTATCTACCATCTATCTATATCATCTATCTATCTACCTATATTATCTATCTGTTTTATCTATCTTATCTATCATCTATCTAGATATATCTTAATATATCATGTAGGCGGGACACGGTGGCTCACGTCTGTAATGCTGGCACTTTGGGAAGCTGAGGCGGGTGGATCACGAGGTCAGGAGCTCGAGACCAGCCTGGCTAACACAGTGAAACCCCGTCTCTACTAAAAATACAAAAAATTATCCAGGTGTGGTGGCATGCACCTGTAATCCCAGCTACTCAGAAGGCTGAGGCAGGAGAATCGCTTGAACCTGGGAGGCAGAGGTTGCAGCGAGCCAAGATTGAGCCATTACACTCCAGCCTGGGTGACAGAGGGAGACTCCATCTCTCAAAAAAAAATATATATATATAATATATATATGTGTGTGTGTGTATATATATATCATCGTATATATGTCATATATGTAGATACCTATATATATCATGTCATATATATATGTGATCCAATTTGCTAACATTTTAGATGTATCTTTATAGATAAGACACACACACACACACACACACACACACACACACACACACATACACACACGCACACGTGACCCAATTTGTTAACATTTTATGAAGGATTTCTGTGTCCGTGTTTGTGGCTGATGCTGGTCTCCATCTCTTTTCACAGTGTCTTTGCTTTTTTGTGGTTTTAGTGTTGAGGTCCTACGGGCCTCCCAGAATGGTTTAGGGAGTGCCTCCACCCCTCCACTGCTGAAAAAGTTTGTGAAAGTTTGCTGTATTTCCTTAGACAGAATTCACTAGACAACCTGGGCCTGGAGATTTCTTTGGGAGCAGACTCTTCATCACAGCCCCGATTTTTAAATGCTAAACAGGACTATCCACATTTTCTACTTCTTCTGATGTCAGCTTTGGTGACCTGTGTCATTCAAGGAATTTGTCTGCTTCACGTCAGTTAAATTCATCGCCATAAGGTTGTGGATGAAATTCTCTTGTCATGTTTTGAATAGTGTTGGCATTTATAACTTCCCTCTTGGTTTTTCTCCTACATCCGTGGCCACCCCCTCTGAGCCTGCTGCATCCCAACCTTTGTCTCGCCCTATAAACATTGCACTGCCCAGGGCTCAGTGGACAGACCTCTCCTCTTCCCTATGCATGTTTAAGCCTTGGGGGATCTCATTCAATCCAATGTAATAATTCCCAAATATATCCATGTCTATCTCATCCCAGTCTCCTCATGGAGCTCCCACTCAGCAATCCAACCAATGACTCCACATCTCAGAGGTCCAGTAACCATCACAAATAAAACAAGCCCAAAACAGGCCACCTTTCATCCCCCTAAAACTCCCCTTCACATCCTCTGCCATTTTGGTGAATGTGCCACTTTGTATGTGGTCATGCACGTAGGTCACTGAAGCCCTTTGGTTACTTCTGAATGTGAAACGTTTATTCCAGCCTCCTGTCTCTCCTTGTTTTTTTTTTTTTAAATTAAAAAAATATATTTTCATAGATTTAGGTGGTACAAGTGACTATGTTACATGGGCGTGTTGTGTAGCGGTGAGGTGTGGGCTTTTAGTGTAACTGTCACCCAATAGTGAACATTGTACCCAACAGATAATTTTTCAACCCTCAACCCCTCTCCTACCCTCAGGCCCTCTTGACCTTCCAAGTCTCTAATGTCTAGTATTCTACTCTCTGTGATCATATCCACACATGGTTGAACTCCCACTTCCACATGAAAACATGCAGTTTTTGGTTTTCTGATTCTGCACTAATGTACTTAGGGGCTGTGATGAAGAGCCTGCTCCCAGACAAATCTCCAGGTGCATGGATGAGGGCCTCCAGCTGCATCTGTGTTTCTGCAAATGACTTGATACCATTCCTTTTTCATGCCTGCATAGTATTCCATGGTGTATAGATACCACATTTTTCTTTTTTTCTTGAGACAGAGTGTTACCCTGTTGCCCAGGCTGGAGTGCAGTAGTGCCATCTTGGCCCACTGCAACTTCTGTCTCCCAGTTTCAAGCAATTCTCCTGCCTCAGCCTCCCGAGTAGCTGGGATTACAGGTGCATGCCACCACGCCCAGTTAATTTTTGTATTTTTAACACAGATGGAGTTTCACCATGTTGGCCAGGCTGGTCTCAAACTCCTGACCTCAGGTGATCCACCCGCCTCGGCTTCTGAAAGTGCTGGGATTACAGGCTTGAGCCACTATGCCTGGCCCACTTTTTTTTAATCCTGTACATTATTGATGTACACTGAGGTTGATTCCATGCCCTTGCTGTTGTGAACGGTGCTGTGGTCAACATCCAAGTACATATAATGACTTCTTTTCCTTTGGGTAGAAACCCTTTCTGAGGATGGCTGGATGGAACACTAGTTCTACTCTTAGTTGTTTGAAAAATCTCCATACTATTTTCCATAGAGGTTGTAATACTTTACATTCCCACTGGCAGTGTACAGCGTTGCCCTCTCACCATATCATCACCAACATCTGTTGTTGTTTGACTTTTTAATAATGGCTATTCTGCTGGTGTGCGATGGTATCTCATTACGGATTTGTTTGGAATTTCTCCTGTCCTTGTTTTATCTGCTTATCATGCACTTCCCTCCAGGGTCTCATAACCCCTTCCCTCACTTCCCCAAGATTCTGCACTAAATGTCACTTTAACTTCCAACTCTTTCTTTTTATATAAAAAAAATTATTTCCATAGGTTGTTGTGAACAGGTGGTGTTTGGTTACATGAGTAAGGTCTTTTTTTTTTCTTTTGTTTGTGTGTGTGTGTGTTTTTTTTGTTGGTGGTGGTGGTTGTCTTTTTTTTTTTTTAACAATAGTTGGCATTTATTGACCCAGATAATATCCAAGGCAAGTCAACAATGGCATCATAAATATTAATGAAGTCCTTCCATAAACACTATATGTTATTGGCATTATTTCCCCAGTACATCTCTATAAAGACATTGAGTCATAGCAAAAAGTGAGTCAGTATAATTTGAGAGCCTGGACCATTAATGACTTAGCTATAATCAATTTAGTAAGTAAAACGATTTTCCATTTGAATTTGTTTCTTTGGTTATTAGTGAGATGAACACATTTGTAATATTTTAGTAGAATATTTGAATCTTTTAATAAATGACCCTCTCAACACATTTTCATTAATCTGTTGCAGTGATTGTTCATTTTATACCGACATGAGTAATTTCTTTAGTGGCGACTGGTGAGATTTTGTGGCACCCATCACCTGAGCAGTATACACCAAACCCAATTTGTAGTCTTTTATCCCTCACCCCCTTCCCACTCTTTTCCCCAAGACCCCAAAGTCCATTGCATCCTTGTTTTGTTTTGTTTTGTTTTGAGATGGACACTCAATCTGTTGCCCAGGCTGGAATGCAATGGTGCGATCTTGGCTCACTGCAAGTCCCCAAAGTCCATTGCATCATTCTTTTGTTGTTGAGACAGAGTCTCGCTCTGTCGCCCAGGCTGGAGTGCAGTGGTGCAATCTTGGCTCATTGCAACCTCCACCTGCCAGGTTCAAGTGATTCTCCTGCCTCAGCCTCCCGAGTAGCTGGGATTACAGGTGCCCACCACCATGCCTGGCTAATTTTTTGTATTTTTAGTAGAGACAGGGTTTCACCATGTTAGCCAGGATGGTCTCCATCTCCTGACCCCATAATCCATCCACCTTGGCCTCCCAAAGCACTGAGATGACAGGCATGAGCCACTGCACCCGGCCCAGTCCATTGTATCATTCTTATGCTTTGCCCACTTATGAGTGAAAACGTACAATGTTTGGTTTTCCATTCCTGAGTTACTTTACTTAGAATAATTGTCTCCAGTTCCATCCAGATTGCTAAAAATGCCATTAATTGGTTCCTTTTTATGGCTGAGCAGTATTCCATCATATCCTTGACTCCCAGCTCCTTCTAAACAGCTCCTGCACCCCATCTCCTTCTCTCTCCCTCCATCTCTCTTTCTCTCTCTCACTTTTTCTCTCTCTGTATTTAGAGACAGGCTCTCACTCTGTCAACGAGGCTGGTGTGCAGTGGTGAAATCACAGCTTACTGAAGCCTCAACCTCTTGGCCTCAAGCAATCTTCCCACCTCAGCCTCCCAAGTAGCTGGGACCACAGGTGCACACCACCATGCCTGGCTAATTTCTAGTAGAGAGGGAGGGTCTCACTATATTGCACAGGCTGGTCTTAAACTCTTGGGCTCAAGTGATCCTCCCACCTCAGCCTCCCGAGTAGCTGGGACCACAGGTGCATGCCACCAAGCCTGGTTAATTTTTAATAGAGAAGGGGGGGTCTCCCTATGTTGCCCAGGCTGGTCTTAAACTCCTGGGCTCAAGCAATCCTCCCACCTCAGCCTTCCAAGTATCTGGGGCCACAGGTGCACACCACCATGCCTGGCTAATTTCTAGTAGAGAAGGAGGGTCCCACTATATTGCATAGGCTGGTCTTAAACTCTTGGGCTCAAGTGATCCTCCCACCTCAGCCTCCCAAAGTGCTGGGATTACAGGCGTGAGCCACTTCACCCAGCCCCAATCACTGTCAGACTCCCAGCCTTTCAGTCTACTTACCGTCTTGTGAGATTGTATCTGATTTTCGACTGATGTATTTCCTGATTGGCTGTGTCCTCCAGTAAGATGGGAACTCGGTGAGAACAGAGAATGTACTTCTGTATTTCCCTCTCGTGTGCCTGGAAGACAAGCAGGTGCTCGTCTAAGTGGGTGGATCTGTTTCTTCTTGCTGCTGTAAAAAGTGATCCTAAATGCAATGGTTCCAAACGGCACCTCTTCATCATCCTACGGTCACTGTGAGTCAGACATCAGGCACAGCGTCGCCAGCTGCATCCCCTCCTCAGAGCCTTCTATGGCCACAATTATGAGATCCACGCAGTAGGCTCTGACTGAGGGTCCTAAGAGATGGTCCATGTCCGCATTCAGGCAGGTCATTTGCCCAAGCTCAGTTCCTTGGGGTTGCAGGAATGAGGTTCCCAATGCAGGACCTGGCTTTGCTCTTGGAGGTGCTCATGGTCCTTCTCCTGCCCCCACCTGGGACCCCTGTAGCAAGGGCAGGCTGAGTTTCTCTGTGCTTGGAACCCTCCTGATGCCGTCTTCTCCTTGTCTCTCTGACTCCAGGCACAGAAAGTTCTTTGCTATGGAGAGCGCATCTGATTAGATTGGACCCACTTGGATAAGTTTGGCAAACTGAATCCCATCTTTAAAGTCCCCTTTGCCATCCAAGGTCATATTGAAGCTTAGAAAATGATACCCTAAATGAAGGCTTTATCAGCAGCCTGAGAGGCAAATGTTTCTCTCTTTGACCTTCTCTTATCCTCCTGCCTCTCAGTCCCATTCTCCTCTGAGACACCACCAGAGAAACTAGAATTTTTCTTCCCCCCACATGGGTCTTGGAATTCAGAACTTCTTTTCCTCAAAGACATCATAGAAACTAGAATCCCTCTTCCCCAGCACGGGTCCTAGAAACAGGACCCCCCCAAGCCAGGCACTGTGGCTCACACCTGTAATTCCAGCACTTTGGGAGGCCAAGGCAGGTGGATCACCTGAGGTCAGGAGTTCGAGACCAGCCTGGTCAACATGGTGAAACCCTGTCTCTAGTAAAAATACAAAAACTACCAGGCGTGGTGGCAGGCACCTGTCATCCCAGCTACCGGGGAGGCTGAGGCAGGAGAATCGCTTGAACTTGGAAGGCGGAGGTTGCAGTGAGCCGAGATTGTGCCACTGCTCTCCAGCCTGGGTGATGCAGCAAGACTCAGTCTCCAAAAAAAAAAAAAAAAAAAAGAAACAGGAACTCTTTTCCCCCAAAGACATCATAGAAACTAGAATCCCTCTTCCCCAACATGGGTCCTAGAAACAGGAGCCCCCAAGCCGGGCACGGTGGCTCATGCCTGTAATCCCAGCTACTCGGGAGGCTGAGGCAGGAGAATCACTTGAACTCGGGAGGCAGAGTTTGCAGTGAGCCAAGATCGTGCCACTGCACTCCAGCCTGGGTGACAGAGCAAGACTCAGTCTCAAAAAAAAAAAAAAAAAAAAGAGAAAGAAAGAAAGAAAAAAAAGAAACAGGAGCCCTTTTTCCCCAAAGACACCAGAAAAACTAGAATCCATCTTCCCCAACAGGGGTTCTAGAAACAGGAGCCCCCAAGCCAGGCGCCGTGGCTCACACCTGTAATCCCAGCACTTTGGCAGACCAAGGC
Source organism: Homo sapiens (assembly GCF_000001405.40). Taxonomy (NCBI): domain Eukaryota; kingdom Metazoa; phylum Chordata; class Mammalia; order Primates; family Hominidae; genus Homo; species Homo sapiens. The sequence goes on from NC_000023.11 coordinate 615,513, forward strand.
AGGTGGATCACCTGAGGTCAGGAGTTCAAGACCAGCCTGGTCAACATTGTGAAACCCTGTCTGTAGTAAAAATACAAAAACTCCCAGGCGTGGTGGCAGGCACCTGTCATCCCAGCTACTGGGGAGGCTGAGGCAGGAGAATCGCTTGAACTTGGAAGGCAGAGGTTGCAGTGAGCCGAGATTGTGCCACTGCTCTCCAGCCTGGGTGATGCAGCAAGATTCAGTCTCAAAAAAAAAAAGAAACGGGAGCTCTTTTTCCCCAAAGACACCATAGAAACTAGAATCCCTCTTCCCCAACATGGGTCCTAGAAAGAGGAGCCCCCAAGCCGGGCACGGTGGCTCACACCTGTCATCCCAGCACTTTGGCAGACCAAGGAGGGCAGATCACCTGAGGTCAGGAGTTCGAGACCAGCCTGGCCAACATGCTGAAACCCTGTCTCTAGTAAAAATACAAAAACTCCCGGGCGTGATGGCGGACACCTGTCATCCCAGCTACCGGGGAGGCTGAGGCAGGAGAATCGCTTGAACTCGGGAGGCGGAGTTTGCAGTGAGCCAAGATCATGCCACTGCACTCCAGCCTGGGTGACAGAGCAAGACTCAGTCTCAAAAAAAAAAAAAAAAAAAAAAAAAAAAAAAAAAAGAGAAAGAAAGAAAGAAAAAGAAACAGGAGCCCTTTTCCCCCAAAGACATCAGAAAAACTAGAATCCATCTTCCTCAACATGGGTCCTAGAAACAGGAGCCCCCAAGCCGGGCGCGGTGGCTCACACCTGTAATCCCAGCACTTTGGGAGGCTGAGGCGGGCAGATCACCTGAGGTCACGAGGTCGAGACCAGACTGGCCAACATGGTGAAACCCCGTCTCTACCAAAAATAGAAAAAATAGCCAGGCGTGTTGGTGAGCACCTGTAATCCCAGCTACTCGGGAGGCTGAGGCAGGAGGATCGCTTGAACCCGGGAGGCGGAGGTTGCAGTGAGCCAGGATCACACCACTGCACTCCAGCCTGGGCGACTGAGCAAGAGTCAGTCTCAAAAAAAAGAAAGAAACAGGAGCTGTTTTCCCCCAAAGACACCAGAGAAACAAGAATTCCTCTTCCCCCATATGGATCCTAGATACAGGAGCCCCTTTTCCCCAAAACCAGCCATAAAACCCAAAAATAAGACTCTAACTTTCCCTCTACCGTATCTGTATAAAAACCGGTCATAAGGAAATTCGCTGACATACATTGTTTGACTGAAGGTCCTACGACCCCCATTTCAGAGAAGACCCTGCCCCACACCTAAAAGAAAGGAACGCCGCTCAGAGAGGCCGAGAAGATTCTAGACAGACAGGCCTGGCTCTGTTTCCCCACTTAGTCCATTAGCCTTAGGTCAAAGCCCTTTTTGTGCAATCCTGTTTCTACAGGGCTTTGTTAAACCAAAGCACAAAAATGGATAATTTCCCTTTTATCTTTGGGTCTTCCTTTTGAAGCCTCCTGTGTACACACGTGACATAAATGTGTATGTGTTTTCTCCTATTCTATTTTTTTTTTTTTTTTTTGAATCGGAGTCTTGCTCTGTCGCCCAGGCTGGAGTGCAGTGGTGAGATCTTGGCTCACTGCAACGTCTGTCTCCCGGGTTCAAGTGATTCTACTGCCTCAGCCTCCGAGTAGCTGGGATTACAGGCACGCACCACCACGCCTGGCTAATTTTTGTATTTTTAGTAGAGACAGGGTTTCACCATGTTGGCCAGGCTGGTCTCGAACTCCTGACCTCAGGTGATCCGCCCGCCTCGGCCTCCCAAAGTGCTGGGATTGCAGGCGTGAACCACCGCGCCTGACCTCTCCTATTCTTCTGCCTTTTGCAAATTAATTTTTCAGCAAACTTTCAAAGGGCAAAGCTCCCTTGGCCCCCACAGTAAGACAGTCACAGCTTCCGGGGATGAGGGTCTGGATATCTCTTTTTTTGAGGGGGGTGGGGAGATGGGGGCTGGCGTCATTCCATCCCCCACAGGGCTCAGGTACTATTTAATCACTCACAGAATCTGCAAACAGGACCCTTTCACAGCTGGCTTGATCCTGATGCCTGCCTGCGGGCAGTGATGCCTTCAGAGCTCTGTGAGTCTTTTTCCTCCGGGGAACACAGGAATGTCTCCAGCACTCTGGGAGATCAGATCCTCCTAAAGCACCGCAGCCCGTTTTGCAGCAGAAAGGATTTTGGGAAAGCAAATGAGCAGAATAAAAGCTGCAGAGGGTGAAAATGATGGTGTCTCCCTCCAGACCGCAATGGTGTCAGGTACCCTCTGGACCCCCAGGTTGTCACCTCCCCTCCAGACCCCTACGTTCTCATGTCTCATGTCCCCTCCACACACCCACGCTGTCATAGCCCTGGGCATCGTGGCCTGTGTGCAGAAGAACCTCTCGTCCTTGGAGACCCAGAGTCCCCAAATCACCTGGCCACACGGGGGACCCCAGTCTTTCTGGTCCAACCTGGCTGCACCCTGAAGTCACGGAGACCTAGAGACCCCAAAACATGTCCCCCAAAGACACCTTACTGCGCCCTGGTGCAAGGGGCCCCACTCCCAACCTGGAAAGCTGCCTTCCTGACTCCCACACAGACCCCAGACCCGCTGGGAAGGCCCTGGGCGTTTCAGAACTCCCCTGGCCAAGCTCCTGAAACCCCAGGAACTGTGACTCCTCTGAAAACAGGGGTGGGAGTCACTCCCACCTCCCCGCTGCCAGACCCAGGGCTACAGGGTCACGGAGGCAGCCTCAACAGGTGTGGTAGGATGACAGCTGAGGCCAGCAGGCACACAGCATAATGAATGAATGAATGGATGGGTGAATGAATGGATGGATGAAAGGATGAATGAATGAATGGATGGATGAAAGGATGAATGAATGAATGGATGAATGGATGAATGGATGGCTGAATGGATGAATGGATGGATGAATGGATGGATGAATGGATGAATGGATGGATGAATGGATGGATGGATGGATGAATGGATGAATGAATGGATGAATGGATGAATGGATGGCTGAATGGATGAATGGATGGATGAATGGATGGATGGATGGATGAATGGATGGATGAATGGATGGATGGATGGATGAATGGATGGATGAATGGATGAATGGATGGATGAATGGATGGATGAATGGATGAATGGATGAATGGATGGATGAATGGATGAATGGATGAATGGATGAATGGATGAATGGATGAAGGAATGAATGGATGAAGGAATGAAGTGAACCCAGGGCAGTCCCCTGCCTGCAGTATCTCCCCACACACCTCAGGGCTTTCTTAGCTGCGGCGAGCGGACAAGTGCCCTGAGCTAGACTCCCTGAGTGACCAGTGCAGACAGCTGTCCGCTCAGATCCCCCGGGACCCTCAGCCAGTGGCACAGAGTAGCTCTCCTGCCCACGCCTGCAGAAGCAGACATGCCCGGGTGGTTTATCCTGCGTGGCTGGGGGCGTGGGGGTGGCTGGGCTGTCGCTTGCTCCCACCCCTACCCCGGGTGCGCCCCCTGCCCCGTGCGCTGCGGGGGAGAAGAGCGGGGCGGTGCGCAGAGCGCAGAGCTGGGCTCCGGGCGAGAGTCCAGCCCGGTCGAGCTCAGGTCTCTCGCCCCAAGCTTCGCCTCGGGCCAGGAGGCTGAGCTGCGGGTGGAAACCGCCCTCCCCTGCCTCGCCCCGGGGCCCCCTCCCCCGCACTCCGGCCCGGGCCGGCGCCTGAGCTCCCCAATTAGCCCGGCTGCACTCGGACCTCCCCCAAATCCCTCCCCCAGATCCCTGCCCCGCACGCTCCTGCCTGGAGACCCCGCGCGCTCTGCGCTCCCCGCCTTCCCAGCCACCGCGGGTCAAGTTCCCCAGTGAGCGCAGGGCATGACCGGGGCGCATCCCCGGCCCCCCAACAGGCAGCCTTGGGCGGTCAGCGCGGGCGCCTCATTAGTAGGGTGGGATGAAGGGTTCCCCGGAGAGACGCAAGGCGAGCCCCCACCCACCCACCCACCGAGGCCCTGAGCATGGATAAGCGCCCCCAGTCCGGGCACCGTGGGGGACCCCTAGGGTCGTGGCCTCGCGGGCTGGTCCAGGAGCGCCCAGGAGCCTGGGGCAGGGGTGGGGGTGGGGGTTCCAGGACCGGCACGTGGGGGCCCCAGAACCCCTGCGCTCACCCGCGGGGTCGAGCTGTCTCTCCAGAAGCTGCGCTTGGTCAGGACTTGGGCCTTGTCCCCGCGGAAGTTCTGTTCCAGGCCAGCCCCCGGAGGCAGGAGGATGGGGAGGAGGCGGCCAGGTCTGCGGCACAAATTAGGCCATTAATTCCTGCCTGCTCCTAGAGAAGGCAAAGTTTCTGTCCTGGAATACGTTTCCAAAGACACAGCTTCTGGAAGGGGAAGGGAAAGGATGGAGAGGCTGCGCGGTGCTGATTCCACCCGACAGGCAATGCTCGCGTTCCTTGGAGTGGGAGGGGTCGGGGCGATGAGAAACCTCTGGGGGATCGGGGCAGGTGGACACGCGCGCTCGGAGCTGTCCAAGGCCTGGTCTCCCCGGCGATGACCCTACCCAAGAGTCAGGTCCCCACCTCAGGGAATCCTCCCGTTCCTTGGAGTTGGGGGGATGGGAGCGATGGGAAACCTCTGGGGGCTTGGGGCAGGTGGATAGGCGCGCTCTGGGCTGTCCAAGGCCTGGTCGCCCCAGGGCTGGCCCTACCCAAGGGTCAGGTCCTCACCTCAGGCCTCAGCCGGGGAGGAAGGCGGTGAACCAGGCACGGTGCCCTGTGCGCGCTCCTCGCTCTCCGGAGGCTCGGGGCCCCGTGTCCCCGCCGCGCCCCTGGGTGCCATTCGCGTTCTGCCGAAGCTTCTAGTCTTGGGAAGCAAAGTGTGCCTCTTCCTGGCTCTGCGCGGTGGAGGTCTTCGTTCCTTTCATCTGCGTTTTGACGTTGGAGAGACGTGGCCAAAGACTGGGAGCCTGTTTGGGAGTCCTGCCAATTTCTTAAGCCGGTGCGTCCTGGGGACGCGAATCCCGCGTCTGGGGCACGGGCAGGAGGAAGGAAGGACCAGTTCTTTTTCTGTCCCCTTGCGGAGGCCCGTGCCAGAAGTGGAAATGACAGTCGAAATACACCTCCAAGATGTGTTCCTCAGAACATGAATGACCGCAGAAAGGGGGCTGAATTTATTCCTGGCGAGGGAGGGCCGCCCCTTCTTTGTGCAGCGGTGGCCTCCAGCAAACGGCCTTGCTGGGTTTCTTCTTCGTGACAAAGGCCTTTGCTCCCTGAAAAACATAACGTTTTTCTTAAACAAATAAGAGTTTTCTTAAATAAAACATAGAGGCCCTGTGATTAAATCCGAAAGGAAAGAGGTCTAATGCCCACCATATGTTGCAAAGTACATGCTAAGGTTTAAAAGAGAGAGAGAGAGAGAGAGAGAGAGAGAGAGAGAGAGAAGCAAATTCCACAGAAGGTCCCTGAGAAAAAGCAAACAACGTTTTCTCCTAGGAAGTTTTACTTTAAAAATTGCAAGTTTGCATGGTGGGGTATTTTAGAGACACCCTCTCCTGCACACACACACACGTAGGTACTAGGACTTGTAGAAAAAGCGAGATAAAATGAAACAAATAGAAAAAAAAAAACCCCACAGAAAAACAAAGCTACATTCCCAAGGCAGGTCCTTAGACACATATGGTCAGCCAGGCCTCTAGAGAGAAGAAAAAACCAACCAGGGCCTACGTGCCCTTTTTAAATATTATAGAGGTTGCCCTTGTCCACTGGATCAGTCTCAGCCATTCACGAGCCAGACTGACAAACCTCACTTTAATGAAAATCTATTAGCTTCACGCGGGCAACGTGGATGTTTGCGTCAATCAATAAACAGCGTCGGAGGGAGTACAAATCCAGGTTTCTGACTTTAAAAGGGGAGGGGGAAGGAAAAAAAAAACAACAAGAGTTCGTCTAGGAAACGTGTTGAGACGTCTGTAAAATTCTGAAACCCTAAATACATCCTTATACATATTTAATGTGCGGGGAGGGGTTGGTGGTTGTTATAGGGGCCGAACCTTGGTCCGAGACCATGAATACCCACCCTTCCGTGCTTATCATGAATAGAAATGGCCTTTCGAATTATGTGCTTAAAAAAAAAGTGGGCCACATGGAAGGGGTATTTCTTGAAATAGCTGTAGGAGATATACCTAACGTCAATGACGAGTTCTTGGGTGCAGCAGACCAGCATGGCACATGTATACGTATGTAACTAACCTGCACGTTGTGCACATGTACCCTAAAACTTAAAGTCTAATAAAATAAAATAAAATAAAATAAAATAAAATAAAATAAAATAAAATAAAATAAAATAAATAAAATAAAAAGAAAAGTGTTTCCTCCCTGGCTGGAGGACCCAGGAGGAGGTCCCAGTTTTCCGGTGGGGATGGGCGTGGAGTAGGGGGCGGGGAAGGGATGAGGGCCTTAGGTTCTGCATCAGGAGGGCTGGAGGCCCCAGAGGGCCCCGTACAAATGCCTCTCTGCAATTAAGAGCTCTGGGCGTGAAATTTGATTTAAAGTAAATACATCAGGTTCCAGAGAGCGGAGCTTCGTTGGAGCTAAAACTGAAAAAATATAATCAAAGCCATACTTTTCGGGAGTTAAAGAAATCAAGTGTTCAGTATTTGAAGGTTCACGGCTTCTATTCCCCTTGGTGCTGCAAATGACAGAGAGAGAGAAAGGAGAGAGAGAAAGAAAAGAGAAGAGAGAGAGAGAGAGAAGACAGAAAGACAGAGACAGAGAAGAGAGAGAAAAGACAGAGAGAAGAGAGAGGACAGAGAGAAAGAGAGAGAGAGAAAGACAGAGAGAGAGAGAGAAGACAGAGAGAGAAAGAAAAGAGAAGAGAGAGAGAAAGAAGACAGAAAGACAGAGAGAGAGAAGAGAGAAAGAGAGAGGAGAGAAGAGAGAGAGGAGAGAGAGAAGACAGACAGAGAAGAGAGAGAAAAGAGAGAGAGAAGAGAGAGAAGAGAGAGGACAGAGAGAAAGAGAGAGAGGAGAGAGAGAAAGACAGAGACAGAAGAGAGAGAAAGAGAGAAGACAGAGAGAAAGAGAGAGAGGAGAGAGAGAAAGACAGAGAAAGAGAAGATAGAGAGAGAGAAGACAGAGAGAAGACAGAGAGAGAGAGAGAAAGACAGAGAGAGAGAAGAGAGAGAAAGACAGAGAGAAGACAGAGAGAGAGAGAAAGACAGAGAGAAGACAGAGAGAGAAAGACAGAGAGAGAGAAGATAGAGAGAGAAGACAGAGAAGACAGAGAGAGAGAGAAAGACAGAGAGAGAGAAGAGAGAGAAAGACAGAGAGAAGACAGAGAGAGAAAGACAGAGAGAAGACAGAGAGAGAGAGAAAGAGAGAGAGAGAAGACAGAGAGAGAAGAGAGAGAGAAAGAGAAAGACAGAGAGAGAGAGGACAGAGATAGAAAGAGAGACAGAGAAGACAGAGAGAGAGAGAAAGACAGAGAGAGAAGAGAGAGAAAGAGAGAGAGAGAAAGACAGAGAGAGAAGAGAGAGAAAGACAGAGAGCGAGAGAAAGACAGAGAGAGAAGAGAGAGAGAAAGACAGAGAGAGAGAAGACAGAGAGAGAGAAAGAGAGCGAGAAGAGAGAGAGAAAGACAGAGAGAGAGAAGACAGAGAGAGAGAAAGAGAGCGAGAAGAGAGAGAGAAAGACAGAGAGAGAGAGAAAGAGAGAGAAGACAGAGAGAGAAGAGAGAGAGAAGACAGAAAGACACAGAGAGAGAGAAGACAGAGAGAGAGAAAAAGTCAGAGAGAGAAGACAGAGAGAGAGAAAAAGACAGACAGAGAAGACAGAGAGAGAGAAAAAGACAGACAGAGAAGACAGAGAGAGAGAAAAAGACAGAGAGAAGACAGAGAGAAAGAGAGAGAAGAGAGAGAGAAGACAGAGACAGAAAGCGAGAGAAAGACAGAGAGAGAAAGTCAGAGAGAAGAGAGAGAGAGAGCAAATGACTTATTCCTTAAAACGTACCTAATTCACATAGAAAAAGCCAGATTATTTGATAAAGTGGGCCAGTCTCAGAGTTCCTTCCTCTTCGCAGCCATCCTAAGCGCGTTCCTCGAGTTTCCCCCCAGCAGGTGCGTTCTAGAAAGCGCTGGTCAGGACGCATGGCTGCCCCATAGATTTCTTGGGGACGGGAGTGAGAGACGCCTGGACGCCCAAGCGCAAGCCTCCAGCCTCCAAGGTCCTACAACAGATACAGCAGCTACTGAGTCTCCTCTCTGGTTTCTTTTCCGCCCCTGGGGAGAGAAAAGAGAAGGGGAGAAACGTCACCACCAGCAACTGCTCCCAGCCAGCAAGACGCACGGCGGGGAGGCCGGGGCTGGCCGCGTCCTGCAGCTCCTGAGCTGCGTGTCTGAGCTTTTCCCAGCCCCGCCTGCGTCTCCAGGGGCGAAATAAGAAGCAAATCTTGCTGGGACCGAGTTCAGGTCGAGGAACTCCGGGACCCTCTGCAGCCTCAGCCCTGCCGCGCTCCCCGCAGCTTCGGGCCTGTTGCGGGGAGTTGGGGAGGAATTCAGGGAAGGGGGGAACCAGGCCGGGATAAGAGGCTCCGGCTTGCTGTGGGCTGCATGACGGGGTGCAAAGGCGAGGAGAAGCCCCTGGGATCCTGGCTCGTCTGCTGCGGGACCCCCAGCCCCGGCGGGCGGACCGCGGAGAGCGCTGTCCCGGATCCGGAGATTCGCTTTTCCTTTGCGACTGCGGGGCTGGCGCGCGCGCGCGAGGGGTCAGCACCCTGGGCATTGGGGTCAATGCAACCAGGGCAGGTCCCTGGGGGGCCCCCAGGAGCCAATAGGGGTCTTCGAGTCACCCTGCGGCCGCCTGCTTTTGCCCGGGTCCTGAGAACAGGGGCTCCCCACACTTTTTTTTTTTTTGGTTTTGTTTTATTTCGTTTCCGCGCGTCTCTTTCTACTGCAAACAGAAATGGGAGGGTGGACAGGCGGGTAGGAGCGGATCAGACGCCCAGGACGCAGCAGCCCGAGTCCGCACAGGGTTTGCGGGAGGTGGTGACCGCGCTGGGGACGCCAGGACGCGAATGAACCTCCGGGGCGCGCTCGGGGCCTGCGCTCAGAGCTTGGTGAGCTCGGTTTTGGAACTTTCCTTTTCTTTTCCAGAAAGCTTTGCCTTCTTTCCTTTCTTCGTTCCTTCCTTCCTTCCTTCCTCTCTTCCTCTTTCTTTTCTTTCTTTCTTTCTTTCTTTCTTTCTTTCTTTCTTTTCTTTCTTCCTTTCACTTGGCAAGATTGGTTTTGGAGCTTTCCTTTTCTTTTCCAGAAAGCTTTGCCTTCTTTCCTTCCTTCGTTCTTTCCTTCCTTCCTTCCTCTCTTCCTCTTTCTTTCTTTTCTTTCTTTCTTTCTTTCTTTCTTTCTTTCTTTCTTTCTCTCTTCCTTTCTTTCTTTCTTTCTTTCTTTTCTTTCTTTCACTTGGCAAGATTGCTTTTGGAGCTTTCCTTTTCTTTTCCAGAAAGCTTTTTCCTTCCTTCCCTCCTTCCTTCCTTCTCTCCCTCCCTCCTTTCCTTTCCTCCCTCTGTTCCTTCCTCCCTCCCTCCCTCCTTCTCTCCCTCCCTCCCTCCTTCCCTTTCTTTCTTCTTTCTTTCTTTCTCTTTCTTTTTTCTTTCTCTTTCATTTCTTTCCTCTTCCTTCCCCCATCCTCCCCCTTCATCGTCCCTCCTCCTCCTCCTTCTCCTCCTCCTCCTCCTCCTTCTCCCTCCTCCTCCTCCTTCTACTCCTTTTCCTCCTCTTCCCTCTGCCATTTGTCTCTTTCCCCTTTGCGTTTTTATTCGCAGTCGTTGTTTTTGTCCATCCACTAACTTCTCTGAAACCTGATTCTTTTGGGACGCTTGGCAAAAGGCATTTCATACAGGGAGGCGGTCACATACGCTAACAAGACACGGTGAAAAGTCTCTTCTCATCGGCTTGGTGTGCTGCTCTCTTCTCTCTCTCGCTGTCTCTCTCTGTCTGTCTCTCTGTCCCCTGTCTGTCGCTATTTTTCTCTGTCTATCTCTGTATCTCTGTCTCTCTCTTTCTCTCCTCTGTCTCTCTGTATCTCTGTCCATCTCTGTCTCTCTTTCTCTCTCTCCTCTCTCTCTTTTTCTCTGTCTCTGTCTGTATCTCTATCTCTGTCTCTCTTTCTCTCTGTCTTCGTTCCTCTCTCTCTTTTTTTCTCTCTTCCTCTGTCTCTCTTTCTATCTCTGTCTCTCTCTCTCCTCTCTCTCTGTCTCTTTTTCTCTGTCTCTGTCTGTATCTCTGTCTGTCTCTGTCTCTCTTTCTCTCCTCTCTCTGTGTCTCTGTCTCTGTCTCTCTTTCTCTCCTCTCTTTTTCTCTGTCTCTGTATCTCTGTCTATCTCTGTCTCTCTTTCTCTCTCTCCTCTCTCTCTTTCTCTGTCTCTGTCTGTATCTCTATCTCTGTCTCTCTTTCTCTCTGTCTTCGTTCCTCTCTCTCTTTTTCTCTTTCTCTGTATCTCTGTCTATCTCTGTCTCTCTTTCTCTCTCTCCTCTCTGTCTCTTTTTCTCTGTCTCTCTCTGTGTCTCTACCTCTGTCTCTCTCTCTCCTCTCTTTTTCTCTGTCTCTGTCTGTATCTCTGTCTATCTCTGTCTCTCTCTCTCCTCTCTCTCTTTCTCTGTCTCTGTCTGTATCTCTATCTCTGTCTCTCTTTCTCTCTGTCTTCGTTCCTCTCTCTCTTTTTCTCTTTCTCTGTATCTCTATCTCTGTCTCTCTTTCTCTCTCTCCTCTCTCTCTGTCTCTTTTTCTCTGTCTCTCTCTGTGTCTCTACCTCTGTCTCTCTCTCTCCTCTCTTTTTCTCTGTCTCTGTCTGTATCTCTGTCTATCTCTGTCTCTCTCTCTCCTCTCTCTCTTTCTCTGTCTCTGTCTGTATCTCTATCTCTGTCTCTCTTTCTCTCTGTCTTCGTTCCTCTCTCTCTTTTTCTCTTTCTCTGTATCTCTGTCTATCTCTGTCTCTCTTTCTCTCTCTCCTCTCTCTCTGTCTCTTTTTCTCTGTCTCTCTCTGTGTCTCTACCTCTGTCTCTCTCTCTCCTCTTTTTCTCTGTCTCTGTCTGTATCTCTGTCTGTCTCTGTCTCTCTTTCTCTCCTCTCTCTGTATCTCTGTCTCTGTCTCTCTTTCTCTCCTCTCTCTCTTTTTCTCTGTCTCTGTATCTCTGTCTATCTCTGTCTCTCTTTCTCTCTCTCATCTCTCTCTGTCTCTTTTTCTCTGTCTCTCTCTGTGTCTCTACCTCTGTCTCTCTTTCTCTCCTCTCTTTTTCTCTGTCTCTGTATCTCTATCTCTGTCTCTCTTTCTCTCTCTCCTCTCTCTCTTTTTCTGTCTCTGTCTCTCTGTCTGTCTCTGTCTCTCTTTGTCTCTCTCCTCTCTGTCTCTTTTTCTCTGTCTCTCTCTGTGTCTCTACCTGTGTCTCTCTTTCCTCTCTCTTTTTCTCTCTCTGTCTGTATCTCTGTCTACCTCTGTCTCTCTCTCTCTCCTCTCTCTCTGTCTCTTTTTCTCTGTCTTTCTGTCTCTCTATCTCTGTGACTCTTTCCCTCTCTCCTCTCTCTCTCTTTTTCTCTCTCTCCCTGTCTCAGGGAAGCATCAGTAAAACCTCCAACAAGCACCCCCTTGTACACAGCCCAGGCCAAGAGAGGTGCAGACCCTGCTTTCTGCCTGCAGCCGCCTGCTGTAAAATGTCAATGCAAAACATTTCATACAGTCCACCCACTCTGCAGACTGGAGCTGCGGCCTCTCGGACAGCGTCTTGAATTGGCAACGAAAAACGTGTGGGGTAGAAAAAGCTCTCGTCTGGATTTCTAACATGTTATCAAGCACTCAAACGCTGGGTGTTTCCTGCCTGTCTTTAAAGGGAAGGGCAGGGAGAGAACGTAAAAGCTCTGGTCAGAGAAGGGAAAGGTCTTTAGGTGAGAGGGGTGAGGCCGCCTCCGTGCTCATCCCACAGGAAGAGTTGGAGTTTTACAGAAAGATGAGATCTCTTTCGCGTAGCCAGAAACTCTTAGGAAAAGCGGGGTGTTGGAAAGGCAGAAAGTGTGCCATGAATCGGACGTGCGTGATTTCAAAGCCACTTGTCTGCAGTGAGAATTACAATTGGGGCTTCAGTTGAAAAAGGGCCTTTGCTTTTTCTCCGAGGCCGAGGGGCCTTGAATAGCCACACAGCTCCTGACTGGTGTCCCCATGCTCATTCCTGGAGGCTCGGACACCCTGGTAGAGCGGAGTTTCCTACTAGACAAAGGGGTCCAGATTGCGGCCCAAGAAGGAACCTCAGGTCGGGGAAAGCCTGGGCCTCACGGGACCCCCCAGGAAAGCCTGGTCCTTGGGGTTGGAGAAGACAGCTGAGCTGGGAGGACGGAGGGTTTTCGGTAGGGAGACAGTGAGCAGCTGTGAGAGGTTTACGGCGCAGTCCCTGGGGACCCAGTTTCCCAGCAGAGGCAGAGATGGGGAGGCCTTTAGAAGCAGAAAAGTTACCCGGCCTCTGAGGACCCAGAAAGTTGCTCTAAGCCAGAGACCCTTCTCCGAATCTCCCTCTCTGTCTGTCTCTGCCTCTCTCCCTCTTTCTCTTCCCCCTCCCTGTCTCCCTCTCTGTGTCTCTGCCTCTCTTTGTCTCTCTCTGTATCTCTATCTGTGTCTCTCTTTTTCTCTCTCCATCTCTCTGTCTCTCCGTTTCTCTCTTTCTCTCTCCCTCTCTCTCCCTGTCCGTGTCGCTCTTTCTCTCTCTCCATCTCCCAGTCTCTCCCTTTCTCTCTCTCCATCTCTCCCTGTCTCTCTCTTTCTCTGTCTCCATCTCTTTCTCTGTCTCTCCTTGTCTCTCTCTTTCTCTCTCTCCATCTCTCTCTGTCTCTCCCTGTCTGTTTCTCTCTCTCCATCTGTCTGTCTCTCCCTTTCTCTCTCTCTGTCTCTCCCTCTCTCTCCCTGTCTGTGTCTCTCTTTCTCTCTCTCCATCTCTCTCTGTCTCTCCCTGTGTTTCTCTCTCTCCATCTCTCTCTGTCTCTCCCTGTCTGTTTCTCTCTCTCCATCTGTCTGTCTCTCTCTTTCTCTCTCTATCTCTCCCTCTCTCTCCCTGTCTGTGTCTCTCTTTCTCTCTCTCCATCTCTCTCTGTCTCTCCCTGTGTTTCTCTCTCTCCATCTCTCTCTGTCTCTCCCTGTCTGTTTCTCTCTCTCCATCTGTCTGTGTCTCTCTTTCTCTCTCTCCATCTCTCTCTGTCTCTCCCTGTCTGTTTCTCTCTCTCTATCTGTCTGTCTCTCTCTTTTTCTCTCTCTATCTCTCCCTCTCTCTCCCTGTCTGTGTCTCTCTTTCTCTCTCTCCATCTCTCTCTGTCTCTCCCTGTGTTTCTCTCTCTCCATCTCTCTCTGTCTCTCCCTGTGTGTTTCTCTATCTCCATCTCTCTGTCTCTCCCTTTCTCTCTCTCTGTCTCTCCCTCTCTCTCCCTGTCTGTGTCTCTCTTTCTCTCTCTCCATCTCTCTCTGTCTCTCCCTGTGTGTTTCTCTCTCTCCATCTCTCTGTCTCTCCCTTTCTCTCTCTCTGTCTCTCCCTCTCTCTCCCTGTCTGTGTCTCTCTTTCTCTCTCTCCATCTCTCTCTGTCTCTCCCTGTGTTTCTCTCTCTCCATCTCTCTCTGTCTCTCCCTGTCTGTTTCTCTCTCTCCATCTGTCTGTGTCTCTCTTTCTCTCTCTCTATCTCTCCCTCTCTCTCCCTGTCTGTGTCTCTCTTTCTCTCTCTCCATCTCTCTCTGTCTCTCCCTGTGTTTCTCTCTCTCCATCTCTCTCCGTCTCTCCCTGTCTGTCTCTTTCTCTGTCTCCATCTCTCTCTGTCTCTCCTTGACTCTCTTTCTCTCTGTCTCCATGTCTCTGTCTCTCCCTGTCTGTGTCTCTCTTTCTCTCTCTCCATCTCTCTCCGTCTTTCCCCCTCTGTCTCTTTCTCTGTCTCCATCCCTCTGTCTCTCCCTTTCTCTCTGTCTTTCCTTGTCTCTCTCTTTCTCTCTCTCTCTCCATCTCTCTCTCTCCCTGTCTCTCTCTCTCCATCTCCCCGTCTCTCCGTTTCTCTCTCTGCCTCTCCCTGTCTGTCTCTCTCTTTCTGTGTCTTACACACACCCCAACCCACCGTCACTCATGTCCCCCCACTGCTGTGCCATCTCACACAAGTTCACAGCTCAGCTGTCATCCTGGGTCCCCAGGCCCCGCCGGGGAGGAAGATGCGCCGTGGGGTTACGGGAGGAAGGGGACTCCGGGCCTCCTGGTGCCCCACTTTATTTGCAGAAGGTCCTTGGCAGGAACCGTGACGCGTTTGGTTTCCAGGACTTGGAAAACGAATTTCAGGTCGCGATGGCGAGCACCGGCTTCCCCTGAAGCACATTCAATAGCGAGAGGCGGGAGGGAGCGAGCAGGAGCATCCCACCATGAAAACCAAAAACACAAGTATTTTTTTCACCCGGTAAATACCCCAGACGCCAGGGTGACAGCGCGGCGCTAAGGGAGGAGGCCTCGCGCCGGGGTCCGCCGGGATCTGGCGCGGGCGGAAAGAATATAGATCTTTACGAACCGGATCTCCCGGGGACCTGGGCTTCTTTCTGCGGGCGCTGGAGACCCGGGAGGCGGCCCCGGGGATCCTCGGCCTCCGCCGCCGCCGCCTCCCAAGCGCCCGCGTCCCGGTTTGGGGACACCCGGCCCCTTCTTCTCACTTTCGGGGATTCTCCAGCCGCGTTCCATCTCACCAACTCTCCATCCAAGGGCGCGCCGCCACCAACTTGGAGCTCATCTTCTCCCAAGATCGTGCGTCCCCGGGGCGCCCGGATCCCCCCCTCGCCATCTCAACCCCGGCGCGACCCGGGCGCTTCCTGGAAAGATCCAGGCGCCGGGCTCTGCGCTCCTCCCGGGAGCGAGGGCGGCCGGACGACTGGGACCCTCCTCTCTCCAGCCGTGAACTCCTTGTCTCTCTGTCTCTCTCTGCAGGAAAACTGGAGTTTGCTTTTCCTCCGGCCACGGAGAGAACGCGGGTAACCTGTGTGGGGGGCTCGGGCGCCTGCGCCCCCCTCCTGCGCGCGCGCTCTCCCTTCCAAAAATGGGATCTTTCCCCCTTCGCACCAAGGTGTACGGACGCCAAACAGTGATGAAATGAGAAGAAAGCCAATTGCCGGCCTGGGGGGTGGGGGAGACACAGCGTCTCTGCGTGCGTCCGCCGCGGAGCCCGGAGACCAGTAATTGCACCAGACAGGCAGCGCATGGGGGGCTGGGCGAGGTCGCCGCGTATAAATAGTGAGATTTCCAATGGAAAGGCGTAAATAACAGCGCTGGTGATCCACCCGCGCGCACGGGCCGTCCTCTCCGCGCGGGGAGACGCGCGCATCCACCAGCCCCGGCTGCTCGCCAGCCCCGGCCCCAGCCATGGAAGAGCTCACGGCTTTTGTATCCAAGTCTTTTGACCAGAAAAGCAAGGACGGTAACGGCGGAGGCGGAGGCGGCGGAGGTAAGAAGGATTCCATTACGTACCGGGAAGTTTTGGAGAGCGGACTGGCGCGCTCCCGGGAGCTGGGGACGTCGGATTCCAGCCTCCAGGACATCACGGAGGGCGGCGGCCACTGCCCGGTGCATTTGTTCAAGGACCACGTAGACAATGACAAGGAGAAACTGAAAGAATTCGGCACCGCGAGAGTGGCAGAAGGTAAGTTCCTTTGCGCTCCGGCTCCAGGGGGGCCCTCCTGGGGTTCGGCGCCTCCTCGCCACGGAGTCGGCCCCGCGCGCCCCTCGCTGTGCACATTTGCAGCTCCCGTCTCGCCAGGGTAAGGCCCGGGCCGTCAGGCTTTGCCTAAGAAAGGAAGGAAGGCAGGAGTGGACCCGACCGGAGACGCGGGTGGTGGGTAGCGGGGTGCGGGGGGACCCAGGGAGGGTCGCAGCGGGGGCCGCGCGCGTGGGCACCGACACGGGAAGGTCCCGGGCTGGGGTGGATCCGGGTGGCTGTGCCTGAAGCCGTAGGGCCTGAGATGTCTTTTTCATTTTCTTTTTCTTTCCTTTCCTTTTTTTGTTTGTTTGTTTGTTTGAGACAGAGTCTCGCTCTGTCCCCCAGGCTGGAGTGCAGTGGTGCGATCTCGGCTCACTGCAACCTCTGCCTCCTGGGTTCAAGCGATTCTCCTGCCTCAGCCTCCCCAGTAGCTGGGATTACAGGCATGCACCACCACGCCTGGCTAATTTTTGTGCTTTTAGTAAAGACGGGGATTCACCATGTTGGCCAGGCTGGTCTCGAACTCCTGACCTCAGGTGATCCACCCGCCTCGGCCTCCCAAAGTGCTGGGATGACAGGCGTGAGGCACCGCGCCCGGCCTGGGTCCTGACGGCTTAGGATGTGTGTTTCTGTCTCTGCCTGTCTGCCTTGTATTTACGGTCACCCAGACGCACAGAGGAGCCGTCTCCACGCGCCTTCCCAGCGCTCAGCGCCTGCCGGGCCCCCGGAGATCACGGGAAGACTCGAGGCTGCGTGGTAGGAGACGGGAAGGCCCCGGGTCAGCTCGGTTCTGTTTCCTTTAAGGAACCCTTCATTATTATTTCATTGTTTTCCTTTGAACGTCGAGGCTTGATCTTGGCGAAAGCTGTTGGGTCCATAAAAACCACTCCCGTGAGCGGAGGTGGCCGGGATCTGGATGGGGCGCGAGGGGCCCCGGGGAAGCTGGCGGCTTCGCGGGCGCGTCCTAAGTCAAGGTTGTCAGAGCGCAGCCGGTTGTGCGCGGCCCGGGGGAGCTCCCCTCTGGCCCTTCCTCCTGAGACCTCAGTGGTGGGTCGTCCCGTGGTGGAAATCGGGGAGTAAGAGGCTCAGAGAGAGGGGCTGGCCCCGGGGATCTCTGTGCACACACGACAACTGGGCGGCATACATCTTAAGAATAAAATGGGCTGGCTGTGTCGGGGCACAGCTGGAGACGGCTATGGACGCCTGTTATGTTTTCATTACAAAGACGCAGAGAATCTAGCCTCGGCTTTTGCTGATTCGCAGAGTTGAGGTGCGAGGGTGAATGCCCCAAAGGTAATTCTTCCTAAGACTCTGGGGCTACCTGCTCTCCGGGGCCCTGCATTTGGGGTGTGGAGTGGCCCCGGGAAATAGCCCTTGTATTCGTAGGAGGCACCAGGCAGCTTCCCAAGGCCCTGACTTTGTCGAAGCAGAAAGCTGTGGCTACGGTTTACAAAGCAGTCCCCGGTTTCTGACCGTCTAAGAGGCAGGAGCCCAGCCTGCCTTTGACAGTGAGAGGAGTTCCTCCCTACACACTGCTGCGGGCACCCGGCACTGTAATTCATACACAGAGAGTTGGCCTTCCTGGACGCAAGGCTGGGAGCCGCTTGAGGGCCTGCGTGTAATTTAAGAGGGTTCGCAGCGCCCGGCGGCCGCTTCTGTGGGGTTGCTTTTTGGTTGTCCTTCGCAGACACCGTTTTGCTCCTCTGAACTCTCTCTTCTCCCCCTGGCCGTGGACCCGGGAGAGCAAAGTGTCCTCCAGACCTTTCGAAAGTGAGAGGAAAATAAAGACCAGGCCAAAGACCCAGGGCCACAGGAGAGGAGACAGAGAGTCCCCGTTACATTTTCCCCTTGGCTGGGTGCAGAAAGACCCCCGGGCCAGGACTGCCACCCAGGCTACTATTTATTCATCAGATCCAAGTTAAATCGAGGTTGGAGGGCAGGGGAGAGTCTGAGGTTACCGTGGAAGCCTGGAGTTTTTGGGAACAGCGTGTCCCCGCCGAGCCTGGGAGCCCGTGGGTTCTGCAAAGCCTGCGGGTGTTTGAGGACTTTGAAGACCAGTTTGTCAGTTGGGCTCAATTCCTGGGGTTCAGACTTAGAGAAATGAAGGAGGGAGAGCTGGGGTCGTCTCCAGGAAACGATTCACTTGGGGGGAAGGAATGGAGTGTTCTTGCAGGCACGTGTCTGATAGGAGGTGAAACAGAATGTGAAATCCACGTTGGAGTAAGCGTCCAGCGCTGAATGTAGCTCGGGGTGGGGTGGGAGGGCCCTGGTGTGGATCGTGGAAGGAAGAAAGACAGAACAGGGTGCTAGTATTTACCCCGTTCCCTGTAGACACCCTGGATTTGTCAGCTTTGCAAGCTTCTTGGTTGCAGCGGCCTTGCCTGTGCCCCTTTGAGACTGTTTCCAGACTAAACTTCCAAATGTCAGCCCCTTACCCTTGACAGCAAGGGACATCTCATTAGGGCATCGCGTGCTTCTCATCTGTGCTCAGCAGGCCCGAGATAGGAACAGAGGGGCGTTGGAGATGCCACTTCCACCAGCCCTGGGTTGAAGGGGAGCGAGGGAGACACCTTTTACTTAAACCCCTGAGCTTGGTCAGAGAGGCTGAATGTCTAAAATGAGGAAGAAAAGGTTTTTCACCTGGAAACGCTTGAGGGCTGAGTCTTCTGCCCTTCTGACTCCCCCAGCAAATACAGACAGGTCACCAACTACTGGAGATGAGAAAGTGCCATTTTTGGCACACTCTGGTGGGGTAGGTGCCCGACCGCGTGTGAAAAAGTGGGAAGGAGAGATTTCTGCGCACGCGGTTCAGCCCCCAGGCGCGGTGGCGCATTCAGGTACTCAGACGCGGTTCTGCTGTTCTGCTGAGAAACAGGCTTCGGGTAGGGGCTCCTAGCTCCGCCAGATCGCGGAGGGACCCCCAGCCCTCCTGCGCTGCAGCGGTGGGGATAGCGTCTCTCCGTAGGCCTAGAATCTGCAACCCGCCCCGGGTCCTCCCCGTGTCCTTCCCGGGCGTCCCGCCGGGGATCCCACAGTTGGCAGCTCTTCCTCAAATTCTTTCCCTTAAAAATAGGATTTGACACCCCACTCTCCTTAAAAAAAAAAATAAGAAAAAAAGGTTAGGTTATGTCAACAGAGGTGAAGTGGATAATTGAGGAAACGATTCTGAGATGAGGCCAAGAAAACAACGCTCGTGCAAAGCCCAGGTTTTTGGGAAAGCAGCGAGTATCCTCCTCGGCTTTTGCCTTATGGACCCCACGCAGTTTTTGCGTCAAAGCGCATTGGTTTTCGAGGGCCCCCTTTCCACCGCGGGATGCACGAAGGGGTTCGCCACGTTGCGCAAAACCTCCCCGGCCTCAGCCCTGTGCCCTCCGCTCCCCACGCAGGGATTTATGAATGCAAAGAGAAGCGCGAGGACGTGAAGTCGGAGGACGAGGACGGGCAGACCAAGCTGAAACAGAGGCGCAGCCGCACCAACTTCACGCTGGAGCAGCTGAACGAGCTCGAGCGACTCTTCGACGAGACCCATTACCCCGACGCCTTCATGCGCGAGGAGCTCAGCCAGCGCCTGGGGCTCTCCGAGGCGCGCGTGCAGGTAGGAACCCGGGGGCGGGGGCGGGGGGCCCGGAGCCATCGCCTGGTCCTCGGGAGCGCACAGCACGCGTACAGCCACCTGCGCCCGGGCCGCCGCCGTCCCCTTCCCGGAGCGCGGGGAGGTTGGGTGAGGGACGGGCTGGGGTTCCTGGACTTTTGGAGACGCCTGAGGCCTGTAGGATGGGTTCATTGCGTTTGTTTTTCACCAACAGCAAACAAATATATATACATATATATTATACAAATAACAAATAAATATATATGTTATACAGATGGGTATATTGTATATATTATAGATATTTGTTCGTCCTTGGTGCAAAGACACCCGGTGAACCCATATATTGGCTCCTGACTGCCTTCGGTTCCCCTGGGATTGGTTATAGGGGCAACACATGCAAACAAAACTTTCCCTGGATTATACTTAGGAGACGAAGCTACAGATGCGTTTGATCCAGAGTGTTTTACAAGATTTTTCATTTAAAAAAAAATGTGTCTTTTGGCCCCTGATTCCCCTCCGTCTTCCCGTGTGGCTGCATTGAAAAGGTTTCCTTAGGATGAAAGGAGAGGGGTGTCCTCTGTCCCTAGGTGGAGAGAAACAGGGTCTTCTCTTTCCTCCGTTTTTTCACCTACCGTTTCTATCTCCCTCCTCCCCTCTCCAGCCCTGTCCTCTGCTACAAACCACCCCCTCCTCCCTCCGGCTGTGGGGAGCGCAGGAGCACGTTGGGCATCTGGATGAGCGGAGACTATTAGCGGGGCACGGGGGCTCCCCGAGGAGCGCGCGAATTCACGCTGCCCCATGAGACCAGGCACTGGGGGGCGGAGGGGCCTTGGGTGTGCGCAGAGGGACGGGCGGGCAGAGCCTTCCTCCGCATTCTAAACATTCACTTAAAGGTATGAGTTTATTTCAGGGGTGCTGCTGGGAGAGCCTCCAAATGGCTTCTTCCAGCCCCTGCCTGACAGTTCAGCTCCCCTGGAAGGTCAACTCCTCTAGTCCTTTCTCCTGGTTCTGGGCAGGACAGAAGTGGGGGGAGGGAGAGAGAGAGAGAGAGAGAGAGAGAGACGGTCAGGATCCCCGGACCCTGGGGACCCCGTCAAAAATAAATGAAATTAAGATTGCCGACCAGAGAGAGAACCGTGACAAAGCAAACGGCGTTCAAAGCAAAGAGACGAACTGAAAGCCCGTTCCCGTAGGACTGGTTATGAGGTCAACACATTCAAACACAGCTTGCTCTCGATTTTGCTGAGCAGAGGAAGATACAGATGCATTTGATCCAAAGTGTGTTACATCTTTCATTATATGTGTGTCTCTATATATAAACATATATAAATATATAAACATACATAAATGTATGTAAATATATATAATCTATATACATATATAAATATATAAACACATATATAATATATAAATCTATAAACATATATAATATATAAACATAAATATATAAACATATATAATATATAAATATATTAACATATATAAAATATGTATAAATATATATAAACATATAAACATATATAAATATATAAACATATATAAATATATACAAACATATTGTATATATATAAATATATATAAAAACATATATATACATATAAAAATATATATAAACATATATACATATAAAGAAATATATATAAACATATATACATATAAAATATACATATATAAACATATATATACATAAAATATATATATAAACATATATATACATATAAAAATATATATAAACATATATACATATAAAGAAATATATATAAACATATATACATATAAAATATACATATATAAACATATATATACATATAAAGAAATATATATAAACATATATACATATAAAATATACATATATAAACATATATATACATAAAATATATATATAAACATATATATACATAAAATATATATATAAACATATATATACATATAAAAATATATATATTAACATATATATACATATAAAAATATATATATATTTTTGGCCCCTGATTCCCTTCGGTTCCTGTGGGATGGGTGATTGAGTCAACACATTCAAACACAACTTTTCCATCGATGTTGCTTAGGAGATGAGGATACAGATGCGTTTGATGGAGAGGGTTTTACGAGCTCTTTCATTTAAAAATATATATATATATATATATATATTTTGGCTCCTGATTCTCTTCCGTCTTCCCATGTGGCTGCATTTTAAAAGGCTTCCCTAAGATCGTTAGGATTAAATCAACCCTCCCCAGGCATCTTTACCGAGGGCTGTGGTCCCCAAAGCGATACAGCCCAGGAGGGAGAGAGGCTTTGGTGACTTGGAGGAAGGACTGTGTCCCTCCTTAGGGCGTCTGTGGCCTCAGTGAGGGAAGGAAGCTGCATCAGACAGGGGTTTCCTCGCTGTCCACCCCTCTGGCAGAAGATGGATTGGGCTGCCCCGTATAAATTAATGAAAAGATTAAAGTTTCGCTAAAGGGGACATCGAGTTTATGTGTCATCTCCTGGTGTCTGTGTGCCTGGGATCTGCAATATATCCCAGCCCTTGATGTACTGTTTCTATAAAAATAAATTACTTGTAATTTAATTCCACACTATTTCTTTCCGTAGTCTATTACCGACGAGAGCACGTTAGTTCAGCTGCGGAAAATTGGTTGTGGGGTGTGTGCGGACCCCGAGAACGCCCTAAAATAAAGACAAATCGGGGACAAGCTGGGGGTTATCGATTGCAGGGGTCGCATGAAAATTTAACGACGGTAAATAATAATAACAACAAACATGGGAATGCAATAAAAGACATAATTCTCCATCGCCGCGGGGGGAAAGGATCCTATAGTAAAGGCGAGTGCGCTTTGAGGGGTCATAAAAATCAATTAGTTCCAACACCCACGTCCCGCGTTGAGGGGACGGGGACGAGCAGGGACAGAAAAAGAAACCATATTTGAATCCCATCTCTCTGTGAATTCTTGGGTCACATGCGTCTCAGTACAGCCCGTCCCGTGCTGTGACCGGATAGAGTTTCAATTTACTGTGGAAATTTGCTGTAAATAAATTGAGCATCCGATAGAAGCTGTTGCTGATTAACCTTTTATTTTTAGCGTGGCCCTGCAAAGTCGTATCACCCAGCTGTCAGGCTTCTAATCGAAAGTTATGAGACCACGGTGAGGGGCAGGCGGTAATTTAATTACAACAAATATCTTTGGGTTTATGGCGCAGAGCTAAATTAAATGTCATTATTCACTGTCTGTAATGGAAATCAAAAGGAAATCGCATTACGGCATTTGGGAAAGAAAGCGGGGAGTGCTCTTTAATGAAGAAATAACTGTCTTAAGCAGTGTCACACACTTCACTTACCATATTCGGGCCTAATTGGAATGGATCGTGAATCACTCCAAGACTGATTTATTAGCGCTTCACGCAGCGGCTAATTCATCACTTGTATTCTTCATCATTTTTTTTTTTCCTCTCGCCGTGTTGAAGGGAGAGTGAATGAGGCTTTCCACGTTTCAGGAGGATTTTCTTTTTTGAAAAATGCCCTTCCAGAGGCTTTTGGGTGGCTGGCTTGCTTTCTGGGCCCTGGAGGAGACAGGCGGAGAGTCCAGGTGGGCATGGAGAGGCACAGTGGCAGGTCACCTGGATGGTCAGTGGAGGTGGAGGTCTGAAGGCGCCAGCTTTGGAAATTATTGGTGAATTTCGATGTCAGCACCAGGCAGGGGCCTTTTTGGCGGGGGTGTGAGGGAGGATGACTTTGCTGGGAAACAGGATCAGGTTCTCCAGGCGCACTGCAGCCCGGTAGGACCCACTTTGGAAATGAAAAGCCAGTTCCGAAAGCTGGGCTGGAAGCTTCCGTGTTGGGTTCAAGAGCAAGTTCACGTTGCGCTGTGTAGACTCCTGGCTGCTCCCAAACTCTGAGGGTTTTCTGAGGTTCCCTTCATAGGGGCACCGGCCCTGGGCCATGCACAGTGTGTAAGGGTGGCTGTGGGCCGAGGGACCCAGCACGTGTTTTGCCCACAACAGCCGGAGTGACTGGTTCACTCACCGCCTTGGCGGAGGACGCCTGTTCTCTGGACGAATCATTTCTCTTGGGTGGTGACTGCCTTGTGGGTCAAGGTGCAGGTTTTCTGCCACAGAAAACCTGTTAGGAGGAATTAAGCGACTAAGACTGTCAGGGAGGTGGTGGTGGGGGAGAGGAGGGGGTGGTGTCCAGATTACCAGGCATAGGCTAAACTGCCTGCACTCTCCAGCTGGTCTGTCTGTGGAGGAGGGGATTGTCAATACTGGGAGAGCAGAGGAGGCTCGTAGGAGGTGAGAGGGGGTGGAATTTGCATGCAAATCTTCACATGAGGCCTGTGTGAATTTCTCCAGCCTCCTGAGGGTCCCCTGCGCTATTGCACTCAACTTCTTGATAGTTTACCCCAAGACTCAGAAGTCCTTAGAGGGGCAGAATGCCCCCACCACAAAGCCTGCTATCCTTGGGCGTCCTCATGACCCTTGGTCATGAATGGGACCCTTTCATGTATGGGGACCCTTGGTAATATGAATGGGACGCCTTCAGCTCCCCAGGGCTTCCGAGGAGGCCGAGAAGGGCAAAGACACTTCCGAGGAGGCCGAGAAGGGCAAAGACATTTTCTGGGCTTGGTGTGTCAAGAGCTAGATTGGAGAAGGGGCTGGATTTGGAACTCTTTAGCCATCAGCTCACCCTCTCCGTTTGTGGCTAAAGTCTGAAGGTGGAAACTTCGGTTCTCCTACAGGGTCTACAGGAGTTGGGGGGCGGGGCGCCCACACAGAACGCTGGAAAGTTCGACAGTCCACTTCCACTGGCTCGGAACTCACTTTTTCACCTTAAGTTCATCAGCGGTAACGCATAGGTCTCACTTAGGCAGGGCACGGATGATTTAACAATTTCTACTTCTAGGTCAGGTGCGGTGGCTCACACCTCTAATCCCAGCACTTTGGGAGGCCCAGGAGGGTGGATCGCTTGAGGTCAGGAGTTTGAGACCAGCCTGGCCAACATGGTGAAACCCCGTCTCTACTAAAATACGAAAATTAGCCAGGCATGGTGGTGAGCACCTGTAATTCCAGCTACTCGGGAGGCTGAGGCAGGAGAATCGCTTGAACCTGGGAGGTGGACGTTGCAGTGAGGTGAGATCACACCACTGCACTCCAGCCTGGATGAGAGAGCAAGACTCTGTCTCAAAAACAAAATAAAACAAAAACAAAACAAAAATCAAAAAAGAAAACCCAATTTCCAGTTCTAGGCCAGGTGCAGTGGCTCACGCCTGTCATCCCAGCACTTTGGGAGGCCCAGGAGGGTGGATCGCTTGAGGTCAGGAGTTCGAGACCAGCCTGGCCAACATGGTGAAACCCCATCTCTACTAAAAATACAAACGTTAGCTAGGTGTGGTGGTGTGCGCCTGTAATCCCAGCTACTCGGGAAGCTGAGGCTGGAGAATTGCTTGAATCTGGGAGGTGGAGGTTGCAGGGAGGCGAGATAGTGCCACTGCAGTCCAGCCTGGACCAGAGAGCAAGACTCCGTCTCAAAAACAAAAGAAAGCAAAAACAAAAAACAAGAGACCAGCCTGGCCAACATGGTGAAACCGCGTCTCTACTAAAATACAAAATTAGCCGGGCATGGTGGTGGGCACCTGTAGTCCCAGCTACTCGGGAGGCTGAGGCAGGAGAATGGCTTGAACCTGGGAGGTGGAGCTTGCAGTGAGCCGAGATAGTGCCACTGCACTCCAGCCTGGGCGACAGAGCGAGACTTGATTTCAGAACCACCACCACCACAACAAAACAAAACAAAAAATCCAAAAAAACCCCAATTTCCAGTACTAGGTAGTCAGTGATGCAGGGCTGGAGACAGAGGGGCGGTAAGTGTCTGGGCGCCCACCATCAGTCACCTCCCAGCTCCCAGAGGTGCAAAGTGCTTGGTTCAGCCTCATGGGAAGGATGCTCCCTGGGGAGGCTGGGCTGGGTTCACAGGGCTCTTCACATCTCTCTCTGCTTCTCCCCAAGGTTTGGTTCCAGAACCGGAGAGCCAAGTGCCGCAAACAAGAGAATCAGATGCATAAAGGTGGGTGTCGGGACTGGGGGGACCTGAAGCTGGGGGATCCTGCTCCAGGAGGGATGGGGTCGACGAGGTGCTGGCTACACCCAGGACCACCACACTGACACCTGCTCCCTTTGGACACAGGCGTCATCTTGGGCACAGCCAACCACCTAGACGCCTGCCGAGTGGCACCCTACGTCAACATGGGAGCCTTACGGATGCCTTTCCAACAGGTAGCTCACTTTTTCTTCCTCTGAAGATCCCTAGGGACCTGCTGCTCCCTTCCCCTTTCCCCTATTTGCTGCCGCATCCTGACACTCCTAGTCCCTCCCTGCCCCTGCAGACTTCTCAGCTGGCCCTTAGAAAAAAAGCCTCTTTTCCGAGGAGGCATTTACAGGCACCTTGGCACCTATGAAATCAGGCTGGGCCAGGCGGGGTGGCTCACACCTGTCATCCCAGCACTTTGGGAGGCTGAGGAGGGTGCATCACCTGAGATCAGGAGTTCAAGACCAGCCTGGCCAACTTAACGAAACCCTGTCTATTAAAAATACAAAATGGGTGTGGTGGCTCACGCCTGTCATCCCAGCACTTTGGGAGGCCGAGGCAGGTGGATCACCTGAGGTCAGGAATTCGAGACCAGCCTGACCAACATGCTGAAACCCCGTCTCTACTGAAAACACAAAGCTTAGCCGGGCGTGGTGGTGCACACCTGTGATCCCAGGTACTTGGGAGGGAGAATCACTTGAACCTGGGAGGTGGAGGTTGCCGTGAGCCAATATCGCGCCACTGCACTCCACTCTGGGTGACAGAGTGAGACTCCAAGACTCCATCTCAAAAAAAAAAAAAAAAAAATCAGGCTGTAAAAATCCACTTTTGGGAAGGTGAACACACACAAGCCCAAACAGAAATCTGACAAAAACCAGAGGGGTGAAAAGTCCACACAGTCAGGCACCCCCACCTGGCTTGCTGCCTGGTTAAGAAGGGCGCAGATGCCTGTGCCTGGATACCAGAGATGGGACAGACACCCATTCCCTTTTCATCACCACCCCCGAGTGCCCGAGGGCCTGGGGCGTCTGCCTGGCCCCTGGCCCCTGGCTTGGGCTCTGCACCTCTGAGCTGGAGACACCCTACTCAGCTCCCCACTTACTTTGGAGTGAGCAGCGCTTGGGTGCCCAGCGTGGATTTGGGGCTTCCAGGGAGTCGGGGTTCGGTCGCGGAGCCCAAGCTTCCCAAGGGCGCCCCCGCCCTGCCCTGGCTTAGTGGTGGGGATGGGATGGGGGGAAGCGGGGAGCTGCGTGGAAGGAGGTGAAGGGTCACAGGAGGAGAGAGCGCAGCGCCCACGTGCGCCCTGCCTGAACGCGCAGCGCAGCGCCCGGCTGCGGTGCCCCTTGCCCCTTCGGTCCCTAATTTGGGGGTCGGGAGTGCATGCGCGGGCGGAACGGGCTTGGGGGGGGGGCTCTGGCAGGGCGGACGCGTGGCCTCCCTTCTTCACCGTTTTATTCCAAGGGGACAGGCTGGGGATTGTATTTGGGCGCGTGTTTGGCTGAGGGTGCAGGGACTTGGGGGGTGGCGGTGGGGAGCGCGGAAGGTATAAACGTATAAATCATAAGTAAACAACTCAGAAATGGACCCCGAGCGCTGGTCGCCGCTAGCTCTCCAGCTCTCCCTGGCCCAGGCCCGAAGGAGAGGGGTCCGCATCCCTCCGCGGTTCTCCTCTCCTGGGTACCTGGCCTTGAGGTGGGGGAACGAGCCTACTTCTTGTACCGTCTTTTGCCGACGGCGGGACCCAGTGAAATTAGGCCGTTGGAGCCCGCAGGCCTGCCTGGCTTTGCGCACCGGAGTCTTGGGGACCTGGTGTCCCCGGGAAAAACTTGGGGACCTGGTATCCCCGGGAGAGGCTTGGGGACCTGGTGTCCCGGGAGAGGCTTGGGTACCTGGTTTCTCTGGAAGAGGCTTGGACACCTGGTGTCCTGGGAGGGCCTTTGGGACCTGGTGTCCTGGGAGAGGCTTGGAGATCTGTTGTCCTGGGAGAGGCTTGGGGACCTGGTGTCCCTGGAGAGGCTTGGGGACCTGGTGACCTTGGAGAGGCTTGGAGACCTGGTGTTCTGGGAGAGGCTTGGGGACCTGGTGTTCTGGGAGAGGCTTGGGGACCTGGTGTCTCTGGAAGAGGCTTGGACACCTGGTGACCCGGGAGGGCCTTGGGGATCTGGTGTCCCGGGAGAGCCTTGGGGACCTGGTGTCCTGGGAGAGGCTTGGGGACCTGGTGACCTTGGAGAGGCTTGGGGACCTGGTGTCCTGAAAGAGCCTTGGGGATCTGGTGTCCCAGGAGAGGCTTGGGGACCTGGTGTCTCTGGAAGAGGCTTGGACACCTGGTGTCCTGGGGAGAGGCTTGGGGACCTGGTGTCCTGGGAGAGGCTTGGGGACCTGGTGTCCTGGGAGAGGCTTGGAGATCTGGTGAGCCGGGAGAGGCTTGGGGACCTGGTGTCCCGGGAGAGGCTTGGGGACTTGGTGTCCCGGGAGAGGCTTGGACACCTGGTGTCCCAGGAGAGGCTTGGGGACCTGGTGACCTTGGAGAGGCCTGGGGACCTGGTGACCCGGGAGAGCCTTGGGGACCTGGTGTCCTGGGGAGAGCCTTGGGGACCTGGTGACCTTGGAGAGGCTTGGGGACCTGGTGTCTCGGGAGTGCCTTGGGGACCTAGTGACCCGGGAGAGGCTTGGGGACCTGGTGTCCCGGGAGAGGCTTGGGGACCTGGTGTCCTGGGAGAGCCTTGGGGATCTGGTGTCCTGGGGAGAGGCTGGGGGACCTGGTGTCTCGGGAGAGAGCCTTGGGGACCTGGTGACCCGGGAGAGGCTTGGACACCTGGTGTCCCGGGAGAGGCTTGGGGACCTGGTGACCCGGGAGAGCCTTGGGGACCTGGTGTCCTGGGGAGAGGCTGGGGGACCTGGTGTCTCGGGAGAGAGCCTTGGGGACCTGGTGACCCGGGAGAGGCTTGGACACCTGGTGTCCCGGGAGAGGCTTGGGAGCCTGGTGTCCCGGGAGAGCCTTGGGGACCAGGTGACCTTGGAGAGGCTTGGGGACCTGGTGATCTTGGAGAGGCTTGGGGACCTGGTGTCTCGGGAGAGCCTTGGTGACCTGGGGACCCGGGAGAGGCTTGGGGACCTGGTGTCCCCGGGAGAGGTTACGGGGGCTGGTTGGGGGAGAGAACGTTGTGAGCCAAAGTCCCTGAATCCCTGCGAAGAGAGCGCATCGGGAGCTCCCCCTGAGGGCGTTCCATTTGTGGACCCCCCTCCCATGCGCTTTGCAGGGAGCTGTTCGGATTCCCCTGGCCCGGCTCCCGCGGATGCATCCAGTGGCAGCGCCAATTCTGGGCCAGGGGGAAGGAGGAAAGGCGGGTGTGGGGTGGTCTCCACGGCTGGAGAAGGGGCGACGCTCCCTAGGGGAGAAGAGGCACGTTGGAGGTTTCCGGGGGCGCGGGGCGGAGCAGGCCCCCCAGTCCCCATCCTGCGCCCTCACCCCGCCGGGTCCGCTCCCGCAGGTCCAGGCTCAGCTGCAGCTGGAAGGCGTGGCCCACGCGCACCCGCACCTGCACCCGCACCTGGCGGCGCACGCGCCCTACCTGATGTTCCCCCCGCCGCCCTTCGGGCTGCCCATCGCGTCGCTGGCCGAGTCCGCCTCGGCCGCCGCCGTGGTCGCCGCCGCCGCCAAAAGCAACAGCAAGAATTCCAGCATCGCCGACCTGCGGCTCAAGGCGCGGAAGCACGCGGAGGCCCTGGGGCTCTGACCCGCCGCGCAGCCCCCCGCGCGCCCGGACTCCCGGGCTCCGCGCACCCCGCCTGCACCGCGCGTCCTGCACTCAACCCCGCCTGGAGCTCCTTCCGCGGCCACCGTGCTCCGGGCACCCCGGGAGCTCCTGCAAGAGGCCTGAGGAGGGAGGCTCCCGGGACCGTCCACGCACGACCCAGCCAGACCCTCGCGGAGATGGTGCAGAAGGCGGAGCGGGTGAGCGGCCGTGCGTCCAGCCCGGGCCTCTCCAAGGCTGCCCGTGCGTCCTGGGACCCTGGAGAAGGGTAAACCCCCGCCTGGCTGCGTCTTCCTCTGCTATACCCTATGCATGCGGTTAACTACACACGTTTGGAAGATCCTTAGAGTCTATTGAAACTGCAAAGATCCCGGAGCTGGTCTCCGATGAAAATGCCATTTCTTCGTTGCCAACGATTTTCTTTACTACCATGCTCCTTCCTTCATCCCGAGAGGCTGCGGAACGGGTGTGGATTTGAATGTGGACTTCGGAATCCCAGGAGGCAGGGGCCGGGCTCTCCTCCACCGCTCCCCCGGAGCCTCCCAGGCAGCAATAAGGAAATAGTTCTCTGGCTGAGGCTGAGGACGTGAACCGCGGGCTTTGGAAAGGGAGGGGAGGGAGACCCGAACCTCCCACGTTGGGACTCCCACGTTCCGGGGACCTGAATGAGGACCGACTTTATAACTTTTCCAGTGTTTGATTCCCAAATTGGGTCTGGTTTTGTTTTGGATTGGTATTTTTTTTTTTTTTTTTTTTTTTTTTTTTTTTTGCTGTGTTACAGGATTCAGACGCAAAAGACTTGCATAAGAGACGGACGCGTGGTTGCAAGGTGTCATACTGATATGCAGCATTAACTTTACTGACATGGAGTGAAGTGCAATATTATAAATATTATAGATTAAAAAAAAAATAGCCGTGCACTCTTGACCCCGTCAGCGTCCAACGTGGAAAAGGCGTTACCTCTTCTCCCAGCGCTGGCCGCCTGGCCACTGAGGGCCCTTTGCAAAAATCACGGGTGTAGAGATGGCCCTGGGCGCGCTGGGAGTGTGGTTGTGTTTCTGAAGGGGATAAAAGAGGGCACGGTGGTGCCAAGATATCAGTTTGGTACCTGAGCTGTTTCTGGTTGGGAAGCGTAAAAGCCAGGGAGAGATCCAGAGAGTTTTCAAGTTTTTGCAGATGTAGGTGGTTCCAGCTTTTCTTTCTCCCCTACTCCATCTTCTGCGTTCCCCCAGTTCTTTTATTTCTTTGTTTTTTATTTTTGAGACAGAGACTTGCTTTGTCGCCCAGGCTGGAGTGCAGTGGCGCAATGTCAGCTCACTGCCACCTCCGCCTCCCGGGTTCAAGCGATGCTCCTGCCTCAGCCTCCCGAGTAGCTGGGACTACAGGCACCTGCCACCACCCCCGGCTAATTTTTTGTATTTATAGTAGAGACGGGGTTTCACCGTGTTGGCCAGGCTCGTCTCGAACTCCTGACCTCAGGTGATCTGCCCGCCTCGGCCTCCCAACGTGCCCCCAGTTTTATAAACAGCAGATAGCAACTTGTCGTCACAGCTGGCATGGGCTGGACAGTTGCTTGAAATGACCTAACCAAAAACATTCAAGGGTTCTGCCCCCAGATTTCGGGAGATCCACGTTCCATGTTCTGATTGGTTTTCTGGGAACACAGCAAGGGGTTTGGTGACCTCCGAGAAGATCCATCTGCATGATTGGCATTAGTTACCACAGCCTGCCCAGAGAGAAACTATCTTCTCCCAACATTTACTAACATCCACTGGTCAACTCTCTTATTTCCATAACACATTTGCATCTTTCTGGATTCAAGCTTGGTGGTTTTCTTTCCTAACTTCTGATTTAGATACTTCTCCCTGAGGTGGGGATAAAAGAAAAAAAAAAACAACTTCTTTTTTTCTTCCGCATAACACTTTCTATCTTGTCACTGAGCTGAACTGTAGATCCATTTGGACCCGTCTCATTTGTATCTTCTGATATTCTTTATACAAACCAAAAGTCCCCTTCAACATTTTTTATGTCAAAATGTTACAACCGCTGTAAAATGACGGAGAGAGAGAGAAAGAATCCCAGACATTAACGGTATTAGAGAGTTTGCCTCATTCATCCATTTTTCTTAAAAGCTGGAAATTAAAAAAAAAAAAGAGAGAGAGAGGCTTTAATAGTTAAGCTGAAATTTTTATCGAAAAGAAGAATTGCATTTTGAATCTTTGGGAAGTAGGTTCATTCATCAGAGTATGTAACCCTTTGGAAAAGTGGTTGGTAAGATATGTACAGCCCTAGATTTTTTTTTTTTAACCAAAAAGGCTGAGTAATTTTGAAAAATCGAAACATAACAGTGTGTCATCATTTCCTCCCAAGAAAAAGCTCACTCCACGTGAGTAGAAAGACATCTACCTGGTCCCTGTAGAATCTGAACGTTTCTCTTTAGAGACGGAATTTCAATCTTGTCCCCCAGGCTGGAGTGCAGTGGCACAATCTCGGCTCACCGCAACCTCCGCCTCCCGGGTTCAAGCCATTCTCCTGCCTCAGCCTCCCGAGTAGCTGGGATTACAGGCACCTGCCACCAGGCCTGGGTAACTTTCTGGTATTTTTAGTAGAGACAGGGTTTCAGCCTCCCGAGTAGCTGGGATTACAGGCACCTGCCACCAGGCCTGGGTAACTTTCTGGTATTTTTAGTAGAGACAGGGTTTCAGCCTCCCGAGTAGCTGGGATTACAGGCACCTGCCACCAGGCCTGGGTAACTTTCTGGTATTTTTAGTAGAGACAGGGTTTCAGCCTCCCGAGTAGCTGGGATTACAGGCACCTGCCACCAGGCCTGGGTAACTTTCTGGTATTTTTAGTAGAGACAGGGTTTCGGCCTCCCGAGTAGCTGGGATTACAGGCACCTGCCACCAGGCCTGGGTAACTTTCTGGTATTTTTAGTAGAGACAGGGTTTCGGCCTCCCGAGTAGCTGGGATTACAGGCACCTGCCACCAGGCCTGGGTAACTTTCTGGTATTTTTAGTAGAGACAGGGTTTCAGCCTCCCGAGTAGCTGGGATTACAGGCACCTGCCACCAGGCCTGGGTAACTTTCTGGTATTTTTAGTAGAGACAGGGTTTCGGCCTCCCGAGTAGCTGGGATTACAGGCACCTGCCACCAGGCCTGGGTAACTTTCTGGTATTTTTAGTACAGACAGGGTTTCAGCCTCCCGAGTAGCTGGGATTACAGGCACCTGCCACCAGGCCTGGGTAACTTTCTGGTATTTTTAGTAGAGACAGGGTTTCGGCCTCCCGAGTAGCTGGGATTACAGGCACCTGCCACCAGGCCTGGGTAACTTTCTGGTATTTTTAGTAGAGACAGGGTTTCGGCCTCCCGAGTAGCTGGGATTACAGGCACCTGCCACCAGGCCTGGGTAACTTTCTGGTATTTTTAGTAGAGACAGGGTTTCGGCCTCCTGAGTAGCTGGGATTACAGGCACCTGCCACCAGGCCTGGGTAACTTTCTGGTATTTTTAGTAGAGACAGGGTTTCAGCCTCCCGAGTAGCTGGGATTACAGGCACCTGCCACCAGGCCTGGGTAACTTTCTGGTATTTTTAGTACAGACAGGGTTTCGGCCTCCTGAGTAGCTGGGATTACAGGCACCTGCCACCAGGCCTGGGTAACTTTCTGGTAGTTTTAGTAGAGACAGGGTTTCAGCCTCCCGAGTAGCTGGGATTACAGGCACCTGCCACCAGGCCTGGGTAATTTTTTTGCATTTTTGGTAGAGACAGGTTTTTGCTGTGTTGGCCCGGCTGGTCTCAAACTCCTGACCTCAGGTTGACCTGCCCGCTTTGTCCCTCGCAAAGTGCTGGGATTACAGGCGTGAGCCACCGCACCTGGCCTGAATCTGAACTTTTAAAAGGGAGTTACTGACTCTCAACTGTGCGGGGACGGTTTCAGTTTGATTTAATATGGAAAGAGGGCCAAGTGTCATCCTCACAAATGGGTCCCCGAAGCAGATCAAACGCAGAGAACTGTGAGGGTGGGACACGAGTGTCTGTGGACACTGGCTGCCTTTGGCTTTTCTCCTGCGAGAGAAGTTGGGTGACTTTCTGTAGGTGGATGAGTGATCCCTGAATGAGTGTGGGGTACGTGTATGCTAGCTGCTTCTTTCTCCCTGAAACTCTCGGATGGAAGGAAGTAAGAAATTCAGCTTGGGCTGTGACCAGTTCTCACCACCAACGCCCTCTTCTCTCTCCCTTCTCCTTCCTTCCTTCCTTCCTTTCTTTCTTTTTCTTTCTTTCTCTCTTTCTTTCTTTTCTTTCTTTCTGTTTCTTTCCTTTTTATCTTTCTCTCTTTTTCTTTCTCTTTTCCTTTTTTGTTTCTTTCTTTCTTTTTCTTTCTTTCTTTTTCTTTCTTCTTTCTTTCTTCGATGAAGTCTCACTCTGTCACCCAGGCTGGAGTGCAGTGGTGCAATCCCAGCTCACTGCATCCTCTACCTCCTGGCTTCAAGAAATTCTCCTGCCTCAGCCTCCCAAGTAGCTGGGATGACAGGCACCCACCACCATTCCCGGATAATTTTTGTATTTTTTAGTAGAGACCGGGTTTCGCCATGTTGGCCAGGCTGGTCTTGAACTCCTGACCTCACATGATCCACCCGCCTCAGCCTCCCAGAGTGCTGGGATTACGGGGTGAGGCACCGCGCCCGGCCTCCTCTCTCTTTTTCTGAGATGTTTAGGAAGGACTGGGCTGATGGGGACCCTCTGTATGTGATGTGCGTGGGTTTGGTTTCCCGGAAGGCCCTCCAGAGACACGTTTGCGTGAACATTCAGCATGGAAACAACATACGTCTCTCCACAGGAGGTGAGAAATTGAATTTATGGGGTGGGTGTACGCTGGCGATTCTTGGTGCTTTTTGCTCAAAACAAGGTTCTTTTGAAAGTCACGTTCCTGCTTTCCCTGTGGCTTCCCGGTGAGCTCGCTCGCAGAGCAAGGAATACCACCCAGAGAGCAACGTGGGCTGTGTTCCGATGTAACGCCGTTGCAGAGAGAGGATTTGGTGTGTGAGATCCGTACCAGCTCCAGCACACTGATAGGAACACGTTGCTGGCCGAACTGAACGATGCTGGGTTGGGTCCTGATTGATACGTATTTTCTTCCCTCCTCTCCCCAAAACTTGGCCAAATAGTCCGTGGAGGGTTGTCAGTCGCCGCAGTTGAGCAAAAAACACTTCTTCCTTTGAGTGGCTGTTCTGGTGAAATCTGTTTCTGACATATCCACTTTTCTCTCTCTTTTCTCTCTCTCTGACTGCGAAGCACCCACAGGGAGAAGGAATTGGATGTATCGGATGTTGCTATTAGATTTTCTTTCTCCGTTCGAGTCTCTGACTGGTGCATACTTTGCAAAGGTGTGTTCCTGGCAATTGCCAAGAGTTAGAAAAATGCACCTTCTCTGGTGGCCGTTGGGGTGTTGTTTCACAGGCAGTGGTGACAGGGCCCCTTGGCTGTGGCTGTCTTCTCCAGCGCCGTGGATAAAGAGATGGGACAGATTCTGTGCCTCTGTACGATTTAGAGCGTAACTGACCGCGTCCAACACCCGTTTTTCCACTTACAAAGCTGGTGGTGCGACGGGCTTGGTGTCTCCCGTACGGGAAGGAGGCCTTTGGGCCGCTCCAAAGACGCCCTGTCGTAGGAATGGCCTCTCCATCCCGCCAAAGTCCAGCCAGGCCCCCGAAATGGTCCCATTTCCTTGGAAGCCTGAGTTTCTGTTCTGGTCTTGCTGCTGTCCTTGGCCACGTCAGCACGTGGGAGCATCTGTGGATACCGCAGAGTCTGGGGACAGCTGGGCGTTTAACCGAAATGAAGCCGAGACGGGTTTCAGGTTTTGGTGCCAAGCTCTGGTCAGGATGAAAGGGAAATACCAGAGTCCTCTGTCCTCGCCTCTGGGTTTCATGCTGACCTTTCTAACATTTGTTTTCCCCTAAGAACAAGCAGAAGCCTCCAGCTCCCTTTAGCTCCACAGTTTTCCCGGGGACATAGCGAGGATGGCACACGGCAGCCACTCCCACGACACACATTTCGGAGGCACTTTGCTGGAAGCCGCTTGTCTCCTCCAGCTTTGGGAGGTCTGGGGAGGAGAGAGGCTTTCGGTGGACACGTTTGACATTAAAAAAAAAAAAAAAAAAAAAAAAAAACTGGTGCCTAATTTATTAAAGAGAATTAGCTTAGCGAGTATATGCTGATATTCTTCGACACACGTGGGTAAGTTGATGCCATTTATAAATGTTTTATTGAAATTTGATATTTAATGAGAAGCCGGTTAAGGAATGTAGACAATATCCCGTTTCAAAGCTATGAAATGTGCTATTTATTGAAAGGGGATGTGGCTTCACGAGTTCAGCCCATTGTACGTGCAGGTCCCGTGGGAAGGAGGCAAAAGCCCCTGCTTCTTACTTTGTGATGTATGTGCATTTGTTATTTATTTTTTTTTCCTTGGTCGGACGTTCATAAATATGTACTATTTTAATTATGTCGAGTGTAAATTTGACATCGCGTTGCATTTATTTTTATATTTCTGAAAACTGTTGCTTTTTCTTTTTCCCTCCCCCATTGACGACATAGCGGCCCCCGCGTCCGGGTTACAAATACATCTACAGATATTTTCAGGGATTGCTTCAGATGAAAACAAATCACACACCGTTTCCCAAACCAACAGTCTTCACATTTCTATCCCTCTGTTATTGTCGGCAGGCGGTGAGGGGTAGAAAAAAAACAAACAAACAAACAGAAAAAAAAACCAAAAAAAACCACCCTGAGTTTCTCTGGTGACGCCCTCATTCTCCTAACGTTCAATAATCTCAATGTTGAGTTGCAGCAACAGACTGTATTTTTGTGACGCCCCGTAGTATGAATGTACATCTTGTAAAACTGAGATATAAATAAACTTATAAATATTTGTATTCAAGTGTTAAAAAAAAAAAAATTCTCAACCTCTCCCCTGAGGACAGGCTTATTGGAAAAAAAAAAAAAAAAAAAAAATCCTGAGTCGGCCGTGGCTGAACACAGAGTGTTGTTCTGCTCCGTGCATTTCCAGGGTGGGTACCCAGTGTTGCCCCCCAGCCTTAGATCGGGAGGTACCATTGACTTTTGCTTGTATCCCATCCCCTTCCTTTACTGAAACCTACCTCCCCGCTTCTCAGCCAACGTCCCCCCAGAAGGTGGCAAAAAAAACAGAGGAAAAAGCCCTGATTTGAATCAAGTCAGAGCTGCTAATTCTCCACTTTCTTTAATTAATTAATTTATTTTTTTTTTTGAGACTGAGTCTCGCTCTGTCGCCCAGGCCGGAGGAGTGCAGGGGCGCGATCTCGGCTCACCGCGACCTCCGCCTCCCGGGTTCAAGCGACTCTCCTGCCTCAGCCTCCCGAGTAGCTGGGATGACAGTCACCTGCACCACCGCGCCCGGCTCATTTTTGTATTTTTAGTAGCAATGGGGTTTCACCGTGTTGGTCAGGCTGGTCTCGAACTCCTGACCTCGTGATCCACCCGCGTCTGGGCCCGGCCGGTGATGTGTGTGCTTTTAACTTTTATTTTGTTCCAGTTTTCGACAGTGGCACGGATTTTCCAGCACGGTCTTGCAAGGATGATTGAGTCATTTTTGAGACAAAAAATATAATAATAATAAATGGAAAAAGAAATCGACTTTTAAAAATGACAAATTTTTTTTTTTTTTTTTGCATAGATTTTTCTCTCTTTATGTAAAGGAAAGTTCATGATTGGATTTGGCCGGCCTGACTGCTTCCCGGCTGTGATAAAAAACACATGTGAGCTGGGAGGGAAGTGGGGGAGGGACACAGCTGCCCACACAGGGTTCCCACCGCGGTTACAGGGTGGGCAGTGCTGGGGGAGCTTTCTCTGTGGGGGGCTCAGAGCCTGAGGACAGGTGAGCCTCTCCGACACCTCCCCAGTTGCCTGGAGTCTAAACCGTCCGTTGTCTGTACCGTCCGTTCTTCCTGCTGACTCCTGGTAGTTCCTGAAAGCTTCTCTTGGCCAGAGAAGGGGTTTCAGAGGCCGTGTGTCCAGGCCATTCTGCAAAGTGCAACTTGACCGTTCCTTTCCTTTTCTGGCCTGCGTGGTCTGAAGCTCAGAGCCCTCTCTTCACCCAGCCTGTGTGTGTCTTGCCGGACAGAAGAAAAATGGTGCTTTTTGCGTGTTAGCAGAGGTGCTTTTCATGGCTGACCTCAACGCGTCCATCTCCAGCCTGTTTTTTAGGGGCAAACGCAGGCAAGTTCTGAATGCACACAGTTATTTCATGGTTAAACTATTCAGCTTTGGCCGGGCGCAGTGTGGCTCTCACGCCTGTCATCCCAGCACTTTGGGAGGCCGAGGCGGGTGGATCACCTGAGGTCAGGAGTTCGAGACCAGCCTGGCCAACACGGTGAAACTCTATCTCTACTAAAAATACAAAAATTAGCCGGGCGTGGTGGTGTGTATCTGTAATCCCAGCTACTCAGGAAGCTGAGGCAGGAGAATCGCTTGGACCCAGGAGGCGGAGGTTGCACTGAGCCGAGATCGCGCCATTGCACTCCAGCCTGGGCGACAGAGCCAGACGCTGTCTCAAAAAAATGAATAATAAAATAAAATAACAGGAACTAAATAAAATAAAACGTTCAGCTTTGTTCTGCAAATCCACTCCTATTGTTTTACGTGGTTTGAGAGACTCTGTCCCTTAGAAATAGATGTTTGTTGCCAATTGTAATGAATCTGTTTCAAAAATGAACAGAATATTCAAATGGTTTGAGAGATCTTTTCCCTTAGAAATAGCTTGTTGCCAATCACAAAGAATGTTTTTCAAAAATGAATGGAATCTTCCTGGATATCGCTTCCAGATCTTCATTTTTTTTGCATAGTTCAACCTGAAAAGTAAGTGTCTCAGCCCTGAATTTCTTTCTGATTTTTCCATGGGTTGTCTTGCAGACTTCTCTGGACTTGACCACATTTAAAAAAAAAAAAATTAACTTTTTCACACGGACACGGTTTCAATAGGAATGAGATCTTTGAGTTTTTATGTAACAGATTCTTACCATCAGTTCTCAGATTCCCAAATTACACACAAAAAGCCACGGACTTCGCCTCCTGCTAACATGTCCTTCTGTTTCTGAGGCTTCTGTTGGTGTTAGACTTTCATGTTTAATAGCAGACAATGTAGGGATTTAAAGAAAAATGCAGAGAAAGCAAAAACACTGACCAAACACACGGAGATAAGCTTTCTAAAGCCTTTGTTCTTGGAGTTGTCGTTAAAAAAAAAAAGTTGTTTTAAACTTTGCAAGCATGCCTATATTGAACTCATAAGCAAGAGAGCCAAGAAAAATAGTGTCGGTCGTCTACTCTACACGTTTTCCCAAAACAGACGTATTTTAATTTCTTTTGTTTGAACTCACAGATGCTGAGAGTTAAAAGTTAAATTTTTGTCATGAACAATAGTGGCCAAAACCACAGTTACTTTTGCACTATAGCATAATAAGAAAAATACAGGCTGGGCTCGGTGGCTCACACCTGTAATCAAAGCACTTTTGGAGGCGAAACAGCCAGATCCCTTGAGCCCAGGAGATTGAGACCAGCCTGGGCAACATAGCGAGACCCTCATCTCTACAAAAAAGGTTTGTTACATATGTAACAAACCTGCACATTGTGCACATGTACCCTAAAACTTAAAGTATAATAATAAAAAAATTAAAAAAAAATTCACCAATCAACTGCCTGCTGGTGCCTTCAAGAGACTCACCTAACACATAAGGACTTGCATAAACTTATAAAACAATTCAATGGAAGAATCCTTGAAAGTATTCTGAGAAGACAGTATAATAAACTGATTTCTAAAAAGGCTATAAAAAATTGAATAAATCATTGTTGGGCATCCTGTGCTGAAATATAATGCAGCCAATAAAAATTACAAAATGAATAAACATTTTATAACAATTAAAAAAAGTCAAATAATTAGGCAGGCATGGTGGTGCTCTCCTACGGTTGAAGCTATTCAGCAGGCAAGAGGATACTTTGTTTTTGTTTTTTAATTTTTTTTGAGACAGAGTCTCGCTCTGTTGCCAGGCTGGAGTGCAGTGGCGTGATCTCAGCTCACTGTAATTTCTGCCTCCCGGGTTCAAGCGATTTTCCTGCCCCAGCCTCCCGAGTAGCTGGGATTACAGGTGCCCGCCACCACACCTGGCTAATTTCTTTTGTATTTTTAGTAGAGACGAGGTTTCCCCATGTTGGCCAGGCTGGTTTTGAGCTCCCGACCTCGGGTGATCCACCCGCCTCAGCCTCCCAAAGTGCTGGGATGACAGGCGTGAGCCACCGCGCCTGGCCCAGGAGGATTATTTGATCCCAGGAGGTGGAGGCTGCAGGAAGCCATGATTGCACCACTGCACTCCAGCCTGGCTGACAGAGTGAGACCACATCTCTAAATAAATGAATAAATACAGGCAGAAACTTTTTTTGTTTTGTTTTGATGGAGTCTTGCTCTGTCACCAGGCAGGAGTGCAGTGGTGCCATCTCAGCTCACTGCAACCTCCACCTCCTGGGTTCAAGCAATCCTCCTGCCTCAGCCTCCCGAGTAGCTGGGATTACAGGTGCCCGCCACCACGCCCGGCTAATTTTTTGTATGTTTAGTAGAGACGGGATTTCACCGTGTTAGCCAGGATGGTCTTGATCTCTTGACTTTGTGATCTGCCTGCCTCAGCCTCCCAAAGTGCTGGGATTACAGGCATGAGCCCAGGAGTTCAAGACCAGCCTCAGCAACAAAGTGAGACCTTTTCTCTCCAAAAAATCAAAAATTTAGCCAGCTGTGGTGGCTCCTGCCCGTGATCCCAGTACTGTGGGAGGCTGAGGCAGAATTGCTTGAGCCCAGGAGTTCGAGACCAACCTCAGCAAAAAGGACTCTCTCTCTGTCTCTCTCTCTCTCTCTCTCTCTCTCTCTCTCTCTCTCTCTCTCTCTATATATATATATATATATATATATATATATATATATATATATGAGTTTCAAAAATTGCTGGGTGACCAGCTCATCTACTGGTTTTCCCCTTGGGAAAGTGAAATTGTCATGTATTGAAGATTTCCAAGGAAGTTGTATTGAATGAGAAACAAACTCAATCTGTTCGTGTTTAAAGAGCTGCAGTGCGTTTGCCGTGTTTCCCATAAAACTGCACTTCCAAAAGACACGCTGAGAAAGGAGACCAGGATTTGTAATTCAGAAATTGGAAAGCAAGTTAGGCTGGACGTGGTAGCTCACGCTTGTTGTAATCTCAGCACTCTGGGAGGCTGAGGCAGGAGGATCACTTGAGCCCAGGAGTTCAAGACCAGCCCGTGCCACATGGTGAAACCCTGTCTCTCCAAAAAATAAAACATTTAGCCAGATGTGGTGACTCATGCCTGTAATCCCGGTATTCTGGGAGGCTGAGGCAGAGTTGCTTGAGCCCAGGAGTTCAAGACCAGCCTCGGCAACAAAGTGAGACCCTGTCTCTCCAAAAAATAAAACATTTAGCCAGCTGTGGTGACTCATGCCTGTAATCTCAGTACTCTGGGAGGCTGGGGCAGAATGGCTTGAGCCCAGGAGTTCGAGACCAACCTCAGCAACAAAGTGAGATCTTGTTTCTCCAAAAAATCAAAAATTTAGCCAGCTGTGCTGGCTCATGCCTGTAATCCCGGTACTCTGGGAGGCTGAGGCAGAATCGTTTGAGCCCAGGAGTTCGAGACCAACCTCAGCAACAAAGTGAGATCTTGTTTCTCCAAAAAAATCAAAAATTTAGCCAGCTGTGCTGGCTGATGCCTGTAATCCCGGTACTCTGGGAGGCTGAGGCGGAATTGCTTGAGCCCAGGAGTTCAAGACCAGCCTCAGCAACAAAGTGAGATCTTGTTTCTCCAAAAAATAAAACATTTAGTCAGCTGTGGTGGCTCAAGCCTGTGATCCCAGCATTTTGGGAGGCCGAGGCGGGCGGATCACGAGGTCATGAGATCGAGACCATCCTGGCTAACACGGTGAAACCCCGTCTCTACTAAAAATACAAAGAAAATTAGCCGGGCGTGGTGGCGGGCGCCTGTAGTCCCAGCTACTCAGGAGGCTGAGGCAGGAGAATGCCGTGAGCCTGGGAGGCGGACCATGCAGTGAG
The DNA here is from genome assembly GCF_000001405.40 of Homo sapiens. Classification (NCBI taxonomy): domain Eukaryota; kingdom Metazoa; phylum Chordata; class Mammalia; order Primates; family Hominidae; genus Homo; species Homo sapiens. The sequence goes on from NC_000023.11 coordinate 656,790, forward strand.
TCGAGATCGCGCCACTGCCCTCCAGCCTGGGCCACAGAGCAAGACTCCGTCTCAAAAAAAAAAAAAAAAAACTGCTGCCCAAGCTGTGTTTGCACCACTGCCCTCCAGCCTGGGCAACAGAGCAAGACTCCGTCTCAAAAAAAAAAAAAAAATGCTGCCCAAGCTGTGTTTGCACCACTGCCCTCCAGCCTGGGCAACAGAGCAAGACTCTGTCTCAAAAAAAAAAAAAATGCTGCCCAAGCTGTGTTTGCACCACTGCCCTCCAGCCTGGGCAACAGAGCAAGACTCCGTCTCAAAAAAAAAAAAAATGCTGCCCAAGCTGTGTTTGCACCACTGCCCTCCAGCCTGGGCAACAGAGCAAGCCTCAGCTTTCTGCCATCTCCACAACCAAGAAAGCAATTCACACAGAAATCAGTGCATCGTGCAGTGACCTCTTCAGAAAACCAATGAGTTTTCCACCTGAGGAACTGTTTCTGAGCCCCATTCAGAAGAACACATCCCTGTAACTGCAGGGCAGATTTACTCACTGATGCCTGTTTAAATAAAGCTTCCAGCCTCTGCATGGGGTCTGTCTGGAAGCTCCTGTATCTGTCCCACATTCTTGGAATCACAATGCACCCTTGGGAGGAAGATATGTATTTAAAGGGAGTGGATGTTATGGTGAGAAAATGCTGCCCATCCTTCTAGAAGACAAAAGCCACACAAAATACATCACAAGAACCAGTTTTTTTCAGAGAAGAACCTGCACAAAGAACCTGCTCCCCCCACACCCCCACACACAGGTGAATTAACAGGATGTATGTTTTATCATAAAAGCACAGGTTTGTTTCCTATGCACTCTCTGAGGATTTGGCCATATGCAAAGATGTACAAAAACCTTCTCTTTCCCCAGGGAACCGTAACCCGTCTGAAAAGATGCCCTTCTCAGAAGCGAGTTGAACGATTGTTGGAAAAGATAAAATACGACGTGCACACACAGAGTAGAGAAATGTCACCCATGCAAATTATGTGTTTGAATGGAACACATTCAGGAAGCTAAATGGGGTATGACCACACATTTGGGTTGATTTATTTGACGAGTGGAAGGGGCAGATGGAAATGAATACTGCTGTTTTCCTTTGGAAGGCCATATATGGGAATACCAAGAGGATTACTTTGGAAGTTTAGCTTCTCCAGGTGGTCTCTCTCTCTCTCTCTTTTTTTGAGACAGAGTCTCACTCTGTCACCCAGGCTGCAGTGCAATGGCGTGATCTCGGCTCACTGCAACCTCAGCCTCCCAGGTACAAGCGATTCTCCTGCCTCAGCCTCCCGAGTAGCTGGGATCACAGGTGTGCACCACCACGCCTGGCTAATGTTTGTATTTTCAGTAGAGATGAGGTTTTACCATGTTGGCCAGGCTGGTCTTGAACTCCTGACCTCAGGTGATCCGCCTGCCTCGGCCTCCCAAAGTGCTGGGATGACAGACATGAGCCAGCACGCCCGGCCCCAGGTGGTCTTTTTAGCGGGTATTAAAGCAGCTTTCTCTCTGAGCCTTAAACCATGAAGATAGACAGACTCAGTGTATGGGTTTTAGAGTTGTAATTTTATAAAAATAAGAAAAAGTCGACCTATCATTGATGGTTAGTATTTTTTGTAGCAGTTGCATGCAATATTAGGATAAGGCATGTTCTCAAAAAGAACTCTTTTTTTTTTTTTTTTTGAGACGGAGTCTCGCTCTGTCACCCAGGCTGGAGTGCAGTGGCACGATCTCCGCTCACTGCAAGCTCCTCTTCCCGGGTTCACGCCATTCTCCTGCCTCAGCCTCCCCAGTAGCTGGGACTACAGGCGCCCGCCACCGCGCCCGGCTAATTTTTTGTATTTTTAGTAGAGACGGGGTTTCACCGTGTTAGCCAGGAAGGTCTCGATCTCCTGACCTCATGATCCGTCCGCCTCAGCCTCCCAAAGTGCTGGGACTACAGGCGTGAGCCACTGCACTTGGCCTTTTTTTTTTTTTAGATGGAGTTTTGCTCTTGTCGCCCGGGCTGGAGTATAATGGCATGATCTCGACTCACTGCAACCTCCGCCTCCCGAGTTCAAGCGATTCTCCTGCCTCAGCCTCCCGAGTAGCTGGGATTACAGGTGCCCACCACCATGTCAAGATAATGTTTGTATTTTCAGTAGAGATGGGGTTTGACCATGTTGGCCAGGCTGGTCTCGAACTCCTGACCTCAGGTGATCCACCCGCCTTAGCCTCCCAAAGTGCTGGGATGACAGGCGTGAGCCCCTGCGCCCGGCCTTTGTAACTTTATTTTTAATTTTTTTTTTTTTTTTAAGAAAGACAGAGTCTTGCTCTGTCACCCAGGCTGGAGCACACTGGTGCGATCATAGCTCACTGCAGCCTCAAACTCCTGGGCTCAAGCAATCCTCCCACCTCAGCCTCCTGAGTAGCTGGGACTACAGGCACCCACCACCACACCCAGCTAATTTTTTTGATTTTTACTAGAGACGGGATCTTGCTTTGCTGCTGAGGCTGGTCTTGAGCTCCTGAGCTCCAAAGATCCTCTCACCTCCACCTCCCAAAGTGTTAGAATTACAAGCATGAACCACTGCCCGTGGTCTCCAAAAAAAGGACTGTTACGTGGATGTTCTAGCTTCCTGTTCTCGTCTTTTCTTTGTTAATTGTACAGTTTGAGGGTGTGTGTGCGTGTGCGCGCGTGTGTGTGTGCAGTCTCCTGATTTCATGTATTTAATTGTTATTACCACCACCTCCATCTCTCATTCCTTCTTACCCTCACTGTGTAAAGATACATGTTGTTTTTAAATTTTATTTATTTATATTTATTTATTTGTATTTTTGAGGCAGAGTCTCACTCTGTTGCCCAGGCTAGTGGCATGATCTCAGCTCACAGCAACCTTTGCCTCCTGGGTTCAAGCGATTCTCCTGCCTCAGCCTCCCGAGTAGCTGAGATTACAGGCACACACCACCACACCCGGCTAGTTTTGTTTTGAGACGGAGTCTCGCTCTGTTGCAGGCTGCAGTGCAGTGGCGTGATCCTGGCTCACTGCAACCTCTGCCTCCTGGATTCAAGCGATTCTCCTGCCTCAGCCTCCCAAGTAGCTGGGATTACAGGCGCCCACCGCCACACCTGGCTAATTTTTTATTGGTAGTAGAGACGGGGTTTCTCCATGTTGACCAGACTGGTCTTGAACTCCCAACCTCGGGTGATCCACCCACCTGGGCCTCCCAAAGTGCTGGGATGACAGGCGAGGGCCACCGCGTCCAGCCTTCTTCTTCTTCTTCTTTTTTTTTTTTTTAAGATGGAGTTTCACTCTGTTGCCCAGGCTGGAGTGCAGTGGTGCAATCTCGGCTCCCTGCAACCTCCACCTCCCAGGTTCAAGAAATTCTTTTGCCTCAGCCTCCCGAGTAGCTGGGACTACAGGTGCCCGCCACCACACCCACCTAATGTTTGTATTTTTTTGGTAGAGACGGGGCTTCACCACATTGGCCAGGCTGGTCTTGAACTCCTGACTTCAGATGATCCTCCTGCCTCAGCCTCCCAGAGTGTTGGGATTACAGGCGTGAGCCACGGTGCCCGGCCAGACGTCATGTCTTAGGAAATCAGAAAGTGGGTAGTTTCCGCACTCTGAGGAGAAAAAGAGACGTCCAGCGAAGAGAAAGGAGAGTGAAAGGATGTCTCCTCTTGTCTGTAGCCTGTTCTCAATCGTGAGTGAGCCAATTGCCAGAAACTGAGGGTGCTTCATTTGGCCAGGCAAGCTTCTCAACAGAATGTCTAAGTACTTGTTAATGCTGAGAAGCTCTCCAAGCTACTGCACTCCAGCCTGGGTGACAGAGCACGACCTTGTCTGAAAACAATTAATTAATCAATTAATTAATATAATGAAATCATACTGAACTCAGGAGACCATTGGGGTGGGCAGGGCTGGGGTTGGAAGGGAACATAAAATACGGTGCAGTGGACTTTGCTCCAGTCTCCCTCCCCATCTCTTCTCGCCAAGAGTCTCTGGAGGGAGCATGGGGAAGATGCTTTGGGAATCTGTAACTTCTTGTCTTGTAAACAGAATATCTAAGTAATTGTTAATGCTGAGAAGTTATAGATTTCCAAAGCCTTTCTCCAGGCTACGGACAAGGGTCATGGGTTACTCAGTGTTACAGAAAGAATGACATGGAGATGTTTGTTACATCTTAAGGAACCATGAGGGGCCAGAGTATTTTACTCTAAGTGTAGATGGTACATTGGCCACGCCTGTCCCAACACCACCAATGGTGGCACCTAACTTTTGTGTTTGTGCCCCACATTTCTTCTTCTTTTCTGACGTAAATGCAAGTGATATTCCTTGGAAACCATGCTGCAGCAAGAGGCCATCTGACTACTAGTGATACCCTGTAGCTCACCTACAGCAGCTCACTTGAAGCAGCTCACCCATAGCTCAGGTATAGCTCACCTGCAGCGGCTCACCTGTAGCTCACGTGTAGCTCACTTGTAGCAGCTCACTGGTAGCTCACCTGCAGCAGCTCACCTGTACCTCACCTGTACCTCACCTGCAGCAGCTCACCTGTAGCTCACCTGTACGTGAGCCACCGTACCCGGCCAGCAAGACCCCATTTCTAAAATAAATACACAAAAATTAGCCGGACGCGGTGGCGCATGTCTGTAGTTGTAGCTACTCAGGAGGCTGAGGTGGGAGGATTGCTGGAGGCTGGGAGGTAGAGGCTGCAGTGAACCGTGATCCAGCCACTGTACTCTAGCCTGGATGACATAGCAAAACCTTGTCTCAAAAAACAAAAACAAAAAACAAAACAAAGAAACAAACAAAAAACCCACACACACCGGAAAACAAAACAAAAAGCAAAAAGGAAAGAAAAGAGAGCCAGGTCCCAAATATATATTTCCTTGGAGAACCATTTGCAAAGAGCACACTTAAGGCCGGGCGCGGTGGCTCACGCCTGTCATCCCGGCACTTTGGGAGGCCGAGGTGGGTGGATCACGAGGTTGGGAGATCGAGACCATCCTGGCCAACATGGTGAAACCCCATCTCTACTAAAAATACAAAAAATCAGCCAGGTGCTGTGGCAGGTGCCTGTAGTCCCAGCCACTCAGGAGGCTGAGGCAGGAGAATGGCATGAACCTGGGAGGTGGAGGTTGCAGTGAGCCGAGATCGCGCCCCTGCACTCCAGCCTGGGCGACAGAGCGAGACTCCTTCTCAAATAAATAAATAAATAAATAACAAAGAGCAAACTTAAAATTGTCTCAGAAATCCCACGGGATATTGGATCTCCCTCATGCCTATCTGATGACACTTTGAGTGTCTGGGACCCCGTGCCTATTTTCTGGGGTTCCCAGAAGCTGCCGTTCTGAAAGTGTGGCTCTCGGGGACGTGGCACAGGTGTGGATGTCTGTTTTAAATGTCAGGCGTTTGGACGTTGAGGAACGTGAGGCTGAAGGTCGCCTTCGCCGACCCCCTGAGTTTAGGGTCCTGCCTTTTAAAATCTTCCCAGCACTCTGTTGTTCACGCAAGCGTCCCATCTGTTTGGGTGGCCGTGCCGTCTGCATCTGTCTCGAACCTTCACAGCTTTGCAGAATATCCTGTTTCTCAATACGGATGGAGAAACACGAGACGCGTTTTCTGGGTTATTTTAGCCGTCACGGAGAACCCCAGACTCATGTGTGCTAATGACCTCATTAATGATACTCTGAGGCAGACAGCCCTGCCTGATCTTAACAACATTTTTTAAATTTCTTTTTTTGTTGTTGTTGTTACAGCATCATTCATATAACGTAGGAAACCGTGATCAGTAGCTTTTAGGATATTTGCAACAGGGTGTAACCATCTGTTAGACTCCAGAGCGTTTTTATCACGCTGAAAAGAAACCGCAAGCCCATTCCGCCATCAGTCTCAGGTTTCTCCATTTAGCCTGGGCAACCATTAACCTGCTTCCCATCTCTCTACACCTCTCCTACTCTGAATATGTATATATACGTGTGTATATATATGTGCATCTATGTGTGTGTGTACATGTAAATATATGTGTGTATATGTGTATATATGTGGGTATATATAGTGTGTATATATCTGTATATACGTGTGTATACATATGTGAATCTATGTGTGTGTGTACATGTAAATATATGTGTATATGTATATATGTGTATATGTGTGTATATATAGTGTGTATATATGTGCATCTATGTGTGTGTGTACATGTAAATATATGTGTATATATGTATATATGTGTATATGTGTGTATATATAGTGTATATATGTGCATCTATGTGTGTGTGTACGTGTAAATATATGTGTATATGTATATATGTGTATATGTGTGTATATATAGTGTGTATATATGTGCATCTATGTGTGTGTACATGTAAATATATGTGTATATATGTATATATGCATATATATAGTGTATATATGTCTGCTTATATGTATATATGTGTGGACATATGTATATATTTGTGTGTATGTGTATATAGTGTGTATATATGTGTATATATGTATATATGTGTATATATGTATATATATCAGTGTATGTATGTGTGTATATATGTATATATGTGTATATATGTATATATATCAGTGTATGTATGTGTGTATATATGTATATATGTGTATATATGTATATATATCAGTGTATGTATGTGTGTATATATGTATATATGTGTATATATGTTTATATATCAGTGTATATCTGTGTATATATGTATATCTGTGTATATATGTGTGTATATATGTATATATGTGTATATATGTATATATATCAGTGTATATATGTGTATATATGTATATCTGTGTATATATGTATATCTGTGTATATATGTGTGTATATATGTATATATAGTGTATATATGTGTGTATATATATGTACATATGTATGTATATGCACATATGTATATATATGCACTTTTTTTTCCCATTCAGCCTATAAGTACGAGGCAGGCCATGTTCATTTATATTAAGAAATATGTAGACTGCGAAATGAGGCAATCATATTTCTGAAGCCAGCCAATGCAAACCCTCCTTCTTTCAGAAGGGACGTCTCCCCAGGCAAAAAGAAAAAAAAAAAAAAAGTCAGCTTTGCAAGATCTCTTACCGTGAGCGGAAAATGCAGTTAAGAGAGCCGGCCAGCCAGGCTCCCGATGGCGGTGTGACGGGTGGCGTGGATGACGCTGGGAGAACCACGGGGAAGATGGGTGATACGATGCTCCTTCTAATTGACACCTCTAGGTCCAGGGCAAGTTAATGATGAGCTTGGACCGCGTTGCCACCGGTTCGAATGGCCTTTGCCAGTTTTCTCTGCACGGAGCAGCGTTCGGCTTCACATTTTTGCCTCTTAACTTCATCCACTTGGTCTGTTTCTGAAAAGCACCTTCTCCTCTGGCATGGAGCTTAGAATGTTGTGGCGGGTCATGGGGTCTGTCATTTTCTCTTATTTTAATTATTATTCATTTATTTATTTTTGAGACAGTGTCTCACTCTGTCACCCAGGCTGGAGTGCAGTGGTGCAATCTCAGCTCACTGCAACCTCCACCTCCCGGGTTCAAGCGATTCTCCTGCCTCAGCCTCCTGAGTAGCTGGTACTACAGGCATCCGCCACCACGCCCGGCTAATTTTTGTATTTTTAGTAGAGATGGGGTTTCACCATGTTAGCCAGAAAGGTCTCGATCTCTTGACCTCGTGATCCACCTGCCTCGGCCTCCCAAAGTGCTGGGATTACAGGCACCCGCCACCGCACCTGGCTAATTTTTTTTTTTGTATTTTTAGTAGAGACGGGGTTTCACCATGTTGGTCAGGCTGGTCTCGAACTCCTGACCTCAAATAATCCTCCCAAAGAGCTGGGATTACAGGTGTGTCATTTTTAAATTTTCATAGAGATGGGGTCCTGTTATATTGCTGAGGCTGATCTGGATCTCCCAGCCTCAAGCAATTATCTTGCCTCAGCCTCCCAAAGTGCTGGGATTACAAGTGTGAGCCACTGCGCCTGGGTCAGGCTCACGGAGTTTTTTATTTTTATTTTTTTTATTTTTTTTTGAGATGGCGTCTCACTCTGTCGCCCAGGCTGGAGTGCAATGGCACGATCTTGGCTCACTGCAACCTCTGCCTCCCAGGCTCAAGTGATTCTCCTGCCTCAGCCTCCCGAGTAGCTGGGATTACAGGCGCCCGTCACCTGCCTAATTTTTTCCTTTGTTTTTGAGACCAAGTCTTGCTCTGTCCCCCAGGCTGGAGTGCAATGGATCCATCTTGGCTCACTGCAACCTGTGCCTCCTGGGTTCACGCCATTCTTCTGCCTCAGCCTCCTGAGTAGCTGGGACTACAGGCGCCCGCCACCACGCCCGGCTAATTTTTTGTATTTTTAGTAGAGACGGGGTTTCACCATGTTAGCCGGGATGGTCTCGATCTCCTGACCTTGTGATCCGCCTGCCTCGGCCTCCCAAAGTGCTGGGATTACAGGCGTGAACCACTACACCTGGCTAATTTTTGTATCTTTAGTACAGATGGGGTTTCACCATGTTGGCCAGGCTGGTCTCGAACTCCTGACCTTGTGATCCACCCACCTGAGCCTCCCAAAGTGCTAGGATTACAAATGTGAGCCACTGCACCCAGCCCAGGCTCATGGAGTTTTTAGTAAGAGCTCATGCTCACAGCCTGTCTTAAGGGAGACCTTCTCCAGATCCTGGGTGGTGCCGTTTCATGGACAACAAATTCATTCTCAAAAAGCGTAGCCCCAGTGGAAGACCTTGGGTCCTTCCACTCGGAGTGTGTCAGTTCATCACCATAACCGTTTGTTGAGGTGTGTTCAAAACATCTATAGCCAAATTCCACAGGAGGAATGGGATGAGGACTCTAAGCTTCTGGACTTGATGTAGAAACCGGGTCTTTGCAGATGTCTTTAAGGGAAGGATCTGAAATGAGGTCATCCTGGATTAGGGTGGGTCTTAAATCCAATAACAGGTGTCCTTGTAAGGGACAGAAGAGGACCATAAATCTAATGACTACGGTCCTCCTAAGAGATGGAAGAGGAGACATAGACACAGGCACAGACACAGAGGAGAAGGCCACGTGGAGACGGAGGCAGCGACTGGAGTGATCCGGCCACAAGCCCAGGGACGCCTGGAGCCCCCAGGAGCTGGGAGAGGCAGGAAGGATCCTCCCCTAGAGCCTCCAGAGGGAACTTCTTATGGTTGAAGTGGATTGAACTATGGTACCCCCCAAAAATATGTTCATATTCTAACCCAAGAACCTGTGAAAGGAGGTAGAGACTGGAGTGATGGGGCCACAAGCCCAGGGATACCTGGAGCACCCAGAAGCTGGGAGAGGCAGGAAGGATCCTCCCCTAGAGCCTCCAGAAGGAACTGGATACAACTGAAGTGAAGTGAACCGTGGCCCCTCAAAAGACCTGTCCATGTATTGATCATCTGGAATCTGTGAATGGGACATTATTTGGAAATACGGTCTCTGCAGATGTGATTAAGTGGAAGATCTGGAGATGAGATCATCCTAGATTAGGGTGGACCATAAATCTAATGACAGGTGTCCTTCTAAGAGACAGAAGAGGAGACACAGACACAGAGGAGGAGGCCACGTGGAGACAGAGGCAGAGACTGGAGTGATGCAGCCACAAGCCCAGGGATGCCTGGAGCCCCCAGGAGCTGGGAGAGGCAGGAAGGATCCTCCCTTAGAGTCTCCAGAGGGAGCACAGCCCTGAGACTCCTTGACCTCAGACTCCTGGTCTCCAGGACTGGGAGAGGCAGGAAGGACCCTCCCTTAGAGCCTCTGGAGGGAGCATGGCCCTGAGACACGTTGACCTCAGACTCCTGGTCTCCAGGACTGGGAGAGGCAGGAAGGACCCTCCCTTAGAGCCTCTGGAGGGAGCATGGCCCTGAGACACCTGGACCTCAGACTTCTGGTCTCTATGGCTGGGAGAGGCAGGAAGTCTCCTCCTCAAGAGCCTCTGGAGGGAGCATGGCCCTGAGACTCCTTGACCTCAGACTCCTGGTCTCCAGGCCTGGGAGAGGCAGGAAGGACCCTCCCTTAGAGCCTCTGGAGGGAACATGGTCCTGAGACTCCTTGACCTCAGACTCTTGGTCTCCAGGACTTGACGGGGATGAATTCCTGCGGCATGCATCGTCATTCCTGGTCCTTTGTTACGGCTGACTCAGGAATCTAAGAAACTGACCTGCGGGGTTTTGCCCATCAGGATGGTGGCTTCTCCGGCTGTGGATTTGTTGCTTTTCCATCTTCTCTGCGGCTGACACTCTTACGGGGAGTAATGGTGCAGAGAATTTCGGTTGCCTCCCAGAGCTGCAGCCGGAAGACGCAAGGACCAACGAAAACATTTGCATCGTGGCTCTCTGTGAGGAAGAGTCCTGCTGTGAAAGCATTTTTATTCCGAAAGAGGATCATCTTTGGGAGCAGAACCATGGAAAAGTCTCTTTCGGCAGCCCACGGAATGATGGGCCGGCCACATTTTGGATACATCTCATGCTTCTTACTGTTTTCAAATGGTTTTGGCTTGAATGGAATTCCAAGCCCATTTTTTTTTTCCTCTTTCCCAAGTACTTTTTGTTCTTGAGTCTTGCAATCCTATGAATTCCAAGGGAAGCTGAATGTCTATCTTTTTGATACGTGGACACTGTCATCCTGCAAACAAAACCGTAGACGTCTTTGGGGGGGTCGTGAACTTGGCAGTGAAGTTCGAAGGTCTCCAGTGCTTCTCACATCCGAAGTCAGAGCCCACATTTCTCCGTCAGTTTGTAACCCTGGCAAAAGAAGGTCTTCGGCTTGCTTGTTTTCCTGAAAAACAGGAAGTTTTATTTTGCCAAGAATGAATGGAATGGGAAGCCAAAGCGTTTGATATGCACAAGGGAAAATGCAGGATTTTTTTGTGTGCAAAGTTTACGTGGGGCTACACACCCTATTTCCTCTTTCCTCACAATGATGCCACGAAATTGATTTTATTCCCTGCGGCTACTACATTTACCGTTCAAGTGCTGAATTCCTCCCCTCCCCTGCCCTCCCCACTCCCCTCCCCTGACCTCCCCCCTCCCCTCCCCTGCCCTCCCCATCCCCTCCCCCTCCCCCTCTACTCCCCCTCCTCCCATCCCATCTCCTTTCCCCCTCCCCCATCCCATCCCTCCCGTCCTCCCCTCCCCTCCCCTCTTCCCCTCCCCTCTCCTTCACCCCCTCACATCCCCTCCCCTCCCCTCCTACCCTCCCCTCCTCCCCTCTCCTTCCCCTTCCCCCCTCCCCTCCTCCCCTTCCCTCTGTTCCTCCCCTCCTCCCCTCCCCTCCTCCCCTCCCCTCCTCCCCTCCCCTCTCCTTTCCCACTCCCCCCTCCCATCCCCTCCTCCACTCCCCTCCTCCCCTACTCTCCTCCCCTCCTCCCGTCCCCTCCTCCCCTCCCCTCTTCTCTTCCCCTCCCCTCCCCTCCTCCCTCTCCTCCCCTTTCCCCCTCCCCCTTCCCATCCCCTCCCATCCTCCCCTCCCTCCCATCTTCCCCTCCCCTCCCCTCCTCTCTTCCCCTCCCCTCCCCTCCCCCACTTCTCACTCTCCTCCCCCCTCCCATCCCCTCCCCTCCTCTTCTCTTCTCTTCTTTTCTCTTCTTTTCTTTTTTTTCTTCTTCTTTTTTTTTTTTCTAATGGTCTTCCTCTGTCACCCAGGCTGGAGTGCAGTGGTGCGATCTTGGCTCACTGCAGCCTCCACCTCTCTGGCTCAAGAGATCCTTCCACCTCATCCTTCTGATTCTGTTACTTATTTTTATTTTTTTAATTAATTAATTAATCTTTTTTTTGAGATGGAGTCTGGCTCTGTTGCCCAGTCTGGAGTGCAGTGGCGCTACCTCGGCTCACTGCAAGCTCCACCTCCTGGGTTCACGCCATTCTCCTGCCTCAGCCTCCCGGGTAACTGGGACTACAGGCACCCGTCACCACACCCGACTAATTTTTGTATTTTTAGTAGAGACGGGATTTCACCGTGTTAGCCAGGATGATCTCGGTCTCCTGACCTCATGATCTGCCCTCCTCAGCCTCCCAAAATGCTGGTATGACAGGCATGAGCCACCGCGCCCAGCCTAATTAATTTTTTACATTTTACTTTAACTTCTGAGATACATGTGCTAATTAATTAATTTTTTAAATTTTACTTTAAAAAAGTCATACTTTACTTAAGTAAAAGTAAGTAAATGTGTGTTAACTAAACACATTCTGGGGTACATGTGCACAAAGCGCAGGTTAGTTACATATGTATACATGTGCCATGGTGGTTTGCTGCTCCTATCAACCCATTATCTAAGTTTTAAGCCCCACATGCACTAGGTATTTGTCCTAATGCTCTCCATCCTCTTGCCTTCTATCCCCCCACAGGCCCTGGTGTGTGATGTTCCCCTCCCTGTGTCCATGTGTTCTCACTGTTCAACTCCCACTTACGAGTGAGAACATGCAGTGTTTGGTTTTCTGAGGATGCGGAAAAATAGGAAAGCTTTTACTCTCGATGGTGGGAGGTGAATAAGTTCAACCATTGTGGAAGGCAGTGTGATGATTCCTTGAGGATCTAGAACAAGAAGTAACATTGGACCCAGCCATCCCATTACTGGGTATATACCGAAAGGATTGTAAATCATGCTGCTATAAAGACACATGCACACGTATGTTTATTGAGGCACTATTCACAATAGCAAAGACTTGGAACCAACCCAAATGTCCATCAACAATAGACTGGATAAAGAAAATGTGGCACACAGACACCATGGAATACTATGCAGCCATGAAAAAGGATGAGTTCATGTCCTTTGCAGGGACATGGATGAAGCTGGAAACCATCATTCTCAGCAAACTCACACAGGAACAGAAAACCAAACGCCACGTGTTCTCACTCATAAGTGGGAGTCAAACAATGACAACACATGGACACAGGGAGGGGAACATCACACACTGGGGGCCTGTTGGGGGGTGAGGGGCTAGGGGATGGAGGGCATTAGGACAAATACCTAATGTAGATGATGGGTTGATGGGTGCAGCAAACCACCATGACACATGCATACCTATGTAACAAACCTGCACGTTCTGCACTTGTACCCCAGAACTTAAAGTAAAATTTAAAAACAAACAAACAAACAAAAAAACAAAGGCCAGGCCTGGTGACTTACACCTATAATCCCAGCACTTTGGGAGGCCAAGGTTAGGAGTTTGAGACCAGCCTGGACAACATAGCAAAAGCCTGTCTCTACTAAAAATACAAAAAAAAATTAACAGGGAGTGGTGGTGGGCACCTGTAATCCCAGCTACTTGGGAGGCTGAGGCAGGAGAATCACTTGAACCCGGGAGGCCGAGGTTGCGGTGAGCCGAGATCGTGCCATTGCACTCCAGGCTGGGCGACAGAGTGAGACTCTGTCTCAAAAAATAAATAAATAAATAAATGTAAAAAAATAAAAATAGGTCGGGCACGGTGGCTCACGTCTGTAATCCCAGCACTTTGGAAGGCCGAGGTGGGTGGATGACAGGGTCAAGAGATTGAGACCATCCTGGCCAACATGGCAAAATGCCGTCTCTACTAAAAAATACAAAAATTAGGCGGGCGTGGTGGCGGGTGCCTGTAATCCCAGCTACTCGGGAGGCTGAGGCAGGAGAATCGGTTGAACCCGGGATGCGGAGGTTGCAGTGAGCGGAGATCACATCACTGCACTCCAGGCTGGGCAACAAGAGCGAAACTGCGTCTTACAATAAATAAATAGATAAATAAATAAACAAATAAACTTTACTTTAGAAACAAATCCCTGTCCGTGTTTGTCTTTTCACCTGTCCTGCAGGGAAAACAAAACATAAAATGTCAAGGCAAATAGTAGTGATTTCATTCCGGGAAAAAGAAAGTGGATGTTTGCCTTCACCCTTTCTCGTCCTTCCTCTGGTGCTCCTCAGGCCCAGGGAGAGGGTGGAAAGTCAGAGGAAGAAAGACGGGGCTGGGGGGGGGGGGGTCCGTGGGGACCCAGGCAGGCATGTTCCCATTTCCTGTCTTCACTTCAAAGAGGGGCCCCTCGCTCTGGAATGAGGCCTACGGTTTCCTTTCCCGAAGAGTTCCCCTTTGTGAGCTTACGGCTTCGGAGTGAACCTCGGTGCAACCTGTTATTAAAACACACAGAGGCTAATGCCAGCAAAAACACGCCCCCCGCTCCTGGTTTCAGAGGGAAGAAAAAAATTCATAAGCACGGCCATGCTTTTCTAATAAAAATTCATTAAATAATCGTTATAAGGGATGAAGCCGGGAGGGGAGAGGAGAGGAACACAATCAAGAGACTTTCTTTGAACTTTTTCTCCCTGCTTCAAATACAAAGCAATCTTCTGTGGGCCTGGGCCTGGGGGGTTTCCCCCTTTCTCTGCAGCCCATTGGGAGGAAGAAAATGCTTCCCTGAAGTTGCTGCAAAATTGTTTCTGTTTTTCTTCTCTTTTTCTTTTTTTTTTTTTTTTTTGAGACGGAGTCTCGCTCTGTCACCAGGCTGGAGTGCAATGGTATGATCTCAGCTCACTGCAACCTCCACGTTCCTGTTTCAAGTCATTCTCCTGCCTCAGCCTCCTGAGTAGCTGGGACTACAGGCGCCCGCCACCACGCCCGGCTAGTGTTTGTATTTTTAGAAAAGACAGGGTTTCCCCATGTTGGCCAGGCTGGTCTTGAACTCCTGTCCTCAAGTGATCTGCCTGCCTCGGCCTCCCAAAGTGCTGTGTTTCTGTTTTCCTTTCCCCCCTTTCTTAGGAGGCCGTCGGGAAGAATAAAATGCTTTCCTTGAAGTTGATGCAAAATTGTTTCTGTTTTTCTTTTCTCTTTTCTTTCTTTTTGAGATGGAGTCTCGCTCTTTCACCCAGGCTGGAGGGCAGTGGCGCGACCTCGGCTCACTGCAACCTCCGCCTCCCGGGTTCAAGCGATTCTCCTGCCTCAGCCTCCGGAGTAGCTGGGATTACAGGCACCTGCCACTATGCCTGGCTAATTTTATTATTTTTAGTAGAGACGGGGTTTCACCATGTTGGCCAGGCTGGTCTCAAACTCCTGACCTCAGGTGATCCGCCCGCCTCGCCTCCCAAAGTGATGGGATGACAGGCATGAGCCACCGTGCCCGGCCCTCTAACTCTTTACCAGACATAAAGTCTCCTTCCCCTTTCTAAATGTATATATTGTGTTTTTAAAAGTTAACAGCAGGGATCCCACCTCATTCCCCGCTCTCTCCCCAAGACCTGTCCTGCACGTTGCACACAGCAGGTGTGCCCTGGACATATCCCAAACCCACGCTGAAAGAAAGAGGGTCTCACTACACGTATGATATCTGTGATCCTTTAAACATCTCCGTGGCTTCCAGGCAACACAGCCATAAATAGGAATCTCATGTCTGACATGATACCGGGACCATGTATGGGAAATTCTGGGTGTGAAGTTCCAGCTACCCCCGCAGAGGCACCATTGCATACCCTCCAGAAACTCCCCTGCCGTTCAAGCCAAAGACACAACACAAACAGCTCCGAGAGAGGGTGTCATTGAAAATCAATACCATCATAAGAGCACACAGCACCGTCTTTCTCTTCTGCCCGTTGATACACAATTATGAGCAATTTGCTAACACTGACAACTCGTGGCAAGAACAGGTCGTGTTGATACGGTTGCCTCGTGAGGACCCATCTGTCTTCTGGGGTCTTGCCTGGAACGGAGATCGGAGTTCAGGGTGGCTAATAGAATCATTACTCACCTAGGGACACAGAATATGAGGGTTACCCCCAGTTAAGTGCATACAGTCAAACGGACGGCTGCTCTGGAAGGTACAGTGACGTGAACAGCTTTTATGAAATGCCTAGATCTGGACCTTCCATACCTGAGCCACCGTTCCAAAGCACTGGGCGTTTTTCAGATACTTTCATGAGAAATGTTGTCAACACCGCAAGTTTGCAGTACACAGTCTGAAAGATATTCTTGTATATGTAGATGTCTGTAGATGCCCTGAAGGTGTGTAGACTTTAGACACCCAGAAGGTGTGTAGATGTCTGTAGACACCTTCTATGTGTGTAGATGTCTGTAGACGCCCTGCAGGTGTGTAGATATATCTAGATGGTCTGCCTGTGTATGATACAGGCTAAAAAGACATTTGTGGTGGACACTAGTTGATTATTTAGGACTATGAGATGGGAAAGGAAGAGCAACCAGCAGTGAAAGGCATGTGGTGGGTGGGGGGTTGGCATTGCAGTGGGGTCCTCTGAGCAGGTGACACCCACTATAGGGCTGCCCTTGGATGGACGCTTTGTGAAGCTGTTTGATTTCACCACACCAAGCCTGGAGGCACGGACATTCCAGGATGGTGAGGAGTCTGCAAAGGAGGAGATTGGAGGAGGTGCAATATCCCTAGAGTACGAGAGATGAGATAGGAGAGCTGTATAAATAGCACTACCAGCCGGATGCGGTGGCTCACGCCTGTCATCCCAGCACTTTAGGAGGCTGAGGCAGGCGGATCACCTGAGGTCAGGAGTTCCAGAACAGCCTGGCCAACACAATGAAACCCCATCTCTACTAAAAATACAAGATTAGCTGGGCACGGTGTCTCACGCCTGTCATCCCTGCACTTTGGGAGGTCGAGGTGCGCAGATCATGAGGTCAGTCTGGCCAACGCGGCGAAACCCCGTCTCTACTAAAAATACAAAAAAGTAGCCGGGCGTGGTGATGGGCACCTGTAGTCCCAGCTACTAGGGAGGCTGAGGCAGGAGAATCGCTTGAACCCGGATGCGGACATTGCAGTGAGCCGAGATCACACCACTGCACTCCAGCCTGGGGGACAGAGCGAGACTCCATCTTAAAATAAAATAGAATAAAATGCCAGTGATATGACAATACGCTGAACCCCAGGATGGACCCGTGGGATAGTCAAGGAATGTGGAGGTTGGGAGAGCCGTGGATATCAGAGACAAAAGGAGGGAAGAGGGCCAGGCGCGGCGGCTCACCCCTGTCATCCCAGCACTTTGGGAGGCCGAGGCGGGCGGATCACGAGGTCAGGAGATTGAGACCATCCTGGCTAACACGGTGAAACCCCGTCTCTACTAAAAAATACAAAAATTAGCTGGGCATGGTGGCGGGCACCTGTAATCCCAGCTCCTCAGGAGGCTGAGGCAGGAGAATGGCTTGAACCTGGGAGGCGGAGGTTGCAGTGAGCCGAGATCACACCACTGCACTGCAGCCTGGGTGACAGAGCGAGAGTCTGTCTCAAAAAAAAAAAAAAAAAGGTGTTGCTGAGACCCCACTGCTGGTCAGGGAGGCACAGATGAGGCAGAGACCCCAAGGTTGGAACCTAGAGGGCTCCTCGTTGCAGTGTTGGAGTAAGGGTAAAAAATCAGATCCCAGTGAATAAAGGAGCCAGCTGGGGAAGGATCGCAAGTCACCGTCATTGAATTAGGGCCCACCCTCCTCCAGTACAACCTCATCTCAACCTCATTACATCTGCAAACACCCTATTTCTCAATAACACCCCATTCACAGGTAGTAAGGGTCCGCAGACATATCTCTTGGGGGGATAAAAAATTAACCCACTACCTGCTCTTAGACTATAGTACAGAGGAGACCATCCCTCTCCCAAGAACAGATCACAGGACAGATCTGGTCATAAGTGGCACGTCTTTCCCTTTTTGCCATGGCTGCCGGGAAGCCCAGAGCTGAGGTCACCCCTCCACGAAAGTCATTCTCTGAATGGACCTGCCTCAGTCTTGACCTCTGCTCCTATGGTAGTTAATGATTTCATTTTGTGTGTTTTTTTTTTGTTTTGTCTTGTTTTGTTTTTTGAGATAGACTTTAGCTCTGTTCCCCCTGCTGGAGTGCAATGACGCGATCTCACCTCTGTTACCCAGGCTGGAGTGCAGTGGCACCATCTTGGCTCACGACAACCTCCGCCTCCCAGGTTGAAGTGATTCTCCTGCCTCAGCCTCCCGAGTAGCTGGGATTACAGGTACCTGTCACCACAGCTGGCTAATTTTTTAATTTTTTATTTTTAGTATAGATGGGGTTTTGCCATGTTGGCCAGGCTTGTCTTGAACCCCTGACCTCAGGTGATCACCTTTTGCCTCGGCCTCCCAAAGTGCTGAGATGACAGACGTGAGCCACTGGGCCCTGCAATTTTATGTGTTTTGTTGTAAGCCTTCTCAGGATTTTGGAAAGATGATGATGAATGAATCAAGGAATGAAAGTTTAAAAGGTAGAAACAAAAAGAAAGTAAAGGCCAGGCATGCTGGCTCATGCCTGTCATCCCAGCACGTTGGGAGGCCAAGGCAGGAGGATCACTGGAGGCCAGAATTTAAACAGCAGCCTGGGCAACATAGCGACACCACGTCTTTACAAAGGCACAAAAATATTAGCCTGGCACGGTGCATGCATCTGTGGTCCCAGCTACTCAGAAGGCTGAGGTGGGAGGAGGGCGTGAGCCAGGGAGTCGGAGGCTGCTGTGAGCTCTGATGGCACCGGTGCACTCTAGCCTGAGTCACAGAGCAAGAGCCTAGTTCTTTAAAAAGAAAAAGAAAGAGGAAAAGAAAGAGAAAGAAAGTAAAAACAAAAAGAGAAAGAAAGAAAGAAAAACGAGAAAGAGAAAGAAAAAAATAAGAAGGAAGGAGTAAGGAAGGAAAAAAGAAAAAGAAAGCAAGAAAGGAACGGAGAGAGAGAGAAAGGAAAGAAAGAAAGAAAGGGAGGGAGGGAACGAAGGGAGGAAGAAAGAAAGAAAGACAAGAAAGAAAGAAGAAAAACAAAGAAAAAGAAAGAAGGAGAAAGAAAGGAAGGAAGGAGGAAGGAAGGAAGAAAGGAAGGAAGGAATGAAGGGACTGCTCAGGCCCTGGTGGCAAAAACTGTGTAAGTCCCAGTTCCCTGATCTTGATAAATTGAGCCACCATCAGGGCAAAACACGGGCTCCCCTGCGTCCCTGCCTTCCCCTCCCTCCTGGACCATTTCTGAGTGTGGCCCCATTTCCTGGCTGTGGATTCCTCCAGGGATATGCTGGGTCCATGTCCCAGCTCTGTAATAGGGCAGCAGCCCCAGGTTACCACGCCCAGCCCTTTCTTTTTCTTTTTCTTTTCTTTTCTTTTTTTTTTTTGAGAGAGAGCAAGAGCCCTGTTTCCTGAGAGCCCGTGACACATGTGGGGAGCTAATCTCCCTCCTGAAAGGAGAGCTGTGTTCCTGCAAGCCTGCCTTCCGAGGTATACCTGGGGAAGGCCATTTGTTATTGTCGGCCCGGTGAGATGATACCTTCCAAGGGTGGATTTAGAAGGAGAAGGGTGCCCCGGCACGCCTTCTCACAAGCTGCTTTGTTCTGGTGGAGACAGCAGGCGTGTGACCCCCGGGTAGGGCCCATCCAGCGTCTGGAGGCCTTTTGTCTCTTTATGACGACGTGTGCAGGGAGGGGGCTGGCTCTGCTGCTTCTTGGAGGAGCAGAGCCTGTGTTTCACGAATGAAGCTCACCATAAAAAACATCCAACGAGAGACGAGAATTCGATCCGGTGCTACCTGAGGGCCCCAGAGGTGTGATGACGGCCACTTTAGGGCCGGGGCCCAGTTCCTTGCTGGGAAACTGAACAGAGACGCAGATTTTTAAGGTCAGGGTGCAAGGTGGTTTTTATAAAAATGCCAGTGAGGGCCAGACGCAATGGCTCACGCCTGTCATCCCAGCACTTTGGGAGGCTGAGGCGGGCAGATCACGAGGTCAGGAGTTCAAGACCAGCCTGGCCAAGACGGTGAAACCCCGTCTCTACTAAAAATACAAAAATTAGCCGGGTGTGGTGGCGGGTGCCTGTAGTCCCAGCTACTCGGGAGGCTGAGGCAGGAGACTCGCTTGAACCCGGGAGGCGGAGGTTGCAGTGAGCGGAGATCACACCACTGCACTCCAGTCTGGGCGACAGAGCGAGACTGTCTCAAAATAAAATAAAATAAATAAAATAAAATAAAATAAAATAAAATAAAATAAAATAAAATAAAATAAAATGCCAGTGATAAGACAATACGCTGAACCCCGGGTTGCACCTGTGGGATAGTCAAGCAATGTGGACGTTGGGAGAACGTGGATATCAGAGACAAAAGGAGCGAAGAGTGCCAGGCATGGTGGCTCACGCCTGTCATCCCAGCCCTTTGGGAGGCCGAGGCGGGCAGATCACCAGGTCAGGAGGTCAAGACCAGCCTGGCCAAGATGGTGAAACCCCATCTCTACTAAAAATACAAAAATTAGCCGGGCGTGGTGGCTCACGCCTGTCATCCCAGCTCTTTGAGAGGCCGAGGCAGGTGGGTCACGAGGTCAGGAGATCGAGACCATCCTGGCTAACACGGTGAAACCCCATCTCTACTAAAAACACAAAAAAATTAGCCGGGCGTGGTGGCGGGCGCCTGTAGACCCAGCTGCTCGGGAGGCTGAGGCTGGAGAATTGCCTGAAGCTGGGAGGCAGAGGTTGCAGGGAGCAAAGATCATGCCACTGCACTCCAGCCTGGGCGACAGAGCAAGACTCCATCTCAAAATAAAATAAAATAAAATGCCAGTGATATGACAATATGCTGAACCCCGGGTTGGGATAGTGAAGGAACGTGGAGGCTGGGAGAGCCGTGGATATCAGAGACAAAAGGAGGGAAAAGGTGTCTTGTAACTGGACGAGAGCGTGTGGAGAGGCTGGGGTGGAGAGGAGGTTTATGCAAAGATTTGACACCCGGTCCTGGGGATGCCGAGTTCCAAGGGCAACCGGATTTCGGAGTTTGGAGAGCTTGGGACCCACGCGGCCAGCAGCCGGCCTCAGGGCTTGGTAGGAAGAGCCACAACTGTTCATCGTCTGGTCGTGGACATTGAGTCCCCAGGGCAGCCTCCCACTGCTGTGAGGGCCATGGGTTCAGAGAGACCCTCTGGCCACTTCTCCACAGGCAGGCCCGGTCTTGTCTGCACCAGAAAGATGGATTTCTCCCTGGAAGTCTGTGCCCATCTGCGTTCCCTCTGCAGGGACATGGGGTACCCAGGAAGAAAAGGACATTCAGGCAGCCCCCAACCGTAGAACTGCCAGCTCCTGGTTTCAACGTGGAAGGTGTCTGTGAGATGAATCCCTCCTTGTATTGAACCCCAAACCTCTCCTTTCTACCCCCCAACAGTAGAACTGCCAGCTTTTGGTTCTGATGTGGAGGGTGCCTGCAAGATGAATACCTCCTCGTCTCAAACCCCAAACCTTTCCTTTCTACCCGCCAGAGGCAGAACTCTCAGCATTTGGTTCCGATGTGGAGGATATCTATGAGATGTTTACCTCCTTGTCTCAAACCCCAAACCTCTCCTTCCTACCCTCCAAAGATAGAACTCTCAGCATTTGGTTCTGATGTGGAGAGTGTCTATGACATGTTTACCTCCTTGTCTCAAACCCCAAACCTCTCCTTTCTACTCCCCAAGAGTAGAACTACCAGCTTTTGGTCCTGACGTGGAGGGTGCCTGCAAGATGCATACCTCCTTGTCTGGAACCCCAAATCTTTCCTTTCTGCCCCCCAACAGTGGAACTTCTCCCAGCATTTTGTTCCCAGGTGGAGGGTGTCTGGGAGACGTTTACCTCCTTGTCTCAAACCCCAAACCTCTCCTTTCTACCCCCCAACAGTAGAACAACCAGCTTTTGGTCCTGATGTGGAGGGTGCTTGCAAGATGTATGCCTCCTTGTCTGGAACCCCAAATCTTTCCTTTCTGCCCCCCAACAGTGGAACTTCTCCCAGCATTTTGTTCCCAGGTGGAGGGTGTCTGGGAGACGTT
Source organism: Homo sapiens (assembly GCF_000001405.40). NCBI lineage: Eukaryota > Metazoa > Chordata > Mammalia > Primates > Hominidae > Homo > Homo sapiens. Next base: position 678,541 of record NC_000023.11, read on the forward strand.
TACCTCCTTGTCTCAAACCCCAAACCTCTCCTTTCTACTCCCCAAGAGTAGAACTACCAGCTTTTGGTCCTGACGTGGAGGGTGCCTGCAAGATGCATACCTCCTTGTCTGGAACCCCAAATCTTTCCTTTCTGCCCCCCAACAGTGGAACTTCTCCCAGCATTTTGTTCCCAGGTGGAGGGTGTCTGGGAGACGTTTACCTCCTTGTCTCAAACCCCAAACCTCTCCTTTCTACCCCCCAACAGTAGAACAACCAGCTTTTGGTCCTGATGTGGAGGGTGCTTGCAAGATGTATGCCTCCTTGTCTGGAACCCCAAATCTTTCCTTTCTGCCCCCCAACAATGGAACTTCTCCCAGCATTTTGTTCCCAGGTGGAGGGTGTCTGGGAGATGTATACCTCCTCATCTGAAACCCCAAACCTTCCCTTTCTACCCCCCAACAGTAGAATAACCAGCTTTTGGTCCTGACGTGGAGGGTGCCTGCAAGATGTATACCTCCTTGTCTGGAACCCCAAATCTTTCCTTTCTGCCCCCCAACTGTAGAACTTCTCCCAGCATTTTGTTCCGAGGTGGAGGGTGTCTGGGAGACGCATACCTCCTTGTCTTGAACCCCAAACCTTCCTTTTGTGCCATTTCTGGGACTCTTCCAAGGGGAAATAAGAAAGGCATCGGTAGAAGATTCTGAAGGCGTGTGTGCATTCACCAGGCTGCTCTGAGACACTCTCAGATTCACGCCGCCTGGCCAGGGGCCCGATTCCTAAAGGTGAAAGGCCAGGGCATTAGCTGGAACCCGCCACTTCAGAACCATAAACCGAGCGTCTGGCTGCAGAAGGAGCTGTCAAACATGATAAAGACGCCGTTCAACCGTTTTAAACAGCCGGCCCCCCTCTCCTTGGGTAGACGCCATTGTGGAAGACGGGACGTAAAACACACAACTGTCACTCTGCATTAGAGACTGGAAGGTTTTTGCTACGCAGTTTTCAAGATCAGCAATTACTGCCTGACAGGCACGCGATTGTTTCCAGTTAATATTTCCTGGTTGCTTTCAAAGCACGTGCCGTGGGCATGTGTGTGTGTACGCGTGCATGTGTGTGTGTGTCTGTGCCTGTGTGTGTGCACGCATGTGTGTCTCTGTGTGTGCACGTGTGTGTCTCTGTGTGTGCACACGTGTATGCCTCTGTGTGTGCACGTATGTGTGTGTCTCCGTGTGCGTACGTGTGTGTGCACGTGTTTTGTCTGTGTGTGCATGCGTGTGTCTGTGTGTGCACGTGTGCGTGTCTGTGTGTGTGCGTGTGTGTGCGCACGTCGGCATGCACGTGTGTGTCTGTGTGTGTGCACATGTATGTCTTCACGTGTGTCTGTGTGTGCACTTGTATATCTTCACGTGTGTGTCTGCATGTGTGCACGTGTGCGTCTGTGTGTGCACGTCTGCATGCATGTGTGTGCACTTGTATGTCTTCATGTGTGTGTCTGTGTCTGTGCACGTGTGTGTGTGTGTGCACAGGCTCTCCTGGTTCAACATTCCTGCAGGCACTGGTGTCTTCATGTTTTGCAAAGTGCGGAGGTGCCTGAGGTATGCGATTGTGTCCAGTTAATATTTCCTGCTTTTAAAGCACGTGCTTGTGGGCATATGTGTGTGTGCATGTGTGTGCGCACATGTGCGTCTGTGTGTGCACGTCTGCATGCACGTGTGTCTGTGTGTGTGCACATGTATGTCTTCACGTGTGTCTGTGTGTGCACTTGTATGTCTTCACGTGCATGTCTGCATGTGTGCATGTGTGCGTCTGTGTGTGCACGTCTGCATGCATGTGTCTGTGCACTTGTATGTCTTCGTGTGTGTCTGTGTGTGCACGTGTGTGTCTGTGTGTGCACGTGTGTGTGTGTGTGCAGGCTCTCCTGGTTCAACATTCCTGCAGGCACTGGTGTCTTCATGTCTTGCAAAGTGCGGAGGTGCCTGAGGTACCTGGAGTCTGCCCAGAACTCAAACACGCACGTACCCAGGGTGGCTTCCGTGGAGAAGCTTTGCAGGGACGGAAACAGCTTCCGGAGATGTCTGGCTTGGGCTGTGTCCATCAGTGAAGATGCGTTGGAGGCTTTTTTTTTTTTTTTGAGACGGAGTCTCACTCTGTTGCCCACGTTGGAGTGCAGTGGCGCGACCTCGGCTCACTGCAACCTCCGCCTCCCGGGTTCACGCCATTCTCCTGCCTCAGCCTCCTGAGTAGTGGGGATTTCAGGCATGCATCACCACGCCCGGCTAATTTTTGTATATTTAGTAGAGACGGGGTTTCACCGTGTTGGCCAGGCTGGTCTTGAACTCCTGACCTTATGATTCACCCGCCTCAGCCTCCCAAAGTGCTGGGATGACAGGCGTGAGCCACCGCGCCCGACCTACACTGAGAGACTTATAAACAACAGAAATTTGGTTTCACTGTTGTGGAGGCTGGAAATGCCAGATCAAGGCCTGGCAGGGTCAGCGCCTACTGAGAACCGACCTCCTGTGCTCTCATGTGGTGGAAGGGGCGAGGAAGCTCTCTGGGGTCCCTTTTATAAGGGCACTGATCCCATTCATGAGAGGGTCCCACCTCCTAACACCATCTCTCGGGGGTGAGGATTCAATGTGGGAATTTACGGGTCATGCAAACATTCAGTCCACTGCAGGCACGTTTCTTCCCATGCCGGTGGATGGCAGAGCCGGCTGCACAGTTTGTGGGGTGCAGAACAGAAGAAGGACCTTTTGTTCTAAAAGTGACTCAGGGTTTTAAGATGGCAACCTCTTAGCATTCAACGAAGCACAGGGCCCGTCCTGGTGCGATTTCTGTCCAATCATACAGCTTGCACGTCCACGAAGCCAGCCCTGGGTGGGGGAGACACATATGTGTCTGGATGAAATGTCTCCAATTCATGCCTTCTAGGTAAATTCCAGAGGGCTGATGTAGGTACACCAGGCAGAGAGAGAGACTTAGAGAGAGAGAGAGAAAGGGAGAGAGAAAGAGACAGAGAGACAGAGAGAGAAGGAGAGAGAGAGTGAGAGAGAGACAGAGAGAGAAAGAGGCAGACACAGAAAGAGCAGGAGAGAGAGAAAGGGAAAGAAAGAGAGAAAGAAAGGAAGAGAGAAAAAGAGGGAGAGAAGAGACAGAGAGAAAGACACAGAGAAAGAGAGTGAGAGAGAGACAGAGAGAGAGATGGAAAGAGAGAGAAAGAGACAGAGAGAATCAGAGACAAAAAGAGAGAGAGGGAGAGAGAGACAGAAAGAGAGAAAGAAAGAGAGCGGTGATCATGCCACTTATAATAATAAGAAAGAGAGAGAAAGAGCAAGAGAGGTAGAAGGAGAAAGGAAGAGAGAAAGAGGAGAGAAAAGAGAGAGACAGAGAAAGAGGGAGAGAGAAAGAGAGGGAGAAAGAGAGACAGAGAGTAAGACAGAAAGAGAGAGAGAAAGGGAGAGACAGAGAAAGGGAAAGAGAGACAGACGCAGAGAGACAGAGACAGAGAGGGAGAAGGAGACAGAAAAAGGGAAAGAGAGAGAGAAAGAAAGAGAGAAGGAGAGAAGAGAGAGAGACAGAAAGACACACACACAGAAAGAGACAGAGAAAGCAAGAGAGAGAAAGAGAGAGAGAGACAGAGAGAGAGAAAGAGAGAGAGAGGAAGAGAGAGAGACAGAGAGACAAAACGAGAGAAAGAAAGAGAAAGAGAGTGGTGATCATGCCACTTATAATAATAAGAAAGAGAGAGAGAGACAAAGAGGGAGAGAGAGAAAGAGCGAGAGAGGTAGAAAGAGAAAGGAAGAGAGAGAAGGAGAGAAAAGAGAGAGAAAGAGGGGGAGAAAGAGAGAGAGAGAGAGTGAGAGAGAGAGAAAGAAAGAGAGAGATACGGCCTGGCGTGGTGGCTCACGCCTGTCATCCCAGCACTTTGGGAGGCTGAGGCGGGCAGATCACGAGGTCAGGAGATCGAGACCATCCTGACTAACACGGTGAAACCCCGTCTCTACTAAAAATACAAAAAAATTAGCCGGGCATGGTGGCGGGTGCCTGTAGTCCCAGGTACTCAGGAGGCTGAGGCAGGAGAATGGCGTGAACCTGGGAGGCGGAGGTTGCAGTGAGCCGAGATCGTGCCACTGCACTCTGGCCTGGGTGAAAGAGCAAGAGTCGTCTGTCTCAAAAAAAAAAAAAAAAAAAAAAAAGGGAGAGAGAGAGACAGAAACAGAGACAGAGAGAGAGAAAGAGAGAGAGATCTGGGGCAACTTCTGAGATGCAAGCAGGAATGGAGATGGAAACCTGTAGGATCCCGAGCAAAGAAGTGGATTAAAATCACCCACGGCTTACCAGTAGCATTGGATAGAGTCACAGCTCGTAGAGTGAGAACACGGAAAGAAAAAATTCCATTGAATGCATTGATGACCTGTCCATGACAAAATCCTTCCTGCATAGAACGTGCAAAGCCAAAGCATTCGACCAAACAGTCTTGGATTCTTGGTTCAACTGGAGCTGCTGATTGGAGCCTTCAAAAAAAAATTGCCTTTTAATTGTATGAAGGGTAAAGTGCATCCCACATGTGGCCCAAGACAACGCACGTGATCTGTTTGGTTACAACATAGGTCCGTGGACGTCTAGCCGACTATCTGGCAGACTCAGGCAAGAGCCACCTCCAATGATGGGCTTTTCATCATGGGTACACCTGTGCTGTGATTGTCTCAGAATCATGACTGTCTCAGAATCATTATGGCTGCTCTAGAAGAAACTCTGTCACCCAGGCTGGAGTGCAGTGGTGTCATCACGGCTCACTGCAACCTCAACCCCTCGGGGCTGCAGCAATCCTCCTACCTCAGCTTGCCAAGTAGCTGCGACTCCTGACGTGTGACATGTACCCGGGTGATTTTTGTATTTTTTTTTTTAGACATGGGGTCTTGCTATGTTGCCCAGGCTGGTCTCAAACTTCTGAGCTCATGGCATTTGCCCGCCTCAGCCTCCCAAAGTGCTGGGATTACAGGTGTGAGCCACTGCATCTCCCACCAGAATTATATTTTGGAAATATATTTGGAAAACCATTCAGGCTCCAGTGTGGAGACTGGATTGCAGGGGAGGGCTGGTTTAATAGGAGGAAGAGATATCCAGAGGCAAGAGTTGTTTCCTCCGGGGAGGAGGTGGTAACCGTCAGAACAGCGCTGGCCCGTGGAAGGCAGAGAAACAGATGCATTTCAATGCGGCTGTATCGAGAGGCCGGAATGGCTGATTGTACTGTCTTTTGGTTCACAGGTGTGGGCCATTGTGATGAAATCACCAAGGCGTTCAGAGCCAACTTCATTGTTCAGAGGCAGGCATTGCATGAGGCTGCTAGCAGGGGTGGGAATAGAACACAGATCCTCCAACATGCTTCCTGCTACCAGGTGTCATGAAGCCAAATGTCCACTGAGATGGACTGCAACCATCCCACACACCCCTGTTTGAAATGCTTGTTCCCCTGTGCCATCAAGAAACAGCACTTGAACATAATTTTAATTTATTTAGTAAGGCCATTTTTATACTTTCTGCAGAAAGGGTACACTCACCAGCAGTTCTGCCATGAGAGTACAGCGAACAAAGGGGACAGGGTCGTTTATAACCTGACGCGTCCACCCTACTGCCGTGTCCGGTTTCCATTGGCTGGAACGGGACCTCACATTCTGTATTTGTCCCGACTGGCCAGCAACTTAGAACTTTTAAAAAGAAGCAAAGGTAGAGGAGAACAAAGGAAGGAGGAAGTAATTTGTGGAATGCTGAGAAAGGTAAAAGCACTTTTAAATAAAGAAGAGGAACAGGCTATGACGTAATGCTTGCTTGGACCAGTATAAGCATGCCAGGACAAATATTTAGGCTAAATTGTGGGAGCTAAGAACATAAAGTACATTGATTTCTTTATTACGGCCAGCAGATATTTAAGAACGTTAGCACAGTTCTTTGCATAAATTTTGCTTCTAAGAGAAGTTACTATTTATTCCTAATTAGACGGGGAGGGAAGTCTTTGAAGAGGAACCTCTATTTTACTTTTTACACCCCAAATTCAAGCTCTCAGTGCTTTAACCCAAGACAAAAAAAAAAGCACCAACCACCTTCATTTTTTTTTAGAATGACCCAGGATAGAGATGACTGTGGTCTCAACTGTTGCAAAGTAGACCTCATTCTGTAAGGAGCTCCTGTAACCCTGATACTAAGAGAATGCAGAGGGTTTCCTTTCCTTTTCTTTCTTTTCTTTTCTTTTCTTTTTTTTTTTTTTTGACATACGTTGTAAATTTTTTTCTCCCCCTCTGGCTCTGTTCCACTCTGGATTTGATTAATTACCAAGGTGTTTGGAAAGGTTCTCTGTGCTGTGGGGACTAGGCAATTGATTTACAAAGTGTGTACACGGTCTTTCATTCAACAATTGTAAATTCCCATCAAAGGAAGTCATTTGCACGGGCGTTCCGGTTCACGGATTGTAGCCAAAGCCCTCATGTTGGGGACACAACCCATTTTTGTTAACATAAGTGTGTGGGTTTCAATATGATTGCAATTATTATATGCAATCATATAATAATTGTGTGGCCTCTAAGTTCACACTGCAGATAAACAATGACAAGCTGTGTTTTGCAGGTTTTTGGCTAAACCAACTGACAGGGTTTGGCTGTGTCCCCACCCAAATCTCATCTTGAATTGTAGCTGCCACAATTCCCACGTTTCATCGGAAGGACCCAGTGATAGGTAATTGAATCGTGGGGGGCGGGGCTTTCCCGTGCTGTTCTCGCGATAGAGAATAAGTCTCACGAGATCTCACGGTTTTATAAAGGGGGCGGCCCCTCCACAAGCTTCTTGCCGGCTGCCATGGAAGACGTGGCTTTGCTCCCTCTTTGCCTTCCACCGTGATTGTGAGGCCTCCCCAGCTATGCAGAACTGTGAGTTCATTAAAACTCTTTCCTTTATAAATTACCCAGTTTCAGATATGTCTTTTTCTTTTTCTTTCTTTCTTTCTTTCTTTCTCTTTCTTTCTTTTTCTTTTCTTTCTTTTCTTTCTTTCTTTCTTTCCTCCCTTCCTTCCTTTCCTCCTTTCTTTTCTTTTTCTTTCTTTCTTTCTTTCTTTCTTTCCTTCCTTCCTTCTTTCTTTCTTTCCTGCTTTCTTTTCTTTCTTTCTTTGTCTTTCTTTCTTTCCTTTCTTCTTTCTTTCTTTCCTCCTTTCCTTTCTTTCTTTCTTTCTTTCTTTCTTGGTCTTTCTTTCTCTTTCTCTTTCTTTCTTTCCTTCCTTCCTTCTTTCTTTCTTTTTCTTCCCTTCCTTCCTTTGTCTTTCTTTCCTCCTTTCTCTCTTTCTTTCTTTCCTCCTTTCTTTCTCTCTTTCTTTTCTCCTTTCCTTTCTTTCTTTCTTTCTTTCTTTCTCTTTCTTCCTTTCTTTCTCTCTATCTCTCTTTCCTTCCTTCCTTCTTCTTCTTTCTTTCTCTCTGTCTCTTTCTTTCTCTTTCTTTCTTTTTTTCTTTCTATTTATTTATTTTGAGACAGAGCCTTGCTCTGATGCCCAGGCTGGAGTGCAATGGCATGATCTCAACTCACAGCAACCTCCGCCTCCAGGGTTCAAGCTATTCCCCTGCCTCAGCCTCCCGAGTAGCTGTATTTATAGGCATGCACCACCTCGCCTGGCTAATTTTGTATTTTTAGTAAAGGCAGGGTTTCACCATATTGGTCAGGCTGGTCTTGAACTCCTGGCCTCAGGTGATCCGCCTGCCTCGGCCTCCCAAAGTGCTGGGATGGCAGGCATAAGCCACCATGCCTGGCCCCAGAAATGCCTTTATTAGCAGCATGAGAACAGACTAATCTACCCACTCAAGCAGACTTAAGATTCGTTAATGCTTTCTTTGCTGCAGCGGCATAGATGCTCTTGGAGGTGGTCAGCCTCGCCAAGCCATCTTTGAGATTTTGCTCACGTATTCCTCCAGTAACATGGCGAAGTTTCGCCTGACCGTTTTCCCCCGGACCCCGGACGTTCACATCTCGATGAGTTTGTGACGGCTTGGAGTGATGGGTTGAGTCACGAATGGATCTCCTCTCCCAACATAACCAGGTGCTCTAATGAAATGAGTTTTATTCAAAGTCTCTGTCTCCTAATGCTGCGGGAAAAAAAGATAAATGGAACAATTCTTCTAGCAAATGCATTGCACAAAACAGCAGCATATTGCTTATGAAGTTTAATTTCCTAATAGTTCATGAGGTGTAATTTACCTGCCTTCGCTTCTGGGGAAATGGATTCGGGCTCATGACAAGATGGAATGGCTACCCGTGATATTGCTTTTCTTGTTGAACTGCGGTCTGAATCCAGTGAAATTTGCATGCTGCTGGAAGTCCGTGGAATTACAGCATTTCCCTTTTAACTTTTTATTGTGATTCTTATTATTGCATAGCCCCCGAGTATTCCGTGAACATGCTTTTATTTAATCAGCATTTTATTTAATCAGCATCCTATTTATTTTTATATGATGCCAATATTGCCTGGACAAACGTAGATGTTTTGGTGCTTGAAGTATTTTGGTACGTGGATTATTTTTTTTTTTTTCAAAACTGAAATCACACAGAACTTCAAAGTTTGAGCTTTGCTTTGATAGGAGAATATGGCCAATTATGAGACGCGGATTAATGGCTGCCTGCTTTGTCTTGCATCTTCTATTTTAGAATGAACAAGTGTTGGCCAGGAGTGGTGGCTCATGCCTGTAATCCCAGCAATTTGGGAGGCCAAGGTGGGCAGATTGCCAGGTCAGGAGTTCGAGACCATCCTGGCCAACATGGTGAAACCCTGTCTCTACTAAAATCACAAAGATTAGCCAGGGGTGGTGGTGCACACCTGTAATCCCAGCTACTTGGGACGCTGATGTAGGAGAATTGCTTGAACCCGGGAGACAGAGGTTGCAGTGAGCCGAGATTGTGCCACTGCACTGCAGCCTGGGCGGCAGGGCGAGACTCTGTCTCAAAAAAAAAAAAGAATGAACAAGTGTTTATACTTACTTTAGCAACTAGCAAATTATGCATAAAGTACCACAAATCTCTAGTGATGAACAATAAGTAAAAGGGTGGTTTCACTGTTGCATTTTGTTTATGACAGTTAAAAATTGCCAGGTGTGGCTGGGTGTGGTGGCTCATGCCTGTCATCCCAGCACTTTGGGAGGCCAAGGCAGGCGGATCACAAGGTCAGGAGATCGAGACCATCCTGGCTAACACGGTGAAAGCCCATCTCTACCAAAAATACAAAAAATTAGCCGGGCGTGGTGGCGGGCGCCTGTAGTCCCAGCTACTCGGGAGGCTGAGGCAGGAGAATGGCGTGAACCCAGGAGGCGGAGCTTGCAGAGCGTAGAGATGGCGCCACTGCACTCTGGCCTGGGGGACAGAGAGAGACTCCGTCTCAAAAAAAAAAAAAAATTGCCAGGTGTGGCGTTCACGTCTGTAATCCAAGCACTTTGGGACGTCGAGGTGGATGGATCGCTTGAGCCTAGGAGTTTGAGATCAGCCTGGGCAACATAGTGAAACCCCCTCTCTACAAAACAAATACAAGAATTAGCCAGGCATGGTGATGTGCACCTGTGGTCCTAGTTACTTGGGGGAACTCAGGTGGGCAGGATCACTTGAGCCGGAGAAGTCGGGGTTACGGCAAGCAGTGATTACACCACTGCACTCCAGCCTGGGTGACAGGAATGAGACTTTGTCTCAAAATAAAAATTATTGCTAGAGCTATTGTAGGGTGTATGCATGGGAAATAAAGGGCTAAGGTTTCCACTGGAAACTTTGTTCCTGTAACACAGGAAGTTTATCATCCTGTAGGAGTGAAATGTGTGGTTACAGTGGAGCAGGGGCCGTAAGGATTCTGGAAATATTTTTAATGTATCTCCTGGGTCCAAGGTTTCAATGTATTCTTCTGTTGCTGGAAGAACTGTGGGCCAGAGTGGTGATTAGAAAACTGCAAATCTTGAGACCATCTTGGCTAACACGGTGAAACCCCGTCTCTACTAAAAATACAAAAAAATTAGCCGGGTGTGGTGGCGGGCACCTGTAGTCCCAGCTACTCAGAGGCTGAGGCAGGAGAATGGCATAAACCCGGGAGGCAGAGGTTGCAGTGAGCGGGGCTCGTGCCATTGCACTCCAACCTGGGCAACAGTGTGAGACTCCATCTCAAAAATAAAATATAAAATAAAATAAAACAAGGCTGGGCACGGTGGCTCACGCCTGTAATCCCAGCACTTTGGGAGGCCGAGGTGGGCGGATCACGAGGTCAGGAGATCGAGACCATCCTGGCTAACACAGTGAAACCCCGTCTCTACTAAAAATACAAAAAAATTAGCCGGGCGTGGTGGCGGGCACCTGTAGTCCCAGCTACTCAGAGGCTGAGGCAGGAGAATGGCGTGAACCCGGGAGGCGGAGGTTGCAGTGAGCAGGGCTCGTGCCATTGCACTCCAGCCTGGGCAACAGTGTGAGACTCCATCTCAAAAACAAAACGAAATAAAATAAAATAGCCCATGTGTGATCACCATGGCTGTCTGCCCAGCATCACTCCTCGGCTCCACCCATCAGAAATGCCTCTCAGATGTACAGACATAGGCTAGAAAGCTGGTAACCCGATTTCCCCACAGGTTGCTCACTCTCACCTTGGGTTGACCTTGGCTTTCTCATCCCAGAGTCTTCCCTGGGGACCTGTCACCCCGGAGCTTGTCCCCTGAGCTCAGCTGGTCTTCAGCATCCAGTTAGTGTTTAGTAGGTACTTATGTACTTAGTAGGTACTTACGTGCTTAGTAGGAGCTTATGTGCTTACTAAGAGCTCACATGCTTGGCAGGACCTTATGTGCTTAATAGCTGCTCACGTGCTTAGTAGGAGCTCATGTGCTTAGTAGACCCTTATGTGCTTAGTAGGAGCTCACGTGCTTAGTAGGAGCTCACGTGCATAGGTGCTTACATGCTTAGTAGGAGCTCATACAGTTAGTAGGAACTCACACGCTTAGCAGGAGCTTATGAGCTTAGTAGGTCCTTCTGTGCTTAGTAGGAGCTCATGTGGTCAGTGGGTGCTACGTGCTTAGTAGGAGCTGACGTGGTTAGTAGGAGCTTATATGCTTGGCAGGTCCTTATGTGCTTGCTTACTAGGAGCTTACGTGCTTAGCAGGAGTTCACGTGCTTAGTAGGTTTTTATGTGCTTCCTAGGAACTCACGTGGTTAGTAGGAGCTTATGAGCTTAGTAGGTCCTTACGTGCTTAGTTGGTGCTTATGTGCTTAGTAGGAGCTCACGTGCTTAGTAGGACCTTACATGCTTAGCACGAGCTCACGTGCTTCGTAGGGGCTCACATGCTTAGTAAGAACTCATGTGCTTAGTTAACAGCTCACATGCTTAGTAGGTGCTTATATGCTTAGTAGGAGCTTATGTGCTTAGTAGGAACTCACGTGCTTAGTAGGTGCTTACATGCTTAATAGGAGCTCGTGAGCTTAGTAGGGGCTTACGTGCTTAGTAGGTTTTAATGTGCTTACTAGGAGCTCACGTGCTTAGTAGGTGCTCATATGCTTAGTAGGAGCTTACGTGCTTAGCAGGAGCTCACGTGCTTAGTAGGTTTTTATGTGCTTAGTAGGAGCTCACGTGCTTAGTAGGAGCTTCTGAGCTTAGTAGGTCCTTCCGTGCTTAGTAGGCATTCATGTGCTTAGTGGGTGCTATGTGCTTAGTAGGAGCTCATGTGATTAGGAGCTTATGTGCGTAGCAGGTCCTTATGGCTTAGTAGGTGCTTCCATGCTTAGTTAGGCCCTCATGTGCTTAGTGGGTGCTATGTGCTTAGTAGGAGCTCAAGTGGTTAGTAGGAGCTTCTGTGCTTAGCAGGTCCTTATGTGCTTAGTAGGAGCTTACATACTTAGTAGGAGCTTGCACATGGATGGTCTGGGAGCCCTCAGAGGCTGCCCTCATGGGTATTTGTAATTAAAAGGTAAATTAGTCCTGGTGTGCCTGGGGTACAAATTAGGGTGCTTCGCGCCTGGAATCCCAGTGCTTGGGGCAGCTGAGGTGGGAGAAATGCTTAAGACCAGCAGTTTGAAACCAGCCTGGGGAACATAGCAAGACCCCATCTCTACAAAAAAAAAATTACCAGACTTGGTGGTGTGCACCTGTAATCCCAGCTACTCGGGAGGCTGAGGCAGGAGGATCGCTTGAGCCCAGGAGGTCGAGGCTGCAGTGAGCAGTGATTGCACCGCTGCACTCCAGCCTGGATGATAGAGCCAGATCCTGTCCCTAAAAGCAAAGGAAACCTGTTGTCCTGTTGAGTAATTAATCCCCACCAGTGAGGTCCCTGCACACCCACCCGTGTCCCGTCTGTATTTTCAGAAGGACAAGGAGGTGATATGAGGTTAACAACGATAGACTGGATGAAGAAAATGTGGCACATACACACCATGGAATACTATGCAGCCATAAAAAACGATGAGTTCATGTCCTTTGTAAGGATATGGATGAAGCTGGAAACCATCATTCTCAGCAAACTATCACAAGGACAAAAAACCAAACACTGCATGTTCTCACTCATAGGTGGGAATTGAACAATGAGAACACTTGGACACAGGAAGGGGAATATCACACACTGGGGCCTGTTGTGGGGTGGTGGGAGTGGGGAGGGATAGCATTGGGAGATATACCTAATATTAAATGACAAGTTAATGGGGGCAGCACACCAGCATGGCACATGTACACATATGTAACAAACCTGCACGTTGTGCACATGTACCCTAGAACTTAAAGTATAATAAAAAAAAAAAAAGAAAAGAAAAAGAAAATCATGTGAGTTGGGGGATAGGCGGGGACCAGGGCTGGGTGGGTGAGTGCTGTGACATTCTTTCCTCTATTCAAGTTCCTAACCAACCACCCCTCTGGAACTCACCCCAGAATCGCAGGGATTTCTAGAGACTTTTGAAAATCACAACTGAGAATAGAACTCGAGCCTCAGTTTCCACTTCATCCCAAGTGAAAATGAAGTAAAACATAGCACATGGCAGGCTCCCCGCAGAGCAGGGCTGAATCGGGATGGGAGCTGGGAAATGGGGCACACTGCCCCTTTGCTTGATGGGTCTTTCAGGAAACAGAGGCTGCAACATTCTAGTTTCTGTACAAAGCCGGGACGCACACATTGTATTCCTTTACTTAACAAACACCTGTCTATTGAGGAGTTATTCAATATAGGGTACCATCTTCAAGGTCCACAGTTTTACAGTTGGATTTCCCCCCGACCTTTTTTTTTTAGAAATGGAACCTCGCTCTGTCACCCAGGCTGTAGTGCAGTGGCATGATCTCGGCTCACTGAAACCTCCACCTACCGGGTTCAAGTGATTCTCCTGCCTCAGCCTCCTGAGTGGCTGGGATTGCACGCACCTGCCACCACGCTGGGCTAATTTTTTTTTGTGATGGAGTGTCAGTCTTCTTGCCCAGGCTGGGGTGCAATGGTGCGATCTCGGCTCACTGCAACCTCCACCTACCGGGTTCAAGTGATTCTCCTGCCTCAGCCTCCTGAGTGGCTGGGATTGCACGCACCTGCCACCATGCTGGGCTAATTATTTTTTGTGATGGAGTGTCAGTCTTCTTGCCCAGGCTGGGGTGCAATGGTGCGATCTCGGCTCACTGCAACCTCCACCTACTGGGTTCAAGTGATTCTCCTGCCTCAGCCTCCTGAGTGGCTGGGATTGCACGCACCTGCCACCATGCTGGGCTAATTATTTTTTGTGATGGAGTGTCAGTCTTCTTGCCCAGGCTGGGGTGCAATGGTGCGATCTCGGCTCACTGCAACCTCCACCTACCGGGTTCAAGTGATTCTCCTGCCTCAGCCTCCTGAGTGGCTGCGATTGCATGCACCTGCCACCAGGCCCGGCTAATTTTTTTTTTTTGAGATGGAGTTTTGCTCTTGTTGCCCAGGCTGGGGTGCAATGGTGCGATCTTGGCTCACCGCAACCTCCACCTCCCGGGTTCAAGCGATTCTCCTCCCTCAGCCTTCTGAGTAGCTGAGATACAGGCGTGCACCACCACAGCCAGCTAATTTTTGTATTTTTAGTAGAGACGGGGTTTCACCATGTTGGCCAGGCTGGTCTCGAACACCTGACCTCAGGGAATCTGCCCGCCTCGGCCTCCCGAAGTGCTGGGATTACAGGTGTGAGCCACTGTGCTAGGCTGAGAAACTTCTACCTATGACCTGGGTGAAGGTTCAGGAAACAAAACCCTCCATGTTAAGGGGCGTAAACCTGTGTGAGGGATCCTTCCTTTTACATAAACATCACTATTTTTCTTCCTGAGAACCATTAGCAGTTAATGAACTAGGAGAAAGTCAATAATTAATGATTTTGAGGTCAGGGGCGTTTGCAGGACGGAACACCCTAAACGGTGGCCTCCGACTACCCGACGCCAGCTCTTTCTTCTCTGTTTATTCCTGGGTGGTGTTTATTCTGGGTTCTTGGGACAGTCGGCTTCTGGTGGTCCTACCTGGCTTCGTGGCTTGTCCAGGGCTGTGATGTACAGAACGGACAATTTAACAACTTAGGGATATGCTATTACTCCATCCTTTTACTGTGACCTTCAAATACCCTAAAATAGTTGGTTTCATTCTGGGCACAGAAGGCTTTCCATCTGAAATGTCAGATTGCACGACCGAACTGTTCACTGTTATCCAGGGATAGAATGATGGGGTTTAGGTGGGGGTGCTGCGGAAGGAGGCTTTTTTTTTTTTTTTAAATTTTTGAGATGGAATCTCACTCTGTCGCCCAGGCTGGAGTGCAGTGGCGCGATCTTGGCTCACTGCAACCTCCGCCTCCTGGGTTCAAGTGATTCTCCTGCCTCAGCCTCCTGAGTAGCTGGGGTTACAGGCACCCATGACCACCCCTGGCTTTTTTTTTTTTTTTTGTATTTTTAGTAGAGATGGGGTTTCAGCACATTGGTCAGGCTGATCTCGGCTCACTGCAACCTCCGCCTCCTGGGTTCAAGTGATTCTCTTGCCTCAGCCTCCTGAGTAGCTGGGGCTACAGGCACCCGTGACCACGCCTGGCTAATTTTTTTTTTGTATTTTTAGTAGAGATGGGGTTTCACCATGTTGGTCAGGCTGATCTTGAACTCCTGACCTTGTGATCCCCCACCTTGGCCTCCCAAAGTGCTGGGATTACAGGCCTGAGCCACCGCGTGCAGCCTAAAATATATGTTTTGAAAGCAATTTTGAAATATACGATCCACCATTATGAACTATAGTCACCATGCTGTACAATACAGCACCAAAACTTATCATAACATCACCTTTTACTCCGTAAATATACAGTTATTATTTGTTAATTAAAAATTTATGGCCGGGCGCAGTGGCTCACGCCTGTAATCCCAGCACTTTGGGAGGCTGAGGCGGGTGGATCATGAGGTCAGGAGAGCGAGACCATCCTGGCTAACACAGTGAAACCCTGTCTGCACTAAAAATACAAAAAAAAAAAAAAATTATCTGGGCGTGGTGGCGGGCGCCTGTAGTCCCAGCTACTCAGGAGGCTGAGGCAGGAGAATGGCGTGTACTTGGGAGGTGGAGGTTGCAGTGAGCTGAGATTGCACCACTGCACTCCAGCCCGGGTGACAGAGAGAGACTTTGTCTCGAAAAATAAAAAAATAAATAGGCCGGGCGCGGTGGCTCACGCCTGTAATCTCAGCACTTTGGGCGGCCGAGGCGGGTGGATCATGAGGTCAGGAGATCGAGACCATCCTGGCTAACACAGTGAAACGCCGTCTCCACTAAAAATACAAAAAAGTTAGCCGGGCGTGGTGGCGGGTGCCTGTAGTCCCAGCTACTCGGGAGGCTGAGGCAGGAGAATGGCGTGAACCCGGGAGGCAGAGGTTGCAGTGAGCCGAGATCGTGCCACTGCACTCCAGCCTGGGCGACAGAGGGAGACTTTGTCTCAAAAAAATAAATAAATAAAAATAAAATAAAAATAAAAACACATCTCCCCTCATTCAGAAGGCACTCATCAGTGAAGAGTGTCCCCAGTGCCATGTCTGGTTGACCCACCGTTTCCATCATGATCATTCCCCTTATTTGAGCCTCTCACGCAAGAAGGATTTTCGTTACTCTCAGATAATTTCCACGTACATCTGCTGCTTGGTTTTACTTTTTTCTCACGATTGTTTTTTTTTTTTTCCTGGTGTTTTCTGGGGCCAAATTCAACTGCTTAGCACCATTTCTGGAGCTTTCCTCTTTGCACAAAGGACGTTCCCCTGGCATAAGACGCAGGTGCAGAGACAGAGAGACAGAGCTCCTCAATTACGGTTTGACAGATATTCCCAACCAGCCTTCTGGCCTCCCGGTACCTGGGGCATCTTAGTAGACACTCGCGCTGCAAAGATCTTGCTTGCATTCATTAAACACGACTGCTAATAACGTCGAGAGAATGCTTTGCAGCCTCGAACGGTGAGCGCCTGATCTCCCTTCAAGACCTCATTAATCTTCTGATGTCCTCACGGCTCCGCGCCAGGTTACCTTTAAAAGGACAGCATTTGATGAAGGCAGAGATAAATTCTGTAGGCTGTACGGACGCCAATGGTGCCCTGAGACAGGCGGAGAGAGGTGGTTTGTCTTCACTGTCCCTTTGATAAAGATAAAGTGGGATATGCGATTTATTGCCGTCCTGCAGCCACAGCCCACGCCATGGAAATCAAATGCTTTTTAGAAAGTGGTCTTTTAGTGATCTGATTATTCAGCCCTGTGGCCATAGCTAATGGTTGTCCACCCCAAAATCCATCCCTCCTCTTCCCACCGTGAACAGAAAGTTAGACTTTTCTGAGTTTTGGTTGGGATTGATTAAGTACTTGAGTTTCAGGAAACAGGAATGGCAGGTGCGCCTTTTGGATTTGAGCCTCAGAACAGAATCTCGCATGCTATCTCGTGCTGGCCAGCAGGGACCCTGGAAGATCCAGCTCTGAACAGGAAGAAAATGAGAAGGCCACAGGGGCCTCTGGAGCAGCCTGGGTCCCTGAGTGACTGTGTGGAGCAGAGCATCTGGTACTATGGAGAGCTCTCGTGGGGCTGTTGTGAGAAACAGAAGGAAATAAACTGATAATACAGGGGTCTTTTTTCATTTTGTTCATTTTTATTTATTTAGAGACAGGCTGTCACCCTGTCACCCAGGCTGGAATGCAGTGGTACCAGCATGGCTCACTGCAGCCTCCAACTCCTGGGCTCAAATGATCCTCCTGCCTCAGCCTCCCAAGTAGCTGGGACCGCAGGTGCATACCACCAGGCCCAGGTAATTTTTTAACTTTTTTTATTTTTGGAGAGCTGGAGCTTCACTATGTTACCCAGGCTGGCCTTGAACTCCTGGGCTCCAGCAATCCTCCCGCTTCAGCCTCCCAAAGTGCTGGGATTACAGGCATGAACCACGGCACCCGACAAGACTCTGGGTGTCTTTGTTACAGTTGTCCAGCATTGCTCTAACTGACAAGCCCCATTCTTGCGATCTATGGGAATGGAAACACAGGTCTTTTGACCCAAGGGCTTTCAGTATGTGAGGTAGAGAAATGTTTTATTTTTCTGCACCCACCAATATGGTGGAGTCTTGGCCAACTACGGAGGTAGGTGGGAAATGCCTGGCTGGAGTGCACCAGAGTTTGGCGAGAAGAAGCTTCTGGAAGTGTTTAACTCTGGCTGTATGGTGACCTCACTGTTCCCTGTGGGGCCCACTCTGGTGGAAGGGCACAGGGGTGAGTGGGGTGTCAGCCTCAAGACCTAAAGACCTGCGTGAGGCCAGCGAAAACCAAACATCGCATAAAATAAGGTGAAGCTGGCTAGGTCAAGTGGCTCGTGTCTGTAATCCCAGCACTTTGAGGGGCTGAGGCAGGAGGATATTGC
This sequence comes from Homo sapiens, assembly GCF_000001405.40. Taxonomy (NCBI): domain Eukaryota; kingdom Metazoa; phylum Chordata; class Mammalia; order Primates; family Hominidae; genus Homo; species Homo sapiens. The sequence goes on from NC_000023.11 coordinate 696,388, forward strand.
TTGAGAGCAGGAGCTCTACACCACCGTGGACAACATAGTGAGACCCGGTCTTTTATTATTATTATTGTTTTTGAGATGGAGTCTCGCTCTATTGCCCAGGCTGGAGTGCAGTGGCGCGATCTCGGCTCACTGCAAGCTCTGCCTCCCGGGTTCACGCCATTCTCCTGCCTCAGCCTCCTGAGTAGCTGGGACTACAGGCGCCCGCCACCGCGCCCGGCTAATTTTTTGTATTTTTAGTAGAGACGGGGTTTCACCATGTTAGCTAGGATGGTCTCGATCTCCTGACCTCATGATCCACCCGCCTCGGCCTCCCAAAGTGCTGGGATTACAGGTGTGAGCCACTGCACCCGGCCTCTTTTTTTTTTTTTAGATGGAGTTTTGCTCTTGTCGCCCAGGCTGGAGTGCAATGGCGCGATCTTGGCTCACTGCAACCTCCGCCTCCCGAGTTCAAGTGATTCTCCTGCCTCAGCCTCCCGAGTAGCTGGGATTAAAGGCGTGAACCACCATGCCAAGATAATGTTTGTATTTTCAGTAGAGACAGGATTTCACCATGTTGACCAGGCTGGTCTCGAACTCCTGACCTCAGGTGATCCACCCACTTCGGCCTCCCAAAGTGCTGGGATTACAGGCATGAGCCACCGCTCCCGGCCTAAGGCTTTTTAATCACCTGGGTGCAGGGTCTGAAAAAGGAGTCAGCAAAGGGAGATAGAGGTGGGGCAGTTTTATAGGATTTGGGTAGGTAGTGGAAAATTACAGTCAAAGGGGGTTATTCTCTTCAGGCAGGGGCGGGGGTCACAAGGTGCTCGGTGGGGGAGGCCCAGAGACTTATTGTTAAGGAGAAGGAATGTCACAACGTCAATTGATCGGTTACGGTGTGGCAGAAACAAATCACAATGGGGGAATGTCATCAGTTAAGGCAGGAACCGGCCATTTTCACTTCTTTTCTGGTTCTTCAGTTGCTTCAGGCCATGTGGAGATATATGTGCAGGTCACAGGGGCTATGATGGCTTCGCTTGGGCTCAGAGGCCTGACACCTATTATCTTTCCAGGGCCTGAGACAGAGGACAGTTTTTCATCTTCACAGTCAGAGTGAATCCTGTTTCCTCATGACCTCTCATCCTCCATCCAGTCCATATCCCCATCTAGCAGCCGCCATGTTTCATTTGCCCATTAGGATATTTGACTGGTGGGTGGTGCAGGATTTTATTCAAACCCCCAAAAGGTGGGCTGGGTGTGGTGGTTCACACCTGTAATCCCAGCACTTTGGGAGGCCGAGGCAGGCGGATCACCTGAGGTCAGGAGTTTGAGACCAGCCTGTGCCACATATACATGGAATACTATGCAGCCATGAAAAAGAACGAGATCCTATCCTTTGCAGGAACATGAATGTAGCTGGAGGCCATTATCCTTAGCAAACCAATGCAGGAACCAAAAACTAAGTACCACATGTTTTTACTTAAAAGTGGGAGCTGGCCGGGTGCGGTGGCTCACACCTGTCATCCCAGCACTTTGGGAGACCGAGGCGGGTGGATCACGTGAGGTCAGGAGTTCGAGACCAGTGTGGGCAACATGCTGAAACCCTGTCTGTACTAAAAATACACAAATTAGCCAGGTGTAGTGGCCGGTGCCTGCAATCCCAGCTACTTGGGAGGCTGAAGCAGGGGAATGTCTTGAACCTGGGAAGCAGAGGTTGCAGTGAGCCAAGATTATGCCACTGCAATCCAGCCTGGGTGACAGAGTGAGACTCTGTCTCAAAAAAAAAAAAAAAAAGCAATAGGAAGGAAAAGTGTTTTAAAAAGTGTTAAAAGACTTGATAAATGGCGCTTGGACCGTTTTGCACGCGTTATACATTCTGAAAGTAGGATGCCCGTGGTAAATTCCAAACAGTGATCTTTGGTATAATGTCATTTTTAAGAAGCTCACTTGCCTCCGGACTGTGAATTATTGAGCTGTGAATATTGCAGGAGGGATTATTTCCCATAAATCGCGGACCGCTGCAAATGCTTCATAATCAGAATATGTCAAATGTTGCACAACCGGGAACCAAGTTGGTTTACAACTTCCTGCCAGAATGAAGAACAGGACGGGTTGGCGCGTGACGGCGAACGGAAAAATGTCCTGTTTCCCTGTCCCAACTCCATAAGCACCGGCCATAATCACGCTCATATAAACGAAGCCATTAGAGGCGGTTGACATTTTCATATTTTCATCTGTGACTGGAACGTCCGGCTCAACAATAATAAAAAAATTAAGGGAACTTACAGGAAGCTTTGCTTGCAACAGCTCAGATGCATGAAGCAGCCGTCACTCTCTGAAGGGTGGTGTTGCAGAAAAGGCAGACAAGTGAGGTGTTCCCCTGGCCGGCAGGTACACGGGAGCATTTTGAGGGCCAGAACATTCCATGCCCATCTCAGCACCTCTAGAGATTAGGCTGGGGGACTTGGGCAAGACTCTTGTCTGTAGAATGGAAGGGAGGGTACATTTTCTCCTGGCGTGCGGGGGTGTGAGAAGATATTATGGGAGAAACAGAGTAAAACACTATGAGGTCCTGACTATGGTATTTCTAAGTGGGGGCCCAGTGGTAAGAAGGACCCTTTTTTTTTTTTTTGAGACAGAGTCTCGCTCTGTCGCCCAGGCTGGAGTGCAGTGGCATGATCTCGGCTCACTGCAACCTCCGCCTCCCAGGTTCACACCATTCTCCTGCCTCAGCCTCCCGAGTAGCTGGGACGACAGGTGCCCGCCACCACCCCCGGCTAATTTTTTATATGTTTAGTAGAGACGGGGTTTCACCGTGTTAGCCAGGATGGTCTCGATCTCCTGACCTCGTGATCCGCCTGTCTCAGCCTCCCAAAGTGCTGGGATTACAGGCGGCCGCCACCACGCCTGGCTAGTTTTTTATATGTTTAGTAGAGATGGGGTTTCACCGTGTTAGCCACGATGGTTTCGATGTAAGAAGGACCCTTTTGAGAAGGCATTTCTCTAAGCGCCGAACCTGTGACTTTTGGGACCCTGGACCTCAACTTGCAGATGCCTTGTGTGCTGGTGGAAAAGTGTGTGTCAACCCGGCTGGGACACAGTACCTAGGTTATTTGGCCAAACACTGATGTAGATGTTGTTTGTTTTTATATAAACCCAAACTTTATGAGGGTATCATTAACAAATAAAAATTGTATCCGTTTACAGTGTACCATGTGATATTTTGATACATGTATGCCAAATGATTTTGTTGCAAAGCTAACATTTTTTCAATTTTTTTTTTGTTTTTTTGAGATGGAGTCTCGCTCTGTTGCCAGGCTGGAGTGCAGGGGTGTGATCTCGGTTCACTGCAACCTCCGCCTCCCGGGTTCAAGTGATTCTCCTGCCTCAGCCTCCTGAGTAGCTGGGACTACAGGCACCCGTCACCATGCCCAGCTAATTTTTTATTTTTAGTAGAGATGGGGTTTCACCATGTTGGCCAGGAGGGTCTCCATCTCTTGACCTCATGATCCTCCCACCTCAGCCTCCCAAAGTCTGGGATTACAGGTGTGAGCCACTGGGCCTGGCCCCGTTTTTTTGAATTTTAAAAAAATTTATAGATGGGATCTTGCTCTGCTGCCCAGGCTGGATTGCAGTGGCATAATCATAGCTCCCTGAAGCCTGAACCTCCCCGGCTTAAGCGATCCTCCCACCTCAGCCTCCTGAGTATGTGGGACTACAGGCACCTGCCACCACACGCAGCCAGTATTTTAAACATTTTTGTAGACATGGGGTCTTGCTTTGTTGCCCAGGCTGGTCTCTAACTCCTGACCTCAAAAGATCCCCCCGCCTCGGCCTCCCAAAGTGCTGGGATGACAGGCATGAGCTACTGTACCCATCCTGAAGTTACTTATTTTTTTATTTTTTTTGAGATGGAGTTTCTTTCTTGTTACCCAGGCCAGAGTGCAATGGTATAATCTCCACTCACTGCAACCTCCACCTCCTGGGTTCAAGCGATTCTCCTGCCTCAATCTTCCAAGTAGCCGGAATTACAGGTGCCCACCACCAAGTCTGGCTAATTTTTTGTATTTTTAGTAGAGACAGGGTTTCACCATCTTGGCCAGGCTGGTCTCGAACTCATGACCTCAGGTGATCCACCCGCCTTGGCCTCCCAAAGTGCTGGGATGACAGGCGTGAGCTTCTGCGCCCATCCTGAAGCTACTTTTATATATGAAGTAAGCATTTAAATCGGTAGATGCTGGTAAAATAATAATTAAAAAAACCTTCATAGTGTGTGGGCGTCGTCTAATCAGTTGAAGGTCTTAAGAGGAAAAAATAATGGGAGTCTCCTAAGGAACAAGGAATTCTGCCTCCAGATGCAACATTAGCCCTTTGCTGATCTGTGGGCACTGGGTCCAACCTGTAGCGTTTGAAGTTGCATCTCCACAATCCTGTAAAAGCCAATTCATTAAAATAAATCTCTCTCTCTGTCTCTGTCTCTCTCTCTCTCTTTTTCTGTGTCTCTCCCTTTCCATATTCCGTTGGTTCTGTTCCTCTAGATAACGCTGACATATACACTCTGTGTGTCTTCCCTTTCATCCTCATCGCCTTTGTGAAAGGAAAGGAAATCTCAGGACCCCCAAATTACTAAGCCAAAGAGAAAAGTCAAACTGGGAACTTTGTCCCACAGACCTGCCTTCCATTCTCTTTGTAAATAAGATGTTACCAAGATCAAAAAGCTACATACCTCCCTCACCATTGGCCCACAAGGAAATTCCTTGTGGAGGGAGGACAAGTGACGATCCCTGTAAATTATGCATTTAGCCAAAGGCTAATCAGAAACTCAAAAGAATGCAACCATTGGTCTCTTATCTGCCTGTAACCTGGAAGACTCCTCCTGGCTTCGAGTTATTCTGACTTTCCAGACTGAACCCACGCACGTCTCACACATATTGATTGATGTCTCACGTCTCCCTGAAATGTATAAAACCAAGCTGTGCCCTGACCATCTTGGGCACCTGTCATCAGGACCTCCTGAGGCTGTGTCACGGGCGCACGTCCTCAACCTTGGCAAAGTAAACTTGTCAAATGGGTTGGGACCTGTCTCAGATATTTTGGGCTCACCCCTTCCAAGCAGAAGGAAAGGAGGCTGCCTTTGGGTCATGTTGTTTCCCAAAATGTCCTGTCTGTGGCTGTTGTCCAGGGGAGGCAAGGTTGACTCTCTCGTTCAGCTCCCGATCTTCGATGTAGAGAGGGGACGGGGTGCAGTGTGGGTTCCCACCTGCAGCAGCTCTGAAGTATGTGACTGAGCTCCTGACCTCAGGGACAGTGACCCCTGCCCCCAACAGGTGGTGTTATAACCCCACCCCTCAGTGCCCCTGTGATCCTGCCCAGCCCTAGCCAAGGAAGGCGTGTCCCCCTACAAGGAGTGGGTGGTGGGGGCTGCTCAGATGGAAAGCAGGAAAGATGTTCCCCAGAACCTATGGAGGTGGAGGGCATACACAGCCCATGAGCGGTAGCTACCCGGCTCAACCATGGTGCAGACCCCATCAGAGCTACGTTCCTGCTATGAGAGGAGAACATCCCACTCTGTGGGTGAACAGAGCCTCGTGTACCTCCAAGTCCACTGATGGACATTGAGCTGCTTCCAGTCCATTGCTGCTGTGGATATGTGTGCACAAGTACATCTGCCCCAACACCCATTTCCCAGTCTTTTTTTTTTTTTTTCTTTTTTGGAGACAGAGTCTCACTCTGTTGCCCAGGCTGGAGTGCAGTGGTGCATTCACAGCTCATTGCAACCTCCACCTCCTAGGCTCAAGTGATCCTCCTATCTCAGCCTCCCAAGTAGCTGGGACTACAGGTGCACGTCACCACCACACTGGCTAATTTTTTTTTTTTTTAAATTTTTGCAAAAGCAACATATTCCTACATTGTCCAGGCTGGTCTCAAACTCCTGGGCTCAAGGAATCTGCCTGCCTTGTCCTCCCAAAGTGCTGGGGTTACAGGCATGAGCCACCATGCCAGGCCCATTTCCAATTCCTTTGGGTGCACGCCCAGGAATGGAACAGGCAGTGACTGCTGTTGAGATGGAGTTCAGGGTTCTCTGGGTGGTGATTAAAATGACCCAGAACCAGATGGAGGTGGTGGTTGTACAACGTAATGAAAGCACTCAGAGTTACTGAATTGTGTGCACTTTATCATGGTGAATGGTTAATTTTAGGTTACGTGCATTTCACTTCGATGGAAAACAAAACACACTCATCCACAGACCCTCCCTCCCAAACCATGGCACCCACGTGGCGTGGCACACTTTGGGGTCCCATGTCCATCAGGGTGATCACAGGCATCACAAAGCTCAGGCCCATGGGAAGATAAACCTTTCCAGATTCCTGCAGTCAGGCAGCGCTGGTTGTTCCTGAATGTCATAGAGTCAGGGACAAAATCAATGTCAGCGGAATCACGTGTGGGTCTTAGGGAGAGGGATGAATATCTAAATCCTCCTATAAATCCCCTTTTCCTTAGAGAATCTGCTCATTTCATCAGGAAGTCATTGTTAATTTTATTTTCTATTTTGTGTAATTCTTTTTATTTTTTTTAAACTATTTGCCACTCAGGGGACACGACGCACATCTCGTTTATCTTCAAGTCACTAACTTCATGCAATAAACCCTGCTTGCTGAAGGGATACTAATGATAGAAAAACCACGGGGAGTTTTTATGTGTGTTTGTGATGTCATTTTTTATTTTTTAGAGACAGGTTCTTGCTTGTCACCCAGGCTGGAGTGCAGTGGTACAATCATGGCTCACTGTAGCCTCGAACTCCTGGGCTCAAGTGATCTTCCCATCTCAGTCTCTCAAGTAGCTGGGACTACAGGTGACACCACCATGCCTGCCTAATTTTAAAAAACTTTTTGTAGAGATTGGGTCTTGTTGTGTTGCCCAGGATGGTCTCCAACTCCTGGGATCAAATGACCCTCCCAACTTGGCCTTCCAAAGGGCTGTGGACTGTAGGTGTGAGCCACCATGCCAGGCTGGAAACCAGTTTTGATAATCCTGTCAAACTTTCCTGTTTTGTTCTGCTGTGATTTACTACCAGGAACTGGGTAATTTATAAAGACAGACATTTATTTTCTCACAGTTCTGGAGGCTGGGAAGTCCAAGACCAAGGCACCATCATCTGGTGAGGAACTTCTTGCTGTGTCAGCCCATGGAGAAAGAGCAAAGAGCGGAGAAAGAGAGAGACAGAGACAGAGGCAGAGAGAGAGAAAGGAAGAGGGGGCCAAATTCCATCCTGGGTGATGAGTAAGAATCTGTCTCTAAAAAATAAAAGAAAAACAACATCACAAACTGGTTTCCAGGCTGGAAACCAGTTTTACAGCTCTGTTAAAAGAGATGAGAAATGCTGAGTGGTAGATGCAACCTGATTTCTGGGGTCATTGATGTTCAACTCCCTTGGGCGTCATTTCTAAGCCAAAATTATAGGACAGGATGCTCTGAGATTAGACCTCTTTATCTCTTCTCCTCACCTCAACCTCAAGCCTCCCAAATTCCAGAGCTCTATCAGAACACAATGAATATAAAAGTATCCTAGGAACTGAGAAGCGAGAAGAAGGGGAAAGATGATGACATCATGGGAGGAATGGAAGAAAAAGGGGTGAGTCATTCCCTTGAGTTTCTTGGGAAACAGTCAATGCAGGGAGAAATAACACTGAGTTGGAGGTGGCTGCTGGCTCAGGGAACTGCATGAAAGCCAGTGAGCATCATGTGGTTTATAAGTAAATGAGCAATTTCTGCCTCACCGTGCAGAACATAGAGAAACCCCTCCTGAGAATGTAAAGACAAAAACTCATATTATTTGCAATATGTCATGGACATGGAGCAATACAAATCTCTGATTGCACCATAGATGTTACGATTGACTTCCAGGGTTTGCAAGAGCTATGGTTTGCGTATTTCTCCCCTCTCAAATGCATGTTGAAATGTAATTGCTATTGCAACAGTGTTGAGAGGTGAGACGTTTAAGAGGCCATCAGTCCATGAGGGCTCTGCTGTCGTGAATGGTTTAATGCTGTTATGGAAAGAGTGAGTTCCCTGTGAGAGAATGAGTTTGAGCCCCTCTCACTCTCTTTCTCTCTTTCTAAAAGAATAAGTTTGGCCCCCTCTTGCTGTCTCTCTCTCTCCTCTCTTTGCTTTTTCTCCATGGGCTGACACAGCAAGAAGGTCCTCACCAGATGATGGTGCCTTGGTCTTGGACTTCCCAGACTCCAGAACAGTGAGAAAATAAATGTCTCTTCTTTATAAATTACCCAGTTCCTGGTAGTCTGTTATGGCAGCAAAAAACAGACTAAGACAGGAAGGGCTAGCAAGGGCTTGTGGTGTTTGAGAATATTTCATTTTGAAGAGGAGACACTTCAGCACACAGGAGACAGCACAAGCATGTAAGACCAGGTCTCCCCCAGCAGCCCCTGACCTCAAACTTGGAAAGTGGTGTGAGCAGACAAAAAGAAGGCAACATGATATTGGCCTCAGACAATTCCCAAAACAATTTAGGGCACAGGCTTGAATCTGCACCCTGAAAAGTGTCTATAGGAAAGTACTGATGGTGCATGGAAGACAGAAAATTTGAAAATATAAAGAATCAGAGGACAAGAAAGAGAATTGTGAGCAAAAATTTACAAAGAAAGATGGCAGATGAAAGTAAATGCAGGCATGGATTTCAGAGAGGGTTGGCTAGGTTGCCCCTGGAGTGACAGAGCCATTTGGAATAATATGGTAGCTTTCTCTATGCTTTTCTTTTTCCAAGAGAAAGTACAAACATAAAGTACTAGTGTTTAGGGAGAGGAAATAAATATATGAAAGAAAAAAAAATCAGAGGCAAAGACTTTAAGGAAAGAGAGTGATTCTAGAACAAACAGGGTCAAGCCTAATGTTTAGAGATAACCATTGCAAAGAACCATTGGAGTAAGCCATGGGTGGATCTCTCTCTCTCTCTTTAAACAACATTCATTTAATTAATTAGTTCACTCCATTGAGAAATAAAAAATTGTCTTTGTTGTGTGCAATGTGTTTTGAAATATGGATACATTGTGGAATGGCTCAATAGCACTAATTCACATATGAATGAGCTTGTATACTCATCCTATTTTTGTGGTGAGAACATTTAATATCTACTCTCTAGTAATTTTCAAAAGTAGACAATACATTGTTCTTAACTACAGTCACCATGCTGCATAATACACCTCCATTGGAGTAAGCCATGGGTGGATTTCTCTCTCTCTCTTTAAACAACATTCATTTAATTAATTAGTTCACTCCATTGAGAAATAAAAAATTGTCTTTGTTGTGTGCAATGTGTTTTGAAATATGGATACATTGTGGAATGGCTCAATGGCACTAATTCACATATGAATGAGCTCGTATACTCATCACATTTTTGTGGTGAGAACATTTAATATCTACTCTCTCATAATTTTCAAGAGTAGGCAATACATTATTATTAACTACAGTCACCATGCTGCATAATACACCTCCTGCACTTATTCTTCTCGTCTGATTAAAATCTTGCACCCTTTGACTAACATCTCTCCATCCACCACAGCCAGCCTCTGGTACCCACCATTCTGCTTTCTGATTGGTTGAGTTTGATGTTTTTAGATTTTGGATATGAGTGAGACCATGTAGTATTTGTCTTTCAATGTCTGGCTTATTTCACTTGACACCGTATCTTCCAGGCTCATTGGTGTTGCTGCAAATAGCAGGATTTCCTTTATTTTCATTTTTATTGTTTGAGACAAGGTTTCACTCTGTTACCCAGGCTGGAGTCCAGTGGTTCAATCTCAGCTCACTGCAGCCTGGAACTTCTGAGCTCAAGCAACCTTCCCACCTCAGCCTTCTGAGTAGCTGGGACCACAGGTGCCACCATGACCAGCTAGTTTTTAAAAAAAATTTTTGTAGACATGGGGTCTCACTATGTTGCTCAGGATGGTCTTGAACTTCTAGACTCAAGTGACCCTCCTGCCTCAGCCTCCCAAAGTGCTGAGATTATAAGCATAAGCCACCACACCCAGACTCTTTTTTTAAGGCCAAATACTATTCCATTGTGTACATATATTACATTTTCTGTTTTCATTCATGGATAGGCATTTGGGTTCACTGCATATCTTAGCTATTGCAAATAGTGCTGCAATGCACAGGAGAGTGAAGATAGCTCTATAAAGTGTTGATTTAATTTATCTTGGGTACATATTCAGCAGCGGGATTACTGCACTGGCTGACATTTTCTATGCAGCTTAGAATGGGTGAAAAATGGCCAGAAGAGAAACTCATTTCCCCAAGGAAAGGAAAAATGGGGGAGAGCTTAGACATTAAAAGTGGGTCGGCTGGATGTGGTGGCTCATGCCTGTAATCCCAGCACTTTGGGAGGCCAAGGGGGGCAGACCACGAGGTCAGGAGATCGAGGCCATCCTGGCTAACATGGTGAAACCCTGTCTCTCCTAAAAATACGAAAAATTAGCCAGGTGTGGTGGTGTACGCCTCTAGTCCCAGCTACTCAGGACGCTGAGGCAGGAGAATCACTTGAATCTGGGAGGCAGAGGTTGCAGTGAGCCCAGATTGTGCCACTGCACTCCAGTCTGGGCGACAGAGCGAGACTCCGTCTCAAAAAAAAAAAAAAAAAAATAGTGGGTGATGAGATGGCTCAATCTATCCTCAGAGAAAGAGAGAGGGGGGCATGAGTCAGGTGACCAAGTTCCTCTGCATGGGAGAACCTTTCCTAAGGAGGAATTGTCTGTCTTAGTCTGTTCTGTGCTGCTACAACTGACTACCAGGGACTGGGTAATTTATAAGGAACAGAAATGTATTTGCTCATAGTTCTGGAGGCTGGGAAGTCCAAGAACAAGACACACTTCCTGATGAGTGACAGGAAGGAGTGACCTGAGACCAAGGCTTGTCCTTCTGGTTGTCGGTGACAGCCAGCACCTGGTCCGTGTTGGGGCATCAACCATCAAGGAAAAGTTCTTGGTGCAGCTCCAACACCCCAGTTCTGATTTCCACGTTTCTTTTTACACAGCGGTGCAGAGGAATGAATTATTAGCGTGAGGTGTCTCAGAGAGAACATGTGGGAACGTTGTAAAAAGAAAACCCTCGTTCCTTTCTTTCTTGAGATATAAATGCAGTCAGATCCGAGGTGCTGGAAACCAGCATTCATTTGCAGCCGAATTCTCAGCATCGACTAATGATATTCCGCAAATGGCTGGAGACTTCCAGGAACATGTGTTTCGAATTGCAGAACCATGAAAGAGTTTTGTTGGCACTCATAAATAATGAATTTTTTTTTTCCTAGACCCTACTGACCAGGCCCACATGTTGGGTCAGGGCAGTCAGCGTGCGGGTGCCCCCGGGTGCTGTGACTGGTGGCATGGATCAGGGAGAAATGAGAAAGAAAACGGGGAATGAGGGAATGGGACTCTGTGTGTGCAGAAGAGTCTGTTCAATTGTCTTCAGCTAGTGGCAAAGCAAATGGCATTTATGGGCCTAATTTACGGAGCATACATGGCAGGAAAGGTGAGGTAAATCATCTTAATATTAAGATTTATGTCTTGTGTGCTAAGGACTAATTTCCATAAGGCATTTACAAAAGCCATCTTGTCCTTGGAGAATGTGGTAAATCGGTTCCTCAACAGGCCTCTGACCCAGCAGCCTACAAGTATTTTTTCCCTTATTTTCCCTCTTCTATTTTCTTTCTTTTTCTCTTTCCTCTTCCCTCTCCCCCTTCCCTTCCTTCCTCTCCCTCCCTTCCTTTCTTTGTTCCTTTCATCCTTCCTTTCCTTCCTTCGTTTTCTCCCTTCCTTTCTTACTTCCTCCCCTCCTTTATTCCATTTTCCTCCCTCAGTTCCTCCCTCCTTCCCTTCCCTTTTTCCTACCTTCATTCCTCCATTTTCCTTCCTTCCTCCCTCCCTCCTTCCTTTCTTTCTTTCTTTCTTTCTTTCTTTCTTTCTTTCTTTCTTTCTTTCTTTCTTCCTTCCTTTCTTCCTTCCTTTCTTTTCTTTCTTTCTTTCTTTGTTTGTTTGTTTTCTTTCTTTCTTTCTTTGTTTTCTTTCTTTCCTTCCTTTCTTTCTTTCTCTTTCTTGCTTTCTTTTTCTTTTTTCTTTCTTTCTTTCTGTCTGTCTCTCTCTCTCTCTCTCTCTTTCTCTCTTTCTGTAATCCAGCACTTTGGGAGGCCAAGGTGGGTGGATCACCTGAGGTCAGGAGTTCGAGACCAGCCTAGCCAACACGGTGAAACCCCATCTTTACTAAATATACAAAATTAGCTGGGCCTAGCGGCGCATGCCTGTAATCCCAGCTACTTGGGAGGCTGAGGCAGGAGAATCGCCTGAACCCAGAGGCGGAAGTTGCAGTGAGCCGAGATTACCCCAGTGTACTCCAGCCTGGGCTACAGAGTGAGACTCTGTCTAAAAAAAAAAAAATTAAAATAAAAAATTAAAAAGTGCACTTCTTATGAAGAGGTGAGATGCTGAAGATCATAAAATGGGATGGAGGACGCGTGGATGGGGACGGTTGTATTTTAATCACAGTTCCTTCTGAGTTACTTGAATAGTTTTGCAATGTGTTGCTTTGAAGAAAATATTACATATACATTTTAACGGATATATGTGCCAGGCACGGTGGCTCACGCCTGTAATCCTAAGACTTTAGGAAGCAGAGGCGGGTGGATCACCTGAGGTCAGAAGTTCAAGACCAGCCTGGCCAGCATGGTGAAACCCCGTCTCTATTAAAAATATAAAAACTAGCCAGGCGTGGTGGCGGATGCCTGTAATCCCAGCTACTTGGGAGGCCGAGGCAGGAGAATCGCTTAAACCCAGGAGGCGGAGGTTGCAGTGAGCAGAGATCGCGCCCCCGCACTTCAGCCTGGGTGACAGAGTGAAACTCCATCTCTAAAACAATAATTAATAAATAAATAAATAAGTAAATAAATAAATAAATAAATGGCCGGGTGCAGTGGCTTACGCCTATAATCCCAGCACTTTGGGAGGCTGAGGCGGGTGGATCATGAGGTCAGGAGATCGAGACCATCCTGGCTAACACAGTGAAACCACATCTCTACTAAAAATACAAAAAATTAGCCGGGCTTGGGGGCAGGCGCCTGTAGTCCCAGCTGCTAGGGAGGCTGAGGCAGGAGAATGGCATGAACCCGGGAGGCGGAGCTTGCAGTGAGCCGAGATCATGCCACTGCACTCCAGCCTTGGCGACAGAGTGGGACTCTATCTCAAAATATATATATATATATATATATAAAATAAAATTTAAAAATGTGCCATGTACGGCATCCTCTATCCCAAGTACCCCATGCTCGAATGGTAACAGGGTAGGAATTCCCACTGTGAACATATTCTGCTTCCTTGGAGGTCCAGGTAGCAAGATAGGAGCTGAGGAAATGAACCCTGTCTGTTCAGTGACTCACACGTGCTTAATGACAATTTTACCCTCTGCGTTTGCTTCTGCAGTTGTAACAAAGGACAACGTTAAAACAACAGGAATTTATTCTCTCCCAGTCCTGGAGACCAGGAGTTTGAGATCAAGGGGTCTCAGGACCATGCTTCCTCTGGAGGCTCTAGGGGAGGGTCCTTCCTGCCTCTCCCAGCTTCTGGGGGCTCCAGGCATCCCTGGGTTTGTGGCCGCCTCTCTGCAGTCTCTGCCTCCATCTCCACGTGGCCTCCTCTGTGTCTGTGTCTCCTCTTTGTCTCTTATGGGGTCACCCCTCATTGGATTTAGAGTCCAACTCCAATGCAAGACGATTTCATTTTGAGATCCTTCCCTTAATCACATCTGCAAAGACCCTATTTCCAAATGAGGTCCTATTCACGGATTCTAAGGTTTAGGACCTGGACATGTCTTTGGGGGATCCCCATTCAACCCACTGCAATTTGGTCTGGTTCCTTTTAGAAGCTCTAGGGGAGGATCCTTCCTGCCTCTTCGAGCTCCTGGGGGCTCCAGGTGTCCCTGTGTTTGTGGCCGCATCACTCCAGTCTCTGCTTCTGTCTCCACGAGGCCGTCTCCTCTGTGTCTGTGTCTTCCCTGCTGTCTCTTAGAAGGACACCTGTCACTGGGTTTACGGACTGCCCAAATATACCAGGATGATCTCTGCATCTGAAGATCTTTCATCTGCAAAGACTTTGCCATATAAGACGGAATTCACAGGTTGCCAGGGTTAGGAAGTGAACATTTTTGAAGAGGTGGGCCATGCCTTAGCCTACCACATCCACCTCTGGTTCATGGTGCCTGTTAGCTCTGTCCACCAGGGATTCCTGGGGAAACTCAGTCCCCATCTCCATAAATCTCCTGCAGGCTGCTTGTGCAGAAACCCCCTCAGCTCAGCAAGCTGATCAGGTCTGCACTAGGGACTTTTGTCCTACAGCTCTGAGGAGCTGCTTCAAACACATTCTCACCTCTCTTTGCCTCTTCTCCCTCTGAAGTCTGTATAGTTTTTGTTCCTCAGGTTCCATTCAGGAGAACTTGGAAGAAACCAAAAATATAAAGACACATAGAGACATGTTTCACCCAAAGGAGCTACACCTTCTCTTCTTTTTTTTAATTTTACTTTTAAAAAATTTTAATTGACAAATAATAACTGTATGTATTCATGGGGTACATTGCAAGGTTTTTGTATATGTATGACTTACAGAAAGATTAAATCATGCTAGTTAACATATCCATCGCCTCACCTATTAAATAAGATAAATATACTTATTTATCTATTTATTTATGTACAGACAGGGTCTGGCTCTGTTGTCCAGACTGGAGTGTACTGGTGTGATCGTAGCTCACTGCAGCCTCCAACTCCTGGACTCAACCAATCCTTCCACCTCAGCCTCCCAAGTAGCTGAGACTATGGGCACACACCACCATGCCCAGCTAATTTTTTTGTTATTTTTGTAGAGACAAGGTGTCACTCTGTTGCCCAGGGTGGAGGGCACTGGTGTGATCGTAGCTCACTGCAGCCTCCAACTCCTAGACTCAAGCCGTCCTTCCACCTCAGCTTCCTGAATAGCTGAGACTGCAGGCACATGCCACCATGCCCAGCTAATTTTTATGCATTTATTTATTCTGTGGAGACAAGGTGTCACTCTGTTGCTCTGGCTGTAGTGCACTGTTGCGATCATGGCTCACTGCAGCCTCAAACTCCTGAATTCAAGTGATCCTCCCATCTCAGCCTCCCATGTAGCTGGGGCTACATGTGTGTACCATCACACTGGGTTAATGTTTTTTGTTTTTTGTTTTTCTTGTGTTTTTTTGTTTTTGTAGAGACAGGGTCTCACTATGTTGCCCAAACTGGTCTCAAAATCCTGACCTCAAGTGATCCCCCCACCTCAGTCACTCAAAGTGCTGTGATTACAGGCATGAACTACCATGCCCGGCCATCACCTACTTATTTCTTTGTGGAGAGAATGTTTACAATCAACTCTTTTCACAATTTTGAGGTACAGAATGTGTTATTATTCATAATAGTCACCATGCTTTGCAATGCATCACTTAAGCGTATTTCTGCTGTTTGACAAAAACTTTGTACCCTTTGATCGACATCTGTCTTTTCCCCAACCACCTCCCAGAAGTCAACTTTTTTGTTGATTTACCCCCGATTTCTGACACAGCCTGAGGGAGGACTCTTGGATTTAAGGATGGTTAAATGGTTTTGCTTTTAATGTGTTCCTGGAGTCTTGGGGAACTGCTCTGCCCTGACATTCTAGGTCCTACCACACGCAGTTTTACACTTCAGTCTCTCTATCTCTGTTTGTGGACATATAATCTACTAATCATAACAGTTTTATTTCATCTCTGTCCAATCCATGTCTCTTCTAATTTTATTTTTATCCAGGTGTTAACAAACAGCACAGTGGTTCTTAGAAGTGGTACTAGCTAGGCACCACACCTTGTCATCAATCTACAATGAACAACCTTAAACTCTTCACCATTAAATAGAAAGTGGGCTATAGATTTTTGATATACACTCTTTATCAATTGAAGAAAAATTATTTTGTTCCTACTTCTGTAAGAGCTCTTTTTAATTGTGTTTGCATTTTATCAAATGTTTTCCGTGTTCATCTTTGATGTGGTGAAATGCATGAGAAAATTGGTGTTGAACTATCCTTGCATTCCTAACATAAACCCAACTTGGGTGTTTTCACCCTACGTATTTGTGGATGTGGTTTGCTCATATCTTATTGGGAGGATGTGCATTCATGTTTAGAAACCAAGGCTTCCTTGCACTTTGCTTTTCTTATGCTGTCCTTGTTGAGTTGTATGAGAATTACTTTTTATTTTCTATACTCTGAAGGAGGGTGTAAGAGTTTGATTATTTTTCTTATGCATTAAGTCATGAATGAAACCATTTGAGCTTGCTGATAAGCCCATCATGTTATCTACATCTTTATGCCTCGTGTGGTAACTTATTTGCTTCCCTAGCCTTACAAGGACATTGTGATTGGATATTAAATTTTCTTCTGTTTCTTTTTGGGTGGGAAAATGTAGCTAGGACAAAAGAGGCCTTGAATCACCTGTAAGATTCTCACAGATTTTGGTCAGGTGGTGTATCAGTTTTTGCTAGATATTTGATGTGTTTTAAAAGATTTTTTAAAACTACATTTTGGCTGGGTGTGGTGGCTCATGACTGTAATCCCAGCACTTTGGGAGACTGAGGCAGGTGGATTACCTGAGGTCAGGAGTTTGAGATCAGCCTGGCCAGCATGGTGAAACCCTGTCTCTACTGAAAATACAAAAATTAGGCCAGGTGCAGTGGCTCACACCTGTAATCCCAGAACTTTGGGAGGCTGAGACAGGTGGATCACGAGGTCAGGAGATCGAGACCATCCTGGCTAACATGGTGAAACCCCGTCTCTACTAAAAATATAAAAAAAAATTAGCCGGGCGTGGTGGCGGGCACCTGTAGTCCCAGCTACTCGGGAGGCTGAGGCAGGAGAATGGCGTGAACCCAGGAGGCGGAGCTTGCGGTGAGCCAAGATTGCGCCACTGCACTCCAGCCTGAGTGACAGAGCAGGACTCCGTCTTAAAAAAAAAAAAAAAAAAAAAAAAAATTAGCTGTGCTTGGTGGCAGGTGACTGTAATCCCAGCTACTCAGGAGGCTGAGGCAGGAGAATCACTTGAACCCAGGAGGCGGAGGTTGCAGTGAGCCGAGATCACGTCATTGCACGCCAACCTGGGTGACAAGAGCAAGACTCTGTCTGAAAAACAAAAACAAACACACAAATAAAAATACTACTTACATTGTGTTTGTTTCTTTGAGTTTTGAATGGGGGGAGGGGCAGCAGATGGAAATTTACTGATAGACTCACTCTCTGTAGATGCCTGTTTTGTTCTTTGGCAAATGAGAGCCCTCCAGAGGAGCATACAGGAAAATTAGTTCATTCAAAATCTGAGAGTGGCTTTTGGAATCTTTTCTTGGCCATCCCCACATGAAAATCCAAATATGAGAATGAGGGACTGTGCCCAGCCTATGTGACGTTTGGGGAGTATTTTGTAGCACTGGCTGTCTCTCCTCTTTTTAGGGGGTACAAGCCTGGGCCACACCCAGAAAATTGGCCAAACGGAGTCCTGAGAAGAGATGCCACCGTCAGAATGAAGGTTATGTTAGAGGGGAAGCCAGCTTACATTTGGGGCACAGCCCTACCCTAATTGGTATATCCCTTCTACATGGTTGAGTTGGTAGAAAATGGTGCCCTAAATACAAATTTACTTTGCTTCTCTGGGATAAAGGAGGGGGTGAGAAAGGTCTAGTTTCCAGTAGTTGGCCAAAAAAAACCCATGAGCTTGAAAAAATAAAATTGTTCTGGACTTAAAAGAGGGCAGAGGGATCATTGGATGAGTGCGTGCAGCAGTGAAAGTGAGCATTCCCTGTTATCAGAGCCACGCTGATTCAATTAAGGAGCAAATCGAGCCTGCAAGAAGAAAGGATCATTTGTTATGCTGTTTACACATTACAGGGTACCCAGGGACTACTTATTTAGCAGGCATAAAACCAGCAGGCACTATGCATAAACTGTGATGATTGCAGTGTCTCCAAGCAGACAGGGATTAATTGATTTCTAACGGAATCTGCGTGGGACTCTTGAGTTTGGCTCTCTGAAGGGGCACCCGTCCCAAGTCCTGCACACATCAGCAAACTAAATCAAATACACCTTCCCTACAGCTCATTCAATGCTTTGAGTTTTAGAACAGGAATGATTGTTTTGGAAATCCCTGTTTGTTTGTTTGTTGTTTGTTTGTTTGTCGTTTGTGGGTTTTTTTTTTTTTTTTTTGAGTCACTTTGTCACCCAGGCTGGAGTGCAGTGGCGTGATCTCGGCTCACTGCAACCTCTGCCTCCTGGGTTCAAGCAATTCCCCTGCCTCAGCCTCCCGAGTAGCTGGGACTACAGGCATGCACCACCATGGCCAGCTAATTTTTTTTTGTATTTTTAGTAGAAACGGGGTTTCACCATGTTCGACAGGCTGGTCTCGAGCTCCTGACCTCAGGCAATCCACCCTCCTCAGTCTCCCAAAGCGCTTTGTGCTCTTATATTTAAAAACGTGCTCTGGGCCAGGCACGGTGGCTCATGCCTGTAATCCCGGCACCTTGGGAGGTTGAGTTGGTTGGACCACCTGAGGTCAGGAGTTCGAGACCAGCCTGGCCAATATGGTGAAACCCCATCTCTACTAAAAATACAAAAAAATTAGCTGGGCATTATGGTGGGTGCCTGTAGTCCAGATAGAGAGAGATAGAGGTAGAGCTAGATAGAGATAGAGCAAAAGCCCTCACAGAAACCTTCAGAATAACATGTCACCATGTATCTGGGTGCCGTGGCCCAGCCAAGTAGGCGCATAAAACAAACAATCCCACGAGGGTTCCTTCCCTCCTCCCTGGATGGGCTGAGAGCTCCTCCCTCATAAACCAAGGGATCCTCCCTCCTCCCTGGATGGGCTGAGAGCTCCTCCCTCATAAACCAAGGGATCCTTCCCTCCTCCCTGGATGGACTGAGAGCTCCTCCCTCATAAACCAAGGGATCCTCCCTCCTCCCTGAATGGGCTGAGAGCTCCTCCCTCATAAACCAAGGGATCCTCCCTCCTCCCTGGATGGGCTGAGAGCTCCTCCCTCATAAACCAACGGATCCTCCCTCCTCCCTGGATGGACTGAGAGCTCCTCCCTCATAAACCAAGGGATCCTCCCTCCTCCCTGGATGGGCTGAGAGCTCCTCCCTCATAAACCAAGGGATCCTCCATCCTCCCTGGATGGACTAAGAGCTCCTCTCTCATCAACCAAGGGATCCTCCCTCCTCCCTGGGAGGACCCAGAGCTCCTCCCTCATAAACCAAGGGATCCTCCCTCATGTCCAGAGGGCTCCTCCCTGGCGTGAATTCCATGCCACTGTTCTCTAGTAATGAAATTCTTCCCTTTGGGGCTCTCATGTCTCTATTTGTAATCCAAGAAAAAAGGTGTCCAAGAAACGTTCCTCCAATTCTGCTTTCTGGAAGAAACCCACCTCTGGCCTGACCCATCCCGGGCCCATCCTACCAGGCCCTGGACCCTGTGCAATGCCCGGCTATTGGCAGGAGCTCAGGTGGACAGGCAGAGATCCAGCAGTAACTGTGTATAGGAGTTGGTGCGTGCTCGCCTGATTTTAGGGACGAGTATGTTGCTCAATTGTTACGAGCTCTGGGTTCCCTACTTTTCTGTCATCCCTCTGTCTTTATGAACAAGGCTGCTTAGGTGAGGAAATGGTATTTGTGTTTTGTCTGATTTCATCTTCCCCTCCTGTGTGCCCGGAACAAGTCAGAGATAAAGCAAAGCTCTGTAGGAACACTGAAGTTGTTGTATGGTGAGTTCTCATTCCATTTCCCTGGCTGAATTTCCTTGCTATTTTTTTTTCTTTTCTGGTGAGTCACTGAATTATTTTGTGTTCAACTCCTTGCATCCTTCAGTTTAAAAAACGACTGACTTCTCCCACAAGGGTATTGATGTAGCTGGTTCCAGCTGATACCCAAATGAGTCAACCTGCCCACTTTCTTTGGAGTCAAGCAGAATAAAAATGCTTCTGACATGTGAATTGCATTTCCCTTGAAATACTCATGGGCTTAAAAATAAAGAAGAACACAATTTTTTTTTAAATTGGGCTTTGCCAAGACCCAAACGTTTGAAAAACCAGTTGAAGACGTTTTTTGCCAACCCCCAAACGTCACCCGACGTGACTGCTCCTCTCTGCGTGTTCTGTGTGATCCCGGCTGGAGACTGACCACATTTGAACGCGTCTGTTTAAACAGGCGCTGTGGCTCCATGTGTGAGGACCCGTCTCCCAGGTCAGTGGGAACGTAAAATACCCAAGCTTCAGCGTCTGCTCATTTTAAAATTTGCAGTTCTTTTGGGGCCAGATTCACCTGTTTTCGTATTTGTTCAACGTGTATATCATATGGGAATTTCCACTTATTCATCTCAAAGACTTCAAATTCCCTTTTGTTCTGAAAAATCAACTCCTTGCTGGCAGTTGTCGTTATGAGTGATCCTGGGGTCCACACAAGGCTTGTTTGCACAGAACATTACAGACGGTGAGCATTGGCTCATACCTGTAATCCCAGCATTTTAGGAGGCTCAGGTGGGAGGATTGTGGGAGCCCAGGAGTTTGACACTAGCCCGGGCAACATAGCGAGACCCAATTTCTATTAAAAAACAAACAAAAGGCCAGGCGCGGTGGCTCACGCCTGTAATCCCAGCACTTTGGGAGGCTGAGGCAGGTGGATCATGAGATCAGGAGTTTGAGACCAGCCTGCCCAGTATGGTGAAACCCCGTCTCTACTAAAAATACAAAAATTAGGCTGGGCACGGTGGCTCACACCTGTAATCCCAGCACTTTGGGAGGCCAAGGCGGGCGGATCACGAGTCCAGGACTTTGAGACCATCCTGGCTAACACAGTGAAACCCAGTCTCTACTAAAAAAATACAAAAAAATTAGCTGGGCGTGGTGGCAGGTCTCTGTAGTCCCAGCTACTCAGGAGGCTGAGGCAGGGGAATGGCGTGAACCTGGGAGGTGGAGCTTGCAGTGAGCCGCGATTGCACCACTGCACTCCAGCCTGGGTGACAAAGCGAGACTCTGTCTCAAAAAAAAAATTTTTTTTTGAAAAATTAGCCGGGCATGGTGGCAGGTGCCTGTAGTCCCAGCTACTCGGGAGGCTGAGGCAGAAGAATTGCTTGAACCTGGCAGGTGGGGGTTGCAGTGAGCTGAGATTGCACCACTGTACTCCAGCCTGGGCGACAGAGAAAGAATTTGTCTCAAAAACAAACAAACAAACAAACAAACAAACAAACACTTCAGAAAGGAGTCAAGGAGTTTGAGCAAGAGCAGGATTTGGATTTCCTAGGCTGTGTACTTGTTGGAGAGTTCAACAAGGTATGACCTCCCTGCGAGCTCAGTGTCCTCATCTGTCACATGGGTTGAGGAATGACAGTGCATCATATCTAGAGTCATTACATAAAATGAGATGGTGCCTGTGGAGTGTTCCCCACAGAGCCCAGTGAGCGCTCCAATTTTAAGAACGTGAGAGCTCCCTGCTTCCTTCCAGTTTCTCTTCAACAGGACGGTTGAGGCATGTTGACAGTCCAACAAAATAATGCCTCAAAACACATGGAATTACAACACTTTTTTTTTTTTTTAGCAACTGTCTTTAGAAATAGTTAATGGGTCAAATGAGGTATGCTGGTTTCAGCCATTGCAATAGTTAGCTATGCTGCGTAACAAATGACCCCAATCATAATGGCTTAAAATTGTCATGCTCTCAGAGGAAATTTAGTTCCTTATGACCCAGTGAAAGAAACCAGTCTGAAAAGGTGACTCCGTCTATGAGTCCAACTATAGGACACTGTGGAAAAAAGCAAAACGACAGAAACAGAGGAAGAATCAGGGGCTGCGGGGAGGGAGGGATGAATGGGAGGAGATCAGAGGATTTTTAGGGCAGTCAAATTACTCTGGGTAAAATGACAATGGTGGGTCCACGTCATTATACGTTTGTCCAAACGTGCAGAATATACCCCACCAGGAGGGGGCTGTAACGTGAACTGTGAACTGTTGTGATGATTACGTGTCCATGGAGGTTCACTGAGTGTAACAAATGCACCAGTCTGGTGGCATATTGATAATGGAGGAGGCTGTGCATGTGTGTGAGGTGGAGGGTAGATGGAAAAATCTCTCTGCCTTCTTTGTGATGAACCTAAAACTACTAAAAAAATTAAAATATTAGAAAATGACAACCTATTGGCACATCCTTCTCTTCCGGAGACATCAAGATGGTCTTCGTATGGTGGTGGCAAACTTCTGCCTGGGGTCTTCAGTTCCAGGCTAGGGTAGGGTATTGAGGGGCAGTAGTGAGTATCGGTTCTGAACCAAGCAGCTAGGATGCAATGAACGTCTGGGTAAGAAACTGGAATTGGGGCACCAGGAAGTGAGTTCTGCCAGGTCCGAATGCTTTCCTGGGTTCCCAAGGACTACTTCCTTCACCCTACGCTTTCTCCAAAGTTGGAGGATAAAGCAGGAAAGCAAGACACCTGGGTATTCTGGGAGCCTACAGGTCTACTATGGACTGAATATTGGGTGCCCCCCCAATTCTTTTCTTATTATACCTTTAAGTTCTGGAGTACATGTGCAGAACGGGCAGGTTTGTTACATAGGTATACATGTGCCATGGTGGTTTGCTGCACCCATCAACCTGTCATCTATATTAGGTGTTTCTCCTAATGCTCTCCCTCCCCCAGTTCCCCACCCCCCAACAGGCCCCGGTGTGTGATGTTCCCCTCCCTGGGTCCATGTGTTCTCATTGTTCAGCTCCCACTTAGGAGTGAGAACATGCGGTGTTTGGTTTTCTGTTCCTGTGTGAGTTTCCTGAGAATGATGGTTTCCAGCTTCACCCATGTCCCTGCAAAGGACATGAACTCATCCTTTTTTATGGCTGCATAGTATTCCATGGTGTCTATGTGCCACATTTTCTTTATCCAGTGTATCATTGATGGACATTTGGGTTGGTTCCAAGTCTTTGCTATTGTGAACAGTGCCACAATAAACATACGTGTGCATGTGTCTTTATAGTAGAATGATTTATAATCCTTGGGGTATATACCCAGTGATGGGATGGCTGGGTCAAATGGTATTTCTAGTTATAGATCCTTGAGGAATCACCATACTGTCTTCCACAATGGTTGAACTAATTTACACTCCCACCAGATAATTAATATTTTAATATGCCACACCTTCTTAGTATAATATGACAGATGGAACCTCATGTGATTAAATAAAGAAGTGGGTTATTTGATTCACTTGACACATTTGATTAACCGAGATTCCACTTACGAGTTTTACTGGCCACACTTTAGTTTTAAGAAGGCTAATTAAATTGGGGCATCTCTTATGGAGTCATTGCTATTTCACGTTTTTCTGTTCATTCCACCAATGTTTTTAAAAGAGTTGACTTCTTTGTTTGTTTGTTTGTTTGTTTTTTGTTTTTGAGATGGGGTCTTGCTCTGTGGCCCGGGATGGAATGCAATGGCACCATCTCAGCTCACTGCAACCTCCGCCTCCTGGGTTTAAGCAATTCTCCTGTCTCAGCCTCGGGAGTAGCTGGGATTACAGGTTCACACCACCACGGCCAGCTGAAGTTTCTATTTTTAGCAAAGATGGGGTTTCATCATGTTGGCCAGGTTGGTCTCAAACTCCTGACCTCAGGTGATCCACCTGCCTCAGCCTCCCAAAGTGCTGGGATGACAGGCGTCAGCCGGGATGACAGGCATGAGCCACCGCACCGGGTCAACAGTCGACTTCTTTTGACCAAGTGCACCCTACTGCTAAATATTTTGACTGAAATTTTGTTTTATTTGGAAAAGTGCCCAATGATAGCTTTTCTTTTTTTTTCCCCCTAGTGAGAGCAGAGAATGGCTAAAACATCCCCTTTTGGTAGTCTGGTTTGTTTTTTCTGCAGTTTTTTACATTTCAGGAGAAGTTCTTTTCTGCAAAGAGGTTGGCATACTTCCCTAACGTTGTCTTCTTAATATTACCTTCAAGCCTGCATGGTTTGTACTGAGTAGAGACACAGAACTTGCCCACCTGCCAAATTCATGCCGATGTCTCATGGAAGAACCATTTTACTTCATCTGCATCAAGTCCTCCCATAAACCGGATTCCAAAGTCGTGGAGAAACCCCGTCTCAATCCTAAGGGAGGAAGAAAAACAAATGGAACCAGATGAGGGGTCAGAAAAATACAATTGTGACCTCTGTTTCTTTCTGGGACATTTGGACCACGGCCATCAGTCAGATGGCTGAGAGGATTTAAGGGTCTAACCTAATCGCCTTCTTCCTCTCTTTTTCTGTCTTTGCAGCTATTAAGGATTTAGACTTCTTAACCATTTTATCAGAACAATAGCAGGGAAAGACCTGGATGTTTACCAAGCCTGCCATTAGGGGCCAAGTGGCCACTCCCCATCATCATAATTTGAACCACCATGTAACAGCCATTCCGCCAAGCAAATAAATTGCTGTAACATGACCTGATTATTTATTACAAGGTCAATATAAGTGAAACAGCCTCACAGTCATCCATCAGGGAGCAAGCGATCCTCATCACCTTTGCCATGAAGTGGAACTCTGGGTCGCAGAACATGTAACGTCTGTGTTGGCCATCTCCACAGAGAGAAATTTTCTTTTTAAATTGGAGGAAAGGAATTTTGATCATCGCGGGGCTGTCGCGATGGGGGTGTTTGGAAATGGTATAATTATTGCCTTTAAAAGCTTGGATCTCATTATCGTGTGTATGTATATGTGTGTGTGTGTGTGTGTGTGTGTGAGTGTAAAATCAACTTGTATTTTTTTTTCCCCTTTGCTGATGGTCTCTGCTGACATACATTGTAAAGGCGGATAAGAAGGATTTGGGAACAGCTTTTGGTCCAACTTGTGCTAAATGTCAGCTACTTGGGGAAAGAGTGGAGTTTGTGCAGAGAAAGAGTCGATTTGGGGAAGCCAGAAAGATCCCCAGCAGAACGGTTCATATTATCGTATGACCCTACTTGCTATGGCCGAGCCATCACTACCCGGGCTGGAGTGCATTGGTTCTGAATTGTGGGTCTCTGCCACAGCCGTGAGCTTTACCAGGTTCCTACGTGATCTGCCCGCGTCTCTTTTAGAAGGTGGCGGCAGTGATCGTAACCCACACAATGGAAGTGCCAGGGCAGCCTGGGGGTGACTCCCTGCCCCACACCTGATTATCAACAACAGGACTTGACTCAACCTATGACACTGTGAACGTCAGTTTTGGGAAAAGTTCCAACCTGGGGTCACCTGCGTGTGTGTGTGTGTGTGTGCGTGTGTGTGTGTGTGTGTCAGGCAAGTGGGTCCAGTGTCGTAGGTTAATCTGTTTATATCTCTTGTTATAAATTTGAGCAACTTATTTTTAGGCAAAGATATACACGGAGTTTGCTCAATGGGAAAAAAAAATCACCAAATGCCACTGAACTATATATAAGAAAATATATATATATTTTTATATATATGTATACACACACACTATGTAGTGATATATTTACATGTTATATATTATCTATACATATATAATGTATATATACAGTATATATGTATATATACCAGTATACTGTATATATACCAGTATACTGTATATATACAGTATATAATGTATATATACAGTATACTGGTATATATACATATATACTATATAGTTTCTATATATATTTCTATATATAGTTTCTTATACATAGTCGTTGAATATATATTATATACTATATTATTACATAGTATATTAATGTATCTATAATATATAACATGTAAATATATCACTACATAGTTTATTAATGTATATATAATATATACATGTATTATATAATACAAATATATATTATATTAATGTATATAATATATAATGTATATTAATGTATATAATATATAAATGTATTATATAATATATTGATGTATACAATATATAAATACATAATATATTATATAACATATATTATATTGTATATTAATGTATACAATATATTAATATAATACTTAATATATTAAGCTACATAATATATAATTATATATTGTATTATAATAATATAATATATTTAGGTATATAATATATAATATAATATATGTTATAATATATATCATATATTATACATTATATACCTTCAAATAATATACAATCTTTTATATCATATATTATAATATATTAACATATAATATATAATATATAAAGCTATACAATATATAATTGTATATGATATATTGTAATAATATTTTAAGCTATATATCATATAATTATATATTATACAGCTTTATATATTATATATAAATATATGTACATACTATATAATATATTGTATATACATTAATATACTATATATTATATACTATATAGTATAATAAATATATTATATATACATTAGTATACTATATATTATATACTATACATAATATAATATAAATATATTATATACATTAGTATACTATATATTATATACTATACATAGTATAATATAAATATATTATATACATTAGTATACTATATATTATATACTATACATAGTATAATATAAATATATTATATACATTAGTATACTATATATTATATACTATACATAGTATAATATAAATATATTATATATACATTAGTATACTATATATTATATACTATACATAGTATAATATAAATATATTATATATATTAGTATGCTATATATTATATACTATACATAGTATAATATAAATATATTATATATACATTAGTATACTATATATTATATACTATATATAGTATAATATAAATATATTATATATACATTAGTATACTATATATTATATACTATACATAGTATAATATAAATATATTATTTATACATTAGTATACTATATATTATATACTATATAGCATAATGGAAATATATTATATATACATTAGTATACTGTATATTATATACTATGCAGTATAATATAAATATATATACATTAGCATACTATATATTGTATACTATATATATAGTATAATATAAATATATTATATATATAATTTCTTATTCTTGCCTGCCTAAACATGCTCAGTGATTCTGTGTGGCACATTTAGCTTCCAATGGGTGGTAAGTATATAGCTCTCTCTCCCTTTAAAAAATTAAGATGACATTCACATAACATGAAATTTTATAGTGCTCAATTCAGGAGCATTGAGGACATTCAGAACATCATGCAATCCCCACCTCTATCTAGTACCACAACCTTCTCAGTACCCAAAAGGTGACCCTGTACCCTTTAAGCAGTCACTCCCATTCCCCTCCCCCTTTCCCGGGAAGCTCCAATGTGCTTTCTATTCTCTGTTTTTGACACCACATGGCATGATTCTGCACAATGTGCTTTCTGTCTCTCTGGATTTGCCTCTTCTGGACACGTTTATGTAATGGAATCCTCCAATATTTGTCCTTTGATGTCCGATTTCTGTCACTGAGCATGATGTCTTCAAGGTTCTTCCACACTTCAGCCAGTGTCAGAGCTTTGTTCTTTTTCATGGCTGTATAATATTCCACTGTCTGGATGGACCATATTCTGTTTACCCGTTCAACTGCCAATGGACTCCTGGGTTGTTTCCAGCTTTGGGTCATTGTGAGTCATGCTGCTATGAACATTTGTGTCTAGGTTTTTGTTTGAACATCCGTTTTCAGTTCTTTTTGGTACGTACCCAGGAGTTGAATGGCCGGCTTTAGGGTAGCTTCATGTTTAGCCTTTTGAGAAACCACCAAGCTGTTTAGAGACAAAAATGCTTTTGTCTTCCTCTGGTTCGAGGTTCCCTGTGATCCATAAAAATGGTTCAGCCTCCCTACTTGGTGTCTCTGTTTCAAAGGAATGTGCTCATGTAGAGAAGGATATTTTTTGGAGTCTGGATTTTTGGGTCTGGGAGAAGGTTGAGAAGAGAAAGGGTGGATATCGTTGATCTTTGTAGGGCAGAAAATTGCTGCAGCATCCACAATTGATTCTGCCATTGTGGGAAGTCAGCTAAGAGCTGCCTCTCTGCTCTTGAACCTGGTTGCAAAGGTGGATTGAGGGAGGTCGGCCTGGCCTGAGGCTGGGATCTGTCAGGACCAGTCAAAACCGTCAAATTCCTTCTTCCTTTTTGTACTGCGAGGTCACAGGACAGGTGCCAGCATCTACCTGTGATCCAGGAGCTGGGGCTAAGAAGTAGCCAGGTGGTACTGGAGTAACCTGTCCTGCACCCAAGTTCTGAACAACTGACCACCTGCAGGACCCTCCCCACCTGAGATCTGAACACCTCACCAACTGCAGTGACCGTCCCCACCTGAGATCTGACCACCTCACCACCTGCAGTGACCCTCCCCCACCTGAGATCTGACCACCTGACCACCTGCAGAGACCCTCCCCACCTGAGATCTAAACAACTGACCACCTGCAGTGACCCTCCCCACCTGAGATCTAAACACCTGACCACCTGCAGGGACCCTCCCCACCTGAGATCTAAACACCTGACCACCTGCAGAGACCCTCCCCACCTGAGATCTAAACAACTGACCACCTGCAGTGACCCTCCCCCACCTGAGATCTGAACACCTGACCACCTGCAGTGACCCTCCCCACCTGAGATCTAAACACCTGACCACCTGCAGGGACCCTCCCCACCTGAGATCTGAACACCTGACCACCTGCAGAGACCCTCCCCACCTGAGATCTAAACAACTGACCACCTGCAGGGACCCTCCCCACCTGAGATCTGAACACCTGACCACCTGCAGTGACCCTCCCCACCTGAGATCTGAACACCTGACCACCTGCAGGGACCCTCCCCACCTGAGATCTAAACAACTGACCACCTGCAGGGACCCTCCCCACCTGAGATCTAAACACCTGACCACCTGCAGGGACCCTCCCCACCTGAGATCTAAACACCTGACCACCTGCAGAGACCCTCCCCACCTGAGATCTAAACACCTGACCACCTGCAGAGACCCTCCCCACCCAAGATCTGACCACCTGACCACCTGCAGTGACCCTCCCCACCCGAGATCTGAACACCTCACCACCTACAGGTACCCTCCCCACCTGAGGTCTGAACACCTGATGGTACATAAGCAGGGTTTTATATACCATCTTAACAAAGGATGATGAATTCCTGGAGGATTACCTAGGCAAAGGGAAAAAAAATTATGGACTTCCAGGGGTGGTACATTGTGGGAAGCTACATATCTTTGGGAAAGAAATGGAAGATAAGGGTGATTTCATCAGCTTTGATGCCTTCTCCATGACACGTGTCATCTGAAATAATTAAGAGCCATGCTCGGCCAGGCGCAGTGGCTCGCGCCTGTAATCCCAGCACTTTGGGAGGCCAAGGGGGTGAATCACAAGGTCAGGAGATCGAGACCATCCTGGCTAACACAGTGAAACGCCGTCTCCACTAAAAATACAAAAAAGTTAGCCAGGCGTGGTGGCGGGCACCTGTCGTCCCAGCTACTCGGGAGGCTGAGGCAGGAGAATGGTGTGAACCTGGGAGGCGGAGCTTGCAGTGAGTCGAGATCACGCCACTGCACTCCAGCCTGGGTGACAGAGCCAGACTCCGTCTCAAAAAAAAAATAATAAAATAAAAGAGCCATGCTCCTCTTCCTGGTATGGGAGGGAGACACCTTTTGTGATGGGTAATACTGTGTGTCAACAGGATCAGATTGAAGGATGCAAAGTATCGATTCTGAGTGTCACCGTGAGCGTGTTGCCAAAGGAGATTAACATTTGAGTCACGGGGCCGGGAAAGGCAGACTCACCCTTAATCTGGGTGGGCACTATCTCATCAGCTGCCAGCAGGGCCAGAATATAAAGCAGGCAGAAACACGTGAAAAGGCTAGACTGGCTTAGCCTCCGAGCCTACATCTTTCTCCCATTGCTGGAGGCTTCCTGCCCTCGAACATCGGACTCCAAGTTCTTCCCCTTGGGGACTTGGACTGCTGCTCCTTACTCCTCAGCCTGCAGATGGCCCGTGGTGGAATCTTGTGACCATGTCAGTTAATGCTGCTTAATAAACTCTCCTTTAGATAGATAGATAGAAAGATAGATAGGTAGGTAGGTAGATAGATAGATAGATGATAGAAAGATAGAAAGATAGGTAGATAGATAGATAGAAAGATAGACAGATAGATGGAAAGATAGATAGAGAACTATATATATAGTTTTATATATAGAATGATACATAGTGTTATATATAGATATTTATATATAAACTATATATAACTACATAGTTTATATATAAAACTGTATAACTATATACAGTTTTACATATATAAAACTATATATGACTATATATAGTTATATTTATATATACATATATGTAAAACTATATATAAATATATATCTATAACATATAAAACTATGTGTAACATATATAGTTACATTTACATATCTATACATATATGTAAAAATATATAGTTATAGTTTTATATATGTAAAACTACATATATAGTTTTATGTAAAACTATATATAAAACTACACTATAAAACTATATATAAGACTATATAAAACTATATATAACTACATAGTAATATACATATAATGTTAAAACTATAACTGTATATAAACTACATAATATATAATATATATTTAAATATATATAGTTATATATAACTATATATAACTATATATAGTGTTAAATATAAATATATAACTATATATAGTGTTAAAACTATATATAATATATAATATATATTAAATATATATATTTATATATAACTATATATAAACTATATATAATATATAATATATATTAAATATATATATTTATATATAACTATATATAAACATATATAATATATAATATATATTTAAATATATATTTATATATAACTATATATAAACTATATATAATATATAATATATATTTAAATATATATATTTATATATAACTATATATAAACTATATATAATATATAATATATATTTAAATATATATTTATATATAACTATATATAGTGATATATATAATATATGTATAGTTATATATATAACTATGTATAGTGATATATATAATATATGTATAGTTATATATATAACTATATATAGTGATATATAATATATGTATAGTTATATATATAACTATATATAACTGCAGAATGTATATATACAGAATAGATATATACGTCTAATAGTGTATATATATATATAAATAAGAGTTCTGTCTCTCATAGTATATATATTTATGTCTCTCCTTTAGTTCTCTTCTCTAGAGAACCGTGACTAATACACCTGTACAAAAGGAAATGTATGTTCTGCCATTGTGCATTTGGGAGGGCGACCTCCAAGGCCTCCATCCCTTCCCTGGAGCTGATGGAGATGCGCTGCCCTTGGCTATTGCTATGAGGGGTACTGGGCTGGGGCAGGGATCCCCATGGGGACACCACACCTTTCCTTTTGAGTTCCCCAAGGTTGCAGTGTTTCTGATGACTGAGCATTGAGGACAGTGGGGACACCACCTGGAAGGCAGGGCCTGGTCCCATATAAAAGAGGCAACGAGAGAGCCAAGGCCAGCTCTCCTTGTTGTTCTGAGCCTGGCCAGCAGCCAAGGGAGATGATGGACACAGTCCAGGGTGATGTGGGCCCCTCCCTCTTGCGCTGCCCCTGGGCTGAGCTGGACGCTGCAAATTCGCGGGAAGACACGTTTTCGGCATCACCCCGTCCTGCAGGTAGAGGGAGCCCTGGAGAGATTGTCTTCTGAGTTCCTTTCTCTTTTATTTATTTAGATTTGTGGGGCAGCCCTACTTTGTTCTATGAGAAAAGCAGGAGGGACCAGGAGGAGGTTCTATGGATGATGACCACGACCGACGTAATCTCAGGCAAGCTTCAGAAGAGGAGACGTGAGCGTTCACTAAGGAAGATCAAACGCACCCGCAAAAAGATGAGCCCAGCTTTGCTAACGCCCTGGTGAGTGTCAGGTACAGATAGAGGATGAAAACCTTCAACACACAGGGAACGTGGGCTCCCAGCAGAGCTGACCACAGACAGGCCCAGGCCCTGCTAACACCCCAGTCACAGGTCCAGTGCAGACAGTGGACGCCGGTATTCAATGCACAGGGGACGTGTCTCCCTGCAAACCTCACCACAGATGGGCCCAGGCCCTGCTAACGCCCCGGTCACAGGTCAGGTGTAGACAGTGGATACTGGTATTCAATGCACAGGGGACATGTGCTCCCTGCAGAACTGACTCCAGACAGGCCCAGGCCCTGCTAATGCCCCGGTCACAGGTCAGGTGCAGACAGTGGACACTGGTATTTAATGCAGGGGGGATGTGGGCTCCCAGCAGAACTGACCCCAGACAGGCCCAGGCCCTGCTAACGCTCCGGTCACAGGTCAGGTGCAGACAGTGGACGCTGGTATTCAATGCACAGGGGATGTGGGCTCCCAGCAGAGCTCACCACAGACAGGCCCAGGCCCTGCTAACGCCCCGGTCACAGGTCAGGTGCAGACAGTAGACGCCGGTATTCAATGCACAGGGGACGTGACTCCATGCAAACCTCACCACAGACGGGCCCAGGCCCTGCTAACGCCCCGGTCACAGGTCAGGTGTAGACAGTGGATACTGGTATTCAATGCACAGGGGACATGTGCTCCCTGCAGAACTGACTCCAGACAGGCCCAGGCCCTGCTAATGCCCCGGTCACAGGTCAGGTGCAGACAGTGGACACTGGTATTTAATGCAGGGGGGATGTGGGCTCCCAGCAGAACTGACCCCAGACAGGCCCAGGCCCTGCTAACGCTCCGGTCACAGGTCAGGTGCAGACAGTGGACGCTGGTATTCAATGCACAGGGGACGTGACTCCATGCAAACCTCACCACAGACAGGTCCAGGCCCTGCTAACGCCCCAGTCGCAGGTCAGGTGCAGAGAGTGGACGCCGGTATTCAATGCACAGGGGACATGACTTCATGCAAACCTCACCACAGACAGGCCCAGGCCCTGCTAACATCCCAGTCACAGGTCAGGTGCAGACAGTGGACGCTGGTATTCAATGCACAGGGGATGTGACTCCATGCAAACCTCACCACAGACAGGTCCAGGTCCTGCTAACGCCCCGGTCGCAGGTCAGGTGCAGACAGTGGACGTCGGTATTCAATGCACAGGGGACGTGTCTTCCTGCAAACCTCACCACAGACAGGTCCAGGCCCTGCTAACGCCCCGGTCGCAGGTCAGGTGCAGAGAGTGGACGCCGGTATTCAATGCACAGGGGACGTGACTCCATGCAAACCTCACCACAGACAGGTCCAGGCCCTGCTAACATCCCACTCACAGGTCAGGTGCATTCAGTGGACGCCGGTATTCAATGCACAGGGGACGATGGCTCCCAGCAGAGCTCACCACAGACAAGCCCAGGTCCTGCTAACGCCCAGGTCAGACTGGGTCAGGTACAGATGGGACCAGGCCCTGCTAACACCCTGGTGAGTATCAGGTGCACACAGAAGATGGGAACAGGGGATGTGGGCTCCCTGCAGAACTGACCACAGACAGTCCTGGTCCTTGCTAACACCCAGGCCAGTTTAGCTGAGGTATAGACGGCAGACGGCGGCATTTAATGCACAGGGAATGCGGGTTCCCTGCAAAACTCACCACAGACATGTCCAGGCACTGCTAACATCCTGGGCACAGGTCAGGTACACACAGTGGACGTGAACATTCAATACTCATCCCAGATGGGACCAGACCCTGCTAACGCCCCAGTCAGAGGTCAGCTGGGCATTTAATACACGTGAGACATGGGGTCCTGCAGAACTCACAACAGACGGGCTGAGCCCCGCCAACGCCCAGGTCAGAAGTCAGGGCCAGAGTGTTGTGGCGTTTTTCCCGGGATTTTTGTGTCCAGCTAAATCTGTCCAGCTGCCGTCAGCTGTAACGCCTAGGAGCTGCAGCAGTCTCTGCTACCCTTTTATTCTTTCTCTCTTTCTTTTTCTTTTTCTTTCTTTCTTTCTTTCTTTGTCTTTCTTTCTTCCTTTCTTTCCTTTCTTTCTTTCCTTTCTTTCCTTCCTTTCTTTCTTTCCTTCTTTCTTTCTTTCTTTGTTTCTTTCTTTGTCTTTCTTCCTTTCTTCCTTTCTTTCCTTTCTTTCCTTCCTTTTTCTTTCTTTCTTTCTTTGTCTTTCTTTCTTCCTTTCTTCCTTTCTTTCCTTTCTTTCTTTCCTTTCTTTTTCTTTCTTTCTTTCTTTGTCTTTCTTTCTTCCTTTCTTCCTTTCTTCCTTTCTTTCTTTCCTTTCCTTCCTTTCTTTCTTTCCTTCTTTCTTTCTTTGTCTTTCTTTCTTCCTTTCTTCCTTTCTTTCCTTTCTTTCCTTCCTTTCTTTCTTTCCTTCTTTGTCTTTCTTTCTTTCTTCCTTTCTTTCTTCCTTCCTTTCTTTCTTTCTTTCTTTCTCTTTCTTTCTTTCTTCTTTCTTTCTTTCATCTTTCCTTTCCCTTCCTTCCTTCCTTTCTTTCTTTCTTTGTTTCTTTCTTTGTCTTTCTTTCTTTCTTCCTTTCTTCCTTTCTTTCCTTTCTTTCCTTTCTTTCCTTCCTTTCTTTCCTTCTTTCTTTGTCTTTCTTCCTTCCTTTCTTTCTTTCTTTCTTTCTTTCTTTCTTTCTTTCTTCTTTCTTTCTTTCCTTCTTTCTGTCTCTTTCTTTCTTTCTTTCTTTCAGCTTTCCCTCCCTTCCTTCCTTCCTTCCTTCCTTCCTTCCTTCCTTCCTTCCTTCCTTTCTTTCTTTCTTTCTTTCTTTCTTTCTTTCTTTCTTTCTTTCTTTCTTTCTTTCTTTTTCTTTCTTTCAATGGGGTCTTTCTCTGTCGTCCAGGCTGGAGTGCAGGGGTGCGATCTCGGCTCACTGCAACCTCCGCCTCCCGGGTTCAAGCGATTTTCCTGCCTCAGCCTCCTGAGTAGCTGGGATTACACGAGGTGTGTGCCACCACGCCCAGGTAATTTTTGTATTTTTAGTAGAGACGGGGTTTCACCATGTTGGCCAGGCTGGTCTCAAACTCCTGACCTTGTGATCCACACGCCTCGGCCTCCCAATGTGCTGGGATGACAGGTGTGAGCCACTGCGCCCAGTCTCTGCTCCCTTTTTCGAAGGTTGCTTCTTTGTGCCTGTTCAGTCTTTTCTGGAACCTCCCATCTCTCTCACGGAGACCTTAGGGGGTGTCCCTTCTAGAATGCTGCCCTGGAGCTGTGCCTGACCCCTCCTGGGACTTGAGCATTTTTCTGTCGAATGAATGCAGAGGGGTGGAGAAAAACTCCCGCTCTAAACTGGACTTTGCTTCCAACGACGGCTGTTTTTGAATTGTACCCATCGCCTCTTCATGGTATAAGGTAAGGGCTAAATATATATTATTCACTGGGCAGAATTTTAGTTTGATTTTATGGTAGTGAAATTTACATACCATACAAGTAACCAATTTACAGCGTCCAGTTCAGGAGCCGATAGTACATTCACAATGTTATAGAATTGTCACCTCTCTCTGGTCCGAGAACATTCTCGTCACCCCAAAAGGCAACCCTGAACCCCATTAAACAGTCACCCCCATTTCCACTTCTGAACCCCTGGTGACCTCGAATCTACTTTCTGTGTTTATAGATATTGTCTCAGGTAAGCAGGGGTAAAATAATTTACAAAGAGAATTGCAGATAAAGACGGACTTTTTTATTTTGAGATAGAGTTTCGCTCTGTCACCCATGCTGGAGTGCAGTGCTGTGATCTCGGCTCACTGCAACCTCCACCTCCTGGGTTCAAGCGATTCTCCTGCCTCAGCCTCCAAGTAGCTGGGACTACAGGTGCCCGCCACCATGCTTGGCTAATTTTTGTATTTATAGTAGAGACGGGGTTTCACCATGTTGGCCAGGCTGGTCTCGAACTCCTAACCTCAAGGCATCCACCCACTTCGGAGTCCCAAAGTACTGGGATTACAGGTGTGAGCCACTGTGCCCGGCCATTAAACTTATCTTAGCCTTATCTTTCCTTGGCATCGTCTTCATATCCAAAAAAATCCCTCTGGCCAAGTTTTCCTTGTGATGCTTTTTCCAAAAAAAATTGCAGGGACTCTTTAGAAAATTCCAATCTCCCTGGCAGTTTATGCTTGACTAGTTGGAGTGGCCATTTGGCCTTTAAGAACCTGGAGCAGGCTGGGCACAGTGGCTCACACCTGTAATCCCAGCCCTTTGAGAGGCCGAAGCGGGAGGATTACGAGGTCAAGAGTTCAAGACCAGCCTGACCAACATGGTGAAACCCCGTCTCTACTAAAAATACAAAATTTAGCTGGGTGTGGTGGCAGACACCTGTAATCCCAGCTACGTGGGAAGCTGAGGCAGGAGAATCATTTGAATCTGGGAGACGGAAGTTGCAGTGAGCCAAGATTGTGCCACTGCACTCTAGCCTGGGCAACAGGGCAAGACTCTGTCTCAAAAAAAAAGAAAAAAAAAAAAAGAACCTGGGAAATGCCAGGCACAGTGGCTCCTGCCTGCAATTCCAGCACTTTGGGAGGCTCAGGTGGGAGGATCGCTGGAGCCCAGGGCTTTGAGACCAGCCTAGGCCACCTGGTGAGACCGTGTCTCTACAAAAAGGACAAAAATTCACCAGGTGTGGTGGTGTGTGCCTGTAATCCCACCTACTTGGGAGGCTGAGGTGGGAGGGTCGCTTGAGCCCAGGAGGCAGAGGTTGCAGTGAGTTGAGATCGTGCCCCTGCAGTCCAGCCTGGGCAACATAGTGAGACCCCACCTCCATAAATAGTAATAATAATAATAATAAAAAGAACTATGAATAACATCTCAGATATACATTCAAAATATTATTTTCAATAAATGTCTTCTCAGGCGTCCAAATAGACAAGCGATTCTCCAGCCTCAGCCTCCTGAGTAGCTGAGACTACAGGCACCCGCCACCAAGCCCGGCTAATTTTTGTATTTATAGTAGAGACAGGGTTTCACCATGTTGGCCAGCCTGGTCTCGAACTCCGAACCTCAAGTCATCCACCCACTTTGGCACCCCAAAGTACTGGGATTACAGGCGTGAGCCACCACGCCCGGACATTAAACTTCTCTTAACCTTATATTTTCTTGTCACCCGCAGAGTGCCACCTGTCCAGGCATCGTGCTGGCACAGAACGGCCAATGGGCATGGAATTCCCAGCACTGTTTGTCTGATGCATTAGATGACATAAAGATGGTGTCCTAAGGTTCCACACAAACCTCTTCGCCCACCACTCGGATGATCTGAAAAGCACAAACATAGTTTGTGTCTCGTTGGGGTGTCTACAAACTGTTTTTTGGAACCATGGTCCTTCTCTGCACAGGACTCACTTAGCCAAATGCAACTCTTCTCCTGACCTCCTAATTAATAAGATGAAGGCATTCGATCTGTGCGTCTGCAGCCCCGAGACCCCTTCTGCATATTAAAACCCACCTCGCCGGGCAGGCAGAACACTTGTTTGTGTGTATGGGAGCCCCCAGCAGCCCTTGGTCTATACTAGGCAAATAACAAAGAGGAGGAAAAAAAAAAACTTAACAAATTACAGCTGAAACAAATCACCATTGCCCCGTTTTCAAATTATTATATTTCTGGGGAATTTCAGCCCGTTACATGAAAAGGAAGACAGCCGATCCAGAGGGCTTTTGATCGTCAGGTTATGTTAATAACCGGCGCTCATGTAAAATGCATAAGATGTACCTTACTGTGGAAGAGGATGGCTGATAATTACTCCGTATGCACAGAGGGTACCTCATTCCAAACGGATGCATAAAGACCCCCTTTTACATGGCAGCCTAATTACTTATAGACAGTTGAGCAGAAAATTACTTTCATCTGCTTCAACATGTGGCAGCAAAGAGATTTGAGCTGTACTTTTCAAAACAGCTGGCTGGCATACTGCAAGAGAAGGCCGGTGTTGTGTGGGACTGATTGCAAAGTGCATTTTCTGATAATTAGATCTATTAGAGAGAGGCAAGGACCAGCCTGCATTGGAAGCGGAAAAAAAAAATTAACTGCAATGAACAGCAAGCAGGCAGTTCCTAGATGCTCCCAAAAGCCTGAACGGGGGCTGGGACGGTCACAGAGCGGCCCGGCCCCCATGAGCTCAATCTCTGATCACAGCAGGGTCCCCAGAGAGAGTGGGGGGGCCCTCCTGATGGCATGGCCAGGACCCCCGAGGCCGCCACCGGAGACTCTGCCTTTGATCTCGCCCTGGTCTGCTCACTCTGCGTGAGGACGACTCTGCCATCCTAATGATGGTTTTGCATCTGCCTGAGGTTTTGCTTTGCAGGGCTGCGGAAAGTGTCTAGCACGGCCAGCACCGGCCAGAGATACGGGGACCTGGGGGATGAGAATCCGCAGGTGCAGGTGGAGAAGAAACTTCTTTCTTGGAGGCTGCGGCGGCTCGTGGGGGAGCTGCCCCGGGTGGGAAGCATTTTGGGGCATCTACAGAGTATCTTGGGGAGGGGAATAAGACCTGCAGATTCTTCCTACATAGCTTATTTTGGTGTAGATAAAACGAGTGTTGTGGGACACTGTTTTCACAGCCTGGCGTTAGCTTCTGGTCTTCGGGATCTTCAAGAGAGGCTTTTAATTTTCTTTTTCTATTTATTTTTAAATAAAACTTCATTGCATTGCATTTTTGTTTTTGCTTTTGTTTTTTGAGATGGAGTCTCGCTCTGTCGCCCAGGCTGGAGTGCAATGGTGCAATCTCAGCTCCCTGCAACCTCCGCCTCCTGGGTTCACTCCATTCTCCTGCCTCAGCCTCCCGAGTAGCTGGGACTACAGGTGCCTGCCACCACGCCCAGCTAATTTTTTGTATTTTTAGTAGAGATGGGGTTTCACCATGTTGACCAGGATGGTCTCTAACTCCTGACCTCGTGATCCACCCACCTCGGCCTCCCAAAGTGCTGGGATTACAGGCTTCATTGCATTGCATTTTAAGAGACAGGGTCCTTGCTCTGTTGCCCAGGTTGGAGTGCAGTGATGCAATCTCAGCTCACTGCAGCCTCAACCTCCCAGGCTCATGTGATCTTTCCACCTCAGCTTCCAGAGTAGCTGGGACTACAGGTGTGCACCACTGCACCTGGCTAGTTTGTTTGTTTGTTTATTCATTTAGCAGAGATGAGGTCTCACTGTGTTTCTCAAGCTGATCTTGAGCTCCTAGACTCAAGCGATCCTCCCATCTCAGCCTCCTCAGTAGCTGGAACTACAGCCATGCACCACCACACCTGGCTAATTTTAATTTTTGTTTTTTTTGTAGAGACACAGTTTCAATTGGTGCCCTAGTCTGGTCTCCAATTCCTGGACTCCGATGATCCTCCCACGTCAGCCTCCCGAGAACTTGGGATTACAAGCATGCACCAGCACCCCTGGTTAATTTTGAAATTCTTTTGTGGAGACAGGATCTCCCTTTGTTGCCCAGGCTGGTCTCCGACTCTTGGCCTCAACCGATCCTCCCACCTTGGCCTCTCAAAATGCTAGCGCTGGGATTACAGGTGTGAGCCACGACACCCAGCCTCATTAACGTTTTAACTGACAACTGAAAGTTGTACATATTTAGGTTGTGTGCCATGAGGTTTTGACACTGTAGAATTCGTGGCATTAAGCTGATTAGCCAATGCCCTATCTCTGAGACTTACTATTGATTTGTGGTGAGAAAGAGTAACATCAACTCAGCCATTTTTAAGTCAACAATACGTATATTATTATCAACAATGTTATCTTGTTGCACTGTAAATGGATACAATGTTACCAGTCACCATGCCATATATTGGAGCTCTTGAACTTTTTCCTCCTGACAAATTGACGCTCTGTGTCCTTCAACCAACATTTCCGCAACCCCCAATTAGAAGGGAAGGCCTTCAAACAGGTCTCTGCCACCAGCTTTTAACACCATTTGAATGTCATACCAACCCCCTCCTTGGCCCCTGAGTCCCTTCCGACGTCCCACACAGAGCCCCTCCTCCAGCCACTCACATCCTTGTGGACATCTGGTTGCTGGACTTCAGCCCCGGCCCTTGCTCAGTAATTCCTACAACACCCGTCCGTGACACCTGGGCTAAGACCTGAGACCAACCTTGTCCAAAAGACCCCGAAAATTCCTGACTCTTTGAGACCTTCTCCTCTCCTCCTGCCCCCATCTCCTCATCCCCACTCTCCCTCCCTGGAGTTTCTGCTGCTCTGAGCACCTCAAACTCACCCTCACCCCCAGGTCCTGGTGATGTCCAAGCCGACTGCTGGGATGATGCAGTTCCCACAGACCTCCCCTGGCCACCCACCAGCATTCCAGCCTTTGCTTGGAGACTCCTCCTTCACCTTTCTCAAGAGGCAGTTCCCTTGGGGGTTTTCTCCATGGCACTTGATCACACAACTTCAGTTTCTGAAGGTCTTGATTTGTGGACGTGCCCCCCATGGCCCTGTTCGTGGCATTCAATGAGTATCAGGGGATTGTGGCGTTCGGTGTGTATCAGTGTGTAGTGGCATTGATGGTATATCCGTGCGTTGAGGCATTTAGAGTGTATTGAGTGTGTACAAGTGTATCATGGTATTGATTGCATATAAGTGCATTGTGGGATTGAGTGTGTATCAGTTCATTATGAGATTGAGTGTGTATCAGTGCATTGTGGGATTGAGTGTGTATCAGTGCATTGTGGGATTGAGTGCATTGTGGGATTAAGTGCGTATGAGTGCATTGTGGGATTGACTATATATCAGTGCATTGTGGGATTGAGTGTGTATCAGCGCATTATGGGATTGAGTGTGTATCAGTGCATTGTGGCATTGAGTGCATATGAGTGCATTGTGGGATTGAGTGTGTATGAGTGCATTGTGGGATTGAGTGTGTATCAGTGCATTGTGGGATTGCATGTGTATCAGTGCATTCTGGGATTGAGGGCATATGAGTGCATTGTGGGATGGTGTATCAGTGCATTGTGGGATTGAGTGTGTATCAGTGCATTGTGGGATTGAGTGCATTGTGGGATTGAGTGCGTATGAGTGCATTGTGGGATTGACTATATATCAGTGCATTGTGGGATT
Source organism: Homo sapiens (assembly GCF_000001405.40). Classification (NCBI taxonomy): domain Eukaryota; kingdom Metazoa; phylum Chordata; class Mammalia; order Primates; family Hominidae; genus Homo; species Homo sapiens. The sequence continues at coordinate 737,400 of NC_000023.11, forward strand.
GAGTGTGTATCAGTGCATTATGGGATTGAGTGCATATGAGTGCATTGTGGGATTGAGTGTGTATCAGTGCATTGTGCGATTGAGTGCGTATCAGTGCATTGTGGCATTGAGTGCATATGAGTGCATTGTGGGATTGAGTGTCTATCAGTGCATTATGTGATTGAGTATATATCAGTGCATTGTGGGATTGAGTGTCTTTCAGTGCATTGTGGGATTGAGTGCATGTGAGTGCATTGTGGGATTGAGTGTGTATTAGTGCATTGTGGGATTGAGTGCATATGAGTGCATTGTGGGATTGAGTGTCTATCAGTGCATTATGTGATTGAGTATATATCAGTGCATTGTGGGATTGAGTGTCTTTCAGTGCATTGTGGGATTGAGTGCATGTGAGTGCATTGTGGGATTGAGTGTGTATTAGTGCATTGTGGGATTGAGTGCATATGAGTGCATTGTGGGATTGAGTGTGTTTGAGTGCATTGTGGGATTGAGTGTGTATCAGTGCATTATGGGATTGAGTGCATATGAGTGCATTGTGGGATTGAGTGTGTATCAGTGCATTATGTGATTGAGTGCGTATCAGTGCATTGTGGCATTGAGTGCATATGAGTGCATTGTGGGATTGAGTGTCTGTCAGTGCATTATGTGATTGAGTATATATCAGTGCATTGTGGGATTGAGTGTCTTTCAGTGCATTGTGGGATTGAGTGCATATGAGTGCATTGTGGGATTGTGTATCAGTGCATTGTGGGATTGAGTGCATATCAGTGCATTGTGGCATTCAGCGTGTATCAGCGCATTGTGGCACTTAGTGTATATTGAGTGTGTACAAGTGCCTTGTGGCATTGAGTGCATATGAATGCCTAGAAGCATTAAGTGCATATCAGTGCCTTGTGGCATTTAATGTATATCAGTGCATTGTGGCATTTAATATATATTGGTGCATTGTAGCATTGAGTGCATTGTGGCATTGAGTGTGTATTGAGTGTGTACAAATGCATTGTGGCATTGAGTGCATATGAGAGCATCATGGAATTCAGTGCACATTAGTAAATCATAGCATTTAATCTATGTCACTGAATTGTGGCATTGAGTGCATACAAGTACATTGTGGCATTGAGTGTGTATCAGAGAATCATGGCATTTGATGTATATCAGGGCATTGTGGCATTGAGCGCCTATGAGTGCATTGCAGCGTTGACTGCCTATCAGTGCATGGTGGCATTCAGCACGTATCAGTGCATCGTAATGTTGAGTGCGTATCAGTGCATTGTGGCATTGAGTGTGTATCAGTGCATTGTGGCATTCAGCATGTATCAGTGCATCATAATATTGAGTGCATATCAGTGCATTGTGGCACTTAGTGTGTATTGAGTGTGTACAAGTGCACGGTGGCATTGAGTGCGTATCAGTGCATTGTGGAATTCAGTGCATATCAGTGAATTGTGGCATTTAATCTATATCAGTGAATTGTGGCATTGAGTGCATATGAGTGCATTGTGGCATAGAGTGTGTATCAGTGCATTGTGACATTCAGCATGTATCAGTGCATTGAAACGTTGAGTGCATATCAGTGCATTGTGGCATTGAGGGTGTATCAGTGCATTGTGGCATTGAGTGCATATGAGTGCACTGTGGAATTCAGTGCATATCAGTGAATTGTAGCATTTAATGTATATCAATGCATTGTGGCATTGTGTGCATTGTGGCATTGAGAGTGTATCAGTGCCTCTCGGTATTGCGTGTGTATTCGTGAACAGGTGCTTCACCTGCTCCTCTCATGGTCAGCCCAGGAATCTCATATTTACTGTCCAGAGTCACGAAGGACCCTCCCCAGAGAGACTTCCCATTGAGAGACCCCTCCCCACTGAGTCAGACCCCTCGTCCCTCTCAAAGGCCACCTCTGAGACTGTCACACTTTGTCATGGGAATCCGGGGGCCCCTGGCATACTCTGTCCATGTTTGCCCAGCAAACACCATAGCGTAATAAAGGCAGAAGGAGATTCAGGGGCACGATGGGCTTACGGGAGGCCACCAGCCACGGGGAATCTGGCATTCATAAGGAGCATGCAGTGAAATCTAGATCCCTCACATGCACGGTTCACAGTAGGGTTTGTGCTCCTATGAGCATCAAATGCGTCTGCTGCTGATCTAACAGGAGGTGGGGCTCAAGCCGTAATGGGAGAGATGGGGAGTGGCTGTGAACACAGATGAAGTTTTGCTTGCTTGCCCACCGCTCACCTCTTGCTGTGGGACCTGGTTCCTTAGAAGCCACTGACTAGCACCAGCAGCTGCAGTGTGTGGAGGCCTCCAGGAGCCAAACCCAGGATTTTTCCCATGGAATTGGACTCCATTCCAAACATGCATCCCGGGGCCACTCTGCTGACTGGGTCGCCTTCCTGTGTGGCTTGAAGTAAATGCAAGATTCGCTGTCCTGAAGCAAATGAATCTGAAGTTCAAGTCAGAGCAGACGTGGAGGGACGGGTGGCCGATCTGTCTACACGTTAGGCATTCTTCGTCACTACCAGGGGCACCATTGACTGCTCTTGATTTAATCCGTGTAACAGACTGGAGAAGCCCATTATCCAAGAGTCAAGGTACAATCAATATATTTTGCAAAATAAAGAGTCTATTGGGTGCACACTAATAAAGAAAAAGAAAGCAAACCCTGTAGGTTTAATTTAGAGCTCACCCCCACCTCTTCCCACCTCAGCCCTGAAGTCGCCAAGACTCGTCATAAAACCGTTTCCTTGTTAATCCTCGCCGAGGTGTTTTTCTGTGCCCAGAGCCTGGCTTGGGAAATGAATGACGGGGTGATGGTTAGAAAACCAGGACACAATGTGGGGGCCACAGAAACATATATGGGGATGCCTAAGGCACTTGGAGGTGATGGCTGAGGGCTCCACGCCTGGGGTACGTGGTAGGGAGGAAGATTGGATTAAGTGAAATGCTGTTGACTTAATCCCAATGGGTTTTAACAAGAAATCAAACCCAGAGGTGTCTGTTCTCAGGGAAGAGCTGCAGGAAGGGGGAAGATGGAACGTTGTACCCAGCCAGGCGTGGTGGCTCACACCTGTCATCCTAGCACTTTGGGAGGCCAAGGCAGGCGGATCACCTGAGGTCAGGAGTTCTAGAACAGCCTGACCAATATGGTGAAATCCCACCTCTACTAAAAATAATAATTTTAAAAAATGGTTGGGCATGGTGGCGGGCACCTGCAATCCCAGCTACTTGGGAGGCTGAGGCAGGAGAATCGCTTGAACCAGGGAGGCTGAGTTTGCAGTGAGCCGAGATAGTGCCACTGCACACCAGCCCTGGTGACAGAGCAAGACTTCGTCTCAAAAAAAAAAAAAAATGTACAGTTACATATAAGGAATCAGTCCTGGCTGGGCACGGTGGCTCATGCCTGTCATCCCAGCACTTTGGGAGGCCAAGGTGGGCAGATCACCTGAGGTCAGGAGTTCGAGACCAGCCTGACCAATATAGTGAAACCCCATCTCTACTAAAAATAATAATAATAAAAAAATTAGTTGGGAGTGGTGGCAGGCACCTGCAATCCCAGCTACTCAGGAGGCTGAGGCAGGAGAATTGCTTGAACCACGGAGGCAGAGGTTGTAGTGTGCCAAGATTGTGTCACTGCACACCAGCCCTGGTGACAGAGCAAGACTTTGTCTCAAAAAAAAAAAAAAATGAAAAAAGAATGCTGCACCCGGAAGAAGCACATTGCAGCCATCCCTGACAATTGCTTGGATGCTACAATGGTGAATTTTATAAGTCAGTCTGATCAGGTCTTGCAATGAACACGTTAAACATGATTTCTGGATGTATCTGTGAGGATGTTTCTAGAGGAGACTAGCATTTGAGTTCATGGGCTCACGAAAAGAAACATCATCCGCTTTAAAACTGGTAAGGATAGGCCTTCTGTTGAGGGTGTGCAACAGGATTTGCTCCATTTCTCCTGCAACACTACTTGAGCTGGGACATCTCATTCCATCATCTGTCTTCAGACTGGCTCTTACAGCCTCGGTTCTTCTGGGTCTCAGGCCTTCAGCTAAGTTAGGGTCTTCACGCTATCAACTCTACTGCATTTCAGACCTTCAAACTCAGACTAGAACTCCCACCCTCAGCTCTCCTGGGTCTCTGGACTTCAGACTCACACTGGAACTCACACCCTCAGCTCTCCTGGGTCTCAGGACTTCACACTCAGACTAGAACCCACACCCTCAGCTCTCCTGGGTCTCTGGACTTCAGACTCACACTGGAACTCACACCCTCAGTTCTCCTAGGTCTCAGACCTTCAGACTCAGACTAGAACTCACACCCTCGGCTCTCCTGGGCCTCAGGCATTCAGACTCAGACTAGAACTCACACTCTCAGCTCTTCCAGGTCTCGGGCCTTCAGACTCACACGGGAACTCACACCGTCAGTTCTCCTAGGTCTCAGACCTTCACACTCAGACTGGAACTAGGGACCCTTGGCTCTCCTGGGTCTCAGACCTTCAGACTCAGACTAGAACTCACACCCTCGGCTCTCCTGGGTCTCAGGCCTTCAGACTCAGACTGAAACTCACACCCTTAGCTCTCCTGGGTCTCAGGACTTCTGACTCACACTGGAACTCACACCCTCAGCTCTCCTAGGTCTCAGATCTTCAGACTCAGACTGGAACTCACACCCTCAGCTCTCCTGGGTCTCAGGACTTCAGACTCTGTCTGAAACTAGGGACCCTTGGCTCTCCTGGGTCTCAGGACTTCAGACTCAGACTGGAACTCACACCCTCAGCTCTCCTGGATCTCAGGCCTTCAGACTCAGACCGGAACTCACACCCTCAGCTCTCCTGGGTCTCAGGACTTCTGACTCACACTGGAACTCACACCCTCAGTTCTCCTAGGTCTCAGACCTTCAGACTCAGACTAGAACTCACACCCTCAGCTCTCCTAGGTCTCAGACCTTCAGACTCAGACTAGAACTCACACCCTCGGCTCTCCTGGGTCTCAGGCCTTCAGACTCAGACTGAAACTCACACCCTTAGCTCTCCTGGGTCTCAGGACTTCTGACTCACACTGGAACTCACACCCTCAGTTCTCCTACGTCTCAGACCTTCAGACTCAGACTAGAACTCACACCCTCGGCTCTCCTGGGTCTCAGGCATTCAGACTCAGACTAGAACTCACACTCTCAGCTCTTCCAGGTCTCGGGCCTTCAGACTCACACGAAAACTCACACCGTCAGTTCTCCTAGGTCTCAGGACTTCACACTCAGACTAGAACTCACACCCTCAGCTCTCCTGGATCTCAGGACTTCACACTCAGACTGGAACTCACACCCTCAGCTCTCCTGGGTCTCAGGACTTCAGACTCAGTCTGAAACTAGGGACCCTTGGCTTTCCTGGGTCTCAGGACTTCAGACTCATACTGGAACTCACACCCTCAGCTCTCCTGGGTCTCAGGACTTCTGACTCACACTGGAACTCACACCCTCAGTTCTCCTACGTCTCAGACCTTCAGACTCAGACTAGAACTCACACCCTCAGCTCTCCTGGGTCTCAGGCCTTCAGACTCAGACTGAAACTCACACCCTCAGCTCTCCTGGGTCTCAGGACTTCTGACTTACACTGGAACTCACACCCTCAGCTCTCCTGGGTCTCTGGACTTCAGACTCACACTGGAACTCACACCCTCAGCTCTCCTGGGTCTCAGGACTTCACACTCAGACTAGAACTCACACCCTCAGCTCTCCTGGATCTCAGGACTTCACACTCAGACTGGAACTCACACCCTCAGCTCTCCTGGGTCTCAGGACTTCAGACTCAGTCTGAAACTAGGGACCCTTGGCTTTCCTGGGTCTCAGGACTTCAGACTCATACTGGAACTCACACCCTCAGCTCTCCTGGATCTCAGGCCTTCAGACTCAGACCGGAACTCACACCCTCAGCTCTCCTGGGTCTCAGGACTTCTGACTCACACTGGAACTCACACCCTCAGTTCTCCTAGGTCTCAGACCTTCAGACTCAGACTAGAACTCACACCCTCAGCTCTCCTGGGTCTCTGGACTTCAGACTCACACTGGAACTCACACCCTCAGCTCTCCTGGGTCTCTGGACTTCAGACTCACACTGGAACTCACACCCTCAGCTCTCCTGGGTCTCAGGACTTCACACTCAGACTAGAACTCACACCCTCAGCTCTCCTGGATCTCAGGACTTCACACTCAGACTGGAACTCACACCCTCAGCTCTCCTGGGTCTCAGGACTTCAGACTCAGTCTGAAACTAGGGACCCTTGGCTTTCCTGGGTCTCAGGACTTCAGACTCATACTGGAACTCACACCCTCAGCTCTCCTGGATCTCAGGCCTTCAGACTCAGACCGGAACTCACACCCTCAGTTCTCCTACGTCTCAGACCTTCAGACTCAGACTAGAACTCACACCCTCAGCTCTCCTGGGTCTCAGGACTTCTGACTCACACTGGAACTCACACCCTCAGTTCTCCTAGGTCTCAGACCTTCAGACTCAGACTAGAACTCACACCCTCAGCTCTCCTAAGTCTCAGACCTTCAGACTCAGACTAGAACTCACACCCTCGTCTCTCCTGGGTCTCAGGACTTCACACTCAGACTGGAACTCACAACCTCCGCTCTCCTGGGTCTCAGGCCTTCAGACTCAGACTGGAACTAGGGACCCTTGGCTCTCCTGGATCTCTGTCTTTCTAGCAGTAGATTAAGGAACTTCTCAGCTTCCATATTTAACTGACCTATTTTCTCATAATAAATCTAGCATCTATCTATCTATCATCTATCTATCTATCTATCTATCTATCTATCTATCATCATCTATTATATTATATTATCTACCTATCTGTTTATTATCTGTTTATCATTTGTTATTATCCCTACTATCATCTGAAAATCATGTTTTTATCATATATCTATTTATTATTCATCTACTTATCCCCTGTCTCTGTAGCTTCTACATAGCTATCTATCATTTATCTATCTCTTCTCTGTTTTTTTTTTTTTCTGTTTTTAGATGGAGTTTCACTCTTGTTGTCCAGGCTAGAGAGCAATGGCGTGATCTTGGCTCATTACAACTCTGCCTCCCAGGTGCAAATGATTCTCCTGCCTCAGCCTCCCGAGTAGCTGGGGTTACAGGCATCTGCCACCATGCCCAGCTAATGTTTTGTATTTTTAGTAGAGACAGGGTTTCACCATGTTGGCCAGGCTGGTCTCGAACTCCTGACCTCGTGATCCACCCGCCTCATCCTCCCAAAGTGCTGGGAATACAGGCGTGAGCCACCATGCTTGGCCTATCTTTCCCCTGTTGAATCTGTTTCTCTGGAATGCTTGAGGAATATAGACATCTCTACTTTGTCATGGTTTCATTCACTCATTACAATGTCACCTCACTATATACCTGGTGCTTAAGAAAGGTCCGATAGACAATGTTGGGTAATGGGATGTATTTCTTGCTGATAACAGAATACCTGAAACTGAGTAAATGATAAGAAATCAAATTTATTCTTACAGTTCTGGAGGCTCAATAATTCTAGGTCAAGGGGCGGCATCTGGTGAGGGCCTCCTTGCTATTGGGGACTCACTGCTGAGTCCCAAGGTGACACAGGTATCACATGGTGATGGGGCCGAGAGTGCTAACTCAGGTCTCTCTTCCACTTCTTATAAAGCCACTAGTCCCACTCCCTTGATAAACCATTAATCCATTAATTTATGATTGGATTAATCCATCTCTAAGAGCAGAGCCTTCACGGCCCAATCACCTCTTAAATAACTCACCTCTCAATGCTGCCATGTAGGGGATAAAGTCTCCCCAGGAGTTTTGGAGGGAACAAATATTCACACCTTAGCATGGGGCTTGGATGACCTCCTAGTGTCCTCACTGTGGTGGTCTCCGGGCATGCATCTCTGTTCATGGCTCAGCCATCCACATGGTCCCAGAAGAGCCACCACAATCTACGTGGATGAAGTTCAGGGTTTTCAGACTCAAGATTTCTGGGATCCATCAACTGATGGCAGATGTCCTCAGCAAACACCACCAGAGTTACTTGAATCAACAACACCTCAAGTTGCTCGAAACTCGGACAAATTTGGAACCAAGCGTATCACCATTGGAGAGAAGAGACCCATCGCTTTTTTCTTTGGGAGTGTTCGTGGAGGTGGATGGATAAGAGTGTAAGGAAGGTTGAGAGGTTAGTAGAGACAAGCTTTCACCATGTTGGCCAGGCTGGTCTCTAACTCCTGACCTCGTGATCCACCCTCCTCATCCTCATCCAGAGCAAGACTGGCTATTTCCCATTCTTAAATTGAGTAAAACTATCAGCCCTTTGCAAAACAGAACTCAAGGGGTGAGGGGTACTGTCTTCTGCATCGTCCACCTCCATTGCTGGTGGCAGTTATCCCCTGAAACCACCTTCGCCTGGAGCCATCCCAGCTTCTGCCCACATGATGGTTCCCCTTTCCTCATCTTCCTTTTTCCTCCTCCCACTTGTCCCACTTGTATCTTGAGGTTTTGCTGTACTACAAACAGAATCTGATAAAATAATCTTGACTAAGCCAATGAGTAAAAAAACCCTTGAGTATAGTCTTCCTCGCTCTTCCTGATTTGGACAAGAAGCTTGCAAATATGCTGGTATCTTCAGAAGAATGACTGCTATGGGGTTATGGGTGAGAAGTCAGTTTTCTCCTCTGGTTTTTCATGGGTATTTTAAAATTACAGCCAGGGGTAGCAGCAGTTCTCCCTCCCTAGCAGCTATGAGTCTATGGAAGGGTTTGTGTCCATGCTTTCTGAAATAATTACCAGAGCTAACCACATTCTATGTTTGGCTGTTTTTTCTTCTCCAAATGCATCTGGAGACCCACTTGGCAGCAGGAAGGTTGCTGGGTGCTCAGAGCATCTTACTCCAGGGAAGATTGGTGATAGGATAGATAGACAGACAGACAGATAGAAAAATCAATAGATAGATATCTAGATAGATAGATGACGGATAGATAGGCAGGCAGAGATAGATGATAGATAGATAGATAGATAGATAGATAGATAGATAGATAGATAGATGATAGATAATAGACACATAGATGATAGACAGATAGATAGATGATAGATAGATAGATAGATAGATAGATAGATAGATAGATAGATAGATGTAATGTGTTTGAATCATCCCAAAGTCACCTCCCCAACCCCCATTTCATGGAAAACTAGTCTTCCAGGAAACTGGTCCCTGGTACCAAAAAGGTTGGGGGGCCGCTGATATAGGGGTATTTGTGTCCTTATGAGAAGGGGAAGAGACCCCAGAACTCTCTCTGTCTCTCTCTCTCTTTCTCTCTCTGTCTCCACTGTGTGAGGACACAGCAAGAAGGCAGCCGTTTGCAGACCAGAAAGAGAGCCCTCACCAGACACTGAGTCTGCCCTGTCCACACCTTGATCTCAGACTTCCAGCCTCCAGAACCACGAGAAAATAAATGTCTGCTGTTTAACCCAGCGGTCCCCAGCCTTTTTGGCACCAAGGACCACTTTCACGGAAGACAATTGTTCCACGAACTGGGGAGGGGGTCTGGTTTGGGGATGATTCACGTGCATTACATTGATTGTGTACTTTATTTCTATTATCATTGCATTGTAATATATAATGAAATAATTATCCATCTCAGCATAATGTAGCATCGGTGGGTGCCCTGAGCTTGTTTACCTGCAACTAGATTGTCCCCTGTGGGGGTGATGGGAGACACAGTAGAGCATCAGGTATTGATTCTCATCAGGAGCATGCAGTGAAATCTAGATCCCTCACATGCACGGTTCACAGTAGGGTTTGTGCTCCTATGAGCATCAAATGCCTCTGCTGCTGATCTGACAGGAGGTGGGGCTCAAGCTGTAATGGGAGAGATGGGGAGTGGCTGGGAACACAGATGAAGCTTTGCTTGCTTGTCCACTGCTCACCTCCTGCTGTGGCACCTGGTTCTTCAGAAGCCACTGACTAGTAGCAATCTGTGGCGCAAGGGTTGGGAGACCCTGGTTTAACCCACCCAGTCTGTAGTCCCCTGTCATGGGCAGCCTAAACAAAACTAATGCAAGCACCTGCCCCTGCAGGCAGTGAGCATAGGCTGTTTCCAAGCCCACCAAAGAGGCCACCTCTCTTGTAATTATAGTTGTATTTCTCATTGATGACAGATATAAAAATCCTTAATGCCACATTGTTTGGGGGACCTCAGAAAAGGCAGGGATAGGCCAGGCACCATGGCTCATGCCTGTAATCCCAGCACTTTGGGAGGCCGAGGCAGGTGGATCACCTGAGGTCAGGTGTTCAAGACCAGCCTCACCAACATGGTGAACCCCTGTCTCTACCAAAAAAATACAAAATTAGCCGGGTGTTGTGGCAGGTGCCTGTAATCCCAGCTACTCGGAAGGCTGAGGCAGGAGAATCGCTTGAACCCGGGAGGCGGAGGTTCAGAGAGCCGAGATCCCGCCATTGCCCTCTAATCTGGGCAGCAAGAGCGAAACTCCATCTCAAAAAAAAAAAAAGTGAATGTCCAGTCAGGCACACATGGCTCATGCTTGTAATCCCACCACTTTGGGAGGCCGAGGCAGGTGGATCACCTGAGGTCAGGTGTTCGAGATCAGCCTCACCAACATGGTGAACCCCTGTCTCTACTAAAAAAATACAAAATTAGCCAGGTGTTGTGGCAGGTGCCTGTAATCCCAGCTACTCAGAAGGCTGAGGCAGGAGAATCACTTGAACCTGGAAGGTGGAGGTTCAGAGAGCCGAGATCCCACCATTGCACTCTAACCTGGGCAACAAGAGTGAAACTCCATCTCAAAAAAAAAAAAAAAATAGTGAATGTCCAGTCGGGCACACGTGGCTCATGCCTGTAATCCCAGCACTTTGGGAGGCCGAGGCAGGTGGATCGCAAGTTCAGGAGTTCAAGACTAGCCTGGCCAATATGGTGAAACCCCGTCTCTACTAAAAAAAATACAAACATAAGCCAAGTGTGGTGGTGGGCGCCTGTCATCCCAGCTACTTGGGAGGCTGAAGCATGAGAATCGCTTGAACCTGGGAGGTGGAGGTTGCAGTGAGCCGAGATGACTCCAGTGCACTCCAGCCTAGGTGAGAGAGTGAGACTCTGTCTCAAAAACAAACAAACAAACAAACTATCCAAAAACAACAACAACAAAAAGAAAAGGCAGGGATACCAGATGAGAAGGCAGACATTTCCAGAAAGAATAGGTGTGTGGATGATATTTTCTAGCCATAAGTTTTTTTTTCTTTTTTTTTTTTTACATAATGACTGTATCAAAATAGCACATGGCACCTGCTAGAAGGATGCTGGCTAACTGGTACCAATTGCCTACATCCTATGACTCATCATGTCCCAGGTACGAGTGCCCACGTAGGTGGTGGTCGTAGCTTCTGTTCTCATCAGCTTGATTTTTCAGAAAATTGTATCCTGGAATAGCCACTTATTGGCATTAGAGAGAGAAAGATGCTGATTATAATAACTCCTGTGGCTTGAAGTATTGGGTCCAAGCTGCTACTAAGTTAACTGGAACATGTTCTATTCATTTGTTAGTGCCTAAAATTAACCAGGCTCCTTGAGGCCCTGAACACATTGTTCCGGAAATACATCAGTATTGATCACTGCTGCATTTCCTCATTAAATAGGGCAGCTGGGGTATTTTTAGCACAAAACACTGAAACAGAACAAAATGTGATTATCTATGTCGTTATGGTAATACAGAAGTCCCAGATTTGACTTCTTTCAAAAAAAGAGGTCTTTATATTCATAAAAAAGAGACAGACAGAAAGATGGAAAAAAGAAAGAGAAAGAAAGAAAGAAGGAAAGAAAGAGAAAAAAGAGAGAAAAAATAAAGAGAAAGAAGAAATAAAGAAAAAGAAGAAAGAGACACAGAGAGAAAGAAAGAAAGAAAGAAAGAAAGAAAGAAAGAAAGAAAGAAAGAAAAAGAAAAGCAAGCAAGCAAGCAAGCAGGAAAGAGAAAGGAAGAAAAAGAAAGAAAGAAAGAAAGAAAGAAAGAAAGAAAGAAAGAAAGAAAGAAAGAAAGAAAGAAAGAAAAAGAAAGAAAGAAAGAAAGACAAACAAAGGGAGAGAAAGAAAAAAGAAAGGAAGGAAGGAAGGGACTGGGCGTGGTGGCTCACGCCTGTAATCCCAGCACTTTGGGAGGCCGAGGCAGGTGGATCACGAGGTCAAGAGATTGAGACCATCCTGGCCAACATGGTGAAACCCCATCTCTAATAAAAATACAAAAATTAGCCGGGCATGATGGCTGGTGCCTGTAGTCCCAGCTATTCGGGAGACTGAGGCAGGAGAATCGCTTAAACCCTGGAGGCAGAGGTTGCAGTGAGCTGAGATCACGCCACTGCACTCCAGCCTGGTGACAGAGCAAGACTCTGTCTCAAAAAAAAGAAAGAAAAATAAAGAAACAGAAAGGAAGAAAGAAAAAAGAAAGAAGGAAAGAAAGATAGACAGATGAATTTGTTCAGCGGGAAACAGGCGTATCAAGTTATTTTATTTTATTTTATATTTTATTTTATTTTATTTTATGAGACAAGGTCTTACTCTGTCACCCAGGCTGGAGTGCACTGGTGCAATCATGGCTCACTGTAGCCTCGACCTCCTGGGCTCAAGCGATCCTCCCACCTCAGCCTCCAAAGCAGCTGAGACCACAGGCACACACCACCATGCCTGGCTAATTTTTAATTTTTTTTCTGTGCAGATGGGGTCTTGCTATATATTGCCCAGGCTGGCCTCAAACTCCTGGCCTTAAGCAATCCTCCTGCTTTGGTTTACCAAAGTGCTGGGATTACAGGCATGAACCACCACAATTGGCTGATTCTTTAAACAAAATTAATAAATATCTGGCAGAATCTTAACAGTGAGAAGATACTGTATTCATTGCCAAGGGCTGGGGCAGTGCAGAGGTGAAAGAGATACATTGAGGATCAGATGCAGAATGTTGGAGTGGTTCACAGTTTAGTATAACCCAGCATATTGGGGGTGTTGCAAACGAAGCCAATCCGGCCCCCTGCACGTTACTGTCAATAAAGTTTTATTGAAACATGGTCACACACACATTCTTGTGCACACCGTCTGTGGCTGCTTTCCTGCCACAAGGGCAGAGCTAAATCCTTGCATGGCAGACTGTGTGGTCCACAAAACTGAAAATATTGACTATCTGGCTCTTCACTTAAAAGATTTGCCCACCTCTGGTCTAACTGGTGTTGGAGGAATGCTTCGTAGTGACTCAGCCACTCCTGGTTTCTTTTTTCTTTTTTCTTTCTTTTCTTTTCTTTTTTTTTTTCTTTTTTTTTTTTTTTTGTTTTTTTTTTTGAGACTGTGTCTTACTCTGTCACCCAGGCTGAAGTGCAGTGGCTTTATCTCAGCTCACTGAACCTCCGCCTCCCGGTTCAAGCGATTCTCCTGCATCAGCGTCCTGAGTAGCTGGGATTACAGGCTCTTGCCGCCATGCCCTGCTAATTTTTGTATTTTTAGTAGAGACAGGATTTCGCCATGTTGGCCAGGCTGGTCTCGAACTTCTGACCTCATGATCCACCCACCTCGGCCTCCCAAAGTGCTGGAATCTTACAGGTTTGAGCCACCACGCCCAGCCCAAATAATTTTTATTTAATATATTTAATATAAATATTAAATAAATAAATTTACTAAATATAAATGTTAAACAAATGTTTATTCATTAATATAAATATTACACAAATATTTATTTAATATTTATCTTAATGAATTAATTTACATAAATTTATTCATTTATATCTTACACAAATATTTAATATTTTTATTAAGGAATTAAATTTATTAATTATATATTACACAAATATTTAATATTTATATGAAGGGATAAATTTAAATAAATTTATTCATTTATATATTACACAAATATTTAATATTTATATGAAGAATAAATTTAAATAAATTTATTCGTTAATATATATTACACAAATATTTAATATTTATATGAAGGAATAAATTTAAATAAATTTATTCATTAATATATATTACACTAATATTTAATATTTATATGAAGGAATAACTTTATTTAAATAAATTTATTCCTTCATATAAATATTAAATAAAAGTATACAATAAATAAATTTATATTAAAATATATTTTTTAAAATCCTGTTACCAAATATATGTATTTGGATATAGCAGAAGCACGTGAAAGAGGAAAATGACCATCACAGCAGCATTCTTGGAATTATCTACTAAGGTAAAGGAGCCCCTTGGGGCAGGTGGTGATCGCTAATCGAGGATCCCCTTGGAGAGCTGGTTGGTTTTGACTTGGTGGTCCTCTCTCCTGTTGGTTTCCGGGGAGTGGTCAACACATGGGCAGACAAGGTATATAGCTCTTTTTGGGGTCTATGGAGAATCAGAGCCCCTCCATGAACCCAGCTAAAGAGGCAACACATGCTTAATTCCATTCCACACTCAGGGAAGTCAACTCTAACAACGCAGAAGAAAGATGAGAAGGACAAAAATGTCCATTCGGTTTGAGAGATGAACTCCCACATCTGTGGGCAGAAGGCCAAAGTTAGCCCCAAAGGCACACCCCGTCCACTCCAGGTGCTGTGTGTGTGTGGGCGTTAGCCTTCCAGGGACTTCACGGCCAAGAAGACAATTGCCCCACGGAGCTGGGACGACCCTCTTTTCTGAGCCATTTCAGAATGCCAGCCAGGGAATTCCTATTGAGCAGGTGCAAAAGTACGGAGGACAGATAGAATAGAATTTAGACCCAGGCTGGGTGCAGGGGTTCATGTCTGCAGTCCCAGCACTTTGGAAGGGTGAGGCAGGTGCATTGCTTGCATCCAGCCTGAGTGATACACAAAGACCCCAACTCTACACTTGTATAGACATTTACAATCTACAGTTGGGAGTATAGACATTTAGTACAGACAGAATGTCTGTCCAGGCCTAAATTCTATTCTTTTTTCCTCTTTTTTTTTTTTGAGGCAGGGCCTCACTGTGTCACTCTGGCTGGACTGCTGTGTTACAACCTCGGCTCACTGCAACCTCTGCCTCCTGGGCTCAGGCGATCCTCTTGCCTCAGCCTCCCAAGTAGCAGGGATTACAGGTGCGTGAACCACCATGCCCGGCTAAGTTTTGTATTTTTGGGAGAGTTCGATCTGTCTCGTTTTCGTCTCTTCCTTATCACTTGTGGATCATCAAGGCGTTCAGAGTCCTTCACGGGACACCAAGAGGCCAAGTTCTTGTTTTGACTTTACCATGTCAGTACATTAATTTCTTCTTATTGATTTATTTACGTATTTATTTTGAGACAGATTCTTGCTCTGTCGCCCAGGCTGGAGGGCAGTGGTGCCATCTCGGCTCACTGCAACCTCTGCCTCCAGGGTTCAAGCGATTCTCCTGCCTCAGCCTCCCAAGTAGCTGGGATTACAGGCACCCGCCACCATGCCCAGGTAATGTCTGTATTTTTAGTAGAGACGGGGTTTCTCCATGTTGGCCAGGATGGTCTCGAACTCCTGAGCTCAGGAGATCCACCCACCTGGGCCTCCCAAACTGCTGGGATGACAGACGTGAGCCACCATGCTTGGCCTATCTTTCCCCTGTTGAATCTGTTTCTCTGGAAGGGAAGTTTGCAAAAAAGAAAAAAACCTTAACGTATGAATAAATGATGTCTACAAAAAGCAAATCCTACAGTCACGGGTGCAGGTACATTTTTCTTTGCAATTCTAGCAAATTCTCCCCTTGGGAATACAAAATACGCCATTCTTTTTTTTAATTCTTGTTTTAAGGATGGCCACTGTCACAGAACATGAGTGAGGGACGGTATCTGCGTACGTTGAAAATGCTCACGGTTTCTGGTGCAGAGATTTCTCTGGAGTAATGGCATTTTTCTGTGTGGCAGTTAGCATTTAGAGTGAATAGAGTTTTTCTCTCTCTCTTTTTTTTTTTTTTTTGCAGTGTTATGCACTCGAAAATGTCATCTTTTTTCTATTCCTTTTAAAATCAAATTACAACCTGACATTCAATAAAATATCTTTTGCGCAACTAATAAAAACAAGACCCTCGCTGCCTTGACAATTAAGGCACGGGGTCCGACACGCCGCCTCCGATACAGTTTACGGCTTCCCTTTGATGTCAGGGTTTCCTATATTAAAAAAAAAAAAGAGCCCCATTATTTATTAATAGCCTTCTGTGTTTTAAACGTTTCTTTTTCTTGTGTGGAGAGAAAAAAAAATCATTTGCCTTTTAATGGGGTGTCAGATTTGCTTTCGAAACCTTCTAAAAGGTTATCGTTGTTGAATACGAACAAGTTTCTTTCTGCGGAATCAATGAAGACTCTGTTTCCCGGGCTGCTCCGTGGAAAACTTAATTTCACCATTTTGCAAAGTGCAGGGCTGGGACGTTTCACTGCGGTTAACTATTTTCACATGGAAGGTAAAGAAAAATGCAAAGTCCTCACACGTACTAAATAACCTGCAGGCTGCCTTATGTCCGGGACGTCTTGCAACGGCCTGGCGGTTAGAGCTCACGGAGATGTCCAGTTCAATTAGATGCTTCGTAAACCTGCTAGCAATTAACTCAGCCAGGAGCTGAGACCGAACACCAGGACTAAGAGGGGGTTACATCCCGGTCCAGGAGCTGAGACTTAACTGCCAGCTCCTGAACTACCTCGAGGCCGAGCTAGCAGTATCTACCAGCTTGACTAGCTGCCCTGGAGAAAATGACCCACCTCCAAATTCTATATTTTTATTATTATTATTATTTTTTGAGGCAGAGTCTCACTCTCTGTCCCCCAGGCTGGAGTGCAGTGGTGCGATCTCGGCTCACTGCAACCTCCGCCTCCCGGGTTCAAGCAATTCTCCTGCCTCAGCCTCCCGAGTACCTGGGACTACAGGCGCCCACCACCAGGCCCGGCTAATTTTTGGTATTTTTAGTAGAGACGGGTTTTCGCCATGTTGACCAGGCTGATCTTGAACTTCCGACCTCAAGTGATCCGCCCGCCTCGGCCTCCCAAAGTGCTGGGATGACAGGCGTGAGCCACCACGCCCGGCCTCCAAGTTCTATTGTAACCCATCTCTAACTTTGATTGTAACTGTAGGGAGGACAGATAGAATAGAATTTAGACCCAGGCTGGGTGCAGTGGTTCATGCCTGCAGTCCCAGCACTTTGGGAGGCTGAGGCAGGTGCATTGCTTGAATCCAGGCTGAGTGGTACAAAAAGTACCCTCAACTCTACAGTTGGAAGAGTAGACATTTAGACCTGGACAGAGTGTCTGTCCAGGCCTAAATTCTATTCTTTTTTCCTTTTTTTTTTCTTTTTGAGGCAGGGCCTCGCTCTATCACTCTGGCTGGACTGCCGTGGTACAGCCTCGGCTCATTGCAACCTCTGCCCCCTGGGCTCCTGCCTCAGCCTCCTGAGTAGCTGGGATCACAGGTGCCCGCCACCACGCCTGGCTAAGTTTTGTATTTTTGGTAGAGTTGGGTGTTTTTGTGTGTGTCATTCAGGCTGGGTTCAAGCAATCCACCTGTCTCGGGCTCTCAAAGTGCTGGGACTAACAGGCGTGAACCACTGCACCCAGCCTGGGTCTAAATTATATTCTACCTGTAGGCAGGACAGATAGAATAGAATTTAGAGATGGGTTAGAATAGCATTTAGAGATGGATTATTTTTTGTTTGTTTGATTTTGCTATAGGGCAGGGTGCTCAAAAGCAGCTGTGAGTCTGTTTAGATAACAGTGGACAGGCCGGGTGGGGTGGCTGATGCCTGTAATCCGGCACTTTGGGAGGCCGAGGCGGGCGGATCACGAGGTCAGGAGATTGGGACCATCCTGGCTAACACGGTGAAACCCCATCTCTACTAATACAAAAAATTAGCTGGGCGTGGTGGCGGGCACCTGTAGTCCCAGCTACTCAGGAGGTTAAGGCAGGAGAATGGTGTGAACCTGGGAGTGGAGCTTGCAGTGAGCCAAGATCGCACCACTGCACTCTAGCCTGTGGGACTGAGTGAGACTCTGTCTCAAAAAAAAAAAAAACAAAACAAAAAAATGTCATACGCAGGAGTGGCAAGTGGCAATTCTTTTTTTTTTTTTTTTTTTTTTTTTTTTTTTTTTTTGAGACGGAGTCTAGCTCTGTTGCCCAGGCAGGAGTGCAGTGGCACGATCTTGGCTCACTGCAACCTCCATCTCCCGGGTTCACGCCATTCTCCTGCCTCAGCCTCCCAAGTAGCTGGGATTACAGGTGTGCACCATTATGTCGAGCTAACTTTTGTATTTTTAGTAGAGATGGGGTTTCACCATGTTGGCCAGGCTGGTCTCGAACTCCTGACCTCAAATGATCCACCCACCTCGGCCTCCCAAAATGCTGGGATTACAGGCGTGAGCCGCTGCACCCAGCCTACTTTTACAGTGTCCAGGACAATGTCATTTTCACTGAAATATAATTAATTCCATTCTTCTTCAAGGTATTACATGTAAGAAGTTGAAAGGTCACCTTGTTTGTGTATGGATTATTGGTGGCTGAACTGCCTCTGAAATTCCTCTGTCATTGAGAAGAGCAGGGGTAGGTGTTCTGAGGGTGTAGAGAGGTGAAAGGAACAACCCGTAGTGGAGTTAATCCCAGGACCGTAGGTGACCCAGGGTTGATAAAGTCATCTGTGAGAAGTAAATGATATAAACAGGGTCAGGTCAACCTGTACAGGACTATGAACTTAATACACTTTACCTTAATAGACTGCTTCCTTGCTGTGATGAGTTCATGAAGTAGAAAGGGTGTCACCAGCCCACAGCCTGCACAGGACCAGGACTTCAATGCACTTGACCTCTCATTCCCTGAGTGAGGAACCCATGAAATGAGGGGGAGTCTCACCAGCTCAGAACCTGCACAGGACTAGGACCTCAACACACTTGACCGTTCTTTCCCTGTGTGAGGAATATATGAAGTGAGGAGGAATCTCACCAGCCCAGAGCCTGCACAGGATGAGGACCTCAATACACTTGTCCACTCTTTCCCTGTGTGAGGAATATATGAAGTGACAAGTGTGTCTCCAGCCCAGAGCCTACACATGACTAGGACCTCAATACACTTGACTTCTCCCTCCTCATGTGAGGAATAGATGAAGTGACGAGGGTCTCATCAGCCCACAACCTCCACAGGACCAGGACCTCAATACACTTGACTTCTCCTTCCCCATGTGAGGAATAGATGAAGTCACGAGGGTGTCACCAGCCCACAGTCTGCACAGGATGAGGACCTCAATACACTTTAACACTCTTTCCCTGTGTGAGGAATATATGAAGTCACGAGGGTGTCATCAGCCCAGAGCCTGCACATGACTAGGACTTCAATACACTTGACTTCTCCTTCCCCATCTGGGGAATAGATGAAGTCATGAGGGTGTCACCACTCCAGAGCCTGCCCAGGACCAGGACCTCAATACACTTGACCACTCTTTCCCTGTGTGAAGAATACATGAAGTGAGGAGGGTGTCACCACCCCAGAGCCTGCCCAGGACCAGGACCTCAATACACTTGACCACTCTTTCCCTGTGTGAGGAATACATGAAGTGATGAGGGTGTCACCAGCACAGAACCTACACATGACTAGGACCTCGATACACTTGACTTCTCCCTCCTCATGTGAGGAATAGATGAAGACACGAGGGTGTCACCAGCCCAGAGCCTGCACAGGACCAGGACCTCAATACACTTGGCCCCTCCTTCCCTGTGTGAGGAAGATATGAAGTGAGAGGTTCTCATTAGCCCAGAGCCTGCACCAGACAAGGACCTCAATATGCTTGGCCTCTCCTTCCTCATGTGAGGAATATATGAAATGAGAAAGGTCTCACCAGCCCAGAGCCTCCACAGGATCAGGACCTCAATACACTTGACCTGTCCTTCCCTGTGTGAGGAATAGATGAAGTGAAAATGGTCTCATCAGCCCAGAGCCTGCATTTTCATTCCACTCTTCCAATTTGGCCACAACACTGTAGAGTTGGACAGTCCCAGAGCCCCCCAAAATAGTCACTGAAGCCAAAATATCAGGAAGAGAAGAACTAGCTGTCTTTTCTATGCCATATTTTATCAGTGCAGACAGCTTTGAGGCTGATGTTCAAAGAATCCAAAAAAGGTAAGCATTTAATTATTTGTCCTTAATTGTAATACTCATTAAGGATTCCACCTTTATCATTAGCATATCATAAGATATCTTTCTTATGCAGATGAAAGTTGTGGAGATTCACTCTCTAGACAGCATTTAGTGAGATTAGGGTACTCAACCTACATCCATATCAAGGTAGCAGAAACGCATCTGAGAAAATTTAACCACTTATTTTGCCATGGTTCATGGAGATGACCTTAAGTGTGTCTGTCACCAAAAGGGACTTTGTAGGGTGAGAGTGATATAGTACATTGTCAAGGGAAGTTTGCTGATATCTAAGGCTGTTTTCTGGAATCTCCCTGTTGTGAGGAATCTATAAGGTGAGGAGGGCGTCATCAGCCCAGATCCTACACAGGACTAGGGACTCAATACACTTGACCTGTCCTCCTCTGCATGAGATCTGATGTCTCCATATCTTTTCCTGGTATGGCTCACAACCGAAACTTCACCTGAGTACAACAAAAACCCAGCCATGTTTTGCTGGGGCCACATCACATCCTTCCCATGATGGATTCTTTGGCCCAGTTTCCAGGGAGTATTCTTGGGTTTATCATATGTAGATACAGTCCTTGTTACCTCGACCTTAAAGCATCTTTGGCTGGGTGCAGTGGCTCATACCTTGATCCCAGCACTTTGGGAGGCCGAGGTGGGTGGATCACTTGAGGCTAGGAGATCAAGACCAGCCTGGACAACATGGTGAAACCCTGTCTCTACTAAAAATACAAAAAAAAATGAGCTGGGATTGGTGGTGTGCACCTGCAGTCCCAGCTACTGGGGAGGTTGAGGCAAGAGAATTGCTTGAACCCAGGAGGTGGAGGTTTCAGTGAGCTGAGATCATGTCAGTGTACTCCAGCCTGAGCAACAGAGTGAGATTCAGTTTTGTTTTTTTGTTTTTGTTTTTGTTTTTGTTTTTTTGAGACAGAATCTCACTCTGTCCCCCAGCTGGAGTGCAGTGGCGCGATCTCGGCTCACTGCAACCTCCACCTCCCGGGTTCACGCCATTCTCCTGCCTCAGCCTCCCAAGTAGCTGGGACTAAAGGTGCCCACCACCAAGCCCGGCTAATTTTTTGTACTTTTAGTAGAGATGGGGTTTTACCGTGTCAGCTAGGATGGTCTTGATCTCCTGACCTTGTGATCTGCCCACCTGTGCCTCCCAAAGTGCTGGGATGACAGGCGTGAGCCACTGCGCCTGGTGAGATTCAGTCTTAAAAACAAAAAAACGAAAAGAAAAAGAAAAAAGAAAGCATCCAGGTGATCTTCCCTATGGGTCATAGATGTCTTCACCCAGGGTGAATGTAGAACCGTGCACACCCAGACAATGCTGAGAATGAAGTGTGTAGGACTCAGATACAGATGATCTCAGGTAGAGGCTGCAGCTAGAAGCATTATTAAAGGTCCACATTAGCTTTCCCTCCCCTTCTCCCTGGGATGCTGCTACCCTCATTGAAGCTTCAGCCACCACATGCTCTCTACCGAGACGGCAGCTTCCCAAAGTGCTCCTCAACTCCCATCCTTGACTTCTTCCAGTCATTCTCCACGTAGCAGCTAATATTCTTTGAAGTCAAATTACGTCATTCTCATGCCTCTAAGGTAGGAAGCAGGACATGACCGCAGAGGCAGGGCTAAGACACTGGACCAGGTTGAGGACTAGCTAAAGCAGGTCTAGGGCAGAAGCAGCTCTCCATTAGTGATGTGGTTTGGCTGTGTCCCTACCCAAATCTCATCTCGAATTGTAGCTCCCATAATTCCCATGTGTTGTGGAAGATAATTTCATCATGGAGGCAGTTCCCCCATACTGTTCTTGTGGAAGTGAATAAGTCTCATGAGATCTGATGGTTTTAGAAGGGTAAATCTGTTTCATGTGGTTCTCATTCTCTTCTTGCCTGCCGCCATGTAAGAAGTCCCTTGCTCTTGCGCGATGATCGTGAGGTTTCCCCAGCCAAGTGGAAGTGTAAGTCCATTAAACCTCTTTCCTGTATAAATTATGCAGTCTTGGATATGTCTTTATTGGCAGCATGAGAACAGACAAATACGAAAGGACACACCCACCAGTACCATGTCATGCTACAAATACAATAAGACACACCCACCTGGTCCCATTTCCATGACAACACCCAGATGTTACTGCTCCTTTCCATGGCAATGACCCAATGACCCAGAAGGGGGTATATTTTTTTTCTAGAAATTACTGCAAAACCTGCCCCTTAATTTGCATGTAATTGGAAGCATTGATAAATATGATTGTGGAACTGCCTCTGAGCTGCTACTCTGGACTCAGTGCCCATGGGTAAGCCTGCTCTGCAAAGACCAGCACCTCTGCTGCTGCTGTGAACTGCCACTTCATAACAGTTGGTGGGACTGTCAATTAGTTCAACCACCGTGGAAGACAGCGTGGCAATTCCTCAAGGATCTAGAACCAGAAATAGCATTTGACCCAGCAATCCCATGACTGGGTACACACCCAAAGGATTATAAATCATTCCACTATAAACACGCATGCATGCGTGTCTTTATTGCGGCACTGTTCACAATAGCAAAGACTTGGAACCAACCTAAATGCCCATCAATGATAGACTGGATGAAGAAAATGTGGCACATAGACACCATGGAATACTATGTGGCCATCAAAAAGAATGAGTTCATGTCCTTTACAGGGACATGGATGAAGCTGGAAACCATCATTCTCAGCAAACTAACATAGGAACAGAAACCAAACACTGCATGTTCTCACTCATAAGTGGGAGTTGAACAATGAGAACACATGGACACAGGGAAGGGAACATCACACACTGGGGCCTGTCAGGGGATGGGGGGTTAGGGGAGGGATATCATTAGAAGAAATACCTAATGTAGATCATGGGTTGGTGGGTGCAGCAAGCCGCCATGTCATGTGTATACTTATGTAACAAAACTGCACTTTCTGCCCATGTACCCCAGAACTTAAAGTATAATAATAATAAAAAAAAGTTGGTGTCTAACACCACCAGCTCACTCTTGAGTTATTTTCTAGATGAGACCAAAAACCCTTCCAGGCTAAGCCCCAATTTGGGGCTCACCTGCCCAGCGCCATCTCCAACCTTCACCTTCAATTTCTTCTGTTTCTTCCCCGGGACATGGAATAAATCCACCCTGGACTTTGAGCCCCAGATATGGGGATGTAGCAAACTTCTCAGGCTCCCACCCACAGTGTGCCCACTCTGCAGCTCCTTTTTCCATGTCCCTAACACTCTTAGCTCTTTCCAGCCTCCAGGTGCTGGACGTGGTGGGTGCCTCTCCCTGTAGTTCCCTCTCCAGCTCATATGTGGCTCTTTCTCTCTCTTCTTCTTCTTCTTCTTCTCCTCCTTCTCCTTCTCCTCCTCCTCCTCCTCTTCCTCCTTTTCCTCCTTTTCCTCCTTCTCCTTGTCCTTCCCTCCTCCTCCTTCTCCTCCTTCTCCTCCTCCTCCTCTTCTTTCTCCTCCTCTTCCTTCTCCTCCTCCTTCTCCTCGTCCTTCTCCTTCTCCTCCTCCTTCTCCTTCTCCTCGTCCTTCCCTCCTCCTCCTCCTCTTCTTTCTCCTCCTCTTCCTTCTCCTCATCCTTCTCCTCCTCCTCCTTCTCCTCCTCCTCATCCTTCTCCTCCTCCTTCTCATCCTTCTCCTCCTCCTCCTCGTCCTTCTCCTTCTCCTCCTTCTCCTCCTCCTCCTTCTCCTCCTCCTCATCCTTCTCCTCCTCCTTCTCATCCTTCTCCTCCTCCTCCTTGTCCTTCTCCTTCTCCTCCTTCTCCTCCTCCTCCTACTCCTCCTCCTCCTTCTCCCCGTACTTCTCCTTCTCCTCCTCCTCCTTCTCCTCCTCCTTTTCCTTCTCCTTCTTCTTGTTTTTTTGTTCTTCTTCCTCTCTCCACCCCACCCCTCATCCTTCCACAGTCTGGGGAGCTTAAACAACAAATATTTATATTCTCTGTTCTGGAGATCAGAAGTTTGAGATGAAGGTGTCTCAGGATTGCACTTCCTCTGCAGGCTTTAGGGGAGGATGCTTCCTGCCACTCCCAGCTCCTGGGGGGTCCAGGCGTCCCTGGGCTTGTGGCCTCATCACTCCAGTCTCTGCCTCCATCTCCATGTGACCTTCTCCTCTGTGTCTGTGTCTCCTCTTCTGTCTCTTAGAAGGACACCTGTCATTGCATTTAGGGCCCAGCCTAATCCAGGATAACCTCA
The DNA here is from genome assembly GCF_000001405.40 of Homo sapiens. NCBI lineage: Eukaryota > Metazoa > Chordata > Mammalia > Primates > Hominidae > Homo > Homo sapiens. Next base: position 761,740 of record NC_000023.11, read on the forward strand.
TCTCAAACTCCTTCAGTTCACTGTATCTGCAAAGACCCTATTTTCAAATAAGTTCTCGTTCACAGATACTGGGAGCTTAAAACTACAGAAATTTATTCTCTCTCTGTCCTGGAGACCATGACTCTGAGATGAAGATATCTCAGGGCCGTGCTCCCTCCACAGTCTCTAGGGGAGGGTCCTTCCTGCCTCTCCCAGCTCCTGGGTGCTCCAGGCATCCCTGGCTTGTGGCCGCCTCACTCCAGTCTCTGCCTCCGTCTCCACGTGGCCTTCTCCTCTGTGTCTGTGTCTCCTCTTCTGTCTCTTAGAAGGACATTTACCATTGCATTTAGGGCCCATCCTAATCCAGGATTATCTCATCTCCAGATCCTTAATTACATCTACAAATAACCTTTTTCCAAATGAGGTCCCATTCCCAGGTTCCTGGGCTTAGGACATGGACATATCTTTTGGACGTCACCACCCAACCCATTGCAGTTGTGTTTTGTTCTTCCTGGAGGCTCTAGGGGAGGGTCCTTCCTGCCTCTCCCAGCTCCTGGGGGCTCCAGGCATCCCTGGGCTTGAGGCCCCATCACTCCAGTCTCTGCCTCTGTCTCCACGTGGCCTTCTCCTCTGTGTCTGTGTCTCCTCTTCTGTCTCTTAGAAGGACACCTGTCATTGCATTTAGGATCCACCCTAATCCAGAATGATGTCATTCTAACTTAACTGCATTGGTAAAGACTGTCTTTCCAAATAAGACGACGTTGCCTAGTTGTAGGGCTTTGGAGTTCAACATTTTTTTTTTTTTGGAGAGCCCCCTATTCAACCTGTAACATTAAATATTATATATTATTCCCCTCTTCAACCCATAACATCATATATTATATATTATAAATGGTTGTTCTTTCTACATTATCAACATATCATTATCTATTTATATTTTATAAGTGCTTTAGAAAGAAAGAAAATGAATGGGGTTATATGATGAATGAGTCAGCTGTGTTCATCCCTCCTGATGGAAAATGAAGGTGGCCAAAATGCTAAATTGAGAATTCATTTGTCCCCTAAAGATATAGCCTTAGTAGGCCAGCATGAGGCCATTTTCTTGTCTTCCTTTTCCGTTCATACGATGATCTATATTCTATTCTCCTTATACACTAACTCTGTGTGATCTTTGCCTAGATAAACTTTCATCAAACGACTAATGAACAGAAAGTTTAAAAAATAGATTAATCACCAAATAATTGCGTTCGGAGTGTGTCCAAGTATAGAAAAATCAGGGCATTCGCAGATAAGAACAGATTTCAATATTTATGAAGTACTTTTTCTATAATTAAGAAGAATTCTGCAAAAGATTTTTATTGTCATTATTCTTTTGAATCTTAATCCATAAATGGTTATCAAATCATTAAAAGAAAAATGTATAACCCCAACATGAATTATCTTTCCTTTGATGAGCCTGGCAGAATATCAGTCGTTTTAGGTGTTTGGATCACTTTTGAGGATACATAAATGGCATTAGAAGTTTTCAGTCTAATTATAAGTCTGAAAACAGGGGCAGAAAAGAAGAGACACAAACAAAAGAGGAAGACAAAAAGTGGAGTGAGAGACATTGTGACATCCAGATGATGGAGGGGAATGAGGCATTTGTGCATTATTACCTTGGAAGTTCTCTAAAGATGGAATATATTCTGTGTCATCGTGTAAGCCAAAAATGAAATCTTAAGGGTTTGAACCCATTGAACCTTTTTTTTTTTGAGATAGAGTCTTGCTCTGTCACCCAGGCTGGAGTGCAGTGGCACAATCTCGGCTCGCTGCAAGCTCCGCCTCCCGGGTTCAAGGGATTCTCCTGCCTCAGCCTCCCCAGTAGCTGGGACTACTGGCACATGCCACCACGCTCAGCTAATTTTTGTATTTTTGGTAGAGATGGGGTTTCACCATGTTGGTCAGGCTGGTCTTGGACTCTTGACCTCATGATCCGCCCGCCTCGGCCTCCCAAAGTGCTGGGATTACAGGTCTGAGTCACCACGCCTGGCCTGAACTGACCCTCTCTTAACCAAGGAGACTCCAGAGAAAAACTAGATTCCTGGCTGGGATGGTGAATATTGAGTGTCAACTTGATTGGATTGAAGAATGCAAAGTATTCATTGAGGCTGTGTCTGTGAGGTTCTTGCCAAAGGATATTCACACTGGAGCCAGTGGACTGAGAGAGGCAGACCCACCTTCTCTCTGGGTGGGCACCATCCCATCAGCTGCCAGCTGGGCTAGGATAGAAGCAGGCAGAGGTTGGTGGGAGGACTAGACTGGCTGAGTCTTCCGGCCTCCATCTTTCTCCCACGCTGGATGCTTCCTGCCTTTGACCATAGACTCCATCACGCTCCATCAGTTTTTAGACTATTGGATGTGCACCACTGGTTTGCCAGGGACTCTTGTCACCCAGGCTGGAGTGCAGTGGCACGATCTCGGCTCACTGCAAGCTCCGCCTCCCAGGTTCAAGTGATTCTCCTGCCTCAGCCTCCTGAGTACCTGGGACTACAGGCACCCGCCACCAAGCACGGCTAATTTTTTGTATTTTTAGTAGAGACGGGGTTTCAGCGTGTTAGCCAGGATGGTCTCGAAGTCTGCCCTGTTGGCCTCCCTGCTTTTGATGTTTTGGGATGTGGACGGGATTCACCACTGGCTTTCTGGCTTCTCAACTTGCAGATGGCCTGTTGTGGGATTTTCACCTTGTGATGGGGTGAGTCAATTCTCCTAATAAAATCCCCTTTATTTTATTTTGAGACGGAGTCTCACTCTGTTGCCAGGCTTGAGTGCAGTGGTGCAATCTCGGCTCACTGCAAGCTCTGCCTCTTGGGTTCAAGCGATTCTCCTGCCTCAGCCTCTGGAGTACCTGGGATTACAGGCGCCTGCCACCACGCCCAGCTAATTTTTTGTATTTTTAGTAGAGATGGGGTTTCACCATGTTGGTCAGGCTGGTCTCGAACTCCTGACCTTGTGATCCACCCGCCTCAGCCTCCCAAAGTGCAGGGATTACAGGCATGTGCCACCGCGCCCACCTAATTTTTTTGTATTTATAGTAGAGACGGGGTTTCTCCATGTTGGTCAGGTTGGTCTCGAACTCCTGACTTCAGGTGATCCACCTGTCTCAGCCTCCCAAAGTGCAGGGATGACAGGCGTGAGCCATTGCACCTGGCCAATAAACTCGCTTTTATATATTAATCAATCCTATTAGTTCTGTCCCTCTAGCCAACCCTGATTAATATGCTGGCCATGATGAAAATGGAGATCAGATAGCACTTGTTATACCTGGCACCCTTGGAGTTTAGGCCCAGCTGACCATTAATGTTGAAAAAAGGTAAATAAAGGTTAAAAAAGGGGGTCATAAGACACAAGAACATACTCTTGGCAGCAATAAGATACCAAATTCCTGCCTGACTCTGGTGTACCCTTATGTGACACAGAGCAGGACCTGGAGGAAATCTAAATATTTTACCCTAAAATGTATTTTTTTGGCCGGGTGCAGTGGCTCACGGCTGTAATCCCAGCACTTTGGGAGGCTGAGGTGGGTGGGTCACAGGGTCAGGAGTTTGAGACCAGCCTGACCAACATGGTGAAACTCCGTGTCTACTAAAAATACAAAAATTAGCCAGGTGTGGTGGCAGGCACCTGTCATGCCAGGTGGGTTTTACTCAGTCACCATTAATAAGACAAACCAACACAGGGAGGGGTCCATTGTGAAGCTGTAACTCAATTTTATAAACAAAATAATAAAAATAATACAAAAACATGAGACATTTGCTGCTGGAGAGAGGAAGAGAGAAAGAAAGGGGCAGACAGAAGACACACAAAATAAAAAACTTTGGAGGTTGGGTATGGTGGCTCCCGCTTGTCATCCCAACACTTTGGGAGACCGAGGCGGGAGGATCACTTGATTCCAGGAGTTTGACACCAGCCTGGGCAACACAGGGAGACTCCATCTCTACAATATATATATATATATATATATATATATATATATATATATATATTTTATTTTTTGACACTGAGTCTCGCTCTGTCGCCCAGGCTGGAGTGCAATGGCACAATCTCGGCTCACTGCAAGCTCCGCCTCCCGGGTTCACGCCTTTCTCCTGCCTCAGCCTCCCGAGTAGCTGGGACTACAGGTGCCCGCCACCACGCCCGGCTAATTTTTTTGTATTTTTAGTAGAGACGGGGTTTCACTGTGTTAGCCAGGATGGTCTCCATCTCCTGACCTCGTGATCCACCCACCTCGGCCTCCCAAAGTGCTGGGATTACAGGCGTGAGCCACGACACCCGGCCACAAAATATTTTTTAAAATGAGCAGGGCATGGTGGTGAGTGTCTATGGTTCCAGCTATAAGGAAAGTTGAGGTGGGAGGATCTCTTGAGCCCAGGAGTTTGAGACCAGCCTAGACAACATAGCAAGACCCCATCGCTATAAAAAAAATTACCCAGGCATGGTGGCATGCACTTGTAGTCCCAGCTACTCAGGCAGTTAAGGCGGGAGGATTGCTTTAGCCCAGGAGTTCCAGACAAGCCTGGGAAACATCACAAGACCTCATGTCTATAAAAAAATTTTAAAAATTATCCAGGCATGGTAGCACAAACCTGTAGTCCCAGCTACTCAGGCAGTTAAGGCAGGAGGATTGCTTTAGCCCAGGAGTTCCAGACAAGCCTGGGAAACATCACAAGACCTAATGTCTATAAAAAAATTTTAAAAATTATCCAGGCATGGTAGCACAAACCTGTAGTTCCAGCTGCTCAGGCAGTTAAGGCAGAAAAAATGCTTGAGCCTTGGAGTGTGAGAGCAGCCTGGAAAACATAGCAAGATCCCATGTCTATAATTTTTTTTTTTTTTTTTTTTTTTTGAGACGGAGTACCGCTCTGTCACTCAGGCTGGATTGCAGTGGCGCGATCTTGGCTCACTGCAAGCTCCACCTCCCGGGTTCACGCCATTCTCCTGCCTCAGCCTCCTGAGTAGCTGGGACTACAGGCGCCCACCACCATGCCTGGCTAATTTTTTTTTTTTTGTATAAAAATTTTTTAAAAAACATCCGGGCATGGTGGCATGCACCTGTAGTTCCAGCTTCTTACTCAGTTGAGGCAGAAGGATGACTTAAGCCCAGGAGTTGGAGGCTGCAGTGAGGCAGCCAGGATCATTTCCCTGCAGTCCAGCCTGGGTGACAGAGCAAGACCCTGAGAAAGAAGAAGGAAAGAAAAAAAGAAAGAAAGAAGGAAAAAAGAAAGAAAGAAAGAAAGAAAGAAAGAAAGAAAGAAAGAAAGAAAGAAAGAAAGAAAGAAAGAAAGAAAGAGAAAGAAAGAAAGAAAAGAGAAAGAAAGAAAAGGAAGGAAGGAGAGAAAGAAGAGAAAGAAAAGAAACAAAGAAGAAAGGAGAAAAGAAAAAAGGAATTATGGAAAAGAAAGCAGGGGGAGACGTTGGGAAGACAGCCAGAAAAGGCCCTGTCCTTTCCCCGGGCCCTGGCTGACCGTGTAATGGCAAATTGATATAGGGCTGCAGCCCTGTCCTTCATGGAAAGTGACTGAGAGATCTGTCAGGACCCGTGTGCGCATTTTGATCTGCAGAAAGATTGAATTAGGCAGGGGATTAGAGTGAGGAACATTGCGATGCTTGCCGTTGTGAAAACAAATGTCAGGTAGGCGTTCATTAGGCGGGCTGGGAGCAAGCCAGCTCTGTAGAAAGCACATTTATAGCCCACGAGGACACAGCATTTGACCTTGTCCCGTTGGAAGAAGCGGGGAGGGGGGTGGCGGATCCCAGGAGTTGATTTGTACGGCAGTGGCAATGAGTGGGTTGGGGGCTATTTGTTGAACGTCTCTGTGGGCTGTGGGCTTCTGTCTGCAGGGTTCTTTTGTTCCTGGTGTGTGTGCCATCTCATGCGTGCATAAGAACATACATGAATGCACACACACACGTACACACAGTGTGGTTACACATGCGTGCCTGGGAGGTGGCATATTCAGGTTTTGTCTTTGCTAGATTGTTACTCCAGCCATGCACAAGCTTTCACATGTGTGCAGTCATGCAAACATGCACACACATGCACACACACACATGCACACACAGTGTGGATACACATGCATGCCTGGGAGAAGGCATACGCAGATTTCTTCTTTGCTAGCTTCTTGCTGTGGCCATGCACAAACTCTCACATGTGTGCACTCATACAAACATGCACATACATGCATGCACACACAGTGTGCATACACATGCATGCCTGGGAGGAGGCATATGCAGATTTATTCTTTGCTAGCTTCTTGCAGTGGCCATGCACAAACTCTCACGTGTGTGTGCACTCATGCACACATGCACACTCACACACATATGCACACATGTGCATGCAAAGTGTGATTACACATGCAGTCTTAGGAAGAGGCATATACAGATTTCTTGTCTGCTAGATTCTTGCTCCAGGCATGCACAAGCTCTCACAAGTGTGCAGTCATGCAAACATACACACACACACATGCACACACAGTGTGCATACACATGCATGCCTGAGAGGAGGCATATGCAGATTTTTCTTTGCTAGATTCTTGCTGTGGCCATGCACAAGCTCTCACGTGTGTGTGCACTCATGCACACATGCGCACACACACACATCCACACACGTGCATGCACGCACAGTGTGGTTACATATGTGTGCCTGGGAGGTGGCATATGCAGATTTTGTCTTTGCTAGATTGTTACTCCAGCCATGCACAAGCTTTCACATGTGTGCAGTCATGCAAACATGCATATACATGCATGCACACACATGCACACACAGTGTGGATACACATGCGTGCCTGGGAGAAGGCATATGCAGATTTATTCTTTGCTAGCTTCTTGCTGTGGCCATGCAGAAGCACTCATGTCTATGTGCACACATGTACACGCACACACATCCACACATGTGCACGCACACACAGTGTGGTTAAACTTTTATGCCTGGGAGTTGGCACAGGCTAATTTTCTCTTTGCTAGATTCTTGCTCTGGCCACGCACAAGCTCTCACGTGTCTGTGCAGTCATGCAAACACACACACACGCAGTGCACAAGCTCTCACATGTGTGTGCAGCCATGCAAACACACACACACACATGCAGTGTCTATATGCACGACTGGCTGGGAAGAAATCCAGGTGAAATGCCTCTTTGCTTTGTGGTTCCCCTAAGCTCCATCTTGACCAGACACCTGACCTCAGTCAAATCCAGGAAAACAGTAAATCGGGTCAATTCTCAAGGGGGATCTTGTTTTTATCCAACTGACAACTACCAGATATGTATTTACTTGTTTGCAAGCGTGTTTTAATTAATTTATTTATTTATTTTTGAGACACAGTTTCATTCTATCTCTGCAGTGCCATGGCATGATCTCAGCTCACTGCAGTCTCTGCCTCCCAGGTTCAAGCAATTCTCCTGCCTCAGCCTCTGGAGTAGCTGAGATGACAAGCATGCACCACCACGCCCAGCTAATTTTTGTATTTTTGGTAGAGACTGGGCTGGTCTTGATCTCCTGACCTCAGGTGATCCACCTGCCTCGGCCTCCCAAAGTGCTGGGATTACAGGCATGAGCCACTGTGCCCGATCTATTTTGAAATTTTTATAGATTTTAGGGGTTTAAGTGCAATTTTGTTGCATGTGTAGATTGCAGAATGGTGAACTCAGAGATTTTAGTGTATCCATCACCCAAATAGTGTATATTGTACCCATTAAATAACTTCTCATCCGTCTGCTTCAGCCTCCCGAGTAGCAGGGATTACAAGTGTGTGCCAGCAAGCCCGTCTACTTTTTGTATTTTTTTTTTAAGAAGAAACAGGGTTTCACCATGTTGGCCAGGCTGGTCTCGGTCTCGAACGCCTGACCTCAGGTGATCTGCCCGCCTCGGCCTCCCAAAGTGCTGGGACGACAGGCATGAGCCCGCGTGCCCTGCTGCAGGTGTCTTTTTGATAGAATGACTTCTTTTCCTTTGGATAGATAACCAGGAGTGGAATTGTTCCATGGAAGGGTCGTTCTGTTTTCGGTTCTTTGAGAAATTTCCAGGTGTGTAAAACAAAAACCTCTGCCATTGCTTCCAGCCTGAGGTTTGGAATGTTTGGGGTGGGCAGCGGGAGAAAAATGGTGGAGAGGCCTCACATTGGCCCCAGCCAGCCTGAGGATATCCTACTGCACCTGCCAGGGGCCCTGTGGGACCTCCCTGCTGCTAACAAGCATGCCTCATTTACCATGCAAATGTTCCTTGGGGAGTCAGGCCTATCCATCACTCACCCTTCTTCCAGGACCTACCCCTCCCTTCCCTCCCCTCCCCCCACAATGGTCTCCAGTCACAGGAGGTCTTAACACACATCAGCTGTGCTGGGCTGGCAGTGCGGATGTCAGTTTGGTGGGGCCCAAAGTGAAGTGTATCTTAAGGGTTTTCTTTAAGGAAAACAACAACAACAAGAAAACGTGAAATCTCTCACAAGATCCATTCTGGTACATTGGACATTGCTGCTCTGTGGGGTCCTGAACTGGTTCATGGAGGAGGGAGGAAAGAAGGAAGGAAGGAAGGAAGGAAGGAAGGAAGGAAGGAAGAAAGGAGAGAGGGAAAAGATAAAAGGGAGGGAGGGAGGAAGAGAGGAAGAAAGGGAGGAAAAGAAGGAAGGAGGACAGGAGGAGGGACAAGTAAGAAAGGAAAGAAAGGAGGAAAAGAAGAAAGAAGAAAGGAGGGAGAGAAGGACAGAAAGAGGGCGAGAGAGAAAGAAAGAAAAAAACACTATCTATCCTATGAATGTATGATGTATTAATCATCTCCCTGTCATCTACTTGTCATACATCTACCTATCTCATTTATCTATCATCAATCATCTACATATCTGTCTTATCTATCTATTCATCTTATCTATGTATCTATTACCATCATGTATCTATATATCTATCTACCTAAGTATGTATCTGTTACCATCATCTATTTATCTATCTATCTACCTATCTATTACCATCATCTATCTATCTATCTATCTATCTTCTATCTACCTTCTATCTACCTATGTATGTATCTATTACCATCATCTATCTATCATCTATCTATCTATCTATCTATCTATCTATCTATCTATCTATTACCATCATCTGTCTATCTATCTATCTATCTTCTATCTATCTTCTATCTACCTTCTATCTACCTATGTATGTATCTATTACCATCATCTATCTATCATCTATCTATCTATCTATCTATCTATCTATCTATCTATGTATCTATTACCATCATCTATCTATCTATCTATCTATCTATCTATCTATCTATCTATCTTCTATCTATCTTCTATCTACCTTCTATCTACCTATGTATGTATCTATTACCATCATCTATCTATCATCTATCTATCTATCTATCTATCTATCTATCTATCTAAGTATCTATTACCATCATCTATCTATTTGTCTATCTATCTATCTACCTACCTATCATCTTCTATCTACCTAAGTATGTATCTATTACCATCATCTGTCTATCATCTATCTATCTATCTATCATCTATCTATCTATCTATCTATCATCTATCTACCTAAGTATCTATTACCATCACCTATCTTCTATCTATCTATGTATCTCTCTATCTTCTATCTATCTATCTATCTATCTATCTATCTATCTATCTATCTATCAAGTATCACCATCATCTATGTATCTCTCATCTATTTTATCTATACATCTATCTATCATCTATCATCCATCTATATGTCTCTTTTGTATTATGGCACAATACACATAACATAAGATTTACCTTTTAACAACTTTAAAATGCAAAGTTCAGTGCCACGAAGTCCATTCCCAATGTTGGGCCACCATCACCACTGTCTCATTTCAAAACATTGTCATCAGATTGCACTGAATGGAGACACCAGGTGATGCCTGCTTAGTCAGAGAGCAGACGTTTGCTCAGCAAGGGGCTGGGGCCAGGAGAATGGCGGACAGAGCATGGCCGAGAAGGCTGTCTTCAGCCTCCAGCCCCAGCCCGTCTCTGCCATCTGCATCCCTGAACTATTGGAAGAGGGGTTGACTGATGGTTGGTTGCCTGTCATCTCTCCTCTTTGATCACAGCCCTGCTTCTTGTTCAATCTCCCCCTCTCCCCCACCCCCTGCCAACCATCCAGCCACTGCTCTCTCTCTCTCTCTCTCTCTGATCCCCACAGTGGATGGAAGACCCCACCCCGCATTTCCAAACACACAGAATATAGTCTCACTCTTCAAAGCAACCACGAATCTCTATGACTATTTCAAAATCGTCAGGAGAGGGAATCTGGGTGAGGTTGACTCAGGGATCTGGGATCACAGGGCGGGGGTCAGACGAAGCCGGCTTCTGTAGCTGAGGAGGGACGGAGAGCTGACAGAGGCCCTGGGGGCCACACAGCGTGAAGTTTCCATTGCAGGAGTGATGACCGCACCAAGAACCTTTCACAGCACGGGTCAACCCAAGGCCATCTCAGAGACGCTTGAATATGCAGCGAGGTTGAGAGCTGTTTCAGGGCAATGTTCAGATGCAAATCTTCTGCTTCGTTCATAAAATAGAATGAACTAAGATTTTTTTATTTTTTTCTTTTTGAGATGGAGTCTTGCTCTGTCGCCCAGGCTGGAGTGCAATGGCACGATCTCGACTCACTGCAACTTCCACTTCCCCGGTTCAAGTGATTCTCCTGCCTCAGCCTCCCAAATAGCTGGGATTACAGGCGCCCGCCACCACACCCAGCTAATTTTTGTAGTTTTAGTAGAGACGGGGTTTCATCGTGTTGGTCAGGCTGGTCTCGAACTCCTGACCTCGTGATCCGCCCACCTCGGCCTCCCAAAGTGCTGGGATTACAGGCGTGAGCCACTGTGCCCAGATGGCTTTGCTATTCCTATCTGTGCCTGAATAAGCCGCCTCTTTGAGGTCTTCAATGAATGGTTGTTGAATGAAGGAGTGAGTACGTGGCTTGTTCGGCACATTTCAGCCAAGGATGTTCCACGAAGTGTCAACCATTCTTTCAACAATCCATTCATGATCGAGTGAATAAGATGAAATGACATCATGGAATCCATAAGATGAAAAAGCTCAAGAGGAAATAATGAAAGCACAATCATTGTCAGGAAAACAAGGGCATTGGCCGGGCGCGGTGGCTCACGCCTGTCATCCCAGCACTTTGGGAGGCCGAGGCGGGTGGATCACCTGACCTCAGGAGTTTGAGACCAGCCTGACCAACATGATGAAACCCCATCTCTACTAAAAATACAGAAATTGGCCGGGCATGGCAAGATCATGCCCCTGCACTCCAGCCTGGGTGGCAGAGTGAGACTCCATCTGAAAAAAAAAAAAAGGAAAGAAAGAAAGAGGAAAGAAAAAGAAAGAAAGAAGTAAGAAAGAGAAAAAAGAAAGAGAAAGAAAGAAAGAGGAAAGAAGAAAGAAAGAAAGAAAGAAAGAAAGAAAGAAGAAGGAAAGAAAGAAAGAAAGAAAGAAAGAAAGAAAGAAGAAAGAAAGAAAGAAGGAAAGAAAGAAAGAGAAGAAAGAAAGAAAAAAGAAAGAGAGAGGGAGGGAGGGAGGAAAGAAGGAAGGAAAGAAAGAAAAAGAAAGAAAGAAACAAAGAAAGAAGGAAAGAAGGAAAGGAGAGAGGGAAGTGGAAGGGAGGCAAGGGGGAGGGAGGGAGTGAAGGAGGGAGGGAAGGAAAGAAGGAAGGAAGGAAGGACAAAAGAAAGAGAGAGAGAAAGAAAAGAAGAAAGAAAGAAGAAAAGAAAGAAGAAAGAAAGGAAAGAAGAAAGAAAAGAAAGAGAAAAAGAAAGAAAGAAGGAAGGGAGAGAGGAAGGAAGGAAGGAAGAAAGGCCATTAAGATTCCCTAAGCTATGGAGAACATTGATCTATTATGGGTTTCTCATGCTGGTGACGGGGAGAAAGTGGCAGATGATTGGTGGACGGATGGATACCTGATTTCTCAGAGTCTTGTTATCTTCTGAGTGCCAGGCTATCATTTTATAGAGGAAGCTAATAGAAACGGTCTGGCAATGGGCCTGGGGTCATCCGCTGGTGAGTAGCCGAGCCTGGTTCTGACGATGCACGTACCTGGCCCACAGGTGGAGGCTGTTAGGGGATGTCATAGGTAAGCAACAGGCCTTGAGCAGTGCTACCTGGCACTCCACAGCGTGCTAACCACCCCAAATTTTGCAGAAATCCTATAACATAGAAACGTTAAGAAACCTCAGAGGCAACAGGACTTTCATCCAGAAAGGGCAGGTGCATGGTGAGTCCCCCTGTCTCATCAGCTGGGTAAGAACTGGGTGATATTTCTATTTCTACACACAGGCTGACTTAGAGGCTTGAAGGTCCATAGCTAAGATCAGGGTGGGTATGGCAGGTGCATGTTCTCCATGTGATTCCATCTCCTGACTGTGCTTTTTGGTACCTGGAAAGATCGTCTGTCTCTGAAACGACGGTGTGTGTGCTGCGTTGAAGGTGAACACAGCCCACGGTCATCTCTGCTCTTTTGGAAAAGTCACCACACATGTCCACAGATCCTTCCCGGCCAACTCTTTGGCAACTCCAGCAGCTGGGAGTCCATTTTCCTAATTTCTGCTTCTCACCGTAGTTCATAAATCAGAATGCAGATGAGAGACTCATGGTTAATTTTCCGCAGCGAGCCCAGAACGTCGGAGCCCATAAACTGCAGGAAGTCTCGGGCTGTGAATTTCTTGATGCTGACAAGTCAAACAGCTTAGAAATCATAATTATAAGTTACAAGTGGCTTAGGGGTTGTTCTCCGGACATAAAACTAATTTCATGTTTTTATTCATACTGTGTGAGAGAAAAGAGGGGAACGGGCTGGCGTTGGAGGGTGCTCCTGCAGATATCACAAGCTCCCTCTCTCAGCCTTAATGAGATCAGACGGCTTGCTTCCTTCTTTGTTACTGTCTGACTTGCCTTGAGGGGCTTTTGACGACTGTGTGGATGCTGCCCCTGCTTTTTTTCCGAGAGCGTACCTGTGAGGACGTGGCCAACCCAGGGGGTCTTCACCAATAGGACACCGCATTTGCCCCCAGCACTGTGGCCTCAACATATATCTCTGTAAGAGTCCCCTGGGCCTACCATAAAAAAAGGACCCCAAACTGGGGGACTTGAAGCAGCAGAAATAAGATTCTCTGCTTGTTGAGGAGGCCAGAAGGCTGGAAGGAAGGGGTCCCTGGGGTTGATTGCTTCTGGAAACTATGATGGCATATTCATTTCATGCCTTTCTCTTTTTTTTTTTTTTTTTGGGGAGGGGGGACAGAGTCTCTCTCTGTCGCCCTGGCTGGAGTGCAGTGGCACGATCTCGGCTCACTGCAAGCTCTGTCTCCTGGGTTCACGCCATTCTCCTGCCTCAGCCTCTCGAGTAGCTGGGACTACAGGCACCTGCTACCGTGCCCAGCTAACTTTTTGTATTTTTAGTAGAGACAGGGTTTCACCATGCTAGCCAGGATGGTCTCGATCTCCCGACCTCGTGATCCGCCCGCCTGGGCCTCCCAAAGTGCTGGGATGACAGGCGTGAGCCACTGCACCTGGCCTCATGCCTTTCTCTTATGTTCTGGTGATCCCAGCCATCTTTGGTTTGCAGACGCGTCTTTCCAATCTCTGCCGTCACCTTCATGGTCTTGATAGCTGTGTGTGTTTTTACGAACTCTCTCGTCTTGTTTATGAGAAGTCTAGTCATTAAATTGAAGGTTCACCCTAACCCAGTATGACCTCCTAGTCATTTACATCTTAACCCACTTATTCCCAAGGTTGCAAGTTTTTTGAATTTTTGCAATCAGAGCTTGGTGATGACCTTCAGCCATAGGATATCAATAACTTCCACAAGCCTAGTGTTCCATTATTGGAACACTAGGCATAAATGAGTGTTTACATCTGCAAAGATCCTATTCCCAAGTAAAGTCCCCTTCACAGATACCGCGGTTAGAAATTGAGCATATTGGCTGGGCCCGGTGGCTTGCCCCTGTCATCCCAGCACTTTGTGAGGCCGAGGCAGGCAGATCACGAGGTCAGGAGATCGAGACCATCCTGGCTAACACGGTGAAACCCCATCTCTACCAAAAATACAAAAAGTTAGCTGGGCATGGTGGCGGGCGCCTGTAGTCTCAGCTACTCGGGAGGCTGAGGCAGGAGAATCACTTGAACCCGGGAGGTGGAGGTTGCAGTGAGCCGAGATCTCGCCCCTGCATTCCAGCCTGGGTGACAGAGTGAGAGTCTGTCTCAAAAAAAAAAAAAAAAATCTACGTTGTAATTTGTGTGATACACTATATCAAGCCGTTTTCCAATCTCTAGGAAAAAAACAACAGCACACACAGATATACATTTATCCCTTTTGGAAGAAGTAGCGTCTGCAGCTCTTTGAAAGACCAGAGAATTTTTACATTGTGAAGCTATTTAGGTACCTACTACGTGCGGTGCTCTGCCATATGAAACATCAAACAGAAAATGACAAAGCAACCAAGAAAAGGCTTAACTTTCGGCTGAGAGGACGGACGGTTGCCGTCACTGATTCGGCTTTTGTGTCTATAGCTGAACAGCCGAGGTGGTGTCACCACACTCTAGAGAGAAACCTGTCTAACCAGCAAGAGAAAGCAACTAGCTTGGTGTGCTGCAGAGACTTTAAGACTGGGGAGAAAGTTCAAGCAACATTCTGTAGCTTGCAAAACCAATCCAAGAAAATGAAATGAAAAACAAAAAACAAAAACAAACAAAAAAAGGTAACCTATTGTCTTCTTGGATCTCCAGCCCTATAGTGGGAATGTGTTTCTCCAAAAATCATCTGTTTATCCGAAAAGGAAAAAAAAATAAAACGATAAAACAACAGCAAACCTCAATACAGAATCTCGTTCTTCTAAGACACAGACTTCACTGTGCTGATATCGCTTTTAAAGGAGGAAATTCAGAATATATCCACGTCTGCCTTTCCTTTAAAGACTGTTCATTGCAGAGGAACGTGGCCCTGCCAGTTTGACCTGCCTAGCAGGACTCCAATCAGAAAAGATAAGAGCATGTTTAATTGATTAGTCAGAGTCTGTCCAGCGCTTTGAAGGTGAGGACTGAGATATTATTGTAATGATGAAGAGGGAGCTGTGATCTTTGGAGAATTTCTTCTCTCATGTAAGCCTCTTTCTCAATTTGATCTATGCTGCTCAAGTCTACTGCTGGGGTGTACAAATTACTGATCCCGATCAGTAGGAAGCACCTTACATATTCAGGCGTGGGTTGCTGAACCTCGAGGCATGAAACCAAAGACGGGCTACTGAGAGACGGGAGCTGTCTCCAGCTATCCTTCTGGGAAGACAGTCTCAAGATGGCACCCGCCATGCTGGAGGTTGCCCAGGCATCATTCTTTTCTCTGAGATGTGTTGGCTGATTTCTCTTCACGGAACACATGCCACCTCCCCAGGGCAGCTCTTGAGGGAAATTCTTCCTGACACCTGTTGGAGCTTGAGCTATCTCCATGGTTTCTCTGAACCTTGACTGTTGCCATCAAACAGGTGTTAAATTATGGCATATTGTCATTGCTTTATCCTCAGATTCCGCAACAGATCATAGGTCCTCTAAGGGGGATGACTATATGCTGTTTAATGCATAGATTTGTTTTTTCAGAGCAGTTTTGGTTTCAGAGAAAGGGAGGGCAGAAAATAAAGAATTCCCCTATATCCCCTTCATTTTTCTCCCAGCAGTTTCTGCTATTATTAACATCTTGAATTCAGGGAGGACATGCGTTGCAATTGATAAACCCATATTGATTATTATTCACTAAAGGTGATAGTTGACACTGAGGTCACTCTTGGCATTGTACGTAGTTTACACTGAGGTCAGTCTTGGCGTTCTACATCCTATGGGTTTGGACATACACAGAAGCTTCACGGCCCTAAAAATCATCTGAGAGCCACTTATTTACCTACACCAACTGTATAGTTTTCTTCTCTGCATCACCAGTAGCACTGTGCCATAATCAATCATGAATCAATCAATCAGTCCTTGATCAATCAGCTTAACATGCTGCTCAGTGTCTGGGGCTCCTCCAGAGCCAGGGTCACCTTAGTCCTGCTCTGTGGCTGCAGGCTGACTTATAGGGTAAGGGTGTGTGGGACTCCTGTGTCCCTGGATTTGGTCTATAGGAAGCCCCAGGAAGATGGCAGGAACAGAGATGCCACCTTCAGTCTGACAGTTGGCTTCTCAGGATGACTCCCTACAGGGATGGCAGGAGCTGGCCTCACCCGGCTCTTGAAGGCCATAGTCCTGACAGGTGGCCACATCTCCACCCCTAGACTGCTCTCTCTCCAGCTACTGGAAACCCACTCCTCACAGCATAGTCACAAGTCTCCCCCACACTCTGCTCCCACGGATAAGATACTCTAGCCACTGGCCGGGCGCGGTGGCTCAGGCCTGTAATCCCCACACTTTGGGAGGCCGAGGTGGGTGGATCACGAGGTCAGGAGATGGAGACCATCCTGGCTAACACGGTGAAACCCCGTCTCTACTAAAAATACAAAAAAAAATTAGGCGGGCGCGGTGGCGGGCGCCTGTAATCCCAGCTACTCCGGAAGCTGAGGCAGGAGAATGGCCTGAACCCGGGAGGTGGAGCTTGCAGTGAGTCAAGATCGCACCACTGCACTCCAGCCTGGGCGACAGAGCGAGACTCAGTCTCAAAAAAACAAAAACAAACAAACAAAAAGATACTCTAGACAAATTGACCTCCTTAGCAAGGGGACGAGGGACCATTTCTGCTCATCCCTGAGTAGTGGTTTCAGTTCCCTGCCAACCTATGGAATTGTCCAGAAAAGCCCATCACCTTCTTCTGCAGGAACCAGGAGCCACCTCACCCACTTGTTCCTACAAAGCCTGCCTTTCATGGCTTCTGATGGTTCATTGTACTAGAATGCAACTTCACATGCATGCTGTAAAGGGTCCTCTTCCCCCATCTGTGCATAGACGTGAGCAATCAATGTGGTTGTAGCTGTCATGCCTCCAGTGCTACATGCCATGGTCAGCCATCCCTAGCATCCTAGCACAAGAAACCCTTTCTTACCAAAGCAATGGATAGGAGGCTGTCCATCCATTGCTTCCCAAAACCACCTGCTCCTTGTAGTAAATTGTGAGGATAAACAGGGCAGTGTTCCATTTTGGACTGCCTCTATATATTTAAATTATCTTTGACTTGGGACCCACAAGATTATGGAAGAAGAACATGGGAAGCTTCCAGGAAACCTGGATGTATTAGTCAGGGTTCTCTAGAGAGACAGAACTGATAAGACGGATGGATGGATAGATAGATAGATAGATAGATGATAGACAGATGATGGTAATAGATACATAGGTAGATAGAAGACGATAGATAGATAGATAGATAGATAGATAGATAGATTCATAGATACATAGATACATAGATACATAGATAGATGATGGTAATAGATACATACTTAGGTAGATAGAAGATAGATAGATGATAGATAGATGATGGTAATAGATACATACTTAGGTAGATAGAGGGAGATAGATAGATAGATAGATAGATAGATAGATAGATAGATAGATACATAGATAGATAGATAGATAGATGATGGTAATAGACACATACTTAGGTAGATAGAATATCATAGATAGATAGATAATGGTAGTAGATACATACTTAGGTAGATAGAATATCATAGATAGATAGATAGATAATGGTAGTAGATACATACTTAGGTAGATAGAGGATGAGAGATAGATAGATAGATAGATAGATAGACAGATAACGGTAATAGATACATACTTAGGTAGATAGAGGATGAGAGATGGATAGATAGACAGATAATCGTAATAGGTACATACTTAGGTAGATAGAGGATGAGAGATAGATAGACAGATAGATAGACCGATAGATAATGGTAATAGATACATACTTAGGTAGATAGAGGATGAGAGACAGATAGATAGATAGATAGATAGACCGATAGATAATGGTAATAGATACATACTTAGGTAGATAGAAGATGATAGATAGATAGACAGACAGACAGATAATGGTAATAGATACATACTTAGGTAGATAGAGGATGAGAGATAGATAGATAGATAGATAGATAGATAGATAGATAGATAGATGATGGTAATAGATACATAGGTAGATAGAGGATGAGAGATAGATAGATAGATAGATAGATAGATAGATGATGGTAATAGATACATACTTAGGTAGATAGAATATCATAGATAGATAGATAATGGTAGTAGATACATACTTAGGTAGATAGAGGATGAGAGATAGATAGATAGATAGATAGATAGATAGATAGATAGACCGACAGATAATGGTAATAGATACATACTTAGGTAGATAGAAGATGATAGATAGATAGACAGACAGACAGATAATGGTAATAGATACATACTTAGGTAGATAGAGGATGAGAGATAGATAGATAGATAGATAGATAGATAGATAGATAGATAGATGATGGTAATAGATACATACTTAGGTAGATAGAATATCATAGATAGATAGATAATGGTAGTAGATACATACTTAGGTAGATAGAATATCATAGATAGATAGATAGATAGATAATGGTAGTAGATACATACTTAGGTAGATAGAGGATGAGAGATAGATAGATAGATAGATAGATAGATAGATAGATAGATAGACAGATAATGGTAATAGATACATACTTAGGTAGATAGAGGATGAGAGATAGATAGATAGATAGACCGATAGATAATGGTAATAGATACATACTTAGGTAGATAGAAGATGATAGATAGATAGACAGACAGACAGATAATGGTAATAGATACATACTTAGGTAGATAGAGGATGAGAGATAGATAGATAGATAGATAGATAGATAGATAGATAGATAGATGATGGTAATAGATACATACTTAGGTAGACAGAGGATGAGAGATAGATAGATAGATAGATAGATAGATAGACCGATAGATAATGGTAATAGATACATACTTAGGTAGATAGAAGATGATAGATAGACAGACAGACAGACAGATAATGGTAATAGATAGATACTTAGGTAGATAGAGGATGAGAGATAGATAGATGATAGATAGATAGATAGATAGATAGATAGATAGATAGACAGATAATGGTAATAGATACATACTTAGGTAGATAGAGGATGAGAGATGGATAGATAGACAGATAATGGTAATAGATACATACTTAGGTAGATAGAGGATGAGAGATAGATAGATAGATAGATAGACCGATAGATAATGGTAATAGTTACATACTTAGGTAGATAGAAGATGATAGATAGATAGACAGACAGACAGACAGATAATGGTAATAGATACATACTTAGGTAGATAGAGGATGAGAGATAGATAGATAGATAGATAGATAGATAGATAGATAGATAGATAGATGATGGTAATAGATACATACTTAGGTAGATAGAAGATAGACAGATACTGGATAGATAGACGATGTAAAATCACTAGCAGCACTTTTGGGAAAAGGTGTTGTATAAACTGGATCAAAGACTAACTCTGAGCTACACACATATGAAATCTCACCCAGAGGAGACCCCACTGCTCACAAAGACCTCAGTCAGGAGCGGGCGAGCTGTATTTTTATGCTAAAATTTACACAAAGGGACGGCCCCAGGCTCTCCCTCCTTTACAAGCTGTGGTCAGTCACGCCGTCTGGCCGAGGAATCCGGCTTTCACAGGGGGAAGCAAATAATAGGACGGGGAAACCGCAGGGTCCTTGGGCACTCAGAGCTGTCACTCATCACAAATCCATAAAACAATTCGTGTGGAAGTAATGATATTGTTTAACCACTGTATTTTTGATTAATGTATAAATAATTTAACTGAGTATTTCTTGAGTTTTCAGCGTGTCTGCCATTATTTACCGGCCCTGTCATGACGGCTGCTGGTGCTCTGCCATATAAAACATCCTCAAGTCCGTCCGAGGAGGCTGGTGGGTTGTTAATGGTCTTAGGGGGAAACGGCATTGCAGCTATTAACAAGCCGATTAGCATAATCCATTGTGATATATCATCATCCAGAAGTTCATCTGTGCAACTCGATGGGACTGGGGAATGGCTTTGAAGATCTTATGATACAATAACTATCTATTTGATAAGCAATTAAAAAGATATTTTGAGACACGAGGAGTGAAGATAATGGAACGGAGAGGAGGAGGGAGGCATGAGGGTGCCACGCTTCAGGGGAACGCGTTTGCTGATGACGGATGGAGCTTGATTCAGCCTGAGCTGTGGATGTCAGTGGCATGTTTGGCTCCCGGAGCAGCGTGGGGTGGTGACCTAGAAGCTATGGTATTCACGCAGGACTCTCCGCATGACATCAGGAGGCAGGACAAAGCACCTGTCATTATGCCACAACATCCTACTGCACTCACAGCTGCAAATCAAAGTATCTCAAAACCATTCTTGTTTCCATAGTCTTTGCCTTACACTATTCTGTGATACTGGGGGCAACTGTCAGGATCTGGGTGTGGGGACTGATAAGTGTGGATCACAGACTTCTTTTTTTCTTTGAGACGGAGTCTCACTCTTGTCGCCCAGGCTGGAGTGCAATGGAGCGATCTGGGATCACTGCAACCTCCGCCTCCCGGGTTCAAGCGATTCTCCTGCCTCAGCCTCCCGAGTAGCTGGGACTACAGGCACCTGCCACCACACGCGGCTAATTTTGTAATTTTAGTAGAGACGGGGTTTCACCATGCTGGTCAGGCTGGACTCGAATTCCTGACCTTGTGATCCGCCTGCCTCGGCCTCCCAAAGTGCTGGGATTACAGGTGTGAGCCGACGTGCCCGGCCTTTTTTTTTTTTTTTTTTTTTTTTTTAGATGGAGTCTTGCTCTGTCACCCAGGCTGGAGTGCAGTGGTGTGATCTTGGCTCACTGCAACGTCCGCCTCCTGGGTTCAAGCGATTCTCCTGCCTCAGCCTCCCGAGTAGCTGGGACTACAGGCACCCGCCACCACGCCCGGCTAATTTTGTGTTTTTAGTAGAGACGGGGTTTCATGATACTGGCCAGGCTGGACTTGAACTCCTGACCTCAAGGGATCCAGCCATCTTGACCTCCCAAAGTGCTGGGATGACAGGTATGACCCACTGCACCCGGCCACAGACTTCTTTCAAAATTGTGGCAAACTGTATAGAACCTAAACATGGCCACTTGACCATTTCAAGGTGAACAATTAAAGTTGCATAAAATATGTTCACAGCTCACACCTGTCATCCCAGCACTTTGGGAGGCCGAGGCGGGTGGATCACCTGAGGTCAGGATTTCAAGACCAGCCCGGCCAACATGGTGAAACCCCGTCTCTACTAAAAATACAAAAATTAGCCAGGTGTGGTGGCGCGCACCTGTAGTCCCAGCTACTCGGGAGGCTGAGGCAGGAGAATTGCTTGAATCTGGGAGGCGGAGGTGGCAGTGAGCCGAGATCACACCACTGGACTCCGACCTGGGTGACAGAGCGAGACTCCGTCTCCAAAAGAAAATAAAAAATGAAATAAAATAAAATACATTCACAGTGTTGTGGCATCATCCCCACTGTCTAAAGCCAAAGTTTTTCTTTTTCACCTAAACAGGAACTCTCTATGTATTAAACTATCATTCCTCATACTCCCCGTCCCCCAGCCCCTGGAAATGTCTAATTTTACTTCCTGTCTCTCTGGATCTGCCTATTCAAGTTTGTTTCTACAAATGGAACCCTACGTTATGTGGTTTTTTGTGTGGCTGGCTTATTTCACGGAGAGTCTTTTTCTTTTTCTTTATTTTTTTTTTTATTTGTTTATTTTTTTGAGACGAAGTTTCACTCTTGTCGCCCAGGCTGGAGTGCAGTGGCGTGATCTCGGCTCACCACAACCTCCGCCTCCCAGGTTCAAGTGATTCTCCTGCCTCAGCCTCCCGAGTAGCTGGGATTACAGGCGTGCACCACCACGCCAAGATAATTTTGTATTTTTAGTAGAGATGGGGTTTCACCATGTTGATCAGGCTGGTCTCGAACTCCTGACCTCCAGTGATCTGCCCGCCTCAGCCTCCCAAAGTGCTGGGATTGTAGGTGTGAGCCACCGCATCCAACCAAGCCTTCTTTTTCATGGCTAAATAATATTTCATAGTACAAATGGAATACAATCTATTTGTTGATTCTTCTGTTGATGGATATTTGGGTTTTTTTTTTTTAAGCTATTGTGAATAATGCTGTTAGGAAGTTTGTGGACAAGTACCTGTTTGAGTCATTTTCCAATTCTTTTTTTTTTTTTTTTTTTTTGAGACAGAGTCTCACTCTATTGCCCAGGCTGGAGTGCAGTGGTGTGATCTCAGCTCACTGCAACATCCTCCTCTGAGGCTCAATTGATTCTCCTGCCTCAGCCTCCCGAGTAGTTGGGATTACAGGCACCTGCCATCATGCCTGGCTAACTATTATTATTATTATTATTTTTGAGACGGAGTCTCTCTGTGTCTCCCAGACTGGAATGCAGTGGCGTGATCTCGGCTCACTGCAACCTCCACCTCCCGGGTTCAAGCGATTCTCCTGCCTCAGCCTCCCGAGTAGCTGGGATTACAGGCACCTGCCATCATGCCTGGCTAACTATTATTATTATTATTATTATTATTATTAAGACAGTGTATCTCTGTGTCTCCCAGGCTGGAATGCAGTGGCATGATCTCAGCTCACCGCAACCTCCTCCCCTGAGGTTCAATTGATTCTCCTGCCTCAGCCTCCCGAGTAGCTGGGATTACAGGTGCACGCAACCAAGCCCAGCTAATTTTTGTATTTTTAGTAGAGACGGGTTTTCACCATGTTGTCCAGGCTGGTCTTGAACTCCTGACCTCAGATGATCCACCCACCTCGGCCTCCCAAAGTGCTGGCATGACAGGTGTGAGCCAGCAAACCCTGCCCTTCTCTTCCTTTCTTTGCTTCAGGACTTATTGACAAATACAGCCACAGGGATCAAACACACGGGGAAAAGCATCCTTATTTTTTTCTTCTTTCCCCAACGGATAAAGGTACTGATCCTCTCAGATCTGGATCTGAGAGCAGTTAAGCCTCCTCGTTAGTTCTCTTAAGTTGAACTTGCTCTCCTTCTAATGAGGAACAAGGAGGGGTGAAAACGGTGGACATTCCCCTTGTCGGGGAGACCTGACCCATTCAGCTTCCTCTGAGCAGGCCGGTTGTCCCAAAGACAGACCCCCAGAGGGTCTAACCCACGTTCTCTGAGAGTCAGGTCATTCCTGGGGGCACTTGCAGGGGCCGTCAAGAGGAACCAGGAGCACTCATCGGGGAGGACTCCCGGAGTGCAAGCACGAAGAAGGAGTTTCCCCGCTTATTCCAGCAGACACCGCCCTGCGCAGCCTAACGCAAGATCACCATGTTACCTGTAGGCACCCATCTCCATGCCTGTCCTTGCAATGCGATCTTTCTCTCTCTTTCTCTTTCTTTCTTTCTTTTTCTTTCTTCCTTCCTTCCCTCCCTCCCCTCCCTTCCTCCCTCCCTTTCTCTCTTTCCTTTCTGTCTTCCTTTCCTTCTTTCTTTGTTATTTTCTTTCTTTCTTCCTTTCTTTCTTTGTTGCTCTCTTTCTTTTCTTTCTTTCTTTCTTTCTTTCTTTCTTTCTTTCTTTCTTCCTTCCTTCCTCTTTCTTTCTCTTTCTTTCTTTCTTTCTCTCAGATGGAGTCTTGCTCTGTCGCCCAGGCTGGAGTGCAGTGGCGCGATCTCAGCTCACTGCAAGCTCCGCCTCCCGGGTTCACGCCATTCTCCTTCCTCCGTCTCCCGAGTAGCTGGGATTACGGGCACCCGCCACCTCGCCCGGCTAACTTTTTTGTATGTTTAGTAGAGACGGGGTTTCACCATGTTAGCCGGGATGGTCTCGAACTCCTGACCTCAGGTGATCCACCCGCCTCAGGCCTCCCAAAGTGCTGGGAGGACAGGCGTGAGCCACCGCGCCAGGCCAACAATGGGAGTTTTCTTTACTTCACTTCTTTTTTGCATGGAGAGGCTTATAATTGGATACACTTGGGGCTTATAACTGGATACACTTGCAGCTTATAACTCCATACACTTGCGGCTTATCACTCGATATAGTTATCTTCCAGCACATGGACTCCGCATCACACAGGGATATGGCTGCAACACAGCAGCTACACATACTCATGTAGGTGAGAGGGATTCCGCAAAACCTCAACATTTGGAAAAGAAAAAAAAAAAAAAACAAAAAAAAGCCAGGCGCCGTGGCTCACACCTGTCATCCCAGCATTTTGGGAGGCCAAGGAAGGTGGATCACCTGAGGTCAGGAGTTTGAGACCAGCCTGGACAACATGGCGAAACCCCATCTCTACTAAAAATACAAAAATTAGCTGGGTGTGCTGGCGTGCGCGTGTAATCCCAGCTATTCGGGAGGCTGAGGCAGGGGAATTGCTTGAGCCCGGGAGGCGGAGATTGCAGTGAGCTGAGATTGTGCTACTGCACTCCAACCTGGGCGACATGGTGAGACTCTGTCTCAAAAAAAAAAAGACAAAATGAACAAAACAAAGAAACAAACAAAAAAACACATGCAATTGTTTACAACGCCATTGGGGTCTGGAAATTGTCTGTTTCTTGCTGAAGCTGACACTGTTGAGATCACTAAGGCAGCAAGCAAAGAACAGAGCCTCAGATGCACTTCACAAGCTATGCCATTTCCACAGTGAAAACAGGGAGGGGTCTGGAGTGCTGAAAACTTCCATGCCTTCCTTCAGTGCTAGGTGGTCCGGCTGCCCTAACATCACCCAGCTAGCAAGGTGTGGTGCCTGCTTTCAGCTCAAGTCTGCAAGCCACACCAGGCCTGTGCATTTGTGAGTGAACACAAGACATTAGCTTAGTTCACCCCTGAATACGGTGCAAGCACCTGCTCGTACAAACGCAGTATAGTACTGATGGCTTCAAATGATCTATTATCTATTAGACTTATCTACTGATGGTTATCTATCCACTGAGACTGGCGTTTCAGGAATATCCACTCAACCAGCTGTAGCCAAGGGGCCCACGGTGACTGCTCACTGCCTGCATTGACTGTGACCCAAGCCTGCTCTCCAACATTCCTGGGACTCACTTTCCCCAACTGTGGAGGAGAAGAGGATTTAACCTGCAGGGTGGTTATGAGAATGTAACACTTTTAAAAAGCACCTGCCCAAGGGTGGTGGCTCACGCCTGTGATCCCAGCACTTTGGGAGGCCGAGGCGGGTGGATCACTTGAGGTCAGGAGTTCGAGACCAGCGTGGCCAACATGGTGAAACCCCGTCTCTACTAAAAGTACAAAATTATCTGGGCATGGTGGCGGGCACCTGTAATCCCAGCTACTTGGGAGGCTGAGGCAGGAGAATCGCTTGAACCCAGGAGGCAGAAGTTGCAGTGAGCTGAGATCGAGCCACTGCACTCCAGCCTGGGCAATAGAGTGAAACTCCATCTCAAAAAAAAAAAAAAAAAAACTAACTGCCTGGTCCATCACCTGCCCATGTGTGTTTGGGGCTATTGGGAACCCCTTCTTAGTGATTGGAAAGACATTTTCATGATTTCTCCAAGCAAAATCAGGAGGATTAAGGCCAATAGCGTCAGAGGCGTTCGAACGAAAGCGACTTCATCTTGAGTGAGGGCTCGGAAAATGAGGCTGAGGCTTGCTGGCTGCATTCCCAGAAAGTTAAACATTCCTAGCCTCTATGTATTTATGGTTAAGAGAACAAATTAGGCCAGGCACAGTGGCTCACGCCTGTAATCCCAGCACTTTGGGAGGTTGAGGCGGGTGGATAATAAAGTCAAGAGTTCAAGACCATCCTGGCTAACACGGTGAAACCCCCTCTCTACTAAAAATAGAAAAATTAGCCAGTCGCGGTGGCTGGTGCCTGTAATTCCAGCTACTAGGGAGACTGAGGCAGGAGACTCGCTTGAACCCAGGAGGCAGAGGTTGCAGTGAGCCGAGATCGCTCCACTGCGCTCCAGCCTGGGTGATAGAGTAAGACTCTGTCTCAAAAAACAAAACAAAAGAGTAAAAAAAAAAAAAAGGAATAAATTAATAATGTTTACTAAATAGACCCCGACTTGGGACTATCCAGCTATCTCAATATCTGAAGAATGAAGGTATTCCTGATTTTGCTTTAAAGATAATGATATTGATTCTTGCAACATATAGTAATTAAGAACATTAATCCTTTATCACAAACCCTCCTAGCAGAGCATACGTCCCCAAGATATTTTTTTATCCTATATATAAACAACTATTGCATCTGCGGTGGAAGCTTCCCCCTCTCAGTTTCAGAAATGCCCTACTCTGTCTATGGAGGAGCTGTTCTTTTACCAATTTAGTTTCCTTTTTTTTTTTTTTTTTTTTTTTTGAGAGAGAGTCTCGCTCTGTCACCCAGGCTGGAGTGCAGTGGTGCAATCTCAGCTCACTGCAACCTCCACCTCCCAGGTTCAAGCGATTCTCCTGCCTCAGCCTCCCGAGTAGCTGGGACTACAGGCACCAGCCACCACGCCCGGCTAATTTTCCTATTTTTAATAGAGACCAGGTTTCACCATGTTGGCCATGCTGGTCTCGAACCCCTGGCCTCAGGTGATCCACCCGCCTGGGCCTCCCAAAGAGCTGGGATTACAGGCGTGAGCCACCGCCCCCGGCCTTTTTTTTTTTTTTTTTTTTGAGACAGAGTCTCACTGTGTCGCCCAGGCTGGAGTGCAATGGTGCAATCTCAGCTCACTGCAACCTCCGCCTCCCTGGTTCAAGCGATTCTCCTGCCTCAGCCTCCTGAGTAGCTATTGATTACAGATGCCCACCACCATGCCCAGCTAATTTTTCTATTTTTAATAGAGACCAAGTTTGACCATGTTGGCCAGGCTGGTCTCGAACTCCTGGCCTCAGGTGATCTGCCCGCCTCGGCCTCCCAGAGTGCTGGGATTACAGGCGTGAGCCACCGTGTCTGGCCCCAATTTACTTTCTTAATAAAGTTCCTTTAATTTGCATTACGGGCTTTCCCTGAAGTCTTTCTTGCACAAGATCCAAGAACCTTCTCTTGCCGTCTGGATCGGGACGCTTTTCCTGTAACAATAGGGCCGAACACGCTAAGAGGGGAAAGGTGGAGAGATGAGGCTTCCGTATGGGCACTGAGATGGGTCTTCAGCGTCGGGGAGCGGAGAACGGTTGGGGTCTGAACTACAGTGTCTGCCCACCTCCCCATGAGGAGCTCCAAAGACAAGCTGAACCCCTAAGCTAGTACCAGCCCCAAACTCTGAAGGCCGTTCGTATATTCCCTTTATCCACCGGAGGTCCAGGTGGAAGCAGAAAACAGAAAATATTGTCCTTTGTGGCCCGAAGGGAAGATGCCGAGGCCCCGTGACTCTGCTGAGCAGGGGAACCCCTCACCAGGACTCATCCCCACAGCCGTTTACAAGTCCTCGTTCCCCCAGACCCCCCAGTCCCTCCTGCAACTCAACCTGACCCGCACTCACTCAATGCTGCGGATCAAGCCTTCTGGGCCTTTTGTTTGCTTTTCCACACACAGTCTGAGCTGCTCAATTAAAGCATAAAAACCATTAGTGAGCCGGGGAGGCCCCTGGGGAGGCTCAGCCAGTGAACTCCCTGGCCTGTTTCCCCAAGGCAAGCCGAGTGGGCCTCCATCTGTCAGCACTGAGAGGTGGCCGCCACACCTCCAAAACCTCCAAACGGCTTCCCGGGGGACTGAGGGAGGAGATAAATTGAGATTAAAAAAAAAAAACAAAACAAAACATGGCACTATTTTTTTTGAGACAGAGTCTCGCTCTGTGGCCCAGGCTGGAGTGCAACGGCGTGATCTCGGCTCACTGCAACGTCCGCCTCTCGGGTTCAAGCGATTCTCCTGTCTCGGTTCCCAGAGTACCTGGGATGACAGGCACCCGCCACCACGCACGGCTAATTTTTGTATTTTTAGTAGAGACGGGGTTTCAGCGTGTTGGCCAGGCTGGTCTCAAACGCCTGACCGCAGGTGATCCACCCACCTCAGCCTCCCAAAGTGCTGGGATGACAGGCACCTGCCACCACGCACGGCTAATTTTTGTATTTTTAGTAGAGACGGGGTTTCAGCATGTTGGCCAGGCTGGTCTCGAACGCCTGACCCCAAGTGATCCGCCAGCCTCGGCCTCCCAAAGTGCTGGGATGACAGGCGTGAGCCCACAAGCCCGGCCAAGATTTAAAAAAAAAAAAAAAAAAAAAAAAAAAGTCACTGTTGAAATACTGGCACGTAGAATGCCAGAGATGAGGAGGATTCTAGGTAGGACAACAGCAACCTTCGCTCCCGGACAACAGGTAGCAACATCGTCCTCATATCCCTGGCCCTCTTATCGTCACCTTCCCTTCCACGCCTCCCTCGGGAGCGATTGTATCTATTGTCTCCCAGCCCCGATGATGGATGCTCAGGGCACTCATCTCTCTGAGTGATCAGTATTTTCCGTGTTCTTCTCAGAGTCTCTGACACTGTGGGCCGGGCCCTGGCTACAGCTGACGAGTGTGTGTGTGTGTGTGTGTGTGTGTCTGTGTGTGTGTGTGGGGGGGGGGGTTCATTTACATTTCAATCTTCACCTCATGAATGTAAAAGCTCAGCCGGCAAATTAATAACAGGGTGATGAGGACGCCTCCCTGCACTGGGAAGGGGGGCACCACCTCCCCTCGTTTCCAACCCCTAGAAGCCGACAGCCCCTTCCTGGCCATTGTGTTCGGCAGCCGTCTCATTTACCGGCCCGCGGTGAATGACATTACAGAGAAAGGCATATCCAGAGTGACACAAATGTATTTCTGTCCCAAGCAAGGCAGTCTATTTTCATAGAATCAAGGGGCTATTTGTCTGGGGACGATTTAGTTTCCATGAAAAATTAAAATGGTTTTCTGTGCTGCTATAGGGTGGCGAAATTTAATTTGTCACTCGTTTACTAAAGCAGGTATAAAAAGGAGAAGAATTGGATGTCTGATGGGCTGAAATTGGCGACGTCCCTCGGTTTGGTCTCCCAAGGCCTGGGGACGCAGAGGCCTGTCCCGGCCACCCCCAACGCCCCCCTCTCCCCACCCTCGGAGGACCTGGTCATCTTAAACCAACTTACAGAAAACCTTTGGGGAGGCTGTGCCAATCACCCGGAAAACCACGTTCCTATCGATCCCCTGTCTGCGTGATTTATGGCTTCATTTTACGGTAATTGAGAATTAGTGAGGAGATGAGCAGGACTGCACGTGGTGACACGGGGTCCACATCTCATTGAATTGCGGGATGACGTGGAAATTAATGTGACACACGGGAGATGTGGAACAGGGGGCCGTGTGTCTCCAGCATCACACGGGCGTCCCCGGTCACCAGCACCCCCTCCCCGGTCTGCCTTCGAAGGCAGGATGAGGATGATTGATCCGAATCGGTTTCAATCCGTCTCAACTGCAGCCCGGCCGATGGACGGGACACTCACAATTGGATTGAGCCTCCTACGAACAAAGTTCATCGACAGCCACCCGCAGGTCAATGGCTGCAGCTCACCAGCGTGGCACACGTATACGTATGTAACTAACCTGCACAATGTGCACATGTACCCTAAAACTTAAAGTATAATCATAATAAAATAAAATAAAGGAAAAAAAATAGGAGGTCTCGTGTCATCCGACCGCCTCAAAATGAAGTTTTGAAAATCTACGTCTTGCAGCCGACATGCCAAATCTCTAAAGCCAACCAACAGTGGCAAAGTCGAATTACAGATGGACTCTGCTGGGCTGTTTACAGGATAATCGGCTGCTCTGATCGTGAATAAAGGTGCTAACTACTCCCCACTGTGCAGAGAGAAAAAGGTTCTAACTACCCCCACCCTACAGAGAGAAATGTCTGCGTCCCGTAAGGGCAGGAGGGGTGACAGAGGAGATCTGGGAAGCTCTAGGGGTGAAAAGAGGCTTATGTCTGGCCTCAGCCATCTCTCCAAAGCCTTACAGAGGCCTCCTCTGCAGATTTGCACACCTAAAGCTCGGCGGGGTTTCAAGACCGTTAAGAATCTCTTTTGCATTTGAACAGGGACGTAGGTGTGAACGTAGAGTGTCCAGCAGAAAAAAAAACAAACAAACAAAAAAAAAAAAAAACGGAGCTGTGGAAAGTTCCGGAGAAGCTCACAGTGTAACAGTGGGAAATTCTTCACCTTCTGGTGCTCGGCAAATTGTTTGACAACATCTGGGTAGAAAATGGAGAGCAGAGTCTGTGAACGCTCCCCTCAAGAAAACCCGCTCATGTGTGTTTGGAAAATGCAATGGGGTTGGGATCATGGCTTTTTCTTATAAAAACACTGGGTGGCCCGGCGTGGTGGCTCATGTCTGTCATCCCAGCACTTTGGGAGGCCGAGGTGGGTGGATCACCTGAGGTCAGGGGTTCGAGACCAGCCTGGCCAACATGGTGAAACCCCGTCTCTATTAAAAATACAAAAATCAGCTGGGTGTGGTCACTGGCTCCTGTAATCCCAACTACTAGGGAGACTGAGGCAGGAGTATCGCAGGAGACTAGAGACATGGTGAAACCCTGTCTCTATTAAAAATACAAAAAATTAGCTGGGTTTGTGGCCTGTAATCCCAGCTGCTCTGGAAGCTGAGGCAGGAGAATCGCTTGAACCTGGGAGGTGGAGGTTGCAGTGAGCTGAGATCGCGCCACTGCACTCCAGCCTGGGTGACAGAGGGAGACTACGTCTCAAAAAAAAAAAAAAAAAAAAGCTAACAAAAAACTAAAAACAGGACTCTAACTTTCCCTGTTTTCCTCTCACCAACAGTATTAAAGCATTCCTATTTCCCCACATCCTCGCCAGCATCTGTTGTTTCCTGACTTTTTATTTTTTTATTTTTATCTTTTATTTTTTTGAGACGGAGTTTTGCTCTTGTTGCCCAGGCTGGAGTGCAGTGGCACGATCTCAGCTCACCGCAACCTCTGCCTCGCGGGTTCAAGCGATTCTCCTGCCTCAGCCTCCCCAGTAGCTGGGATTACAGGTGCCCACCACCATGTCCGGCTAGTTTTTTGTATTTTTAGTAGAGTTGGGGTTTCTCCATGTTGGCCACGCTGGTCTCGAACTCCTGACCTTGTGATCCGTCTGCCTCAGCCTCCTGAAGTGCTGGGATGACAGGCGTGAGCCATGGCGCCCGTCCTACACACTTCTTATGATAGGAGCTGAGTAAGGGCTTCCAAGGTGTTTTCCTGTACTAAGCACTTTGTGTTTTTGAGGCAGAGTCTCACTCTGTCATCCAGGCTGGAGTCCAGAGGTGCAATCTCGGCTCACTGCAAACTCTGCCTCCTGGGTTCAAGCGACTCTCCTGCCTCAGCCTCCCGAGTAGCTGGGACTACTGGCACCCGCCATCACGCCCGGCTAACTTTTGTATTTTTAGTAGAGGTGAGGTTTCACCATGTTGGCCAGGCTGGTCTCGAACTCCTGACCTTGTGATCCACCCACCTCAGCCTCTCAAAGTGCAGAGATGACAGGCGTGAGCCATGGCGCCCGTCCTACACACTTCTTATGATGGGAGCTGATGTGTACAAGGGCTTCCAAGGTGTTTTCCTGTGTTTTTTTGAGGCACAGTCTCACTCTGTCATCCAGGCTGGAACCCAGTGGTGCCAACCAGGCATGACTGAGGCATTAAACAGAAGGAAAACCTGTCCCTTGCACCAGTAACGTGATTTGCAAAATCCGATCAGCTATGTGCCTATCGCATACGTGGGTCTCTTATCACATTGGCGGGGACCACAAGCCCTAATGCAATGCAGGAGGTGCGCTAACGAGACAGGGGAGTCGCTAACGCAATGATCCCGCAGTCAGGGCGAGGCGAGGGGCTGCCCGTCGTGGCCAGAGGTTCCCGGAATAAATTAGCCAAGCGGAGTTGCTGAGTGCGGGAGGAGGATGAATTAGAAGTCCGACGCTGTGTGGGGAAAATAGGCTCCACCTCCCCGAGCTCAAGCCTTCCCGGGCGCTGGGACTACAGGTTTGCACCAACACACCTGGCTAATTTTTTTAAATTGTTTCTGTTTTGTAGAAACAAGGTCTCAGTATGTTGCTCAGGCTGGTCTCAAACTCCTGGCCTCAACTGATCCTCCCACCTCAGCCTCCCAAAGTGTTGGGATCACAGGTGTGAGCCACGGTGCCCAGCCCAGGAATGAGGTTTAATTCTTCACAACGCGTTATTCCAGGTCAAAGGTAGTCCCACCCCCAGCTAAATCTCCATGGGTAGAAACTGAAATGTCTTCCTTTGGAAAAAGCAGCTAAGCCAGCAGAACTCTGATCATTGGCTGTGGTGGTAGCTTGACTATGTCCCCCGAAAGAGACAGGATCATAAGGTCAGGAGTTCGAGACCAGCCTGGCCAACATGGTGAAACCCCGTCTCTACTAAAAATATAAAAAATTAGCCGGACACGGGCTGTTTTAACCTGTGCTACCTATGAGTGGGACTTTATTTGGAAATAAGGTTTCTGCAGTTGGAATTAAGTGGGGGAATTTGAGATGAGATCATCCTGCATTAGGGGGACCCTAAACCCAATGAGGAATGTCCTTCTAAGAGACAGAAGAGGAAACACAGACACAGAGGAGAAGGCCACGTAGAGACGGAGGCAGAGACTGCAGTGAGGCGGCCACAAGCCCAGGGATGCCTGGAGCCCCCAGGAGCTGGGAGAGTTAGGAAGGACCCTCCCCTACAGCCTCCAGAGGGAACACGGCCCTGAGACACCTTCTTCTCAGACTGCTGGATGCCAGGACTGGGACAGGAAAAATTCTTGTTGTAAAAGCTTCTGGGTTTGGGGTCATTTGTGTGGCAGACGTAGGATGTCAGTCACCAGGAGATCACGGATCAAAGCCGAGAAACACTGGGATGAGGGCCCTAGGTTATCCACAGGGGCCTCGATGAATGAGTTGGATGTTTCCTCATGTGTAGCAGTGCACAGAAGGGCAGGAGGAACTGGGTACCAGGCTGACTTTACCTTTCGCGTAAAAGCCCGTCCAAGAGTCACACCGAATGTGTTTCTGGTTGTTTTTTTTTTTTTTTTTTTTGGAGATGGAGTCTCGCTCTGTCGCCCAGGCTGGAGTCCAGTGGTGCCATCTCAGCTCACTGCAACCTCCGCCTCCCGGGTTCAAGCGATTCTCCTGCCTCAGCCTCCCGAGTAGCTGGGACTACATGCACCTGCCACCACAGCTGGCTAATTTTCATATTTGTAGTAGAGACGGGGTTTCGCCATGTTGGCCAGGCTGGTCTTGAACTCCTGACCTCAGGTGATCTGCCTGCCTCGGCCTCCCAAAGTGCTGGGATGTTGCAGGCGTGAGCCAACGTGCCCAGTGTGTTTCTGTTAAGACACGCGAAGCCGTGGTTCTCCCCTGGGCTCCGTCCTCTTGCTTTTGCTTTTTGAGTTCTCCAGTAATACGAGTACCCTTTACTTTTTGTATCCCATTTTTTATCTATTTTTTTCTCTCTTTTGGGTGTCTGCAACAACCTGGCTGGCTCGGCTCTCGGCTCTGCAAGACAAATGTTCAGCTTCCTCGCCAGAAAAGAAAAAAGAAAAAAAAAATTCTGGACGGCGTTTCTTGCCTTAAATAAAAAACCGCTTATTCACCTCAATGTGGGAGAAAGCTATGATTATCACACCTATATTTCGGGCCCAGGGTAAGCCGAGAATGTCTCTCTAGAATCCCATAAATCCAACCCTGAAAGGATGAATTCCTCAAACATGAAATTGGGTCCTCACCTGCTTTTCATTATAGGTTTTCAAGAAGTAAATGGTGTTTCCGTTTGTTATTTATATGCTCGTGGAGTGTAATGGTTGTAATGATTAATACTGAATTTCTGAAATTATTCTAAAAAGACACTTCATAAATATTGAACAGAGCTATTATCCGCATGTATCTCCATTTATTTTATTAAAATGGAAATTCAGCAATCATCAATAAAAGCATACTGTGTATTTTGAGAGGGCCCTGGGGAATGGAGTAGAATACAGAATTTTTTTTTTTTTAAACTTCACTACCCTCTCTTCTCTTTCACAGCTGCATTTGAACCCAGTACAATAACTCTGATGATTTCAGGGGAATGTCCCCTTTGGTGGTTTTAGGGGACTGTCCCCAAGGGTTATGTCGACGAATCCGGGAAAAATTTGATCAATAACTGGATGTGAACAGGGATATTCAGAACGAGCCCTGTTTGGACTTGAATTTTCCAACAGGGCAGAAGCATTTGCAAATATTGATAACATACGTTTCCAATCAGACCTGAATTTTGGATATTTTACTTGGAAGACTTCTCTGGAAGTTTGGAGGTCTTCAAAGACAAAATCTTGCTAATCCTCTCACTGGGGCTGAGACAGAGGACAGGATTTCTTTCAGCTTTTTTTTTTTTCTTTTTTTGAGATGGAGTCTTGCTCTGTCGCCCAGGCTGGAGTGCAGTGAGTGGTGCGATCTCAGCTCACTGCAAGCTCCACCTTCCGGGATCAAGTGATTCTCCTGCCTCAGCCTCCCGAGTAGCTGGCACTACAGGCACCTGCCACCATGCCCGGCTAATATTTGTAGTTTTAGTAGAGACTGGGTTTCGCCATGTTACCCAGGCTGATCTCAAAATCCTAGTCTCAAGTGATCCATTCACCCTGGCCGCCCAGAATGCTGGGATGACAGCTCCTTTTACCTATTTTTTTTTTTTTTTTGAGACAGAGTCTCGCTCTGTCACCCAGGCTGGAGTGCAGTGGTGCGATCTCGGCTCACTGCAAGCTCCACCTTCCGGGATCAAGGGATTCTCCTGCCTCAGCCTCCAAAATAGCTGGCAATACAGCCACCGGCCACCATGCCTGGCTAATTTTTTTTAATCTTTTTTTTATTATTATTATACTTTTAAGTTCCAGGGTACATGTGCACAACGTGCAGGTTTGTTACATATGTATTACTAGAGACGGGGTTTCTCCACGTTGTCCAGGCTGGTCTCAAACTCCTGACCTCGGGAGGTCCCCCTACCTCGGCCTCCCGAAGTGCTGGGATGACAAGAATGAGCCACCGCGCCCGGCCAGAATGCCCCAAATTTTAAACCAATAAACCATGATGGGAGTCCCTGGGAATCCAGAGTTCTGATCTAGAATAACTCAGGGACCCCACTCCCCAGTTTGTAAAGTAGGGAGTTACAGGGCAGTCTTGGGGTGAATGAGGTTCAAATGCCTTGTGTAAATTAAAAGGTTAGAGGCGGAGATAACGTTGGCCTCTGGAAACCCTAGCGGGGACAGAGGTGCACCTGGGCTGGACCAACAGACACAGAAATTGTTGCAAAGATGGAAACCATTGCCAATGCTGGTTTGATGGGATTAGGGAAAGCCTCATATATCTGACATCTTTCCTTCTTCAGTTTTCACACAGAAAATCAGAGAAAGGGAAATGCCTGCACACACAAAAAGGGAAATTACTGCACCAAAAAAAAAAATTCTGTACACACACACACACACACAAACACACACACACACACACACACACACACAATTCCCTGGAGAATTTCAGGAATAAAGCCAATCACCATTTATGGGGACAATGGAGAGACACCAGAAAGAAAACTATATACCTTTAAAAGTAATTTTTTTTCCAGGTACAACAGGACTTAAAACAAGTAATGACAATTTTTTTATTTTTATTTTTATTTTTTTGAGAGGGAGTTTCACTCTTGTCACCCAGGCTGGAGTACAGTGGCGCAATCTTGGCTCACGGCAACCTCTGCCTCCTGGGTTCAAGCGATTCTCCTGCCTCAGCCACCTGAGGAGCTGGGATTACAGGCATGCACCACCACGCCCGGCTAATTTTGTATTTTTAGTAGAGACGGGGTTTCACCACGTTGGTCAGGCTGGTCTCCAACTCTTGACCTCAGGTGATCCACCCATCTCGGTCTCCCAAAGTGCTGGGATTACAGGCATGGGCCACCATGCGTGGCCACAACTACCAACACTTTTAAGGTTAAACAGTAAAAGCTATTCTGTCTCTCTCTCCATATATATATATATATATATATATATACACACACACACACACACACACACACAGACACACACATACATACATATATATACATATATACAAATATACATATATACATATATACATATATACACATATACACATATATACACATATATACACAT
Source organism: Homo sapiens (assembly GCF_000001405.40). Lineage (NCBI taxonomy): Eukaryota > Metazoa > Chordata > Mammalia > Primates > Hominidae > Homo > Homo sapiens. The sequence goes on from NC_000023.11 coordinate 797,867, forward strand.
ATATACATATATACACATATATACACATATATACGTATATACACATATATACGTATATACACGTATATACATATATACATATATACATATATACACGTATATACATATATACATATATACACGTATATACATATATACATATATACACGTATATACATATATACGTATATACTCATATATACATATATACGTATATATACATATATACACATATATATACATATATACGTATACATACACATATACATACATATGTATACATATATACGTATACTGGGGGAAGGGGAGAATTGGGCATAGCCCCAGACCAGAGGGTTTTATTGAGTCTGAAAATCAATAAATACAGTGTATGGGCTGCAGACAGGATGAGTTATTAGAATATCATGGAGATCACCTGTAAAGATTCTCCGGCAAGCTGGAAATGAGATTACAGGAACTGGGACAGACCCTGGATGCAGAGGTCTCATTAGCAATCCATGCGTACATTAATTAAGGTAAGCAGTGCCTTTGCTTCCTGAAAACCTGCCTTCCTTGATATTTTCCTCGAAGACGCTACAAGTTTTGGAGGGCACTAACCTCTCCTCTTATATGTCGATTGCTTTTTTTTTTCTTTTTTTTTTTTTTGAGACCACGTCCTTCTCTGTCACCCAGGCTGGAATGCACTGGCGCAAGCTCAGGTCACGACAACATCCTCCTCCAGGGTTCAAGTGATTCTCCTGCTTCAGCCTCCCAAGTAGCTGGGATTATAGGCACCTGCCAACACGCTTGGCTGACTTTTGTACTTTTAGTAGAGACGGGGTTTCACCATGTTGGTCAGGCTGGTCTTGAACTCCTGACTTGAAGTGATCTACCTGCCCTCCATCTTTCAAAGTGTTGGGATTACAGACATGAGCCACCGCACCCAGTCCCAACTGCTTTTTAAAAATTGAAAAAATTGAATGTTTATTGACATGCCAATTTTTTTCAATCTGTTTTAAAAATAATATATCCTAAATGGACAGGTGCAGCGGCTCACGCCTGTAATCCCAACACTTTGGGAGGCTGAGGCGGGTGGATCACTTGAGGTCAGGAGTTCGAGACCATCTGGCCAACATGGTGAAAACCCGTCTCTACTAAAAATACAAAATTAGCCAGGCGTGGTGGCGGGCGCCTGCAATCCCAGCTACTCGGGAGGCTGAGGCAGGAGAATAGCTCAAACCCGGGAGGCGGAGGTTGCAGTGAGCCGAGATCACACCACTGCATTCTAGTCAGAACGTTCTCATCACCCCAAATGGAGACCCTGTACCCGCAAAGCAGTGACTCCCCGTGCCCCATCCCCCAGCCCCTGTGGCAACCACGAATCCACTTTCTGTCTTTGTCGGTTTACCTTTTGTACACATTTCATGTAAATGGACTCATATAATGGGTGAGGTAAATATTTGTTGTTGTTTTTGTTGTTTTTGAGACAGAATCTCGCTCTGTTTCCCAGGCTGGAGTGCAGTGGCGCAATCTCGGCTCACTGCAAGCTCCACCTCCTGGGTTCAAGCGATTCTCCTGCCTCAGCCTCCCGAGTAGCTGGGACTACAGGCACCCGCCACCACGCCTGCCTAAGTTTTTGTATTTTTAGTAGAGACGGGGGTTTCACCATGTTGGCCAGGCTGGTCTTGAACTCTTGACCTCAGGTGATCCACCCGCCTCGGCCTCCCAAAGTGCTGGGATGGGATTATAGGCGTGAGCCACCATGCCAGGCCAGTAAAATATTTTTTGTTGTTGTTTGTTTCTGTTTTTGTTTGAGACAGAGTCTTGCTCTGTCTCTCAGGCTGGAGTGCAGTGGTGCGATCTCGGCTCACTGTAACCTCCACCCACCAGGTTCAAGCCATTCTCCTGCCTCAGCCTCCTGAGTAGCTGGGATCACAGGTGCACACCACCACGCCTGGCTAATTTTTGTAGTTTTAGTAGAGACGGGGTTTCACCATGTTGGTCAGGCTGGTCTCGAACTCCTGACCTCAGGTGATCCATCCACCCTGACCTCCCAAAGTGCTAGGATTACAGGCATGAACCACTGCACCCGGTGAGATAAAATATTTTGTATCTGGCTTTTTTTCACTGACCATGATCTCTTCAAGGTTCATCCATGCTGTAGCCTGTGTCAGAGCCTCATTCCTTTTCATGGCTGTATAATATTCCACAGTGTGGTTGGAGCACATTCTGTTTCTCTGTTTGTCAGCTGAGGACCATGGCTATTTCCACCTTTTGGCTATTGTGAGTAACACTGCTGTGAACATGTATGTACATGTTTTGGTTAAATATCTCTGTTTTCATTCCTTTTGGGTAGCTGTTGAGAAGTAGAATGGCTGGGCTGTATGGGAATTTGACGTTTGACTTTTTTCATTCTTTGATGAACCAATAGCTAGAGTTTTGCTTGCTGCACTGACAAGACAAGCAAGATATACAACTCATATTGGTCTATACTTCATCCACGCATTCCCAGGCCATTTCCCTGAAAGTGGTGTCCAGAACTGGGGGCAGGAAGAGCTGACCAAGTGAGCAAATGACCAGAAAGGGCTGGAGGGCAAGGATGGTGACCAGGGCCGCTGTCGCAGCAGGTGCAGTGAGTTTACCAAGCATCTAGTCCAGCTTCTCATTTCATAGACGGGGAAGCCGAGGGACTCTGAAAAAGGATAGAGCCTCACTAGGAATGGCTGGCCGAGGACTTCCCTGGATATAGACTTCAGAATGGCTGGCCTGGGAAGTCCTGGGATATGCACCTTTGTCATGCAGCTGGAAAAGATGTGCGGGGATGGAATGTTAGTGTAAACACTGAGGGATGATGGGAGTATGGGCATGAAGGTCGAAGCTCAGATACATTGATAATATATAGGTCAATGATAGTTACATGATAGATGAAAGATATATAGATGATGGATATATAATCAATAGATAAGTCAGGTGCGGTGGCTCACGCCTGTAATCCCAGCACTTTGGGAGGCCAAGGCGGGCGGATCGCCTGGGGTCAGGTGTTTGAGACCAGCCTGGCCAATATGGTGAAACCTCGTCTCTACCAAAAATACAAAAATTAGCCAGGCGGGGTGGTGGGCGCCTGTAATCCCAGCTACTCAGGGAGCTGAGGCAGGAGAATTGCTTGAACCTGGGTGGTAGAGGTTGCAGTGAACTGAGATCACGCCACTGCACTCCAGCTTGGGTGACAGAGTAAGACTCTGTCTCAAAAAAAAAAAAAAAATCAGGCCGGGTGCAGTGGCTCATGCCTGTCATCCCACCACTTTGGGAGGTGAAGTGGGTGGATCACATGAGGTCAGGAGTTCGAGACCAGCGTGGCCAACATGGTGAAACTCTGTCTCTACTAAAAATACAAAAATTAGCCAGGTGCCGTGGTGTGCACTTGTAATCCCAGCTACTGAGGAAGCTGAGGCAGGAGAATTGCTTGAACCTGGGTGGCGGACGTTGCAGTGAGCCGAGATCACACCACTGTACTCCAGCCTTGGTGACAGAGTAAGACTCCGTCTCAAAAAAAAAAAAAAAAAAAAATTCAATAGATAGATAACAGATAACATTAATAGCTAGGTAAATAATACATGATTGAGAGATGATAGATAATTGATAAGTAAATAGACGATAGATGAAAGATATTATGTAGGTGATAGCTAGCTAGATGATTGATGAATTTGTACATAGATAGATGATTGACTGATACGGTTTGACTCTGTGTCCCCACTCATCTCTCACATTGAATCATAATGATCCCCATGGGTCAAGGGGGGGACCAGGTGGAGGTAATTGAATTACGGGTGCAGTTTCCCCACACTGGCCTCGTGATAATGAGTGAGTCTCATGAGATCTGAAGGTTTTATAAGCATCTGCCATTTCCCCAGCTGGCACTCCTTCTCTCTCCTGCCGCCCTGTGAAGAGGTGCCTTCCGCCACGATTGTGAGTTTCCTGAGGTCTCCCCAGCCATGTGGAACTGTGAATCCATTGAATCTCTTTGCTTTATAAATTAGGCAGTCTTGGATATGTCTTTATTAGCAGCATGGGAAGAGTCTAATGCTAGAAAATTAGCCAGGTGTGGTGGCTTGAGCCTGTAATCCCAGCTACTTGGGAGGCTGAAGTCGGAGAATCACTTGAACCTGGAAGTTGGAGGTTGCAGTGAGCTGAGATTGAGCCACTGCACCCAGACCTGGGTGAAAGAGCAAGACTTTGTCTTAAAAGGAAAAGAAAAAAACCTCAAAAACAAACAAACAAAACGAACAAAATATTCCATCCCATACCAAGGTTATCCAAACTTGACTTCTGGCAAATTGAGTGTTTTCTGTTACTTACCTAGTATCAACATTTCTTTCTTTCCTCCTTTCTTTCTTTCTTTCCTCTCTTTCTTTCTTCATTTCTCTCTCTTCTTTCTCTTTCTTCATTTCTCTCTCTTCTTTCTCTCTCTCTTTCTTTCTTTCTTTCTTTCCCTTTCTTTCTTTCTTTTTTCTTTTTTTTTGAGATGGAGTTTTGCTCTTGTTGCCCAGGCTGGAGTGCAGTGGTGCCATCTTAGCTCACTGCAACCTCCACCTCCCAGGTCAAGCGATTCTCCTGCCTCCCAGGTAGCTGGGATTACAGGCGCCCACCACCATGCCCGGCTGTTTTTTTGTATTTTTAGTTGGGACTGGGTTTCACCAAGTTGGCCAGGCTGGTCTCAAACTCCTGACCTCAGGTGATCCACCCACCTCGGCCTCCCAAAGTGCTGGGATGACAGGAGTGAGTCAAAATATTTTTTCGTGTTGTGTGTTTTTGTTTGTGTTTTTGAGACAGAGTCTCGTTCTGTCACCTAGGCTGGAGCGATCTCAGCTCAGGGCAACCTCCATCTCCTGGGTTCAAACCATTCTTCTGCCTCAGCCTCCAGAATAGCTGGGATTACAGGCGCCCACCATCACGCCTGGCTAATTTTTGTATTTTTAGTAGAGACAGGGTTTCACGATGTTGGCCAGGCTGGCCTCGAACTCCTGACCTCAGGTGATCCACCCACCTCAGCCTCCCAAAGTGCTGGGATTGTAGACATGAGCCACCACGGCCGGCCACACCATTACTTAAATGACATTGAAAAGCACTTCCCTGGAAGCCAGATCCAGGCTGTTTCACAGTTATGGCAGTGGAGGACTTCCCAGAGCTGCTGGGCAGTTGTCCAAAAACCAATCTCTAAGTGGTGCTTTTTGGCAGCTCTAAAGGTGCAAACTTCATGGGCCTACACAAAATTGCACACGGGCTTAGCGTGCGTGGGGTCCCTTGGAACGTAGGCATCTTTGCACTTCTAGGTGGCCTTCCTTCTGAGCAGGGGGTATCTGGCTGCCTGTGGCTTTTCTCCAGCAGGAAGGGGGGTATGTGCATTGGCAGACATCAATGAGCATGAGAGATATGAATAGGGCTGAGAACGGCAGACTCTGCCCTGGATGGTGGGAGATACTCGCCAGAGGTGGCATTTCTTCTTCTGAGTTGGTCAGCACGACATGCACCCGTGGCAGCCTCTGGGACAGTTTTCTGATCCATAACAAACTTAATGGACTTGGGTGGTCTCTAGGTTCTCTGGCTTCTGACGCTACATGAACTGATGTATTAGTCAGTTCTTCCATTGCTACAGACAAATACCTGAGACTGAGTAATTTATAAAGAAGAGAGGTTGGCCAGGCACGGTAGCTCAAGCCTGTAATCCCAGCACTTTGGGAGGCTGAGGTGGGTGGATCACCTGAGGTCAAGGGTTCAAGACCAGCCTGGCCAACATGGTGAAACCCCATCTCTAGTAAACATACAAATAATTAGTTGGGCGTGATGGTGTGGGCCTGAAATCCCAGCTACTCAGGAGGGTGAGGCAGGAGAGTCACTTGAACCCAGGAGGTGGAAGTTACAGTCAGCTGACATAGCACCACTGCACTCCAGCATGGACAACAGAGTGAGACTCCATCTAGGAAGAAAGCAAGAAGGCAAGAAAGCAAGAAAGCAAGCAAGCAAGCAGGAAAGAAAGAAAGGAAGAAAAAAAGAAAGAAAGGAAGAAAGCAAGCAAATAAGAAAGCAAGAAAGCAAGCAAGCAAGAAAGAAAGAAAAAGAAATTAAGAAAGCAAGCAAGTAAGAAAGAAAGCAAGCAAGAAAGAAAGAAAGTAAGAAAGCAAGCAAGTAATAAAGCAAGAAAGAAAGAAGGAAAAGAAAGAAAGTAAGAAAGCAAGCAAGCAAGCAAGACAGAAAGTTAGAAATTAAGAAAGCAAACAAGTAAGAAAGAAAGAAGGAAAGAAAGAAGAAAAGAAAGAAAACAAGTAAGAAAGCAAGCAAGTGAGAAAGAAAGAAAGAAAGAAAGAAAGAAAGAAAGAAAGAAAGAAAGAAAGAAAGAAAAGAAAAGAAAAGAAAGACAGACTTTCCATCTGATGCTACGCTCACTATTTAAGGGATGTGTTCCATGGAAGCTCAAGCCTCCGCTTCAGACAATATATCCATATAACAATCCTGCACACGTGCCCCCGAATCTAAAATAAAAATGAAAAAAGAAACCACTTTCCACGAGCTATTTCTTTTTTTTTTTTTTTTTTTTTTTGGATTTTTTAGTAGAGACGGGGTTTGGCCCTGTTGGCCAGGCTGGTCTCGAACTCCTGACTTCCGATGATCCACCCACCTCAGCCTCCCAAAGTGCTGGGATTACAGGTGTGAGCCACCGGGCCTGGCCTTTTGTTTGTTTTGTGTTTTTTGAGATGGAGTCTCTTCTCTCACCCAGGCTGGAGGGCAGTGGCATGATCTTGGCTCACAGCAACCTCTGTCTCCTGGGTTCACGCGATTCTCCTGCCTCAGCCTCCCGAGTAGCTGTAAACTTTCACAACTGCGAATTTTTTCTCCTTCTCACTGTCCCCAGGGACAGTGTCCCAGGGAAGGGACAGCCCTTCCCAATTCGATCTCCCTTGTCAAGCCTGTTAGTGCCTCAACTTCCACTTTGAAAAGTCACGTCAACGCTGCCTGAATGTGCGGTTGTCCTTAAAAGACCGTTTGAATGAATTGTATTGTGTTTAGTGCAAGGACAAGGAGGATTGGGGTGGAAATGTGGAAGGGAAACCTCATCCCTGTGTGTGTGTGTGTGTGTGTGTGTGTGTGTGTGTGTGTGTGTGTGTGTGACATTAACGTGCTGCCACTCAAATGCACCTGTTTCCTCTCAAGGAAAGTCACTTTCAAGAAAGATGCGGTGGAAAGTCGTTTGTTTGTGATCACCGGCGTGTTGGAACACCGGGCTGGTGAAAGCAAATAATGCTGTTACCTCGTCGTCATACTGTCACTGGATACGTTTTCCTGGGGTGCAGGGAAGCTCCTTCTGATATAATACAGGGTGAAGAGATTCCCCCAAGAAGCCGTTGTTTCGGAGTCGAAACAAAGAAAAGCTTTTGCAAAACCCCCTGTCTCTAATTTCGTTTTAGAAAATTAGATACTCAGAATTTTGCCTAAGATAACTGTATTACCGGGATGCAATTTGCTGTAGGTTGCTAGCTTTCCTGCGCGGGATCCCTTAATAAAAAGTGTCAGTTAAAATGAAAATACAGCTTGGGTAATTAAATTTAATTGGATCTTGTCACTTTACATCCGCTTCGTTTTGGAGGGTTTCTACGGAATTGCAGCTACCCGGTTTGCTAATTTCTTGACGGCAAGCTGCTGAGGAGAAGCTGACCCTCCTCTAATCAACTGACACCCTGTTTTTGCCAGGACTCTGAACCCTGCTAGTGACGATAAACAAAGAAAAGGGAAGGAAGGGCTTAGGGTAGGAAAAGAGGGGGATGGAGTTATCTGTGGGTGATTAACTTGTTCTCCCAGCGAGTGAGCTGCTATTGTTACCATTTGCAGGGGAGGAATCCCAGCTCTGAGAAAAGGCAGTGATTTTTCCTACCAGGACGGATTTCCATCCCTGCGATATAATATCCGCAGATGTTTCTTCTAAACACTGTGAGCACCTACAGGGCAGCCACCCTTTACTCAGAGAGAGCCAATGCTCTTAATGCATGATGGTTCTGGAGGCCACGTCTCCCAAATCAGCCTCTCTGCGCTACCGTGAACGGGTGTGCAGGACTGAGTTCCTTCTGCAGGTTCCAGGAGACAATCTGTACTTTGGTGTTTTCTGGGTCCTACAGGAAACCCACAACCCTTGGCTCCTGGCTACGCGTCTCCTCTCCTTCTTCCTCTTCTGTCTCCTAATCTCCGCCTGTCTTCATCACACAAGGACCCTTGGGATTCCATCGGCCCACGTGGATAATCCCAGGTCACCTGTCCATCTGCCCGTAACTGAATCACATCTGGAAGCACCTGTTGCTATGAGTGCTCACATGCTCGTAGCTTCTAAAGATTGGGACCTGGGTATCGTTGGAGGTCCTCATTGAGCTGATCATGGGGAATAGAGAGTGTCAGGCCTCTGAGCCCGAGCTAAGCCATCATATCCCCTGTGACCTGCACGCATACATCCGGATGGCCTGAAGCAACTGAACATCCACAAAAGAAGTGAAAATGGCCAGTTCCTGCCTTCACTGTTGACATTCCACCATTGTGATTTGTTTCTGCCCAACCGTAACTGACCAATGTTGTTTATAATCTCCCCTACCCTCAAGAGGGTTCTTTGTAATCTCCCTAACCCTTAAGAAGGTTCTTTGCGATTCTCCCCACCTTTCAGAATGTACTTTCTGAGATCCATCCCCTGTCCCCAAAGCATTGCTCCTATAACTCCACCGCCTGTCCCCAAACCTATAAGAACTAATGATAATCCCACCACCCTTTGCTGACTCTCTTTTTGGAAACAGCCCGCCTGCACCCAGGTGATTAAAAAGCTGTATTGCTCACACAAAGCCTGTTTGGTGGTCTCTTCACACGGACGCGTGAGACAGAGATATTCCAGCAAATATCGGTCAGTGAGGGCTTGAGAAAGGGGGGAGGCCAAAGACTGGTCTACACCGGCTGACCCCGCCTGCCGGCTCACAGGGCATTTTCTCCTGGGGCCAGAGTTCCATCTCCCACCACAGCTCTGCAGACACAGCATCCAAAAATCAAGAATGCTGGATGCATGGAGAGAGTGGGCTTATCCTGAAGTCTGAGGAAAGAAGGAAGGAAGGAAATAAGGAAGGAAAGAAAGTAGGGAGGAAAGAAAGAAGGAGGGAAGGAATGGAGGAAGGAAGATTGGCTCAAGTTATCCTCCCACCTCATCCTCCCGGTAGCTGCACTGTAAGTCTGGATTGTAAAAGTTAAAGGAAACGGGGCCGAGCGCAGTGCCTCACGCCTGTCATCCCAGCACTTTGGGAGGCCAAGGTGGGTGGATCACTTGAAGTCAGGAGTTCGAGACCAGCCTGGCCAACATGCTGAAGCCCCGTCTCTACTAAAAATACAAACATTAGCCACGCCTGGTGGCGGGTGCCTGTAATCCCAGATACTCGGGAGGCTGAGGCAGGAGAATTGCTTGAACCTGGGAGGTGGACGTTGCAGTGAGCCGAGATCATACTCCTGCACGCCAGCCTGGGCAACAGAGCGAAACTCCATCTGAAACGAAACAAAGCATTTAAGGAAAGGATTGCCGATGCCCTCGGATAATTCTCCTTAGAGACAGTTGCCCAGATTTCAAGTTTTTTTCTATTTGAACAAATAGGTGGATATACATGGTGGGTGTAGACTGTCAAATACATAAACCTCAAAATCTACAAAGTCTTCACAGAGGTGTGGGCTGCACTCTGAAAAAAAAAAAAAAAAAAACTTTGGGAGGTGGAGGCAGGAGGATCACTTGAGCCCAGGAGTTCAATACCAGCCGGGACAACACAGTGAGACCCTGTCTCTACCAAAAACAATAAACAAATATTAACCAGAATAGTGGCACACACCTGTAGTCCAGCTACCTGGGAGGATGAGGTGGGAGGATAACTTGAGCCAATCTTCCTTCCTTCCTTGCTTCCTTCCTTCCCCTCTTTCTCTTTCCTTCCATACTTCCCTCTTTCCTTTCTTCTCTTCCCTTTTCCTTTCCTTCTTCCTTTCTTACAAATAAATAATGAGTATAATAAAAAATAAATAAATAATAAATAAATAATGAAATTAAAAATAAAATAAATCAATTAGTAAAATAAAAACAGAAAAGGTTTTTACTTTATAATAATACTATTAATATTAATAGTATTATTATTATTTGAGATGGAGTCTCTCTCTGTCGCCCAGGCTGGAGTGCAGTGGTGTGATCTCGGCTCCCTGCAACCTCCACCTCCCGGGTTCAAGTGATTCTCCTGCCTCAGTCTCCCAAGTAGCTGGGATTACAGGCATGTGCCACCATGCCTGGCTAATTTTTGTATTTTTAGTAGACATGGGGTTTCACCACTTTGGCCCCTTGCTGGGTGAGAGGGTCTCCTGCCACACATCCCAGCCTCTCTGGGAGCCTCCATCTGCAGAAGGATGCACTGACTGTCTGTCTCTAGTTGTGCTGACCCACCCTCCCTGCACCTCTTTGTCTGTAGATTCAAAGCTGTGTAGGAAGTAGCTTTTGACAGCCTGGCATATCATGTCTTATGTAAAACCTTCTAATTTATAGAGGGCCTCAGGTTTAATCTTACACATTCTCCCGCCGTATCCTAAATTATCAATCATTTTAATGACATGTAAAAAAAAATAACAAGCAAATCTTAGAGGACATCCTTATCGCCTATTTTAATACAATTTCCTAAATCAAACATCATAGGGAAGCTCATATAAAAAACTTACGCCTAGCAAGAAATTAAAGAAATATGTACTTAGGGCAATCAACGTTACACGGATAGACTTACCAGATCTTTAATTTTATACAAACGAGCTTCTCTTCGTATTAAAAGACGCATCTGGCTTTTTGAATGACAGACTCACCGGGTCCACATATGCAGAGACGTCTTTGGAATCATAAATACTAGCTAGCAACAGTCCTACATTAAACTTCAGGTCTTAATCAGGTCTTACACCACGTGCATTCTTTGTTGTTGTTGTTTTGTTTTTTTGAGATGGAGTCTCGCTTCTGTCACCCAGGCTGGAGTGCAGTGGCGTGATCTCTGCTCACTGCAACCTCTGCCTCCCAGGCTCAAGCGATTCTCCTGCCTCAGCCTCCTGAGTATGTGGGATTAATAGGTGCCTGCCACCACGCCTGGCTAATTTTTTGTGTTTTTAGTAGAGATGGGTTTTCACCATGTTGGCCAGGCTGGTCTCGAACTCCTGACCTCCTGATCCGCCCGCCTCGGCCTCCCAAAGTGCTGGGATAACAGGGGTAAGCCACCACGCCCGGCCATATTCCTGCTGTTTTAAACCCATCTGTGCATTGGACTTTGCTACCGCAGCCCTACGATGCTGATGAGGATGGTGATTTTTGTTTGCTAAATCATAGGTTTCTGCCTGTTTAGAAGGCAATTTAAGCGCGAATGAAATGAATCTGCTATCTGTGCAGGGCCCTCGCCAGCCATCTAACCAGCCATCTTCGACGTGGCCACTACCCCTTATTAGCAGCAGTTCCTGGCACCCACAGCCTCCCACACCCAGAAAGCAAACTTACAGTTTGACCACCAAAATTTAAAAGTATGTGGCTGTACGGATGACCCCGCTTGTTTGAACTCCCAAGGAACAGAGGAGCTCTTGTTTTACAAGTTTATTGCACGATGATATACTTTAATTTTATACAAACGAGCTTCTCTTCGTATTAAAAGATGGTATACAGTGGAGAGAGTATGTTTGGATGTTGGAAAAAAATCTCGGAAAGAGAGAGTCTTTTGTAACTGGGTATACACAGGTGCCAGCCTCTTGCTGTCCATTTGGGAGAGTGCTTTTTTAGAAATTTTTGAAACAGGGTCTGGCTAGGCTGCCCAGGCAACAGTGCAATGGTGCAATTATAACTCACTGCAGCCTCAATCTCCTGGGCTCAAGCAGTCCTCCTGCCTCAGCCTCCTGGGTAGCTGGGACTACAGGAGTGTGCCACCAAAGTCAGCTAATTTTTTATTTTTTACTTTTTGTAGAGGTGGGGTCTTGCTACATTGCCCAGTCTGGTCTCAAACTCACAGGCTCAAGCAGTCCTCCTGCCTCAGCCTCCTGGGTAGCTGGGACTACAGGCTTGTGCCACCACAGTCAGCTAATTTTTTATTTTTTACTTTTTGTAGAGGTGGGGTCTTGCTACATTGCCCAGTCTGGTCTCACACTCAGAGGATCTCCTGCTTCAGCCTCCCAAAGTGCTGGGATGACAGGCATGCACCACCACATCCTGCCAGTTTGAGCCAGTTCTATTCCCATGTCCCAGAGCTTCATTGGACCAATGACCGGGCATTTCATTCCCTCTTCCCCAAGAACTGAAGCGGATGAGCTTTCTCTTGGATGTTGTATGTTAGTGCTGGGATCTGTCAGTAGAGAAGGGTGCATGCCTGCCTTTTTGGAGCACACACATATAGACACACAGACACTCTCTCAGTGGCTCTTGACCTCTAACCATCAAGGCTGGGTGCGTGCATGGCCCCAGGATCCCAAGCATCCCTCAGGGGCTGACACTGATTGTTCGGTCTTCTGGTCAACCACTCAGTAAGTTCTTCCTCAGGCTCCTTGCTCACCTTGGCCACCATCCCCACTCTAAACGTTCCGGGGGCTCTCCTGTCCTGGCTGCAATGATGCCCCAGGATTCTTGGGGACAGGGGATTCTATGGGGACTCACCGAAGAATGAGAAGGGTAGCAAGATAGTTAGATCATAGCTAAATAGATAATAGGTAGATGATAAATAGATAGATGAAAGAGAGTAGATAGATGGTAGCTATAGGTGATAGATAGACAGATAATAGGTAGATGATAGGAAGGTAGTAGATAGATGTAGATTAGATAGACAGATAGGCAGATGATGGAATGTGAGTAGATGAATAGATAGATGATAGATAGATACATACATACGTACATATATACATACATAAATACATGATAGGATGTAATGGATAAAAGATAGAGGCACAGATGATAGAATGTGCGTGGATGAATAGATAAAAGATAGATAAAAGGATGTGAATGTATGAATAGACAGATAACAGATGGATGGATGGATAGATAATAGGATATGAGTGGATGAATAGATAGATAAACAGATGATAGGATGTTAGTGGATGAATAGATAGATGGATAGATAGATGTGATGGTGGGTGGATAGGTGGATGAACAGATAGATAGATATATGGATAGGTGAATAGATAGATACTAGACAGATGTGATGGGTGGATGGATAGATGGATGGATGAATAGATTGATAGATTGATCAATAGATAGAGAGATGATATATGGATTTCTTTTAATAGATATGACAGATAGTAGACAGATGATAGATGAATAGATGGATAGTTATTAATAGATAGATAGACAGAAAGATGATAGAATGTGAGTGGATGAATTGATAGATGATAGATAGATAGATAATATATAGATAAGATAGATACATAAATAGATACATAGATAATAGGATGTAATGGATAAAAGATAGATATACAGATGATAGAATGTGAGTGGATGAATAGATAAATGATAGATGATAGAATGTTAGTGAATGAATAGACAAATGATAGATAATAGGATGTGAATGTATGAATACGTAGATAATAGATGGGTGGATGGCTACATAGGTAGATAGATAGACACATAGATTGATAGATAGGTAGATAGATAGATAGATGATAGATAATAGGATATGAGTGGATGAATAGACAGATAGATGATAGATAGATAATAGGATATGAGTGGATGAATAGATAGATACATAGATGTGATGGTGGATGAACAGATAGATACATGGATAGATGAACAGATAGATACTAGATAGACATGATGGATGGATGGATGGATGGATGGATGGATGGATGGATGGATAGATCGATCAATAGATAGATGATAGATAGATAGATAGATAGATAGATAGATAGATAGATAGATAGACAGATAGATAGACCTTCATGAAAAAATTCCCTACATTTAGTAGAATGCACTAGGACCTTACCCCTGGGGATGCTGAAACTTAAGTTGAGATTTGGGTCAACAACACAATGATTGTTTTCCAGGACGTGGCATCTGCTGATTCTGGGGACCAGCCTGAGGGAAGGCACGAATTTTGTCCTCCTTCTTCCAGAAGGAGGCCTCTTTGCAAATGGTTCTTGGGGAGAAAGTTTGCCTCTGGCTCTTTGGTATATTTCTGCATCTCAAGGGACATTTCTATCTCAACCTAATACTGAATTCCTCTTGGATGAGTCTCAAAATCATGGTGTTTCTCTTCAGTTTCATGACTGGAGGGGGTGAGAGTCGGTGGGGTGGACACACCCATCCTCAGGACAGAGTCAGCAAGGAAATAAATATACTCCTGGTTCTCTAGTGGAGAGTTTAGCAATTTAACCTGAGAGGTTGGAGACTACCTACTCTATTTTCACGAGCAGTCTTGGATTTGGGGCCTCACTAAAGAAACTCATAAAATGCAAAGCACAGATGTAGAAAATGACCAAGAAAGAAAACAACTCGAAAATCAGTTTTAGGATGAGCCCAGGTTAAAAACGCAGCATACAAGCTGGGTGACGTGGCTCATGCCTGTCATCCCAGCACTTTGGAGGCTGAGGTGGGAGGATCACCTGAGGTCAGGAGTTTGAGACCAGCCTCACCAACATGGTGAAACCCCGTCTCTACTAAAAGTACAAAAATTAGCTGAGTGTGCTGGTGCGCACCTGTAATCTCAGGTACCCGGGAGGCTGAGGCAGGAGAATCGCTTGAACCTGGGAGGCGGAGGTTGCAGTGAGCTGAGATCATGCCACTGCACTCCAGCCTGGGGGACAGTGTGAGAGTTTGTCTCAACAAGCAAAACAAACAAACAAACAAACAAAAACCCCACAACATAATTCATTCGAACCCATTCTTAGTCATCTTTGTGAGATTAAAAAACCACAAATTCTGATTCACTGGGATAGGGTTGAGACAGAAATCCATGCGAGTTTGAAAAGCATGTAAATTAGCTCAGACATTTTCAAGCACACACGGGGATTAAAACTCAGCCAACAGCTCTTCACTGTTGGGCCGCTCTATTACCAGGACTTTGATAAAAAGATGAAAGTGCACTGAAATGGTGGTCTTCAGTAGGTGAACTCTTCTGCTCAGAGGTTTTCCTATAGCTGAGATATTCTCCTGTGTCTTGTCCCTGCCTTTACTTTCACATATTAGTAGAGAATGAAAAGTTGAAGAATTTGACTTCACTTTGGGTGTTCGTTGGTGCAATGGATATGGTTGTCTGTTGAAGGGAGTGAACCTCTGAAAACGAAGCCATGGGCTGGCTCTCAGAGCTAAGATAAAATATAAGATGTCATGAAGACCAAAGAGAGGAGAACCAGTGAAACTGGAATACAGAGTCCCAGACAATACCCTGGCTGGGTGGAGAAGATGCATGGATTTCATTGATAAGAGACTGCAGGATTGTAAGACAGATGTACAAAATGGCTCAGAGAGAAAACTTGGGGTCTTTCTCTAGCCTGCTCCCAACATCTGATTTCTTTTTTCTTTCTTTCTTTTTTTTTTTTTTTGAGATGGAGTCTTGCTCTTTCACCCAAGCTGGAGTGCAATGGTGTGATCTCAGCTCACTGCAACCTCTGCCTCCGGGTTCATGCAATTTTCCTGCTTCAGCTTCTTGAGTAGTGGGGATTACAGGCGCCTGCCACCATGCCTGGCTAATTTTTGTATTTTTATTAGAGATGGGGTTTTGCCATGTTGACCAGGCTGGTCTCGAACTCCTGACCTCAGGTGATTCACCTGCCTCGACCTCCCGAAGTGCTTTTTAAAAAATTTTCTTAGTATTTTTTTTTTCAAGGAGTCTTCAACAGCAGGAACCACATCTGAATTCTAAACCTCTCTTTTCCAGCTGATGACAACGTTGCCTTCTCTGAGTGTTTGACCCATCAAAGCCAAACTCTTTCTTCCACCATCTCCTGAAGGCACCATCTTGGTTGGCCACTGAAGTAGGCTGAATGTTGATGACCTGGAGAAATAGATCCTTGTCCTAATCCCTAAGAAGCAGAGAATGTTCACTTACGTGGTAAAAAGCGTCTTTGCAGACATGATGAATGAAGAATCTTGAGATGAAGAATTATCCTGGATTATCTGGGTGGACTCTACATCCAATGGCAGGTGTCCTTCTGGGAGACAGAAGAAGAGACACAGACACAGAGGAGAAGGCCACGTGGAGACGGAGGCAGAGACTGGAGTGATGCGGCCACAAGCCCAGGGACGCCTGGAGCCCCCAGGAGCTGGGAAAGGCAGAAAGGATCCTCCACTAGAGCCTCCAGAAGGAACTAGACAGAGTTGTAATGGATTGAACAGTGGCCATGAGATAGACACGTTCATGTCCTAACCCCCAGAACCTGGAATGAGATCGCATTTGGAAATAGGGTCTTTGCACATATAATTAGTTAAGGATCTTGAGAGGAAATCGTCTTGGATTAGGGTGGGCTCTAATTCCAATAACAAGCATCCCTGTAGGAGACAGAGGAGGAGACACAGACACAGAGGAGAAGGCCACAAGGAGACGGAGGCAGAGACTGGAGTGATGCGTCCACAAGCCGAGGGATGCCTGGAGCCCCCAGGAGCTGGGAGAGGCAGGAAGGACCCTCCCCTGGGGCCTCCAGAAGGAACTGGATACAATTGTAATGGATTGAACAGTGGCTGTCGGAAAGACGTATTCATGTCCTAACTCCCAGGACCTGGAATGAGATCGCATTTGGAAATAGGGTCTTTGCACATATAATTAGTTAAGGATCTTGAGAGGAAATCGTCTTGGATTAGGGTGGGCTCTAATTCCAATAACAAGCATCCCTGTAGGAGACAGAGGAGGAGACACAGACACAGAGGAGAAGGCCACAAGGAGACGGAGGCAGAGACTGGAGTGATGCGGCCACAAGCCGAGGGATGCCTGGAGCCCCCAGGAGCTGGGAGAGGCAGGAAGGACCCTCCCCTGGGGCCTCCAGAAGGAACTGGATACAATTGTAATGGATTGAACAGTGGCTGTCGGAAAGACGTATTCATGTCCTAACTCCCAGGACCTGGAATGAGATCGCATTTGGAAATAGGGTCTTTGCACATATAATTAGTTAAGGATCTTGAGAGGAAATCGTCTTGGATTAGGGTGGGCTCTAATTCCAATAACAAGCATCCCTGTAGGAGACAGAGGAGGAGACACAGACACAGAGGAGGAGGCCACATAGAAATGACGGCAGAGTCCATCTAATTCAGGACACTCTCAACTTGAAATCCTGAATTTAACGTGTCTGTAAACACCTTATTTTTAATTAAGGTTACAAATAGTGTCCTGGCAACGGTGTGTTTTAGGGGACACTTTAAGCTAATACAGAGAGTGACAGCTGATTCTTGTAATTATCACAGAAAGGGAATTTTCATTTGCTGGAAGAGAGAAGAAAGCAGAAATTAAACAGGCAGTTTCTTCCACGTTGCTTTGGGCTCTGTTTGATTGCATTTACTCCAACCTCTGATGCCCTGAAGTGAAGGGTTTGGACTACAAACCTCAAATGGGCTTCCAGCTCCAGGAATTTATGAACTTGCATTTTTTTTTTTTTGTTTTTGGTCTTTTGACAGAGGCCCTGAAGCGGCTACAGTAGAAGAAAAACAAATCTTCTACGAACAGAGAATTACTCTGGAAGGTCAAAAGCTAAGCTTAAAAGGATCTATTAAAACTCAACAGCAAGGCTGGGCGCTGTGGCTCACTCCTATAATCCCAGCACTTTTGGAGGCTGAGGCGGGAGGATCACCTGAGGTCAGGAGTTCGAGACCAGCCTGGCCAGCATGGTGAAATCCCGACTCTACTAAAAATACAATAATTAGCCAGGCATGGTGGCGGGCGCCTGTAATCCGAGCTACTCGGGAGGCTGAGGCAGGAAAACCACTTGAACCTGGGAGGCGGAGGTTGCAGTGAGTGGAGATCGCACCACTGCACTCCAGCCTGGGCGATGGAGCGAGACTCCATCTCAAAGAAAACAAACAAAGAAACAAAAACAAACAAACAAAACCCCTCAACATCAAAAGGACAAACAACCCAATTAAAAAGTAGGCAAAGAACTAAAATAGACATTTCTCCAAAAGAAGATAAAGAAATGGCCAAGAAGGGCATGCAGAGATGCCCAGCATCACTTACCATTACTGACGTCAAAACCGCGTTGAGAGACGGCCTCACACCCACGAGGATGGCAAGAAGGATAGTTGAGGCAATATTAGCAAGCGTTGATGAGAATGTGGAGAAACTGGAAGTCCTGTCTACTGCTGGAGGGTAAAATGGCACAGCCGCTGTGGGAAATGGCATGCACCTCACCAAAAAATGAAACATAGACTTATCCTACGATCGCATGATCTCACTCCTGGCTGTGTGCACCCAAAATAACTAAAAACAGACTCAAAGAAATACCAGAGCACAAAGAGCGGTGGTGCATGTGCCTGTCATCCCAGCTACTCGGGAGGCTGAGGCAGGAGAATTGCTTGAACCCAGGAGGAGGAGGCTGTGGTGAGCCAAGGTTGCGCCACTGCACTCCAGCCTGGGCGACAGAGCGAGTCTCCATCTCAAATAAATAAATAAATAAACACCACACCTGTAATCCCAGCACTTTTGGGAGGCTGAGGCGGGCAGATCCCGAGGTCAGGAGTTCGAGACCAGTCTGGCCAACGTAGTGAAACCCCCGTCTCTACTAAAAAATACAAAACAATTAGCCGGGTGTGGCCGTGCACGCCTGTAATCCCAGCTGCTTGGGAGGCTGAGGCGGAAAAATGGCTTGAACCCGGGAGGCGGGGAGGTTGCAGTGAGCCGAGGTTGTGCCATTGCACTGCAGCCTGGGAGACAGTGAGAGACTCCATCTCAAAATAAAAAATAACATAAAATAAATAAATAATAAATAAATAGAATCTCCAGTCCTTGGGCTCAGGGCTATTTGTACACACAACTACAGGGAGACTTTGGGTTTCCCGGTTCGGTTTTCCTTTAATCCGAAAGCTCTTCTGGAAAGAAAGTGATATTTCACCTGTTAAAGCTGCTGAATTATTCTCAAGCGGGTTCCGCGTATCTTGCACCTGTATTGGCCGATGAGCGTGAGAGACGCTCCCATCTCGTTACTGGGAGAGGTGGGACTGGGGGGCTTCATCGCCAGAGGGATGAGGGGCTCGAGGTACTTACCTTTGTGGTGGGGACATTAACTACAGCATAGCCTGAATCTTGTGATGTTGAACCGTGCACGGCGGCACTGCCTCGGGGTCTCCCCAAGAGGCTGTTGATGTCTGTTTTACTTTTTTTATATTTATTTATTTATTTGAGATGGAGTCTCGTGCTGTCACCCAGGCTGGAGTGCAATGGCACGATCGTGACTCACTGCAATCTCTGTCTCCCGGGTTCAAACGATTCTCCTGCCTCAGCCTCCAGAGTAGCTGGGATGACAGGCACCCGGCACCACGCCCAGCTAATTTTTGTGTTTTTAGTAGAGACAGGGTTTCACCATGTAGGCCAGGCTGGTTTTGAACTCCCAACCTGCTGATCTGCCTGCCTTGGCCTCCCAAATTGCTGAGATTACAGGCATGAGCCACCACGTCCAGCCTTTATTTTTATTTTTGTTTATTTATTTGAGATGAGTCTCGCTCTGTCTCCCAGGCTGCAGTGTGATGGTGTGATCTTGGCTCACTGCAACCTCCGCCTCCCAGGTTCAAGTGATTCTCCTGCCTCAGCCTCCCGAGTAGCTGGAATTACAGGCACCCGCCACCACGCCCGGCTAATTTTTCTATTTTTAGTAGAGATGGGGTTTCACCATGTTGGCCAGGCTGGTCTCGAACTCCCGACCTCAAGTGATCCACCCGCCTCGGCCTCCCAAAGTGCTGGGATGACAGCCATGAGCCACCACGCCCGGTGGATGATGCCTATTTTATAAATCAACGCCTAGAAAGTTTAGCATGTCCAGAATCTTTCGGAACAGGTGCTACCAGCCACCCACCTGGGCTGGTTCTTTTATTTCATTTCATTTATTTATTTCATATTTTATTTTATTAACATTTTATTTAATGTATTATTTTATTTATTTATTTTATCTTTGATTGTATTAGTATTTTATTTCATTATTTAATTTTATTTTTATTTCATTCTATTTTGTTTGAGACAAGGTCTTACTCTGTCCCCCGGGCTGGAGTGCAGTGGCTCGATCACGGCTCATTGCAGCCTCAAATTCCTGGGGTGAAGCAATCCTCCCATCTCAGCCTCCTGAGTAGCTGGGATTACAGGCACGCACCACTCCTGGCTAATTGAAACTGGGAGACACAGGTTGCAGTGACCCGAGATTTTATAATAATTTTATAATTATTATAATTATAATTTAGCATAATGTTATAATCATAATTATTATTATTATAATTATAATAATGTTATAATTATAATTATAATTATAATAATGTTATAATTATAATTATAATTATAATTATAATAATGTTATAATTATAATTATAATTATAATTATAATAATGTTATAATTATAATTATAATTATAATTATAATAATGTTATAATTATAATTATAATTATAATAATGTTATAATTATAATAATGTTATAATTATAATTATAATTATAATAATGTTATAATTATAATAATGTTATAATTATAATTATAATAATGTTATAATTATAATTATAATAATGTTATAATTATAATTATAATAATGTTATAATTATAATCATAATGTTATAATTATAGTTATAATAATGTTATAATTATAGTTATAATAATGTTATAATTATAATTCTAATTATAATAATGTTATAATTATAATTATATTTATAATTTTATTATAATTATAATTTATAATAATATTTATAATTTTATTATAATTATAATTATAATTTATAATAATATTTATAATTTTATTATAATTATAATTATAATTTATAATAATTTTATAATTATATTTATAAATTATATATTTTATATAATAAAATTATATTATAATTATAATTATAAATTATAATTTATACCACTCCTGGCTAATTTTATAATAATTTTAACATTGAGGTTTCAGTATGGTACCCAGGCTGGTCTCGAACTCCCTGGCTCAAGCAATCCTCCTGCCTCAGGCCTCCCAAAGTGCTGGGATTACAGGTGTGATGTTTATTTATTTATTTATTTGAGACGGAGTCTTGCTCTGTCGCCCAGGCTGGAGTGCAGTGGCACAACCTTGACTCACTGCAGCCTCCACCTCCTGGGTTCAAGCAATTCTCCTGCCTCAGCCTCCTGAGTAGCTGGGATTACAGGCATGCACCACTCCTGGCTAATTGAAACAGGGAGACAGAGGTTGCATTGAGCCGAGATTTTATAATAATTTTATAATCATTATAATTATAATTAATAATAATGTTATAATTATAATTATTATTGTTATAATTATAATAATGTTATAATTATAATTTATAATAATTTTACAATTATAATCATTATAATAATTTGATAATAATTATAATTATAATTATAATAATTTTATAATTATATTTATAAATTATATTATATATTTTATATAATAAAATTATATTATAATTATAATAATAAATTATAATTATAATTTATACCACTCCTGGCTAATTTTATGATAATTTTAACATTGAGGTTTCACTATGGTACCCAGGTTGGTCTCGAACTCCCGGGCTCAAGCAATCCTCCTGCCTCAGGCCTCCCAAAGTGCTGGGATTACAGGTGTCAGCCACTGTGCCTGGCTAATTTTTTTTTTCTTTCAGGTAGAGACGGGGTCTCACTGTGTTGCCCAGGCTTCGGTTTGTCCTTTTAAATAGCCGATCGGGATATTTAGCGTTACGGTTATGCCTGGTTCCATAGCAGGGGTATTGAATGGTATGGAATCAAAATCGGGATATGACATTGTTACTGTAAGATGCTGTGAAACCTGCTCTCCACACTCCCTTGTAAACGGAGACAGGGGGGTTTGCCCCTTGTCCATCTGCGTCTACACATCATCCTGGTAGGGACTGTACCTTTTGCCCGTCTTTCAAGGCAAAAGAATCCTCCTGGTCCCCGGGTGGATATATAGGCTCCTGTTTCCAACGCTGGAGGCTGCAGCTCACCCCGCTGCACCCCACTTACCCACCGCTTCTGATCTGAACTCCGGGCTGATGTGGATTCAGCCAAACTGCCTGCTGTACCCCATTCCCATTCAATCCATTACGCGGCTCCCTCCACCGACTCCTCATCTCCCTGACTTCTAATTTGACAATGACAAAGAGCTCCGCGGTGATTTTAAATTTCATAATTTTAATCTGTCAAGCCTGACATTTAATTACTGCCCTCCTCACCTTGCAGCCACGTACGAGGGGGCTGCTGTGCGTCTTCCTTTAGAATGTATTTTTTCCCCCTTCCGTGGAGGAGTAGACTAATAAATAAGTATATGCATAACTGCCAGGTACAAGACAATGTGCCAGGGATGGTCTATTAGCCCCAAATCTAGACAGATGAGGTTAATCATATTTCCAAGTGCCACTTTATCGTATTAGGAGTGATTAAAGCACAGCCTCGGCCCCCGGATGAGACGTCCGTTGGAAACATGAAACAGGAGACCTGGTCTGTGCAGTTTCATGTGAGCCGTTAGAGAGGCACACAGGGAGGTTGTGGGAGCCTTATGGGAACCCCGATTTGCTGCGCTGCTGGTTGTGGGGTTTGCAAACAAAGCAAGGCAAGCAGGGATTGCTAAGAGATGGCTCTGGGCAGCTGGGGTACGAAGGTTGTTTGGGACACCTGGGGCCGTTCCTTGGGTGTCTGTGGGAGGAAAAGTCTCTCTCCACACGCTGCTGTAATAGCAGGTGTAACAGACTCATCATAACTGGGTTACCTGTGTTGAGACCGTCCACCTTGACTTAGGTCCAAGCTGACTTCTTTTGCTTTTGAGACGGACTCTCATTCTGTCGCCCAGGCTGGAGTGCAGTGGCACGATCTTGGCTCCCTGCAACCTCCACCTCCCTGGTTCAAGCGATTCTCCTGCCTCAGCCTCCCGAGTAGCTGGGATTACAGGCGCCCGCCACCACACCCGGCCAATTTTTGTGTTTTTAGTAGGGACGGGGTTTCACCATGTTGGCCAGGCTGGTCTCGAACTCCTGACCTCAGGTGATCCGCCCGCCTCGGCCTCCCAAAGTGCTGGGATGACAGGCATAAGCCACTGCGCCCAGCCCTTATCCCATAATCTTTCAATTTTTTAAAAATATTTGAAGGCATGCATCATCACATTCTGAGATCTCATGGATGAAGCTGGAAACCATCATTCTCAGCAAACCATCGCAAGGACAGAAAATCAAGTCTACCATGAGAAAGACCCATTCTAATATGCCAAAGCAAAGCATGATGCACCTGGGGAGCCCAATTTCAGGTCAATATGGAAGAAGAGATGTCTCAATGCCAGAGTTGTGTGAGGGTGAAATGGCTTTTAATGACCAGGGTGAAATGTATTTTAGTAGAGACAGGGTTTAATGAGAAGGCGAGTTTCCTTCCGTTGGACATACCCCAGAGACCCCTGTGTCCCACCCAGAGAAAACCAAAGGCAGGTTCCAAGCAAGGGTCAGACGTTGGACTTCACAGCCCTGCACGTCCCTGCTAAGTCTTGGAGTCCATAAGACGTCAGGGGGCTGCCGCCTGTGTCAGCTTCCTCTCTGCAAGTCCAGGGATGGCAAATGGATCACTTCAACATTGAAAATGCATTTTTGTATCAGTGTGGGCTGCAGAATGTCTCCAATGCAAAGAAAAACCTCATCATCCCAGGCAGAGACTTGGCAAATACCTCCTATCTGGAATGTTTGTACAACATGGTCTTAGCCTCCATTCCCATGTTATACATAATTCGTCCCCAGTGGACATAAAACAGTTCGTAACAATGCAAAAAATGCTTATCCTCGTAGTCCAATTGCAGTAAAAACAAAAAACAAAAAAGATCCTGAAAGATTGAATTTTCTTTTCTTATGATACATTCAGAATTGCGGTCCAGAATAATCAAGCCATATTATTTTCCATAAATGTCTGCATTTTTTTCTGGGAAACCCCAAGGGCCCTCTATGCAGAATGAAAAGCTTGGTCTAGCTTGAGATTTGGCAAGAAGCTGTTTAACACGGAGAAGGGCCAGGCAACAGCGGTTCCTCAGGTCATTTCCCACCATAAATAGCTCAGTGCA
The DNA here is from genome assembly GCF_000001405.40 of Homo sapiens. Classification (NCBI taxonomy): domain Eukaryota; kingdom Metazoa; phylum Chordata; class Mammalia; order Primates; family Hominidae; genus Homo; species Homo sapiens. Next base: position 822,067 of record NC_000023.11, read on the forward strand.
ATTTAGAGAATGAGAGGGAAGTATTTTGTAATTTCACTAAAAGATTAAGAAAATATAATAGTAATTGCCAGGTGGGAAAAAAATCCTTTTTTTTCTGTTTCAAAAATCAGTCAAGAGGAGTTTAGAAAGGAGATCAGATTGGAAGGGGGAGGGTTATTTATTTAATTTTTGTTTTGTTTTATTTTTAAGAGAGAGTCTCGCTGTGTCACCCACGCTGGAGTGCAGTGGTGCAATCTTGGCTCACTGCAACCTCTGCCTCCCAGGCTCAGGTGATTCTCCCGCCTCAGCCTCCCAAGGAGCTGGGATTACAGGCACCCGCCACCACGCCCAGCTAATTTTTGTATTTTTAGTAGAGACGGGGTTTCACCATGTTGGCCAGGCTGGTCTCAAACTCCTGACCTCAAGTGATCCATGTGCCTTGACCTCCCAAAGTGCTGGGATTATCGGCCTGAGCCACCATGCCTGGCCTTACTTAATTTTTTAAATCATTTTATCCTGAGCTTCTAACACACTGGTCATTGGGAGCACATGGTAATCACAAGGAAGAATTTTTAAAGTTTTTTTTAAAAAATGTATCAATGATAATGGGTACATAATAGTTGTATATATTTATGCCGTGCATGTGCTGTTTTGATACAAGCATACAATGTATCGTGATCAAACCAGGGTGACTGGGGTATTTACCACCTCAAGCATTTATCATTTCATTTTATTTATCATTTATCATTTTATTTCATGATGTCAAATCCACTGTTTTAGTTATTTTAAAATATACAATAAGTTATTGTTAAGTATAGTCACCTTACAGTGCTACCAAATAAGAGATCCTTTTCATTCTACCTCACTCCATTTTTAACTTTTTTCAATTATACTTTAAGTTCTAGGATACATGTGCAGAACGTGCAGGTTTGTTGCATAGGTATTCACGTGCCATGGTGGTTTGCTGCACCCATCAACCCCTCATCTACATTAGGTATTTCTCTTAATGCAATCCCACCCCTTGGCCCCCCAGACCCTGACAGGCCCCAGTGTGTGACATTCCCCTCCCTGTGTCCATGTGATCTCATTGTTCAACTCCCACTTATGAGAGAGAACATGCAGTGTTTGGTTTTCTGTTCCTGTGTGAGTTTGCTGAGAATGATGGTTTCCAGCTTCATCCATGTCCCTGCAAAGGACATGAACTCATCCTTTTTCATGGCTGCATAGTATTCCATGGTGTATATATGCCACATTTTCTTTCTCCAGTCCATCATAGCAGTGTATATAGTTATGGGGTATAAGGATATTTTTGTACCCATTACCATCTCTACCATTTCCTTCCTTCCTGCTACTTTTCTCAGCCTTCGGTCACCATCATCCTCCTCTCCATGTCCTTGAGTTTAGTGTTTTTTGTGTAATTTTTAGCTCCCACACATGTGTGAGAACATGTGAAATGTGTCTCTCTGTGCCAGCTTGTTTCACTGAACATAGTGACCTCCTCTTCCATCCATGTTTTTGCAAATGACAGGATCTCTTTTTTTTTTTTTTTTTTTTTTTTTTTTTTTTTTTTTGAGACAGAGTTTTGCTGTTGTTGCCCAGGCTGGAATGCAATGGCTCAATCTGAACACACTGCAACTTCCACCTCCCGGGTTCAAGCAATTCTCCTGCTTGAGCCTCCTGAGTAACTGGGATTACTGGCACCCACCACCATGCCTGACTAATTTTGTCTTTTTTTTTTTTTTTTTTAGTAGAGACAGGGTTTCTCCATGTTGGCCAGGCTGGTCTCGAACTCCCAATCTCAGGTGATCCACCTGCCTCAACTTCCCAAAGTGCTGGGATTACAGGTGTGAGCCACCACACCCGGCCAGGACCTCATTGTTTTTTGTTTTTTTTTCCAGCTGAATACTATTTCCTTGTGATTGACAAATAATAATTATATACATTTCTAGAGCACCATGCAATGTTTTGATACGTGCATAGGATGTGGAATGGTTAGATCAAGCTCATTAACAAATGCATCACCTCACATACGTCTCATCTTTAGGAGGTAAGAGCATTTAAAATCGACTCTTTCAGCAATTTTGAAACATACAATACGTTATTATTAACTATGAGAATGAGAAAGAAGAGGACAAGGAGCTCTCAGAGAAGCAGCAAACATAGGTCCAAGGTCCTCACAACATTGACTTAAGCACCAACTGACTGCCTCTTAATTAGGTGCTTCCAAGTAAATATAACTATCATCTATCAGATATAATACCAGAGACACCATACAATATATACGGTAAGGCCTCACCCAACATCATTAATAGGTTATCAGAAATTACAACTTTCGCTAGGCATCCTGGCTCACACCTGTAATCCCAGCACTTTGGGAGGCTGAGGTGGGTGGATCACCTGAGGTCAAGAGTTCAAGACCAGCCTGGCCAACATAGTGAAACCCCATCTCTACTAAAAAATACAAAAATTAGCTGGGCATGATGGTGCATGCCTATAGTCCCAGCTACTCAGGAGGCTGAGGCAGGACAATCCTTTGAAGCCAGGAGGTGGAGGTTGCAGTGAGCCAAGATCACACCACTGCACTCCAGCCTGAGCAACAGAGTGAGACTCTGTCTCAAAAAGAGAAACTGCAGACCGGGCACAGTGGCTCATGCCTGTAATCCCAGCATTTTGGGAGGCCGAGGCAGGTGCATCATGAAGTCAGGAGATCGAGACCATCCTGGCTAACATGGTGAAACCCCATCTCTACTAAAAACACAAAAAATTAGCCTGGCGTGGTGGCGGGCGCCTGTAGTCCCAGCTACTCGGGAGGCTGAGGCAGGAGAATGGCGTGAACCCGGGAGGCGGAGCTTGCAGTGAGCAGAGATTGCACCACTGCATTCCAGCCTGGGCAACAGAGCGAGACTCCATCTCAAAAAAACAAACTGCAACTTTAAGCAAAATGACTTACGTATAACCTATTTTACCATAGGCCAATTGATATAAACAAGAGTTAAATTCCTAGAGCATACAATAGGTCCTTTTGCTTAAAGTTGCTGCTTTCAAGAACCTATTTGTGATATCAAGTGAGAAGTTACTGTATATGGAAATTATATATTTATTACACCTTTTGTATACATATTGTATATTGCGTATATCTATATGTCTTTACATAAATATGTTCATGTATCTATGTCCATTATATGTATTTTATACATATGTATATATGTATAAAATCTATTTATATATACATATGTATCTGTATACATATGTATATATTTATATGTATCTATTTATATATACATATGCATACATACGTATCTATTTATATATACATATGCATACATACGTATCTATTTATATATACATATGCATACATACGTATCTATTTATATATACATATGCATACATACGTATCTATTTATATATACATATGCATACATACGTATCTATTTATATATACATATGCATACATACGTATCTATTTATATATACATATGCATACATACGTATCTATTTATATATACATATGCATACATACGTATCTATTTATATATACATATGTCTCCACTAGCTTGGTGCAAAAGTTAATGGCAAAAACTGAAATTACTTTTGCATCGACCTGGTATTTATATATATTTTAAGTTTAGGTTTTAATTCTATTGATACAGATTCATTTATATAGATCATTGATACAGATGTCCTGTATTTATGGAAATTGCCCCCACATGTGTCTTTTATATTCATCTATGTATATTATAGACATATGTATGTTTTTATATCTACATGTATATCTTTTTACACACATCACTGGAAATAGACTGTTTAAAATTAACTGAACAGATGATGAAAAAAAAAAACTGTTTAACAAGAAAGTTAAGCCACCTTTTTTTTTTTCTGCCTTCTGAGTTGGACTACATGTGTTTCAATAACAGCGTGCTTTTAAAAAGATATTTTTGAAAAGTTGTGGCTCGTCTGGCTTGTATTAGAGGTTGAATTTTGAGGGAAGTGACATATGTTCCCTAGAAGGCCTCCCTCAGTGACTTCGGTCGGACGATTATTTCGGTGTGTTTACGCAGGTTTTGCTAATTTTAAGTAACTGGATGTTTCCTTCATAACGACCTGCCCGGGGAGGAAGAAGCAACGATTTGTCATCCCATAATCTTCCCCCAGGGTTCTCTGCATTTTTAAAATACAAGTCTAACCAAGATCTCCAAAAGGCATCTGAAAAATGTTTTTATGTGTGGAAACTGTTCATTTCTCCGTGGTTGCATAACTCAAAAATAGATGAGGACATTTCTGAAACTTTCCCAGAAAAATCCCTCTTGGGCTAAAACTAACATTCGCTGGAGAGAAGCAAATAGGAAAGCACAAAATAAGGAAAGAAAGGCCTTCAGTGTAAAATGATCATTTTCCTTTTAAGAATTGTCTGCTTATCATGACATGAAAATCATATTTCCGGTAGCTTTTAGAAATCCATGTGGGTGATGCTGATACTTAGAACTGTTCCAGTCATTCTCTAAGCTGAGACTCAGTGAATCCTCAATTGGAATCTCCTTTGTAAAGAACCCACACTCCTATTTTTGGCAACAAACTGGGATCTTTTGTGTTTATTTGTCTTAAATCAGCTTTTACTAAAGAGAGCTACGCCAGCCCCTAAATTACCAAAAGAATAATAGTTTCACGCTATGATGCCTTTCTCGCCCCCGTTTTGTCCTGACGAATGAGAATTGCTGCCTCTTTTGAACGTTCAGCTGTCTGGCGTGAGGGGACTTTCCTTTAGCTTCGGAAGAGTCAGTCTTGGCAGTTTTTGGTAATCAGAAACCAAGAATAAGAATTTGAATGCAGGGAAAACTGTGACACAGGAAATATGTTCATCTGTTACCTATATTTTAAAAGTTGAAAAATGAAGTGCTTTGGACTCTCTCTATATATAGATAGATATATAATATCTATATATATCTATAGATATATATAGATATTATATGTATAGATATTATCTATATAGATATATATAGATATTATCTATATATATCTATATATCTATAATATATATCTATATATATCTATATATCTATAATATATATCTATATATATCTATATATCTATAATATATATCTATATATCTATAATATATATCTATATATCTATAATATATATCTATAATATATATATCTATACATCTATTATATATCTATATCTATATATCTATGATATATATCTATATATCTATATATCTATGATATATATCTATATATCTATGATATATATCTATATATCTATGATAAATATCTATATATCTATGATATATATTTATATATCTATAATATATATCTATATATCTATATATCTATAACATATATCTATATATCTATAATATATATCTATATATCTATAATATATATCTATATATCTATATATCTATAATATATATCTATATATCTATATATCTATAATATATATCTATATATCTATATATCTATAATATATATCTATATATCTATATATCTATAATATATATCTATATATCTATATATCTATAATATATATATATCTGTATATCTATAATATATATCTATATATCTATAATATATATCTATATATCTGTAATATATATCTATATATCTATATATCTATAATATATATCTATATATCTAAATATCTGTAATATATATCTATATATCTGTAATATATATCTATATATCTATATATCTGTAATATATATCTATATATCTATATATCTGTAATATATATCTATATATCTATATATCTGTAATATATATCTATATATCTGTAATATATATCTATATGTCTATATATTATATATCTATATAGATATATAATATCTTTATCGACATATCGATATATATCGACATATTGATATATATCGACATATCGATATATATCGACATATAGATATATATATTTATATAGATATATCTATATATAGATAGAGATATATAGATGATATATAGATATATAGATATATTGATATATAGATATATATAGATATATTGATATATAGATATATATAGATATATAGATATATAGAGAGATATAGATATATAGAGATATATAGATAGACATATATAGATATATAGATATATATCTATATAGAGATATATAGATATTATCTATATATCTCTCTCTATCTATATATCTATGTGTAATATATATCTATATAGATATATAATATCTTTCCCTCTCTCTCTCTCTCTCTCTCTCTATATATATATATATATATATATATGTATATATATCTCAAAGAGGCAAAATGGTAGTTATTTTTTTTCCTGTCAAGCTGCTGCTTCTGTAGAATTATAAGCCATTCTAAGGAAACTAGGAGAATTTTTAAAATCATCATAATAAACGGACCTGGTGTCTCTTTGGAACTTAGAACTCTGACACTGAGTAACAAATTGAGCCGTTGGGACGTTTGTATTTGGTTTCAGTTTTGCTGATGATATCACCGGAATCCGTTTCATACTTAAAAAATTATGCAGGGTTACTGGTGTTCAAGTTTGATTAGATCATGTAAGAATGAGAAAAACAGGCAGTCATTTCTGGCAAGGTATAGGATTTCCTGCTTGCATCCACATTTACCCCAATTCTTTCCTTGTGGGATGAAGTTTTTATCTGTCTCTCCATGTGTCTCTTTTCTGTTTTTTCCCCCCAATTCTACTATATGGAAATCTTTCTCGCTGGTTTCTAGATGCCTTATGCTTTTCCAAGTAATTTTATATTTTGGAAAGGTGAGGTTAGAAATGGCAGGCCCATCTCACAGCTGAAAAATTCGCCATCTGGATTTGTCTTTTCTTTACGCAGGTCCAACACGAGTATCTCTCTGAAATGTTTTTACTATGATTCAACATGAGTTTTACAGATTTAAACCACTCCCAAGAGTCTATTCATTTTTTTTTGTTTTTTTGAGACAGAGTCTGACTCTTGTGGCCCAGGCTGGAGTGCAGCGGGGGTTATATTGGCTCACTGCAACCTCCTGGGTTCAAGCGATTCTCCTGCCTCAGCCTCCCGAGTAGCTGGGATTACAAGTGTAAGCCACCACACCCGGCTAATTTTTGTATTTTTAGTAGAGATGGGGTTTCACCATGTTGGCCAGGCTGGTCTTGAACTCCTGACCTCAAGTGATTGACCTGCCTCAGCTTCCCAAAGTGCTGGGATTACAGGTGTGACCCACCATGCCCGACCCATTCATTCATTCATTCACTCATTCACAAGCTCACTCCATTCATTCATTCATTCATTCACTCACAAGCTCATTCATTCATTCATAAGCTCACTCATTCATTCACTCACAAGCTCATTCATTCATTCACAAGCTCACTCATTCATTCATTCATTCACTCAAAGCTCACTCATTCATTCACAAGCTCACTCATTCATTCACAAGCTCACTCATTCGTTCATTCACAAGCTCACTCCATTCATTCATTCACTCACAAGCTCACTCACTCATTCATTCATTTATTCAGAAGCTCACTCATTCATTCATTCGAGACCAGCCTGGCCAACATGGTGAAACCCTGTCTCTACTAAAAATACAAAAATTAGCCGGATGTGGTGGCTCACGCCTGTCATCTGAACACATGTGTCAGCCACTGCGCCCGGCCAACTTTTATATTTTTTTTAGTAGAGATGGGGTTTCACCATGTTGGTCAGGCTGATCTCGAACTCCTGACCTCAAAAGATCCACCCGCCTCGGCCTCTCAAAGTGCTGGGATGACAGGTGTGAGCCACCGCACCCAGTCCAAAGCACTCGAGTTTAATCCAGAGGTAACACAGCAAGACTTGGGGGTCTTCCAGGCTTGGAGGTCTTCCATCCAGCCTCCAGGAATGCTTTCTCCATGGAGGTGCCCCATGAAGTTGGTAATTCAAGGCCAGGCTCATGGTGGATATCAGGAAACCTGGAAGAAAGGTCAGCGCCCACGGTGGGTTGGAAGGTCCAATCCGTGCAACTTCAGACAAAAGCTTGGAACGAAGCTGGTTCACCATGGCTGGCTGAATGCTTTGGTTGGATGGAGCAGACAGAAATCTACAGTTTTTCATCTGACTTTTGCTCCTGGGGCCTCAGGAGGGGCAGAAACAGATATGAAGCAGTTTCTACCAGGGCAACAACATCTCCGCAGAAGTTTTCTTTCTTAATCCTGTTTCCAGAGTAAGGGGGAAAAAAGGTACCCGGGGGTGGGAACACAGAGCCTGGGACCTGCATGGTTTTACCTTGGCACCTGCTCAGGGCCCTATGTCCTGTGGGCTGGCTCATAATTACTTTCTCATTAAGAAAGCAATCCAGCTCATGCCTGTAATCCCAGCACGAGGCAGGTGGACCGTGAGGTCAGGAGTTCGAGACCAGCCTGGCTAACATGGTGAAACCCTGTGTCTATTAAAAATACAAAAATTACAGGCAGTGGCGGGTGCCTGTAATCCCAGCTACTCGGGAGGCTGAGGCAGGAGAATTGCTTGAACCGGGGAGGCAGAGGTTGCAGTGAGCCAAGATCATGCCACTGCACTCCAGCCTGAGTGACAGAACAAGACTCTGTCTAAAAAAAAAAAAAAAGGGCAGTCTAAGGAGTGAGTATATCAAGACTTGGGTTTGAGAGTTAATCTGCCTCTTTATCTGTGTCTCTGCGGAAGAGGGTACACCCCTTCCTCCAACCTCAAGGCAGAGCTCTGCGAGTGGCCAGAGGAATGTGGAGTCACTTTGTTATTCTACTTGTCCTACACCCAGGGTGACTTAAAAACAGCGTTTGCCTCCAAAATGCTACCATACGTCTTCCTGAAACATTCCACATTTCCCCAAACCTTTGCAAGCAGCTGGGTTAAAACCGTAGGGCACAAATGCATTCCTTCGAGGAGAACTTGGCACAGCTAATCAGGAATGAGAAGGTGTCCCTTAAAAAATAACACATTTCCCCCTTTAAGATGCTTCAAGGGGCTCCCCCGGCCCTCCAGGCATGTCTGTAATTTCCCACAATTTTGCTTTACGTCTCAATATGCTTGAATTGGATTAAGGAAAATAATCAATGTTCTCAATACGGTATTTACTTGTAATATTTTCCTTGCGCCCTAAGTTAGTTTCCCCGAGATGAAAGATGATTTTAAAAATTGCTATAGGTAATGATTTTTTATAGCTTAATTTAGATTATATTGAAAATTATGAAGGGGAGGGGAAAAAAAATCCAACAACCCAGAATTGCCTCTACCTTATTAAACATCTCCACGTTTTTGCAATTTAAATACTACACTCAGCCGTATATTTTCTGTATTTCTATTTCCACAATAAGCATTAATAACATGGTAATATCTTTATTTCCATACTGTTTCCTTAATACACCACGGGGAGCTGGAAGCCATGTTCACTCAACAATTATTTCCATGAGAAAGAGCAGATTGTAGCAAAGGGCTCAAATTTCCTCTCGTGTGGTGGAAAACACTCCTCCCTGCCTGCTGCCTTAAGTGAACGAGTGAAAAACACTCATTGGTTTAAAAAATAAATAGCACAGCTCTGTTTGCTTACAAGCCCACCTGTCCAACTTTTCTCCAGCTTCTGGGGATGTTTGTCTCCACCCGCTGCTGGGATCCAGATGTATCAGCAAGCTACCTCTGACAGTCAGCAAATTAGAAACTCCTAACAGTTTCATGCCTAACAGGCATGGTGGCTCATGTCTGTCATCCCAGCACTTTGGGAGGCTGAGGTGGGTGGATCACCTGAGGTCAGGAGTTCGAGACCAGCCTGGCCAACATGGTGAAACCCCGTCTAATACAAAAAATTAGCTGGGCCTGGTAGCAGGAACCAGTAGTCCCAGCTACTCGGGAGGCTGAGGCAGGAGAATCTCTTGAACCCAGGAGGTGGAGGTTGCAGTGAGCCGATACCATGCCATTGCACTCCAGCCTGTGCAACAAGAGTGAAATTCTATCTCAAAAAAAAAAAAAAGAAAGAAAAGAAAAGAAAAAAGAAACTGAAACAGCGTCTCCTCCTAATGTCCATGCACTGGAATTCCAAGGGAACCACAGGGTGATCAGACGCCCTGAACTAAGCAAGACCTCCCCAGCGGCTTGGATCTCAAGCTCAGTGGCCCAGATGGGGGCTTGGGTCAGTCTGAGGGAGGTACAACTACTGCCACTTAACAGAGAAGAGAGGCACCTGCTTTGGAGCTACTTCCCTGCAAGTAGGTAAAGCAATGTTTACTCCATAGAACCCCATGATAAATGAAAACGAGGCCGGGAGCAGTGGCTCACGCCTGTAATCCCAGCACTTTGGGAGGCCAAGATGGATGGATCACGAGGTCAAGAGATCGAGACCAGCCTGGCCAACATGGTGAAACCCTGTCTCTACTAAAAATATAAAAATTAGCTGGGCATGGTGGCAGGCGCCTGTAGTCTCAGCTACTCGGGAGGCTGAGGCAGGAGAATTGCTTGAACCTGGGAGGTGGAGGTGGCAGGAGAATTGCTTGAACCTGGGAGGCAGAGGTGGCTGTGAGCCGAGATCACGCCACTGCACTCCAGCCTGGTGTCAGAGCGAGACTGCACCTCAAAAACAAAAACAGAAAAAACAAAAAAAGAAAAATGAAAATGAGGTAGTCCCTTGCTAAGAAATCATTCAGGTTTTCAGCATGGCAATAACAGAACATGATGCTAAGGGCAAGACCAAAGAAGGCAAGGCTGCTGTTGTTATGCACATATCCATGAACATGGTATAACCAAACCCAGGCTCCGTGGCTCGTGGCTTGAAAACCAATCTGGAGAGTTGGTGGGAGGAAAACCAGGTTTATTTGGAGAGCTGGCAAACCAAGAATCTGTTGAACAAAAGTCCGAGTGTACCCCCTTAAATAAGTACATCTTTCAGGCTCTTTTTATATGAAGGGCATGGGAAAGAGGAGGGGGTTGGGATAGAGAGATGACCGATGGCCACGGACCTCTGAATGCTAGTCAGGGTCCAAAGAAGTTGAAGACTTTTTTGTCCTTGGTCAAGTCACCATGCTCCCAAAAATCTTTAACAAAACATAGTTGTTTTACATGTTTTCCCTTTAATCGCAGAGTTAGTTTTAAAAACTACATGATTGCGGCTGGGGGTGGTGGCTCACACCTGTCATCCCAGCACTTTGGGAGGCCGAGGCAGGTGGATCACTGCTGGGATCCAGTTGTATCAGCAAGCTACCTCTGACAGTCAGCAAATTAGGAACTCCTAACAGTTTCGTGCCTAACAGGCATGGTAGCTCATGTCTGTCATCCCAGCACTTTGGGAGTCCGAGGCAGGTGGATCACCTGAGGTCAGGAGTTCGACACCAGCGTGGCCAACATGGTGAAAACCTGTCTCTACTAAAAATACAAAAATTAGCCGGGCATGGTGGCGGGCACTTGTAATCCAAGTTACTCGGGAGGCTGAGGCAGGAGAATTGTTTGAACCCGGGAGGCGGAGGTTGTAGTGAGCCGAGATTGCACCGCTGCACTCCAGCCTGGGCAACAGAGCAAGACTCCATCTCAAACAAACAAACAAACAAACAAAGAAAAAAACTACATGATTGCTGTTTTTGTTTTATCTCTGTGCTCTGAAACTATCCTATCCTATGTGCAAGAATGGGTAAGGTCCCCTTAAACAAAAAGTAGAGTTAGATATGTTCCTTATTTTGCTGTTTCACTGTTACTGCGGCTCCTGGAGGAAATGTCATTCAGAACGAGGTTCTCAACCCTGGATGGGAGGAAGCTTTGGTGTTTAGTGTTTCTTTGTTTTGTGTTTGAGACGGGTTTTTCTCTGTCTCCCGGGCTGGAGTGCAGTGGCACAATTATACTTTACTGCAGCCTCCACTTCCTATGCTCAAGGGATCCTTCCACCTCGGCCTCCGAAAGTGCTGGGATTACAGGTGTGAACCACCGTGCCTGGCTAATTTTCTAATTGTTTCGTAGAGGTGGGGTTTCACTATGTTGTCCCGTCTGGAGTGAAACTCCTGGGTTCAAGCATCCTCCTTCCTCACCCTCCCAAAATGCTGGGATTACAGGTGTGAGTGACTTCACTGGGCTAATTTTCTCATTGTTTTGCAGAGATGGGGGTCTCACTATGTTGCCTAGGATGGGCTTATACTCCCGGGTTCAAGCAGTCCTCCTGCCTCAGCCTCCCAAAGTGCTGGGATTACAGACATGAGCCACCGGGGCTGGCAAAGCTTTGAAACTAGAATGTGGAGGTCCAGTGGTAAAGTTTTGACAAGTCTTGGAAGATGTTGGGCCATGGCAATGCTGATGATTCTTTTTTTTTTTTGGTGACAGAGTCTTGCTCTTTGTCTAGGCTGGAGTGCAATGGCACAATCTCGGCTCAGTGCAAGCTCCGCCTCCCGGGTTCACGCCATTCTCCTGCCTCAGCCTCCCGAGTAGCTGGGACTACAGGTGCCCGCCACCACGCCCGGCTAATTTTTTGTATTTTTAGTAGAGATGTGGTTTCACCATGTTAGCCAGGATGGTCTCAATCTCCTGACCTCGTGATCCGCTTGCCTTGGCCTCCCAAAGTGCTGGGATTACAGGCGTGAGCCACCGCGCCCAGCCACACCAGGCTAATTTTTGTTTTGTTTTGTTTTTTTAGTAGAGACGGGGTTTCACCATGTTGGCCAGGCTGGTCCCTGACCTTGTGATCCGCCCACCTCGGCTTCCCAAAGTGCTGCGATGACAGGCATGAGCCACCACGCCTGGCCAATGTTGATGATTCTAAACAGCACCCGCTAATGTGAAAACCATCCAACTGGAAGCCCTGGCCTTGCCCAGAGGACAGAGCCTGGGTGGTGGGCAGAGACTTCAGCTGCCTTCCAAGGCAAGCAGCTCCCTCCTCCCCGCTTGCTGGAGATTTTACTTACAGGGCAGAAGCTGGCAGGTGATTTTGGGGGCAGGAATTGCTTCCTGGATGCTGTAGGATGAACCCCACTCCCCAGGAAGGCACCCATCCTGGTGGACTAACAGAGGCAGCCCTCACCCCAAAAGGCAATGTTGTTCCACTCATTTTATGGGGTGACTCCTTCCTGTAGGTTCCTTCCAGCTTTGCCAGAAAAACACACAACATCTTTCCTGACAGGACATTGGTTTTGTTTTTGAACAGAGAGATCCTTCATTTAAAAAGTTAGGTTTTTTTTTTTCTTTCTTTCTTTCTTTTGTCATGGAATCAACCTAGATCCTAAGCCTAGCAGGTTATTATTATTTTTTTATTATTATTTTTTGAGATGGAGTCCCACTCTGTGGCCCAGGCTGGAGGGCAGTGGCGCGATCTCGGCTCACTGCAACGTCCGCCTCCTGGGTTCAAGAGATTCTCCTGCCTCAACCTGCAGAGGAGCCGGGATTAGAGGCACACGCCACCATGCCCAGCTAATTTTTGTACTTTTAGTAGACATAGGGTCTTGCCATGTTGGCCAGACTGATCTCAAACTCCTGACCTCAGGTGATCTGCTCACCTTGGCCTCCAAAATTGCTGAGAATACAGGTGTGAGCCACCACACCCAGACACAGTTTATTTTTGCTGATTTTCTCCCTCCTCCCACCGTCCACACTCAAAGAAAATGTGGTACATCTACACCATGGAATACTACGCAACCCTGAAAAGAAACAAAATCATGGGTTTTTTTTGCAGCAACATGGATGTAGCTGGAGGCCATTATCTTTTTAAAATTATTTTTATTATTTTTTATTTTTTCTATTCTACTTTAAGTTCTGGGGTATATGTGCAGAATGTGCAGGGTTGTTACATAGGTATACATGTGCCATAGTGATTTGCTGCACCCATCAACCCATCATCTACATTAGGTGTTTCTCATAATGCTCTCCCTCCCCCCCCAGTCCCCCACCCCTGCAACAGGCCCCAGTGTATGATGTTCCCCTCTCCGGGTCCATGTGTTCTCATTGTTCAACTCTCACTTATGAGTGAGAACATGTGGTGTTTGGTTTTCTGTTCCTGTGTGAATTTGCTGAGAATGATGGTTTCCAGCTTCATCCATGTCCCCCTGCAAAGGACATGAACTCATCCTTTTTCATGGCTGCATAGTATTCCAAGGTGTCTATGTGCTACATTTTCTTTATCCAGTCTATCACTGATGAGCATTTGGGTTGGTTCCGTGTCTTTGCTATTGTGAACAGTGTGGAGGCCATTATCTTAAGTAAATTCACAGAATGCTGCACATTCTCACTTATAAGTGGGAGCTAAATGTTGTGTATACGTAGATGCAGAGAAGGGAACAGATACTGAGGTCTAGTTAGGGGGAGAGAGGAAGGTAGAAGCACAAGAGTTGAAAAAACCAACTGCAGGGTGTTATGCTCACTACCTGGGTGATGGGATCACTCATACCCCAGACCTCTACATCACACATGGTACCCATGTAATAAACCTGTACATGTACCTCCCGAATCTAAACTGCTCCAACATTTGCCCCAGCAATTCCAAGACTGGTCATCTACCCAAAGGAAAAGAAGTCATTCTACCAAAAAGACAAATGCATGGTAAAGTTCCTTTTTTTTTTTTTTGAGATGGAGTCTCGCTCTGTTGCCCAGGCTGGAGTGCAGTAGCAATCTCGGCTCACTGCAACCTCTGCCTCCCAGGTTCAGGCGATTCTCCTGTCTCAGCCTCCTGAGCAGCTGGGATTACAGGCATGTGCCACCACGCCTGGCTCAGTTTTGTATTTTTAGTAGAGATAGGGTTTCACCATGTTGATCAGGCTGGTCTCGAACTCCTGACCTCAGGTGATCTGCCCACCTCAGCCCTCCAGAGTGCTGGGATTACAGTGCCCAGCCCTGTAAGGTTCATCACAGCACGACTCACAATAGGAAAGTCATGGAATCGACCTAGTTGTCCATCAGTAGGGGATCAGATAAAGCAAATGTGGTTCTTCTACACCATGGAATACTACACAGCCACGAAAAAGAATAAAATCATGTCCTTTGCAGCCACGTGGTTGTAGCTGAAGGGCATTATGCTTAATGAATTAACCCAAGAACAGAAAACTCAAATACCACACGTTCTCAACTGGATAAAGCAATTGTGGCCCTTCTGCATCATGGAATACTACACAGCCATGAAAAAGAATAAAATCATGTCTTTGCAGCCACATGGATGCAGCTGAAGGGCATTATGCTTAGTGAATTAATGCCAGGAACAGAAAATCGAATACTACATGTTCTCAACTAGATAAAGCAAATGTGGCCCTTCTACAGCATGGAATACTACAGAGTCATGAAAAAGAATAAAATCATGTCTTTGCAGGCACATGGATGCAGCTGAAGGGCATTATGCTTAGTGAATTAATGCCAGAAACAGAAAATGAATACTACATGTTCTCAACTAGATAAAGCAAATGTGGTCCTTCTGCATCATGCATCATGGAATACTACACAGCCATGAAAAAGAATAAAATCATGTCTTTGCAGCCTCATGGATGCAGCTGAAGGGCATTATGCTTAGTGAATTAATGCCAGAAACAGAAAATCAAATACCACATGTTCTCAATTAGATAAAGCAAATGGGGTCCTTCTGCATCATGGAATACTACACAGCAATGAAAAACAATAAAATCATGCCCTTTGTATTCACATGGATGAAGCTGAAGGGCACTATGCTTAGTGAATTAATGCCAGTAACAGAAAATCAAATACCACATGTTCTTGCTTATAGGTGGGAGCTAAACGTTGCCTGCGCCTGGACACAATGAAGGGACACCACAGACCCTCAGGACTAATAGAGCAGGAAGCAGGGGCAGGGGTACCAGCGTTGAAAAACTACCCTGAGGTTCTTGGAATGTCAGGCAGAAGGCAGCGACTGGAGAGATCTTTGGGTCACGGATTTTTCTGTTGCATTTTCTTGCCTGTTTGTTTGTTTTTTTCTGTCTCTCTCTCTCTTTCTTTTTTTTTTTTTTTTTTTTTTTTTTTTTTTTTTTTGAGAAGGAGTCTAGCTCTGTCGCCCAGGCTGGAGTGCAGTGGTGCAATCTCGGCTCCCTGCGACTTCCGCCTCCTGGATTCAAGCGATTCTCCTGCCTCAGCCTCCTGAGTAGCTGGGACTACAGGCACCCGCCACCACACCTGGTTAATTTTTGTATTTTTAGCAGAGACGGGGTTTCACAAGGTTGGTCAGGCTGGTCTTGAACTCCTGACCTCAGGCGATCACCCTGCCTGGGCCTCCCAAAGTGCTGGGATTACAGGCCTGAGCCACCGCACCCGGCCTCTCTTCTTATGTATTTCTAGAACTCCTCTAGAATTTGGGGTTTGTTTTTCTTAATTACAAGGAACCAAGTTGAATCATTATTGCATGTATAAATATACATTTTATATTTAATACATATTATATACCTCATGGATGTACAATGCTCAGTGCCTGGGTGATGGGATCATTCATACCCCAAACCTCAGCATCGTACAATATCCCCAGGTCACAAAGCTGCATGTGGATCTCCTGAATCTATAATAATAATAAATAAAAAGTGACTTTGTAATTCACAGGGAAACCCCCTCTGCCTCTCAGTCCCTTGGATTCCCAAAGTTTGTTTTCAACACCCCTAGGGGAAACTCAGAATCTCATTTTCAGAACGCGGGTTGTTTTTCTTAGAAGCGCTTTGCAAAACAAAATAGGAAGCAAAATCTTTCTCGCTCCTTCCGCTCCGTAATAGACAAAATAAAATGAGGGGGCAGGAATCCAAAGGCTTTGACCGCAGCTGGCAGATTTATTGTGGTACAGACCTGAAGGCAAGCAGTGTTCTCTTTGATTCTACGAACCGTACAGCCCCGGGCCGGCTGCCTTCTGCTTTCTGGATGGTGCAGGCATGAGCTCCAAGCCCAAATTTCACCGGAGCTCCAGGAATCGAGCCTGGCCCAGAGGACTCACAGCACGGGGGCCAAACATGAAACCAGTGAGCGCTCCAGCAAGGTAACAGGACAGCTGGGTGATTCTTCTTGCCGGCTCCGCCAGATTACAGCCAGAATTCCACCGAATGTGGTCTTTCTGTGTCTCTCCCCAGACAGCGAAGCTGGACAAACCTGGGGGGGTGGGGGTGGGGGGGTGCTGACTTCAGTGGGGTGTCCTGGAGAGGCAGGAACCAGGGTTTCCAGGGTGCAGATCCTGCTGAAGCAAATGGACGTGGCATCCGCGGGCAGAGCTGGCTGTGGCGTCCCCCCTCTGCCTGCGGTGTCATCAAATGCACCCAGAGACCCCTCCTAAACCTGGAGGGTGTGCTGACCTCAGTGGGGTGTCCTGGAGAGGCAGGAACCAGGGTTTCCAGGATGCAGATCCTACTGAAGCAAATGGACGTGGCATCCGCGGGCAGAGCTGGCTGTGGCGTCCCCCCTCTGCCTGCGGTGTCACCAAATGCACCCAGACACCCCTTCTAAACCTGCAGGGTGTGCTGACCTCAGTGGGGTGTCCCGGAGAGGCAGGAACCAGGGTTTCCAGGATGCAGATCCTGCTGAAGCAAATGGACGTGGCATCCGCGGGCAGAGCTGGCTGTGGCGTCCCCCCTCTGCCTGCGGTGTCACCAAATGCACCCAGAGACCCCTCCTAAACCTGGAGGGTGTGCTGACCTCAGTGGGGTGTCCTGGAGAGGCAGGAACCAGGGTTTCCAGGATGCAGATCCTGCTGAAGCAAATGGACGTGGCATCCTTGGGCAGAGCTGGCTGTGGCGTCCCCCCTCTGCCTGCGGTGTCACCAAATGCACCCAGACACCCCTTCTAAACCTGCAGGGTGTGCTGACCTCAGTGGGGTGTCCCGGAGAGGCAGGAACCAGGGTTTACAGGGTGCAGATCCTGCTGAAGCAAATGGACGTGGCATCCTCAGGCAGAGCTGGCTGTGGCGTCCCCCCTCTGCCTGCGGTGTCACCAAATGCACCCAGACACCCCTCCTAAACCTGCAGGGTGTGCTGACCTCAGTGGGGTGTCCCGGAGAGGCAAGAACCAGGGTTTCCAGGATGCAGATCCTGCTGAAGCAAATGGACGTGGCATCCGCGGGCAGAGCTGGCTGTGGCGTCCCCCCTCTGCCTGCGGTGTCACCAAATGCACCCAGACACCCCTTCTAAACCTGCAGGGTGTGCTGACCTCAGTGGGGTGTCCCGGAGAGGCAGGAACCAGGGTTTCCAGGATGCAGATCCTGCTGAAGCAAATGGACGTGGCATCCGCGGGCAGAGCTGGCTGTGGCGTCCCCCCTCTGCCTGCGGTGTCACCAAATGCACCCAGAGACCCCTCCTAAACCTGGAGGGTGTGCTGACCTCAGTGGGGTGTCCTGGAGAGGCAGGAACCAGGGTTTCCAGGATGCAGATCCTGCTGAAGCAAATGGACGTGGCATCCTTGGGCAGAGCTGGCTGTGGCGTCCCCCCTCTGCCTGCGGTGTCACCAAATGCACCCAGACACCCCTTCTAAACCTGCAGGGTGTGCTGACCTCAGTGGGGTGTCCCGGAGAGGCAGGAACCAGGGTTTACAGGGTGCAGATCCTGCTGAAGCAAATGGACGTGGCATCCTCAGGCAGAGCTGGCTGTGGCGTCCCCCCTCTGCCTGCGGTGTCACCAAATGCACCCAGACACCCCTCCTAAACCTGCAGGGTGTGCTGACCTCAGTGGGGTGTCCCGGAGAGGCAGGAACCAGGGTTTCCAGGGTGCAGATCCTACTGAAGCAAAGGGGCGTGGCATCCTCGGGCAGGGCTGGCTGTGGCTGGCCCCCCCAGCCTGGACATCCCCCCCACTGCCTGGGGTGTCACCTAATGCACCCAGAGACCTCTCGTCCAAAAGGCCATTCATGGGAAGCCTCCAGGTCTCCTCGGCAGGCAGCATCACGTCTGATTTATCTGTGTTATCAGGTAACGCAGGCCTGTTCTACCTGTGTGCGTGAGCGCATGGGTACCGTGGGGCCGTGTGTGTGTTGACGTGGGTGTGGGTGTGTGCTTGTGTGGCTGTGTGTGTGTGCCTGTTTATGTGACGATGAGTGTGTCTGTGGGTCTGTAAGACAATGTGTGTTTACATGTGTGTTTCTGTGTGAGCGTGCATTCCTGTGTTTTACGGAAGTGTGTTTTTGTGATGGTGTTTGTGTGTGTCCCTGCGTTTATTGTGTTTGTGTGTTTGTGAATATGAGTGTATGTGTGTAAATCTGTATGGCAATGTATAAATTCTTTTTTTTTTTTTTTTTGAGACGGCGTCTCGCTTTGTCACCCACACTGGAGTGCAATGGTGCAATCTCGGCTCACTGCAACCTCCGCCTCCAGGGTTCAAACGATTCTCCTGCCTCAGCCTCCTGAGTACCTGGGATTACGGGCACCCGCCACCACATCTGGCTAATTTTTCTTTTTTGATATGGAGTCTCGCTCTGTTACTCAGCCTGGAGTGCAGTGGTGCGATCTCGGCTCACTGCAACCTCTGCCTCCCGGGTTCAAATGATTCTCCTGCCTCAGCCTCCTGAGTAGCTGGGATTACAGGCATATGCCACCATATCTGGCTAATTTTTGTATTTTTAGTAGAGACGGGGTTTCATCATGTTGGCCAGGCTGGTCTCGAACTCCAGACCCTAACTGATCCAGCAGCCTCGGCCTCCCAAAGTGCTGGGATGACAGGCTTGAGCCACCGTGCCTGGCCCCAGTGTGTGAATTTTTACGTTTGTGTGTCCACGTGATTACGTGAGTCTTTTTGTGACTGCGTTTGCACGAGTGTGACTGTATGTATGTGTCTGTGTGTGCTTGTGTGATTCTGAGTGTGTGTATGAGTGTGTATGACATATGTGAGTGTCTATGTGGGTGAATGGCCATCCACGTGTTTATATGAGAGTGTTTTCATGATTCTGTTTATGCGTCTTTGTACGTATACGTGTTTGTGTGCTTTGTGAGAACATCCATGTGCCTCTGCACCCACGTGTGCATGTGAGGGTTTTTGTAATTGTGTTTGTGTGTGTGTGTCCCTGTGTTTGTGTGAGTGTGCATGTCTTTGTGTGTCCATGTGCTTCTCTGAGTGTGTTTTGTGATTCTGTCTTTGCGTTGATGTGCGTTTGTGTAAGCGTGTGGTTGCATTTGTGTCCGTGATTCTGGAGCAGGTGAGCTGATCACAAGCCTGAGTCAAGAATCCATGGAGATCATTTACAGCAGAAGCCGGGACCCTGTGCAAATCCTTCTGAAATATCCCCGATTGACTGAGCTCCTAGGGGTGGGGAAGAAAAATTCCCTGACATCTCGGCCTCAGGGAAAGAGACACCCCACTGGCAGGACGTCTCTGCTGTTTCTCAGAAGACAGCTGGGGTGTCACTCTCCCAAACGACGGTGATTTTCAGAACGGTTCACTTTGTGGAGAGACGTTTCTGCCCTGGAGATCCGTACATATTGAACCCAAATGAATATTTTTTAATTAAAAAAGTTTATATAAATATGCATTGTGTATACTTTATATTAATATATTGATATAAATAAATGTATTTTATTAATATAAACATATGATTTTTATAGTTTACATAAATAATAAAGTTACATATGGTGTATATGTAAAATATACTTTTATTTGTAATACATAATTGTATAGATTAAATTTTATATACTAAGCAAAGTTACGTGTAATATATACATGCCATATAACATCATTTATATAATATATAACTTTATGTAAATAAAATAAAATTGATCTTATATTAATACGTAATTATGTATATACACTATGTAAAAATAAAATTATATATTGTATATGCATAATTATATTTCTATAAATACACGCTTATGTGTGTATTTATACGTGAATGCCTGTGTTTGTGTGAGTCCATCAGTGAGTGCGTGAATGTGTGTGTGAGCATGTGTGTCTGTGTGAGTGTAAGAGTGTTGTACCTTTATACACACCCATTTTGTTTTCTGGTTAATAACAAGGTCTATGTTTGATTTAGGATATGAAGAATTCTTATAAGCAACCCCACACACACAATTTGTATTTATTTTAAAATATTCTTAAAATATGGATTTTTTTTATTTTTGCACAAACAGACAAGACTGTTTTTTCTTTCCAAAACTTTTATTTCAAATTCTGACACCGAGGGGGAGAAAAAGAAGAAAACATTGTGTAACCTTATATGCATTAGACACATAAGTAATTACTAAATGCAATACAGATTTCGACAACATGCTTTTAGGAAACAGGAGGAATTCAAACTCGTAGCCGCCTCAATGTTGAACTTTCTAATGTTTAATTTTTTTAATTAAAAATTATTCGTTTGGGTTCAATATGTACGGATCTCCAGGGCAGAAACGTCTCTCTAAAAAGTGAACCGTTCTGAAAATCACCGTCGTTTGGGAGAGTGACACCCCAGCTGTCTTCTGAGAAACAGCAGAGACGTCCTGCCAGTGGGGTGTCTCTTTCCCTGAGGCCGAGATGTCAGGGAATTTTTCTTCCCCACCCCTAGGAGCTCAGTCAACCGGGGATATTTCAGAAGGATTTGCACAGGGCCCCGGCTTCTGCTGTAAATGATCTTCATGGATTCTTGGCTCAGGCTTGTGATCAGCTTACCTGCTGCAGAATCACTTTCCCTCGTAGCTTCTGGGCTCAGACACCTCAAAACCAGCAAAGGGAAGTCCTCACTGGCCAACGCGTCCATCCCAACTCCCGCATCTCCCCTTAGGGCGGGTTTGGGGTCCCGGACTTCGTTACTGATCCTTTCAAAGCGGACAGGGAGGTAAGATTTTATTCTGTTTCCAGAGGTTCACGATTTCTGCAGACGGTCAGCAACTCTTTGCATCCTACTGGTAAAAGTTTTATATACTTTGTATTTATATAAATATGCATTGGGTATATTTTATATCAATAGATTGCTATAAATAAGTATATTTTATTAATATAAACATATGATTTTTATATTTTTATATAAATAATAAAGTTATATATAGTGTATATGTAAAATACACTTTTATTTGTAATACATAATTTTGTAGATTAAATTTAATATATTAAGCAAAAATATGTGTAACATATACATAACATATAACATATTTATATAACATATAACTTAATGTAAATAAGTATATAATAAAATTGATATTATATTTGTTAATACATAATTATGTATATATACTATGTAAAAATAAAATTATATATTGTATATGCATAATTATATTTCTATAAATACAATTACATACCACATATAATTATGTATAAAATAATTGTATATAAAATTATATAATAAATTTTGAAACTTTATAAATTATTATACATAGTATTTTATTGTATTAAATTTAGAAATGTGTTATATATAATAAAACCTTATATAATAAATGTAGATTATATAAAATTTTATTTATAATAAATTACCTTATGTATAATCATAATATGAGAAAATAATTACATATAACATTGTATTACAATAAATTTAGAAATGTTATACATTATTATATATAAAATTTCATTATATTAAATTTAGAAATATATATAGTAAAATGGTATATTAAAATTTTTATGTAACATTTTATTATACATGTGTAATTTTATATGTTTTGTAATATGTAGAATATAAGTACAAAAATATTTATATACAGCTACGTGTAATATAAATACATCAGTGTAAGATTTTTTTTTTTTTGTGAGACGGAGTCTCGCTCTGTCACCCAGGCTGGAGTGCAGTGACACGATCTCGGCTCACTGCAACCTCTGCCTCCCGGGTTCAAGCGATTCTCCTGCCTAAACCTCCCGAGTAGCTGGGATTACAGGCACTCGCCACCACACCCAATCAATTTTTGTATTTTTAGTAGAGATGGGGTTTCACCGTGTTAGCCAGGATGGTCTCAAACTCCTGACCTCAGGTGATCCACTCGCCTCGGCCCCCCAAAGTGCTGGGATTACAGACATGATCAACAGTGTAAGATACTAGCTATTAAAAAATAAATAAATAAATAAATATATATATATATATATAGCAACAGCTGATTTGTCTGGAAGACTTTGGTCAGAAGACAGTGTATTAAGAAGACAGTGAGTCCCTAGAGGAATATAAGAATATACATCATGTTAATATATTATATATAACATAAACAGCTAATTATATCTGTATGTATAGTATAAACATAAAGTACAAAAATATTTGTATATAACTATAATATAAATATATGTGTAAGATATTAGCTATTAAAATATACATATGTGTGTATGTATGTGTATATGTGTATATATAATATATACATATATAGCATATATAATATATAATATATAGCATAATATAAAATAATATATTGTATTATATATAAGACATAATATAATATATATTATATATAAGACATAATATAATATATATTATATATAAGACATAATATAATATATATTATATATAAGACATAATATAATATATATTATATATAAGACATAATATAATATATATTATATATAATAAAATATATAGCATATATATTTGCTATATATATATAGTATATATATAGCAACAGCTGATTTGTCTGAAAGACTTTGGTCAGAAGACACTGTATTAAGAAGACAGTGAGTCCCCAGAGGAATATAAGAATATACATCATGTTAATATATTATATATAACATAAACAGCTAATTACATCTGTACATATAGCATAAACATAAAGTACAAAAATATTTATAACTATATATAATATAAATATATCAGTGTAAGATATTAGCTATTAAAAAATATGTGTACATAAATAGCAACTGGTGATTTGTCTGGAAGACTCTGTTCAGAAGACAGTGTATTAGGAAGACAGGCAGTCCCCTCAGGAAGCGTGGGGCAGGTGGGATCTGGAGGTGACTCTGGGCTGCCAGAAGATGCCCCACTGCTTTGGGGCAGACACAGGTGGAGAGGTCCTCTCTGTAGCTTCAGCGTGGACACTGTGTGTGTCTTGTTGTGGGAGCACTTCTTTGTGCTTCCCTCTCCACTGTGACCCCGTCACATTCACTGACCTGTCCTCCTCCTTCCTCTCGCTCTCCGGGGCCCCTGTGCAAAGAGGGTCTTCCCCCCGAGCAGCAGGAACCCCCTAGACCCTCCCCATGCTCCTGGGTTCTGAACCTCAGGTACATGAGATCCTACCTGACCGGGCACAGGCTCTGTTCACCCTCAGGAACCCCTGTCCTCCCAGGCCACCGTGGACTGGAGAACTGGCCTCCTGAAAATCCAGAGAGAACTTAGCACCGACAACTTCTTTTTTCCTTTTTCTTTTCTTTTTTTTTTTTTTTGAGACAGGATCTTGCTCCGTCCCCCAGGCTGGAGTGCAACGGCATGATCTCAGCTCACTGCAACCTCCTCCTCCCACATTCAAGCAGTTCATCCTGCCTCTGTCTCCCGAGTATCTGGGATCACAGGCGTCCACCCCCACGGCCAACTAATTTCTGTGTTTTTAGTAGAGACGGGGTTTCACCATGTTGGCCAGGCTGGTCTCGAACTCTTGACCCCAAGTGATCCACCCGCCTCGGCCTCCCAAAGCACCGGGATGACACATATTAGCATGACGTATATTCTTCTGTTCCTCCGGGGACTCACTGTCTTCTTGGGCCAGTGAACCACCGTGCCCTGCCTTCTCTGTCCACATCTACACACGTGTAAATCTCTGTAGATTCTGAATTGTTTTTCCTTTTGCACAGAATGAGAGGAACTGAAGTCGGGAGGCCCAGCCCCAACATGGTCCCTCTGGCTCTGTGCTCAGGCGGTTTATGGCTGAGAAGGACTTGGGGGTTGAGGGCTTCCTATCAGCCCAGGAGACATTCCCCGGGCCTGGGGAAGCCTGCTCTGCACTTGTGGGTCTCGAATTGTCTGTTGCATTTACCTGCCTTATTATTTTTTCTTCCTGTCTCTCTTCTTACATATTTCTCTCGAATTTGGGGCTTGTTTTTCTTAACTACAATCAACGTGAATCATTATTGCATTATATAAATATAAATTTTATATTGAATAGACATTATATGCTCAATCTAGTACACATTCCAACACAGGCCATATCTAAGAGGCATATTTATATTTAATGTACAAAACATGTTTACATTTCGTATGGAAAATATACATTTATATTTAACATATATGTGTATATTTAATACAGGGAATATATATTTATATTTAATATAGAAAATGTATATTATATTTGACATATAAAAATATATGTTTATATTTAATATGGGAAATATATGTTTATGTTTAATATACAAAATACATGTTGATATTTAAAATAGAAAATGTATAGTTATATTTGCTATGCAAAATACATGTTTATATTTAATATAGAAAATATGTTTATATTTAACGTAGAGAATATATATTTATATTTAATATGGAAAATATATATTTATATTTAACATATATAGTATTTATATTTAATGTATAAAATATGTTTACATTTAATGTGCGGAATATATGCTTATATTTAATGTCTAAAATACATGTTTATATTTAATGTATTGTAAACATTAAATGTACCAAACGTATTCTTATATTTAATGTATAAAAGATGTTTATATTTAATATATAAGATATGTTTACATTTAATGGATAAAATGTTTATGTTTGATGTATAAAAGATGTTTATATTTAATGTATACAATGTTTATATTTAATGTACCAAATATATTATTATATTTAATGTCCAAAATATATTTATATATAATATATAAGGTATGTTTATATTTTATATGAAAGATATGTTTACATTTAACGTATAAAATGTTTATGTTTAATGTATACAACATGTTTATATTAAATGTATACGATGTTTTTATTTAATGTACCAAATGTATTATATTTAATGTATAAAAGACGTTTATATTTAACATATAAGTTTATATATACTTTATATATTATATATTATATATACCTTATATATTGTATAATATATAAAATATATAAAAATAAGTTATATTTAATATATAAGATATGTTTATATTTAATGTATATGTTTATGTTTAATATATAAAAGATGTTTATATTTAATGTATAAAAACATGTTTAATGTATAAATTATATTTATATTTAATGTATATTTTTATATTTAATGAATACATATATTTGTATTAATATATGAAATGTATATTCATACTTAGTATGTAAATATACACTCATATTTAATAGACAAAATGTATATCTGTATTTAGTATATAAAATGTATATTTGAGTTTAATAGATAAATGCATGTTCATATTAATATGTAAATATATGTCCATGTTTATAAAAATATATATATTTACATGCTTCTTGTCTCCTTTTCTAGATCAAGATCTTACAGTAATAGCAAAAAAAAATAAAATCCGTTTATTTTGTAACAAAACACCTTGGGCTTCCCACAGCCTGGACCAACATGATTTTATTTTAGAGCAAAGAGTGAGGTGTAAGCAGGTTTTCTGGCCCCATCGGGCGACATGTGTGGCTGGGGCAGCGCTGTGTAGGGAAGGACACAGCCAGTGGACCCTCTAGAGTTTCCCTGCATGGGGTTTCTCTCTCTTCCTCTTACAAGAAACACTTTCTGAATTTTTAGGACACCCAGTCATGAATGCAAGAAACCTGAGATGGAGTCAGCCTGGGAACAGCCGAGCTCTGAGACGGTCACATCAAGCTGTTCCCACCGTAAAACTCACTCCTGACGTCCACCTCTCCTGGGATGAAAGTGGCCAGCAGCCTCGGCCTGGCCTAGGACTCCAGAGCCCCGGGTAGTGGTGGCTGGGGTGACTGACAGGGCCTGTCTGCTCCAGCTGCCTCCCTGTCCCTGAGTCTGTCCAGCCAAGGGTCACCCTGCAATGCAGGACCTCAGTGATTCTGCACATAGGGGTCACTTTGCTCACATTCTCAAAGATAAAAATGAACCCAGTTTCAAAATCAAAAACAAAAACCAGTTGTCTGTGTAATACTCTTGCAGCAGAGCTGGTGCCCTTTCCTGCGTCTATAATTTGTAGCCTTAAGGTTGTAAAAGTCTACACTGGAAGCAAACACAAGCTCCTTCTGAACACCACCAAGAGCTCCCCTCTGGAAGCCTGGCCTCCAAAACGCCGTCTGCTTCCTCTTTTTTCTTTTTTTTGGAGAGAGTTTCAGTATTTTAAGGATCTCATTTGCTTTTGGGGAATTGCTTCCTGAGAATAAGCGCCTCCCACCCCACCCAACTACCCATCTCTGAACCATTTATTCGTTTCTCTGTCTGAGCAACCAAAGCTTTCCTAAGCTGTTGAGGGCTTAACTTTTTTTTTTTCTTTTTCTTTCTCTTTCTTTCTTTCTTTCTTTCTTTCTTTCTTTCTTTCTTTCTTTCTTTCTTTCTTTCTTCTTTCTTTCTTCTTTCTTTCCTTTCTTTCTTTCTTCTTTCCTTTCTTTCTTTTCTCTTTCTTTCTTTCCTTTCTTTTCCTTCCTTCCCTTCTTTCTTTTTTCCTTCCTTCCTTCCTTTCTTTCCTTCTTTCTTTCTTCCTTCTGTCCTCCCTTCCTCTTTCTTTCTTTTTTCTTTCCTTCTTTCCTCTTTCTTTCTTTTCTTTTCTTTTCTTTCTTTCCTTCTTCCTTCCTTCCTCTTTCTTTCTCCTTCCTTCCTCTTTCTTTGTTTCCTTCCTTCCTTCTTTCCTTCCTCTCTCTTCTCTTTTCTTTCTTTCTTTCTTTCTTTTTCTTTCTCTCTCTCTCTTCTTTCTTTCTCTGGTTTTTTTTTGACAGATTCTGGCTCTGTTGCCCAGACTGGAGTGCAGTGGCACAATCTTGGCTCACTGCAACCTCCGCCTCCGAGGTGCAAGCAATTCCCCTGTCTCAGCCTCCCAAATAGCCATGATTACAGGCACACACCACCACGCCTGGATAATTTTGTATTTTTAGTAGAGACGGGGTTTCACCATGTTGGCCAGGCCGGTCTCGAACTCCGGACCTCAGGTGATCCGCCCGCCTCGGCCTCCCAAAGTGCTGGGATGACAGGCATGAGCCACCGCACCTGCCCTGTTTGTTTTTTAATTGATACCAGGTTGCTTGTACCTGAAGTCACTCCGGTTTAGTAGAACACGGGGTGTCATCGGTAGAACTTTGTCCATAGTGTTTGCCAATTCCATCCTCAGAATCTGGCAGAACGCGTTTAAGGGGCCCAGACGAGAATCGCTTCACAGTTACGAATGGTGTAGAAATGAATGAGCAAGGCCAGGTGCAGAGGCAGCTCATGCCTGTGATCCCAGCGCTTGGGGAGGCTGAAGCAGGTGGATCATTTGAGGTCCGGAGTTCGAGACCAGCCTGGCCAACATGGTGAAACCCCGTCTCTGCTAAAAGTACAAAAATCAGCTGGGTGTGGTGGCTCAGACCTGTAGTCCCAGCTATTTGGGAGGCTGAGGCAGGAGAATCGCTTGAACCTGGGAGGCGGAGGTTGCAGTGAGCCCAGATCGCACCACTGCACTGCAGCCTGGGCGACTGACCCAGACTGTGTCTGAAGGAAAGGAAGAAAGAAAGAAAGAAAGAAAGAAAGAAAGAAAGAAAGAAAGAAAGAAAGAAAGAAAGAAAGAAAGAAAGAAAGAAAGAAAGAAAGAAAGAAAGAAGCAAATGTACACTGCTGAGGAATCTCCTTTTCCTGTGGCCGGGGCAAGATTCTTTGCATTTTTCTCTGCAGGGTAAAAACAAAACCACACACACACACACACACACACACACACACACGCACACAGCAATAAGCTTTCATCCAGCCGGCACAAGACAGTTTCCTGGAGAGTCTGTACACAGTGATTGTGCTGGGGGCTCATTTGCATATTGGTTTAAAGTACCCTGCAAACGGGCATTTGCAGAGGGGCACGGGAGAGGCTACCGGCGAATTAAGAGCTGCAGAGACGAGGGTCTGTGGCCATCACCTTTGCAGCTGCAGGAGAGAGGAGGTGATTAGGGAAGCTCCGTGTTCCCCTCTGAGCCTGGCAGGTGCGTTGTCCCCACCCTGCCCCCAGCACCGCACAGTCCATTGCAATGCAGGCCCTGCTTTTGGGTTTAGCAAAGGTAACTTCCCCTGGCACCCCCAGGCTTCTGCTTCCAGCACAGCGACTGCGACGTTGTGTTTGCACCTCGGTCCTCATACAGAATTCACCCACCTTGCACTCAATCTTCCTCTCCCGGCGGTACCATTAATATTTTAATTTCATCAGAATTTCTGGAACTGGCTTGCCATCCTGAGCAACCTAGTTACCTGTCAGCCCCTATCAGCTTGTCATATTAGAGGGGATTGTCCTAGGAACCTAATCTGCTTTAAATGATTTTCGTGGGGTGTTGGTCTATAAATCATCTCGAGGCAGGCCTGACAACGCGAAGGTTTTGGTGAATAAACAAACCACACTTGTTTTATTTTCGGCAGGCACAGACTTTGCTTTATCAACTTCTTATTGATTTCCGTGCTCCAAGAGGTCAAAAAAATGTTTTTGCTTCTCCTTTACATACAAAAACATTATTCATAGCAGAGCTGTGGGCAGAGGCAACTCTCATTAAGATAAGTTCCAAGATTCGCAGGCGAGGTGGCTGGTGGGAGAAACGACACACACCTGTTTCAGCCAAGCCCTTGGTGGAGTTTGGAGTTTCCAAAACGTTGACTCTTCCTCTTTCTGGTCAAAATAGAAATTATATGGATATTAAGGAGCCCCAAGTCTCTGCAGGGATATGGAGGAACCCTGGACATACAAATACACACACACACACACACACACACACACACACACACACGGGCACCCACACTCACCACCCCATGCCAAGAAGATACACAGAAAACTCACTCACCTTTCACTCAAGTTTGCAAATTTGGAACTGACTTAATGAAGGAAAGAAAAGTTGCAGCTACAAAGTAACACAGAGCCAATGAAAAGACAAAAACCGCCATTAGATTTTCTTCTTTTCTACAGTTTTATTTTATGTTTAACAATTATCGTTTGGATCAGGCGCAGTGGCTCACGCTCGTAATCCCGGCGCTTTGGGAGGCTGAGGTGTGAGAATCAGAAGGCCAGAAGTTCAAGGCCAGCCTGGGCAACATAGCAAGACCCCATCTCCAAAAAAAAAAAAATACAAAAATTAGCTGGACCTACTGGTGCAGACCTGTATTTCCAGCTACTGGGGAGGCTGAGGTGGAAGGATCGTTTGAGTCCAGGAGGTAGAGGCTGCACTGAGCCGTGATTGCACCACTGCACTCCAGCTTAGGCAACAGAGCAAGACCCTGTCTCAAGAAAAAATCTCCATAATGATTGTACACATTTATGACATATAATATAATGTTTCCAAGCATGTGTATATCATGTAATGACAACTCACAGTAATTATGAGATCCAGCTGCTCAGAAATCTCATTTTCCGGTGGCTGAGGAATATGTATCTTTTTTTTTTTTTGAGACGGAGTTTCGCTCTTGTCACCCAGGCTGGAGTGCAATGGCATGATCTCGGCTCACTGCAACCTCCACCTCCCAGATTCAAGCAATTCTCCTGCCTCAGCCTTCCGAGTAGCTGGGATTACAGGCATGAGCCACCACGCCTGGCTAATTTTGTATTTTCAGTAGACACAGGGTTTCATCATGCTGGTCACGCTGGTCTTGAACTCCTGACTTCAGGTGATCCACCCGCCTCAGCCTCCCAAAGTGCTGGTATTACAGGCATGAGCCACCATGCCCTGCAATATGTATCTTCCCCTTTTCCATAAGTTATTGGAGTACAGGTGGTATTTGGTGACATGAGGAAGTTATTCAATGGAGATTTCTGAGAACGTGGTGCGCCCAACACCCGAGCAGTATACATTGTATCAAATTTGTTGTCTTTTATCCCTCGTCCCCTTCCCACACTTCCCACCAACAAAATCCTCTCTTTGGACTATTTTGTAATATACAATATATTCTTGTTAAGTATTGTCACCCTGCAGAGAATTAAAACAACAGAATTTAGTCCTATTTAGTCGTAACTTTGTACACATGGACCAACCTCTCTCCATCCCTTCTTTCTCTCTCCCTTCCCCAGCTTATGGTAATCACCACTGTGCTGTCTATTCCTAGGAGATCAACTCTTTTTTTATATAATTTATTTTTTGAGACAGAGTTTTGCTCTTGTCACCCAGGCTGGAGTGCAATAGCATGATCTTGGCTCACTGCAACCTCCGCCTCCCGGGTTCAAGCGATTCTCCTGCCTCAGCCTCCCCAGTAGCTGGGATTACAGGCATGTGCCACCACACCTGGCTACTTTTTGTATTTTTAGTAGAGACGGAGTTTCTCCGTATTGGTCAGGCTGGTCTTGAACTCCTGACCTCAGGTGATCTGCCCGCCTCAGCCTCCCAAAGTGCTGAGATGACAGGTGTGAGCCACCGTGCCCGGCCAGGAGATCAACTCTTTTAGCTTCCACATGGGAGTGAGAACTGGCTGCATTTGTCTTATTTCACTTCTGGGTATGCATCCGCAGAAAATAAAACCAGTATATCAAAAAAAAAAGGGGGGAGGTCTGCACCCCCATGTTCATTGCAAGGCTATTCACGAGAGCCAACATGTAGAATTAACCTAAGTATCAGTGGGGGATGGATAAAGAAAATGTGATACACACACACCATGGAATACTATTCAGCCATCAAAAAGGAAGAAGTCTCACCACTTTGCAACAACTTAACGTTAAGGGAAATGAGCCAGCACGAGGTTTTCTTTGGTGTTTGAACTCAAAGCAGGATGGTTGTTGTGCGCATAACATGATTGCTTTCCTTAGTCCTGAAAAGAGACAAATTTCTTTTTCCTTTTTTTGAGATGGAGCCTCGCTCTGTCACCCAAGCTGGAGTGCAGTGGCGTGATCTCAGCTCACGGCAACGTCTGCCTCCCGGGTTCAAGCGATTCTCCTGCCTCAGCCTCCCAAGTAGCTGGGGTTACAGGTGCCCGCCACCATGACCCGCTAATTTTTGTACTTTTAGTAGAGATGGGATTTCACCATGTTAGTCAGGCTGGTCTCGAACTCCTGACCTCAAGTGATCCGCCCGCCTCGGCCTCCCAAAGTGCTGGGATTACAGGCGTGAGCCACTGCGCCCAGCCCCAAAATACTTGCAAATACCGAAACAGGACAATACCAGTGCAGTGATGTATGATGATTTGATTCTGGAATTGCTGTTTTGAACGTGTAAGAGTCATAAATAGAAGAGGGAGATGACAAGAGGAACCGAGGACTGTGTTTATTTGTTTATTTTTTGAGACAGAGTTTCGCTGTTGTTGCCCAGGCTGGAGTGCAGTGGTGCGATCTTGGCTCACTGCAACCTCCGCCTCCTGGGTTCAAGCGATCCTCCTGCCTCAGCCTCCCGAGTAGCTGGGATGACAGGTGCACGCCACCACGCCCGGCTAATTTTTGTGTTTTTAGTAGAGACAGGGTTTCATCATGTTGGTCAGGCTGGTCTCGAACTCCTGACCTCAACTGATCTGCCCGCCTTGGTCTCCCAAAGTGTTGGGATTTCAGGTGTGAGCCACTGCGCCCTGCCAGGGGTGTATTTTTTTAATACAAAATGAGTGTACCAAATATTCAATTACCATACCCACGCTGTGACTGACTGTTGTCCAAAGGACCAGGTGCTCAGCCCGATGACCTATGCTGAACTTTCTCTAAAAAATCTTACTCCCAATTTCACATCAGTGTGATTTTTCACTCTTGACAGTAAAATGAAACAGCGTTGTTGACCTAAAATTCCAACCATAGGATCATTGACGTGTTAAAGATATTTTATAGTAAAAGTAATTCCTAGGTTCTGTGATCGTGTAAAAATGGCTTTCTCTCTCTCTCTCCCTCTTTATACTCTCTTCTTTCTTTTCTTTCTCCTTCCTCTTTCTCTTTCATTCATTCTTTTTCTTTCTGTCTCTTTCTTCCTTTCTTCCCTCCCTACTTTCTTTCCCTCCCTACCTCTCCCTTCCTTCTTTCTTTCCTTCTTTCTTTCCTTCTTTCCTTCCTTCCCTCCCTCCTTCCTTCCCTCCTTCCTTCCATCTTTCCTCATTTTCCTCTCCTCCCTCCCTCCCTCCCTTCCTTCCTTCCTCCTTTCTCCATTCCCTCTCTCTCTCCCTTCCTTTCTTTCCTTCCTTCCTTTCTATCTTCCTCCTTTCTTTTTTGTTCCTTTCTCTGTCTTCTTCTCCTCTCTTTCTTCCTTTCTCTTTCTCTCTTCTTTTTTCTTTTTCTATCCCTCCCTCCCTCCTTTCCTTCCTTCCTTCCCTTCCTTTCTCTTCCTTCTTTCTTTCTTTCCTCTTTCTTTCTTTTCCTTTCTTCTCTTTCTTTCTTTCCTTCTTTCTTCTTTTCCTTCCTTTCTTCCTTCCTTCCTCTGTCCCTCCCTCCTTTTCTTCCTTTCTTTCTCTCTTTCACAGGATCTCACTCTGTCATTCAGACCAGAGTGTAGTGGTGCAAACACAGCTCACTGCAGCCTCAAACTCCCAGGCTCAAGGAAACCTTCCACCTCAGACTCCAGAGTAGCTGGGGCCACAGACACACGCCACCATGCCCCACTACTTTTTTTCCAGTTTTTGTAGAAATGGGGTCTCACTTTGTAGCTCAGGCTGGTGTCGAATTCCTGGCCTCAAGCAATCCTCCTGCCTCAACCTCCTAGAGTGGTGCAAATCTTCACAGAGTCCAGCCGCATCTTTCAGGAATGCATTTCTGTTGGACTTGCCGTGCGTTTAACTGACAGTGAACCAGGATGTACTCAAACAAAAGTTCAATGACTGCCCAACAAAAACATCCCATATTTTAAAGTGTTTTTAAAAAATCAGGCTGATGGGGGTTGGGGGCACCTGCTTGTGTAAGAGGAAGCACATGTGAGTTTTGTAAACTCTGGATTTTGAAAACATCATCCATGACCCTTTTGCATTTTGGATTAAGGTTTTCTCTGGCTGATAATTGACTATCATTTCTGAATCCCCAAAAATAAATGTTATACATTTTAGCTGGGGTGGGTAAAATGGACAGAGTCAAAGCTCTTAAAAAGTGACTTTTTCAAGGATCTAGAACCAGAAATGCCATTTGACCCAGCAATCCCATTACTGGGTATATACCCAAAGGATTATAAATCATTCTACTATAAAGACACATGCACACGTATGTTTATTGCAGCACTATTCACAATATTAAAGACTTGGAACCAACCCAAATGTCCATCAATGATAGACTGGATAAAGAAAATGTGGCACATAGACACCATGGAATACTATGCAGCCATCAAAAAGGATGAGTTCATGTCCTTTGCAGGGACATGGATGAAGCTGGAAACCATCATTCTCAGCAAACTATCACAGGAACAGAAAACCAAACACCGCATGTTCTCACTCATCAGTGGAAGTTGAACAATGAGAACACATGGACACAGGGAGGGGAACATCACACACCAGGGCTTGCTGGGGGGTGGAGGGTTAGGGAAGGGATAGCATTAGGACAAATACCTAATGTAGATGACGGGTCGATGGGTGCAGCAAACCACCATGGCACGTGTATACCTATGTAACAAACCTGCACGTTCTGCACATGTATCTCACACAACTTAAAGTATAATAATAATAATAATAATTAATAATAATAAAGTGACTTTGCAGTTCTCCAAGACAGGCAAGATTTCCACTGTAGAAACATTTCAAGAAACAGTGTGAGCCGTTTTAAACAGACGCTGTCACATCCAGGCAGTTATTCATCCCGCTGACTCTCAGATTACTGACCAGGGTACACGTGGTCGTATTACTGTGGCAGAAATCACTGGATGATATTATAGCTCACCATAGAATTCGAAACCTATTTTTTAATGCAATTTTTAAATACAGGCATTTGAGATAAATGTCCTTGAGTATTCTTCTGACATCTTAAAGCAGTTCCTTTCCAAATCCCTTGTGGCGTTGAGAAATGAGCTTGTAGGAAAAACGCTTAATTCTTTTTCCTGATTCGTAGCGATCAATGTTGAAATCAATCAAGTGGGGTCACATCGGCCTTTCCAAATAATAGTCCAAAGTTTTCAAATTAAAAAAAAAAAAAGCATTATGAGTTATATGAATTGGAGTAGACAGAACTGGATTTCTTTTTTTTTTTTTTCACTAGGCTTGTTTTAGGAATTATAACTTTACGATGTTCTGTAAGTTGCATGTCTGCTTTTTGAATGGCCCCTGTGGTTTTTGGAGTTCCTCTCCATGCCTGTACAAATCTCTCTGCCTCCCGAGGGGTCTCCAAAGTGGAAGATTACAGGCCACTGAGTCATGGCCGGATCCTTTTCAGGATGACAAAGCAATGCAGGCTTGGATTACAGAAGCCAGACGTGTTGCATATTAATCTACCTTCTACCCAGGAAAAGCAAAAACTGGAGGGAGAGTAAGAGCAATTAATTTAGAAGTGGCCGTGGGGAAGGCTCTTAGAGTCTAGATGAGAGAAGAGAGTCGGTTATTTACTCACAATATGGAGTTTTATTTTATTTTTATTCCCAGGGTTCTATCGGCATGAATTTCTCAGAAAAACAAAAACGAAAACACAAAACAAACAAACAAAAACCTTGAAGCCACAATGGCTGATAATTCATAAAATAATTATTCCATATAAGTCTCAGGCTGCATTTATATTTGAATTATAATTGGGATGAGAGGCAGGAAGTGCATAGGAATGACTTGTTACCACGAGCCCGCGCTCTGGAATGCAAAGCTGTAATTTTTAACGATGAAATGGCAGATATCTACACAGATCAGTGGAAAATACCTTAATTTTCCATAAATTTTCCTTCATGGTCCCCATGGGACCCGTAAGGTCTTCAACTGTGCTTGGGTGGTTTTTCTTTGGAGGAACACAGAGTTTCATCTTCTGGTGTATCCAAAGTCTCACATATGTTGCTGGCTCCCAGCAAGATGGGAAAAGAAGAAAAGAAAAAAAAAGAAAAGAAAAGAGAAGAGAAGAGAAGAGAAGAGAAGAGAAGAGAAGAAGAGAAGAGAAGAGAAGGGAGGGGAAGGGAAGAGAAGGAAGGGAAGGGAAGGAAAGGGAAGGGAAGGGAAGGGAAAGGAAGAAAAGAAAAGAATGAAGAAAAAGAAAAGAAAAGAAGATAAAAGAAAAGACAGGAAAAGAAAAGAAAGGGAAGAGAAAGGAAGAAAAGAAAAGAAATTTTACATTGATTTATTTATGGAAAATTAAATTTGTGGTCATGGGGCAACGTGTGGTGGACTGGAATATAGGCTCCCAAGAATCAGGGTGGGCATCAGAAAACAGAGCCGGGTGTGTGGAAGGCAGGAATAGCAACTCCTTCGGATTCCTGGTGGTTGCTATGCACGGTGACTTTCTTCATCTTGAAAATAATAGCGGCATTGCGTATCGTCTCACAAATACAGCACTAAATAATGAGGTAAAGAGTCTAATTCGCCCCCACATACCTCAGTCGCTGCAAGCCACACTCTAAGAAATGGTGGAGATGGTGTGCGTCTTACTGATGTAGATTTTGGGGTGGGCTCTCCAGTTTGGGAGACCAGGGTGACCTCCATGATCTCCTACTTCCCCAAGGCAGGTGTAGCACAAAACAAACACAGCTTACTCTACCCCTGATTGGGGAAAATCTCCTAAAAAAAATCCCGTCCTATCACTGTTCTTCTGTAACCCCATAACTCCTTCACCTCCCCACCTTGGGACCCACAAAGTCTCCAACTCTGTTTGGGTGGTTTTTGTTTGAGGGAACACAGAGTTTCATCTCTTGGTGTAACCAAAGTCTCACATATGTTGCTGGCTACCAGCAAGAGGAAAAGAGAAGAAAAGAAAAAAGGGAAGGGAAGAGAAGAAAACAAAAGGAAGGGAAGGGAAGGGAAGAAAACAAAAGGAAGGGAAGGGAAGGGAAGGAAGAGAAAAGAAGGGAAGGCAAAAGAAGGGAAGGGAAGAGAAGGGAAGGGAAGGGAAAGGAAGGGAAGGGAGAAAAGAAAAGAAGAAAAGAAAAAAAGAAGAAGAGGAGATAAAAGAAAAGAAAAAGAAAAGAAAAGAAATTTTACATTGATTTTTTTTTAAAGGAAGTGAATGAAATATTGAATTTTTTTTCCCCCTCCATGGTCAACCCCCAGGAAGTCTTCCCTGTTTCTATCTCTTTACCTCCTTTGATAAATGTGGGGACAAATTATTCATTGGATTCTCCCCTGCTCTACTCCTGTCTTTATTCATTTTTTTAATTACTGCAAGTACATAGTAGGTGTATATAGTTACGGGGTAGGTGAGACGTTTTCATGCCCACATGCAATATGCAGTAATCACATTAGGGTAAATAAGATATCCATGAACTCAAGCATTGAGGCTTTGTGTTACAATTCAATTATGCTCGTTTAGTTATTTACAAATGTACGATGAAGTGATTATTGATGATACTCACCCTGTTATGCTAGCAAAAACTAGGATTTATTTATTCTTTCTAATTATTTGTTGGTACACATTAACCTTCCCCACCTCTTCCACACAAACTCCCCACTATCTTTCTCAGCCTCTGAGAACCAGCCTTCTACTCTTCTATTTCCATGAGTTCAATTGTTTTCAATTTTAGCTCCTGCAAATAAGTGAGAACATGAAGAGTTTGTCTTTCTGTGCCTGGCTTATTTCACTGAACATAATGACCATCCGTTTTATTGCAAATGGCAAGATCTCATTCTTTTTCATGGCTGAATAGTATTCCATTCCATATGTGTAACACTTTTCTCTTCTTTCTTTCTTTTTCTTTCTTTCATTCTTTCTTTCTTTTTCTTTCTTTCTTTCTTTCTCTTTCTTTCTTTCTTCCTTCCTTCCTTTCTCTTTCTTTCTTTCTTCCTTCCTTTCTTCCTTCCTTCCTTTCTTTCTTTCTGTCTCTCTCTCTCTCTCCTCTCTTTTTTTTTTTTTGACAGAGTCTCGCTCTGTCACCCAGGGTGGAGTGCAGTGGTGCGATCTCGGCTCACTGCAACCTCTGTCTCCCAGATTCAAGCGATTCTCCTGCCTCAGCGTCCGGAATAGCTGGAATGACAGGCGCCCACCACCATGCCTAGCTGATTTTTCTATTTTTAGTAGAGATGGGGCTTCACCGTGTTAGCCAGGATGGTCTCGATCTCTTGACCTTGTGATCTGCCCTCTTCGGCCTACCAAAGTGCTGGGATTACAGGCGTGAGCCACCCTGCCCGGCCTTTTCTTCTTCTTCTTCTTTTTTTTTTTTTTTTTTTTTTTTTTTTGAGCAGTCTCTCTCTGTGACTCAGGCGGGAGTGCAGTGGCGTGATCTCAGCTCACTGCAACCTCTGCCTCCCAGGTTCAAGCGATTCTCCTGCCTCAGCCTCCCAAGTAGCTGGGATTACGGGCACCCGCCACCACGCCCGGCTCATTTTTGTATTTTTATGAGAGACAGGTTTCCACTGTGTTGGCCAGGCTGGTCTCGAACTCCTGACCTCAAGTGATCCATCTGCCTCGGCCTCCCAAAGTGCTGGGATTACAAGCGTGAGCCCCCTCGCCCGGCTCATTTTCTTTATCCATTCACCTGTTGATGAACACTTACGTTGTTTCCCAATCTCAGCTCTTGGGAACAGTGCTGCAATATACTATGAGATTGCAGGTATCTCAAAATAAAATAAAATAAAATAAAATAAAATAGAGCTACCATAGAATTCAGTAATCCTACTTTTTTGTATTTTTAGTAGAGACGGGGTTTCACCATGTTGGCCAGGCTGGTCTCCAACTCCTGACCTCAGGCGATCCACAAGCCTCGGCCTCCTAAACTTCAATATACTGACTTCTTTTATTGAGGGTGTATGCCCATCAGTGAGTATGATTGCTGAATTCTATGGTAGCTCTATTTTATTTTATTTATTGTTATTATTATTATTTTGAGACGGAGTCTCACTCTGTTGCCCAGCCTGGAGAGCAGTGATGGGATCTCGGCTTACCGCAACCTCCACCTCCCGGGTTCAAGTGATTCTCCTGCCTCAGCCTCCCCAGTAGCTGGATTAAGGCACCAGCCGACACTCCTGGCTAATTTTTTTTTTAATATATTTTTAGTAGAAACGGGGTCTCACCATGTTGGCCAGGCTGGTCTCGAACTCCTGGCCTCAGGTGATCTGCCTGCCTCGGCCTCCCCAATTACGATAGCTCGATTTGTAAGGGAACCTCCAAATTGCTCCCCATTGCGGTTGCACGAATTTACATCCCCACCCACAGTGGATGGGGTGAGATTACGCCTGTAATCCCAGCACTTTGGGAGGCCAAGGCGGGCGGGTTACTTGAGGTCAGGAGTTCGAGATGAGTCTGTCCAACATGGTGAAACCCCATCTGTACTAATAATACAAAAATTAGCCGGGCGTGGTGGCGGGCACCTGTAATCCCAGCTACTTGGGAGGCTGAGGCAGGAGAATCACCTGCCCCTGTCTTTAATATTGTGAAGACACATGAAGGGTGATATAGAATCAAGAAGAAGGATATCTTATTCGAGTATCAGACACTACCCCAGCTCTGTCCTCCCACAACCCCTCTGAACTTTGCTCGGAACGTAGAGGAAAAGACGTCCCTCCTGCTCCGGGAATCCCAGAAGAAAACTCCAGCCTGACAGAAGGAGGTTTATCTCCACCACCAGGACAGGAAGCTTCGCCCTGAGTGAGCAGGTCAGAAAGAAACAAGAGCTGCGTTCCCGACGTGGGGAAGGGCCCAAGCTGTGTGTTCATGGAGTCACATATTTTTCTGTGACATTTGCAGAAGGTATTTGGCCGGCCTCCTGGTAAGAGTTGAGACTGCTGGCCCTTTCTGTTTCTGTACCCCATCTCGGATGAACAATACATTCCATAGACATTCCCTAGACAGAGCCCACAGCCAGGACCCACATTTGAAGCCCCCGTGTAGACAGACACACAGTCCACAGCCAGGACCCACATTTCAAGCCCCCGTATAGATGGACACACAGTCCACAGGCAGGACCCACATTTAACCCCCGGTGTAGACAGACACACAGTCCACAGGCAGGACCCACATTTAACCCCCGGTGTAGACAGACACACAGTCCACAGGCAGGACCCATATTTAACCCCCGGTGTAGACAGACACACAGTCCACAGCCAGGACCCACATTTCAAGCCCCCGTGTACAAGGACACACAGTCACTTCTGTGATTTTGCATTCTTTTTTTTTTTTCTTAAATGGACTCCTCCCAAATGGAAACACTTCAATCCCCAAATAACTCGTCGTCCGCCCAGGACTCCTATCCAAGGGGTTCAGGCAGTGCACACAGCATATGGTTGTCTTTTTGCCTAAACAGCAAGGAGACATCGTGTGTCCCAGGGGGCGGACCCGTATGCACAATTCATGGGCGTCAGGTAAGATTCTGGAACAGTGCTCTGAAATCCAGCTGGGAAGAAAGTCAGAGGAAGTTGCAACTCACAGTTTAACACATATTAACTCTTTAGTCTGTGGATTCCTCATCGTGGAAAGGAGGAAAATGCAATCATCAAAGAAAGTGAACATTTGGGATGAAAATGACCTCCTTCCTCCTGAGGGTGGCCCCAGGCAGGGTCAGACCCCGGAACACAGACACAGTCGGGAAATCGTAACCACTGTCAGGTCCTCGCACACCTGCAATTTGGGTCTCTCAGAAACCTCATTTTAACAAACCGCATTCTCCAATTCCCTCTCTCTGTGTGCGTGTGTGTGTGTGTGTGTGTGTGTGTGTGTGTGTGTTTTGGGTTTTCTTTACCCAATCTCTTTTGGTAGTCTAGGTGAACCTCTTTTGGTATTTCTCGGATACTTCATCCCTTTTATTATTATTATTATTATTTTTTGAGATGGACTTTCACTCTGTCGCCCAGGCTGGAGTGCAGTGGCGTGATCTCGGCTCACTGCAAGCTCCACCACCCGGGTTCACGCCATTCCCGGGTATGCCTCAGCCTCCCGAGAGCTTGGACTACAGGCGCCCGCCACCACGCCCGGCTAATTTTTTGTATTTTTTTTGTAGTAGAGACGGGGTTTCACTGTGTTAGCCAGGATGGTCTCGATCTCCTGATCTTGTGGTCCACCCACCTCGGCCTCCCAAAGTGCTGGGATTACAGGCGTCAGCCAGCGCGCCCGGCAGACCCAATCTCTTTTGGATCAGATGTTTCATCCCTTTTTTTTTTTTTTTGAGATGGACCCAGGCTGGAGTGCAATGGTGCCATCTCAGCTCACTGCAACCTCCACCTCCCAGGTTCAAGAAATCCTCCTGCCTCACCCTCCCGAGTAGCTGGGACTACAGGTGCACGCCACCACGCCCGGCTAATTTTTGTATTTTTAGTGGAGATGGGATTTCACCATGTTGACCAGGCTGGTCTCGAACTCCTGACCTCAGATAATCCACCTGCCTCGGCCTCCCAAAGTGCTGGGATTCCAGGTGTGAACCACCGCGCCCAGCCTAGGACCCACACATTTTAAGCCCCGGTGTAGATGGGTGTTACCAACCCTAAACCCAAAAAGATCACTCCTATGTAGGATCATTTTGGTTTCATTTTCATAACAGGCAACATCGTACTAACTCTCAGAATCAGCTTTTCCTGGGCTCTGTGGTGAAAGATGATGTTGTCACCTGTCACTCTGCACAGAGAGAGATGCTTTCCAGCCCCCGAGAAAGGGCCCTCCATGCCTTTGGACACAAGCTCAGCTTCCTTCCCCTGTAACTCCAAAAGCATTTAAACTCTTTTCCTGGCCGGGTACGATGGCTTTTTTTTTTTTTTTTTTTTTTTTTTTGAGATGGAGTCTTGCTCTGTGGCCCAGGCTGGAGTGCAGTGGCGCGATCTCGGCTCACTGCAAGCTCCGCCTCCCGGGTTCAAGCCACTCTCCTGCCTCAGCCTCCTGAGTAGCTGGGACTACAGGCACCTGCCCCCACGCCCGGCTAATTTTTTTGTGTTTTTAGTAGAGATGGGGTTTCACCGTGTTAGCCAGGATGGTCTCGATCTCCTGACCTCGTGATCCACCCGCCTCGGCCTCCCAAAGTGCTGGGATGACAGGCGTGAGCCACTGCGCCCGGCCCAGACACTTTAAGTTACAGCAGACGGTGTCTTTCACTCCAGCGTGTGCTCAACAGATGAGTGTCTTGAGTCCAAATTAAAAACGTCAACAGTAAATCTACATTTTATATATGTTTTCTTTAATGATTTTTTTAAGGCACCAAACAGAATGAATAAAGAAGGGGAATGATGGAATGGTGGAAACTCTGTTTTTGTTTTTGTTTTTGTTTTTTCTCTCTTTCTCTCTTTTTCTTTTCCTCCTAGAGTTTGCCATGAATTACGTGTGGTCTAGCAGCCAAAGGAAGTGAACTGCAATAAACCTACAAATATAGGCTGTACAGACTCGACGTTTTTGCATTTCGAGTTAAACCCAACAAGACGTTAATTATGACCAGCCTGACCAACATGGCGAAACCCCATCTCTACTAAAAATACAAAAATGAGCCAGGCGTGGTGGCGGGTGCCTGTCATCCCAGCTACTCGCGAGGCTGAGGCAGGAGAATCACTTGAACCCGGGAAGCGGAGGTTGCAGTGAGCCAAAATTGTGCCACTGCACTCCAGCCTGGGCAAAAGAGCGAGGCACCGTCTGGGAAAAAAAAAAAAAAAAAAAAAAAAAAGGTTCATCAAATACCATGCGGTGCTTTTGCAGGTGGAAAGCTGCAGGATTGAATTGTTACAAATTATCTGCCTCCCCACAGCCTTTTTGTGTGTGTGTGAGATAGAGTCTCGCTCTGCAGCCCAGGCTGGAGTGCAGTGGCACGATCTCGGCTCGCTGCAACCTCCGCCTCCCGGGTTCAAGTGATGCTCCTGCCTCCGCCTCCCGAGTAGCTGGGATGACAGGCACCCGCCACCCTGCCTGGCTAATTTTTTGTATTTTTAGTAGAGAGACGGGGTTTCATCATGTTGGGCAGGCTGGTCTCGAACCCCTAACCTCAGGTGATCTGCCCGTCTCAGCCTCCCAAAGTGCTGGGATGACAGGCGTGTGCCACCACGCCAGGCTATTTTTTTGTATTTTTAGTAGAGACGGGGTTTCACCGTGTTAGCCAGGATGGTCTCGATCTCCTGACCTCGTGATCCACCCGCCTCGGCCTCCCAAAGTGCTGGGATGACAGGCGTGAGCCACCGCGCCCGGCCAATACCAATCTTGCTTCAACCCACTTTCCCCCTTGGTTGGTCCGAGGTGCAAACACAGATCCATACACAACACAGACACTCAAGACACACACACACACCTTTAGACAACGTACATGTATAGACACAACACAGCACGCTCAACAGACACACGCACGCATACACAACACACAGTCAACAGACACAAACATATCATACACATACAACACACACTCAAGACACAACGGCTGTACACGACACACATATATATAAATAATGCCACACACGATCAACACACACACACAACATACACTCAAGACACATCTACATAGAACACACGTGTATATACAC
Source organism: Homo sapiens (assembly GCF_000001405.40). Taxonomy (NCBI): domain Eukaryota; kingdom Metazoa; phylum Chordata; class Mammalia; order Primates; family Hominidae; genus Homo; species Homo sapiens. Next base: position 865,298 of record NC_000023.11, read on the forward strand.
AACAGACACACACACACAACACACAGTCAAGAAGCAACATCTATACACAACACACATGTATATACACAATACCACACATGCTTAACAGACACACCCACAAGACACACTGAAGACACAACATCTATACACAACACATATGTGTATACACAATGCCACACACAATCAACAGACACACACACAACACAGTCAAGACACATCTATAGAGAACACACGTATACACACAACAGACACACACAAACACACAATCAAGAAATAACATCTATCCACAACACCCATGTATATACACAATACCACACATGCTTAACAGACACACACGCAAGACACAACATCTATACAGAACACACATGTATATACACAATACCACACATGGGATCAACAGACACTAATACGCAACACACATTCAACAGACAAATGCACAAACACATCATATATAGAAGACACACACATCTATACACAACACAACACACTGAACAGACACAGAAACAACAGACACACACACAACATAACATGCTCAACAGACACACAACACACAAGAGACACGCACAAACACATCATATATACAAGACACACACATCTATACACAACACAACACACTCAACAGACACACACATACACAACACACAACAGACACACACACAACACGCTCAACAGACACACAACACACAAGAGACACACGCACAAACACATCATATATACAAGACACACACATCTATACACAACACAACACACTCAACAGACACACACATACACAACACACAACAGACACATACACAACACGCTCAACAGACACACAACACACAGACACACGCACAAACACATCATATATACAAGACACACACATCTATACACAACACAATCAACAGACACACACATACACAACACACAACAGACACACAACACGCTCAACACACACAACACACAAGAGACACGCACAAACACATCATATATACAAGACACACACATCTATACACAACACAACACACTCAACAGACACACACATACACAACACACAACAGACACACACACAACACGCTCAACAGACACACAACACACAAGAGACACACGCACAAACACATCATAAACACAACACACGCACTCAAGACACACATGGACACACAACACAGTTTAATGTAGGTTTCCTGCCGTTTTAGAACTGAAAAAAGAAGAATGAGGCGTGTGGGCTCATTGCAGAAGTTAACTAATGCTCTGAGATTTAATTTTTCAAGGAAAAAATGACCGTTTCTACATAGACATGTCCATAGACCATTTCTACAAGGAAGCACCGATTTGCAGCGTCCATCATGGGGACCTTTGTTTGCTTCCCCCTCTATGGGAAAATTACTTGGATGCCGCTCTTGTTTTAAGCCACTCTCGCCCTTGGCTGGTCCGAGGTGTAAAGACAAATGACTTTGGGATAAACGTGGGGTTTGCAGCAAAGTGTGAGCAGGAGTCACGGGCTCACCCCAGAATGTGGGGAGGCCAGACGTGGGGCCCGCTTCCTGCCGCCACTAATTAGCTTGGGTTTTATGGCCGGTCGTTAAAAAGGCCGGGTCAAACAGTTGCAAAGTTATGAAACAGCCACACAGGCTAAAGACCTGGGCTTTGCAGAGGTATGAATGTTTCGCTGTGTTGCCAACTTCTCCTGAACTTTGGCGTCCTCATGGGGAAAAAAAAATGTAAAAAAAAAATAAAAAAATAAAAAAAAATATCATATCTGCCTATTAAAAAGATTAGAAGCAAAAAAAAAAAAAAAAAAAAGAATCCAGGATTGAAGCAGGAAAAGGAGTCTTATGTCCACACAGCCAAGTCAACCTCAGCAAAATTAACTCCGTCTTTTCCGAGACGTCGTCACGATTATTATTATTATTATTTTTTGCTTCTAATCTTTTTAATAGGCAGATATGACATTTTTTTTATTTTTTTATTTTTTTATTTTTTATTTTATTATTATTATACTTTAAGTTTTAGGGTACAGGTGCACAATGTGCAGGTTAGTTACATATGTATCCATGTGCCATGCTGGTGTGGTGCACCCATTAACTCGTCATTTAACATTAGGTGTATCTCCCGATGCTATCCCTCCCCCGTCCCCCCACCCCACCACAGTCCCCAGAGTATGATGGTCACGATTATTTTTCTGTGATGACAGTAAGAGTCAGAAAATGTACCACCTTGATAAAGATATAGTTATCATTAGGTGCTTCTTGGGCCAGCTAGGAGATGATTGGGTTGTAAACTTGGGGGCTGGCTCTTGAGAAGGCATTCATTTGCTTTTGTGTTTTCACTCAGAAACCCACATTGATACTGGGCTTTGGAACTCTCCTCTGATTGCAAATTCCTGTCTTCCTAAGACAGGGTGGAGGGTTCCAGGGCTCCGTGTGTACGTAGGTGGTCAGGTCAGCCGGCCAACGCACCGACGCTACAGCAAATGATACGTATAAATTATTGGAGCACTGCGGGAATGGCAATTTGACTTTTTATGAGCCTGTAACGACGTCCCTAGAGAAGAGTGTGTATGTGTGTGTGTGTGAAATTCTGGAAAGGATTTTGCATTTTCATAGATTTGGCACCACTGACTTTAAAAGGGGCTGCTCTGGGTTTCGAATTTCTCCAGTCATCAATAAGAGCCATTTTGGTGGGGTTTTTTTCTTCTTCTTTTTTTAATGTCTGGTTTGTGCAGGAAATATAAAGATTGTAATCCTTGTTGACGAGGGGTCTTCAAAGAATGAGACTTTGGGGTGTAAAAGGGAGCTTACCCGTCTACATCTTGGGCATGGCAGTTTGGGCACCTATTTCAAGGGTGTGGGCACGAAACCACAAGCTCCTGTGAGCTCATATCGCTGCTGATGGGTTGACAGAGTAAGCGGGTTCCGGACACTGTGGCAGTTTAACCCAGACTCAGAAAAGCAAGGCAGAGATGAGACGGTCAGCTGCAAGCACCCTTTCTTCCCGTAGGCTGGTGGGCTGAGACGCTGCGTCTCTTCCTGCCTAAACCTGTTCTGGATGTTTTCACCACAAACTGGCATCTGCAATGTAACGGGCTGGAAAACGGGCAGTGTGGGGGATTGGATTGGCCCTGCTTGGGGGTGTCTCTCTTGAGGCCGTGAGCCCTGACTCTCTGCTCTCTGATCCATGAGGGTGGACTCCGGAGGCAAGGGGATGAGGCAGATAAGGGAAGGGAACGGACAGACTAGCGCTTGGAAGAAGAAAAAGGTTTAGATATTGTAAGGGTTTCCTGGGGATGCTGTCACAAGATGCCAAAAACCAGAGGATCAAACAAGAAAAATTTCATCTCTCCGCGTCCTGAACTACAGTCCTCCTAAAAACTGTATATACATCCTCAGTCTCATAGCCTGTGAACGGGACCTTATTTGGAAATAGGGTTTCTGCAGATGCAGGTAGTTAAGGATTTCAACATGAGATCATCCTGAAGTAAGGTGGATCCTAAATGCAATGACAGGTGTCTTTCTAAGAGACAGAAGAGGAGACACAGACACGGAGGAGAAGGCCACGTGGAGATGGAGGAGAGACAGGGAGGACTTCTGGACTCCAGGAAGGCCAGTATTGGGTCCACTATGATTGTGTTTAGTTCCTCCTGGAGGCTCTAGGGGAGGGTCCTTCCTGCCTCTCCCAGCTCCTGGGGGCTCCAGGCGTCCCTGGGCTTGTGGCCGCATCACTCCAGTCTCTGCCTCCGTCTCCACGTGGCCTTCTCCTCTGTGTCTGTGTCTCCTCTTCTGTCTCTTAGAAAGACACCTGCCATTGCATTTAGGACCCACCCTACTCCAGGATGATCTCATGTAGAAATCCTTGACTTAGTTACATTTGCAGAGACCTTATATCCAATTAACGTGCCATTCACATATTCTGGAAGTTAGGCTGTAGAGATAGCCTTTAGGGGGACTGTAGTTCAATTCAAAACAATTGTATTATCTTCCCTCTGGAGGCTGTAGGGGAGGGTCCTTCCTGCCTCTCCCAGGTCCTGGGGGCTCCAGGCATCCCTGGGCTTGTGGCCGCTTCACTCCAGTCTCTGCTGCCATCTCCATGTGGCCTTCTCCTCTGTGTCTGTGTCTCCTCTTCTGTCTCTTACAAGGACACTTGTTATTGGAATTAGAATCCACCCTAATCCAGGATGATCTCATCTCAATATCCTTAATTTATTACATCTGCAAATACTCTGTTTTCAAGAAGGGTTTCATTCACAGGTTCTATGAGTCAGGACATAAACGTGTTTCTTAGGGATCACCATTCAATCTACTAGAATTGTGTTCAGTTCCTTCTGGAGGCTCTAGGGGAGGGTCCTTTCTGCCTCTCCCAGCTCCTGGGGGCTCCAGGCGTCCCTGGGCTTGTGGCCCCATCACTCCAGTCTCTGCCTCCGTCTCTATGTGGACTTCTCCTCTCTAAGTGTATGGAAACTTCCCTCTTTTTACCAGGACGCGACTGATTGGATTGAGCATCCCCTCTGCTCCAGTCTTTCCTCATTATACGTCCATAATATCTGCAAAGACCCTATTTCCTACAACACCACGTTCACAGGTATGTACAGTTAGGACCTTAACAGATATTTTGAAGAAACACAATTCAGTTCACAACAGACATGTTTTTGAAGGAAACGGAAAGTCATTGATTTTTGTTTTTTTTTTGTTTTTAGTGAAGCAGATGGCAGTATTTTAAGGTAATCTTCCATACCGTGGCTCCAACTTCCTATGCAGAAAAATCCTTTTCTCTCTCAATGAGGAGCCTAGTTTTCAAGATTAGCCCAGCGTGGTGGCTCACGCCTGTAATCCCAGTGCTTTTGGAGGCTGAGGCAGACAGATCATGAAGTCAAGAGATGGAGACCGTACTGTCCAACAAGGTGAAACCCCATCTCTGCTAAAAATGCAGAAATTAGCCAGGCATGGTGGTGGATACCTGTCATCCCAGTGCTTTGGGAGGCCAAGGTGGATGGATCATGAGGTCAAGAGATCGAGACCATGCTGTTCAACATGGTGAAACCCCATCTCTACTAAAAATACAAAAATTAGCTGGGCATGGTGGTGGATGCCTGTCATCCCAGTGCTTTGGGAGGCCAAGGTGGATGGATCATGACGTCAAGAGATCGAGACCATGCTGTTCAACATGGTGAAACCCCATCTCTACTAAAAATACAAAAATTAGCCAGGCGTGATGGTGGATGCCTGTAATCCCAGTGCTTTTGGAGGCTGAGGCAGACAGAACATGAAGTCAAGAGATCGAGACCATACTGTCCAACATGGTGAAACCCCTTCTCTACTAAAAATACAAAAATTAGCCGGGCATGATGGTGGATGCCTGTAATCCCAGTGCTTTTGGAGGCTGAGGCAGACAGATCATGAAGTCAAGAGATGGAGACCATACTGTCCGACATGGTGAAACCCCATCTCTACTAAAAATATAGAAATTAGCCGGGCGTGGTGGTGGATGCCTGTAATCCCAGTGCTTTGGGAGGCTGAGGTGGATGGATCATGAGGTCAAGAGATCGAGACCATGCTGTCCAACATGGTGACACCCCGTCTCTACTAAAAATACAAAAATTAGCGGGGTGTGGTGGCTCACTCCTGTAATCCCAGCTACTCGGGAGGCTGAGGCAGGAGAATCGCTTGAACCTGGGAGGCGGCGGTTGCAGTGAGCCGAGATGGCGCCACTGAACTCCAGCCTGCTGACAGAATGAGGCTCTGTCTCAAAAAAAAAAAAAAAAAAAAAGATTTGTTCTTTTTTCCCGTTTCTAATTATCGGTGTCAGTTCCAAGGTTGTAATGATGTAATGAGTAAGACTTGATGCTGTGTGTTTGGCTGGAGTTTGTAGCTTTGAAAGGATCAAGTTGGAAGCCACATTTCTGATTCCCAGCTAAGAAAACTCTGGGGGAAATAAGTCAGGGAATGCAGAGAGGTCGGCGTTCACTTTCCAACGTGCCTGGTAGAAGTCAAATGTTCTGGCCAGGTGCGGTGCCTCATGCCTGTCATCCCACCACTTTGGGAAGGCGAGGCGGGAGGATCATGAGGTCAGGAGTTCAAGACCAGCCTGGCCAACATGGTGAAACCCCGTCTCTACTAAAAATATAAAAATTAGCAGGGTGTAGTGGTGTGCCTGTAATCCCAGCTACTCCGGAGGCTGAGGCAGGAGAATCACTTGAACCCGGGAGGCGGAGGTTGCAGAGATCACGCCACTGCACTCCAGCCTGGGTGACAGAGCGAGACTCCCTCTCCAAAAAAAAATAATAATAAATGAAAAAGAAGTCAAATGTTCCTCATGCCAGCATCGTGGTCTCTTGAGAAGACCAGGCTGAACTTGGTGAGCCTAATTCTCTGCCAGGAATGCTTTCTCTTCTGCGGGAATTCTTAGGGAAAGCCTCTCCAACAGTCTCATGCATGGACTAAAAGTTCCTTGGATCTAGGCAGGAATTTGGGAGAAATTGGGGGTTAGGCCCCTTCATAGACCCGACACACCATCCATGAGTTGCAACGGAGGTCCCCTTGCAATTTAAGCAACGCAACAAATCAGGGCAGGCAGCAGTTAACTTCTTAATTCCCCTTCGGCAATTCAAGGCTTTCACGGCGACCAGCTATTAGGCTGAGAAATTAGCTTTTACAGGAGGATTGCTCCATATTCCATATGCTGCCTTTCCCCTGGAGCTTGGAACTATAAATATCAACCCGATAATGACACGATGGTGGATTCTCATTCAGCTTGTGCATGTGTGGGTACGTGTGTGTCTGCATGCGCATGTGTGTTTGTGCATGTGTGTGCATGAATGTGTGTGAGGTTGCGTGTGTGCATGTATGTGTGCGCTCGTGTGTGCGCGCATGTGTGTGCATGTGTGCACGCATGTGTGTATGTGCATGTACGTGTGTGAGTGTGCATATGCGTGCACGTGTGCATGTATGTATGTGAGTGCGTGCATGGGTGTGCATGTATGTATGTGTGCATGTATTCTGTGTGCATGAATCTGTGAGGTTGCATGTGTGTGCACATACGTGTGTGCATGTATGTGTGTGTGCATGCGTGCGTGCATGTGTGTGAGTGTGCGTGTGTGCATGTGTATGTGCATGTACATGTGTGAGTGTGCATGTGTGCATGTATGTGAGTGTGTGTGCGTGTGCATGCATGTATGTGTGTGTATGTGTGTGCGTGTGCGTGTACGTGTGTGTGCACGCACGTGTGTGTGCATGTGTGTGTGACTGTGCCTGTGTGTGTGTGTGTAAACGAAATTCTTCAGAATGGTTTGCAATCTGGGGCTGATGTTTAATTGACAGGGGTCGGGGTGGCTGGTTATTTGGTCAAAGAAGTTGAATTAACTCCGCTGGAAATTGCAGTCCCAAAACCTAATGCTTTTCTCCAATTTCTTTTTTTTCTTTCCTTCCCGTCCCTTCCCTCCTCTCCCCTTCCCTCCTCTCCCCTCCCCTCCTCTCCCCTCCCCTTCCCTTCCCCTCTCCCCTCCCTTCCCTTCCCCTCCTCTCCTCTCCCTCTCCCCTCCCCTCCCTCTCCCCTCCCCTTCCCCTCTCCCCTCCCCTTCCCCTCTCCCCTCCCTTCCCCTCCCTTCCCCTCCCTCTCCCCTCCCTTTTCCCCTCCCCTTCCCCTCCCCTCTCCTCCCTTTCCCTGTCCACTCCCCTTCCCTGCCTTCTCCCCCTCCTTTCCCCTCCTCTCCCCTCCCCTTCCCCTTCCCTTTCCCCTCCCCTTCCCTTCCTTTCCTTTCCTTTCCTTTTTTCTTCTTTTCCTTTTGAGACAAGGTCTCACTTTGTCACCCAGGCTGGAATACAGTGGTTTAATCACAGCTCACTACAGCCCCTGCCTCCCAGGCTCAAACAATGCTCCCACCCCAGGCTCCTGAGTGTCTGGGACCACAGGCGTGCATCACCTTGCCTGGTCAGCATGGCGAGACGTCAACTCTAAAAAATACAAAAGTTAGTGGGGCATGGTGGTGCATGCGTGTGGTCCCAGCTGTTCGAGAGGCTGAGGCAGGAGGATTGCTTAAGCCTGGGAGGCAGAGGTTGCAGTGACTCGAGATCACGCCACTGCCCTCCAGCCTTGGCAACAGAGCAAGGTCTCATCTCAAAAAATATATATATATATATATAAAGAAATATATATATATATATATAAAATATATACATATATTTAAATTATATATAATGTATACATATATTTAAATTATATATAATGTATACATATATTTAAATTATATATAATGTATACATATATTTAAATTATATATAATGTATACATATATTTAAATTATATATAATGTATACATATATTTAAATTATATATAATGTATACATATATTTATATATAATGTATACATATATTTAAATTATATATAATATACATATTTGGATAGTTTTATTTATTTATTTATTGGAGTCTTGCTCTGTCCCCCAGGCTGGAGTGCAGTGACATGATCTCTGCTCACTGCAACCTCCGCCTTCCAGGCTCAAGCGATCCTCCTGCCTAAGCCTCCCGAGTAGCTGGGATTACAGGCGCCCGCCACCACCAGCTACTGGGGAGGCTGAGGCAGGAGGATCGCTTGACCCTCGGAGGCGGAGGTTGCAGTGAAGCGAGATTGCACCACTGCACTCCAGCCTGGGGGGCAGAGCCAGACTCTGTCTAAAAAAAAAAAAGAAAGAAAAAGAAAAAAAAAACCTGCACGTTGCTGGATGAGGAAGGGCCTTTTTTCAAAAAGTTGCACTTTTTTTCCCCCTATACTTTACTTCTTTGCTGTCATTAGCTAGGACTTGAAAGGGCAGGAACTCTAATTGTGTTTCCTCTGTGGGGCACAGAGTCCTGTCTCGACCCCGTCGTGCTGCCAAAGAAAACGCCGGGTTCCCTTCCACGTTGTTCATTTTCCTTTTCCTGCCCACTTAACAAAATTATATTCAATGAGTTGTGGGGGGAATTGACATCAACGGGCCGCGTCACGCAATTTCTGGTGAATATTCGAGAAGGGGGAAGCAAACAGTCCGGGTTCCTTCACATCTGTCAGAATCAATCACATTGTACCAAACCGAACGTAATCGCTTGCAAAGAAAATGAGGCATTTCCAGTGAAATCAGCCTCCCTTTACCCAGGAACATGTCCATAGTTAAGAGGTCTCTGTTTTAGGTTTTTTTTTTTTTATTTTAATCTTGCCTAATTAGTTTTTTTTTAATCACCCGTGCAACCGAGTCTCCAGACTGCATAATTGATGAGATGCAGAAGCCAGTGTCAGAAATCAAATGTCGTAAATTAAAAATAACAAGTTTGAGACGAGTGATTCAATTAAAAATCCAGAAAACATTGGATTCTGCATAACTGAACGTTTGCATAGAGACACCGCCTGTCATCCGTATCACGTTGCACCCGAGGATTGGATTGGGGCTGTCACGGGTATTTCAATCAACTCAGTAAAAAAAAAAAAAAAAAATTAGAAAACAAAGATGATATTTATTATTAACTTCCCGTGTTCAAAAACCACACGGAGACGTCTTTAGGTGGACTGCTTTACAGGACCAAGATTTATGTTAAGGGGACACTGCAGACACAAGAGGCCTGGCTGGCTGGGATGTAGGGAGGGTCCCCCTGGGACTGTTGGACCGTTTTCTGAGTACGTGAGGCTGCCAGGAGGACGGGGCTGCACAGAGCCGACTGGGACCCTCCAAGACGGACCCTGAGAAACCTCACTGGGTCCTCTCTCTCTTTTTTTTTTTTTTTTTTTTTGAGACGGCTTTTCACTCTTGTTTCCCAGGCTGGAGTGCAGTGGTGCAATCTTGGCTTTGCAACCTCTGCCTCCCGGGTTCAAGCGATTCTCCTGCCTCAGCCTCCCGAGTAGCTGGGATGACAGGCGCGCGCCACCACGCCTGGCTAAGTTTTTGTATTTTTATTAGAGACAGAGCTTCACCATGTTGGCCAGGCTGGTCTCGAACTCCTGACCTCAGGTGATCCTCAGGCATCGGCCTCCCAAAATGGTGGGATTATAGGCGTGAACCACCACACCCGGATCTCTGGGTCCTCTCTTATTTGCCCCATCTCAGCCCTGCAATTTATCTTAATAATGCTAAGGACAAATCCACTCTCCATTTCCAACATTTTATACATAGAATGACAATTCCTCTTTTTTTAATTTTTGCTTATTTATTTATTTTTTGAGACAGAGTCTGGCTCTTTTTTTTTTTAATTACAGGAGTCTCGTTCTGTTCCCCAGGCAGGAGTGCAGTGGCACGATCTTGGCTCACCACAACCTCCACCTCCCAGGTTCAAGCGATTCTCCTGCCTCAGCCTCCCAAGTAGCTGGGATGACAAGGTGCCCGCCACCACACCCAGCTAATTTTTTGTATTTTTAGTAGCGATGGGGTTTCACTGTGTTGGCCAGGCTGGTCTCAGACTCCTGACCTGGTGATCCGTCTGCCTCAGCCTCCCAAAGTGCTGGGATTACAGTTCAGCCTAACAAGGACCCAGGAACAACATATCTGCAGATAACCATAGAATCAGCTAGGATCCATGCCACCATTAAATACATGGAAGGCCCAGGTGTGGTGGCTCAGGCCTGTAATCTCAGCACTCTGGGAGGCCGAGGTGGGTGGATCACTTGAGATCAGCAGTTCAAGATCAGCATGACCAACATGATGAAACTCTATCTCTACTAAATACAAAATATCAGCCAGACGTGGTGGCAGGTGCCTGTAGTCCCAGCTACTTGGGAGGCTGAGGCAGGAGAATCCCTTCAACCTGGGAGGTGGAGGTTGCAGTGAGCCGAGATGGCACCATTGCACTCCAGCCTGGGCGACAGGAGCAAAAATTCTGTCTCAAAACACACACACAAACACGGTGGGACTAGGACTGAACCCTGATTCATGCCACTGCAGCTCAGAGGTCCTGGCTCCGCCACCTTCCCTCTGTGTGCCTCAGTTTCTTCTCCAGCCAATTGCCTAAGAGGTGGCTCAGTCAATGAGGGTATTGAACCAGTCCCTATAAACTCCATAAAATTAACCAGGGAAGAAGGGAGGGGAAGAAACGAAAATAGGCCAAGCCTGCAGAACCCTCAGCATTCATCATGAAATCAGCTTTCTTTTTTTCTTTCTTTTTTTGTGTTTTTTGGAGACAGAGTGTCACTCTGTTGCCCAGGCTGGAGTGCAATGGCATGATCTGGGCTCACTGCAACCTCCGCCTCCCAGGTTCAAGTGATTCTCCTACCTCAGCCTCCGGAGTAGCTGAGATTACAGGCATGTGCCACCATGCCCACCTAATTTTTGTATTTTCAGTAGAGATGGGGTTTCACCATGTTGGCCAGGCTGGTCTGGAACTCCTGACCTCAGGTAATCCACCCACCATGGCCTCCCAAAAGCTTTCTTTTTGACCTGCTTCCTCATAGCTGTTTGGTGCTGATTGTCCCAGAGTCACATAGATCCTAGCTTACGGTCCCCCTTCCCTGCTCTATAGGTGACAACTTAAGCATCAGGAAACATTTAGTTTTCCCTTTGAGATAGTCTTCCAGGTCCTGCATGCCAGCTACTGACACCATAGATATCTAATATTTATAATAGCTTAAAAAAATAATACTGACACCAGCTGGGCTGAAGGACCCCACAGGAGCTGACTCACCAAAGACTTCAGTTTCCCCATCCAGATGGCTTCATCCCCCTTACCCCAGCCAATTAATGACCCCAATTTTCCAGCCCCTTGTGCTTCATAATCCCTTTAAAAACTCCAGCCCAGAACTCCTCAGGGAGACAGACTTCAGGGTCTCCTCCCATATCCTCGCTCTGCACCTTGCAAGCATTGAGTTTTTTATCTGCTGCAAAGTCTGCTTTCTTGGTGTCCTGATCTGTTCATGATCCCTTTTAAAACTCCAGCCTGGCTGGGTGCGGTGGCTCACGTCTGTAATCCCAGCACTTTGGGAGGCCGAGGCAGGCAGATCACGAGGTCAGGAGTTCGAGACCAGCCTGGCCAACATGGTGAAACCCTGCCTCTACTAAAAATTAGCCAGTTATGGTGATGTGTGCCTGTAATCCCAGCTACACGGGAGGCTGAGGCAGGAAAATTGCTTGAATCTGGGAGGCGGAGGTTGCAGTCAGCTGAGATCATGCCACTGCACTCCAGCCTGGGCAACAGAGCAAGACTCTGTCTCAGAAAAAAAAGAAAAAATCTCCAGCCTACAACTCCTCAGGGAGATGGACTTCAGGGTCTCCTCCCATCTCCTCCCTCTGCACCTTGCAATCTTTGAATTCTTTCTCTGTTGCATACCCTGCTGTCTCAGTGTCTTGGTCTGTTACTCTGCAGGGAGCATTCACACGGTAGTCTTGTAACAGTACAAGGATACCTAAGTCCATACAGCTGGGGATCAAGCCATCGTTGCCCATTGGCTTCACTTTAGGGCTGTAAACTCACATTCATGTAAGGTTTCCCAATGAGTGAATTCTGTATTCCCATAAGCATTCACATTCCTAGTGTGAGAATAGCAGAGTTTAGCTGGGCTCACCTGTCTACCAGGTGTGGAGGCACCATTTGCAGTTGCATATGATGGAGCTCAAGGCTCAACTTCCCCAGCATCCCACAGTCTGACCTCACTGGGACCTTTCATGAAACTGTGACTCAGTCTCTTCTTCTTGATGATGAAATACTTTGCACAATTCAGTTCACCATTTTAAAGCACCTGGAATGTGTGAGGCACTGTGCAAACACTAATTTGGTAAACTTAGATTTCAGAAGGAGAATACCTGGCGTGGCATATATTACTATTTATTTATGGTCTATTTTATTTCTCTCAGTGAGATTTTGCAGTTATCTGACTAGACATCATATATAACTGTCAGATTTTTTCTTTAATATTACATTTTATCCTATTATAAATATTAGATATTTATGCTATTATACTATGTTTAAATATATTTTATGCTATTATAAATAAATTAATTGATGATATTATAAATAAATATAAGTTTTACATTACAATATGCTATTATATATCATATATAATAAAAGTGTATATAAATTTTATACAAAAGTTTATATGTAATATACATTATATTATAGATAATAAGTTTATATATAAACTCTATATTTGTAAACTTTATATAACCTATTATCTATAATATAGTGTATATTATAGATAATATAATGTATATATAATAAAACTTTTATTTTATATAAAATACACTTATATATATAAAATAAAACTTTTATTATATATACATAGTAAACTTTTATTTTATATATATAAAATAAACTTTTATTTTAAGTTCAAGGGTACATGTGCAGGTTTGTTACATAAGTAAACATCTGTCATGGCGGTTTCTTGTACAGATTATTTTATCAACCAGGTACTAGGCTTAGTACCCATTAGTTATTTTTTCTGATCTTTTCTCCCTGGCTTTTGCTATCATTTTATGCAAACATAAATAGTATTTTATTCCACATTATGTGAATATGTGTTATTATATGTGTTTACAAAATTAATTCTTTGTTGCCAGCATATATAACTGCAAGCTCATCAAGCTTGTTAATCTTTTTGTTCAAAGTATGCCCTTGGTTTATATGCTTGTTTTTAGTTACTGAGAAAAGTATGTTCAAATCTCTTACTACGATTGTATATATTTTACATTTTCTTTTAGTAATTTCACATTTTGCTTTATATATGTTTTAGCTGTGGTTTTATATGCATACCTATTTAGAATGTTTATGTTTCTTGATTAATAAAACATTTTAAACTAGGATTATTACTCTTTATCACTAGTTAAGACTTTATCTTAAAATGATCTTTAATTTTTTCATTTTTATTCTTTTTTATTTATTTTAATTTTTATTTTATTTATTTATTTTTTTTTTTGAGATAGAGTTTTACTCTTGTTGGCCAGGCTGGAGTGCAATGGTGCAATCTCGGCTCACTGTAACCTCCATCTCCCAGGTTCAAGAGATTCTCCTTCCTCAGCCTCCCAAGTAGCTGGGATTACAAGCACATGCCACCATGCCTGGCTAATTTATGTCTTTTCAATAGAGACAGGGTTTTTTCATGTTGGCCAGGCTGGTCTCAAACTCCTGACCTCAGGTGATCTGCCTGCCTCAGCCTCCTAAAGTGCTGAGATTACAGGAGTGAGCCACCACGCCTGGCCTTAGCCTTGGTTTTTATTAATCTGATGATCTTGTGACTAGAACCTCTAGTTTATTTCCATTTAATAAAATTATTGATACATATGTTAATATCTACCAGCTTATTAGCAGCTTTTGCTTTCTGCTGGTCTTATCTTTTTTACATATATTTTTTGTCTTATCTTCTTTTAGTGTATTTAAGTTTTTTGTTTCCTAGTATATTTCTTCTTTTAGTGTCTTTAAGGTTTTTGTTTTCTAGTATATTTCTTCTTTTAGTGTATTTAAGATTTTTGTTTTCTAGTATGTATCTTCTTTTAGTGTATTTAAGGTTTTTGTTTCCTAGTATATATCTTCTTTTAGTGTATTTAAGCTTTTTGTTTTCTAGTATATTTCTTCTTTTGGTGTATTTAAGATTTTTGTTTTCTATATATATCTTCTTTTAGTGTATTTACGGCTTTTGTTCTCTAGTACATTTCTTCTTTTAGTGTATTTACGGCTTTTGTTTTCTAGTATATTTCTTCTTTTAGTGTATTTAAGCGTTTTGTTTTCTAGTATATTTCTTCTTTTAGTGTATTTAAGGGTTTTGTTTTCTAGTATATATCTTCTTTTAGTGTATTTACGGCTTTTGTTTTCTAGTACATTTCTTCTTTTAGTGTATTTACGGCTTTTGTTTTCTAGTATATTTCTTCTTTTAGTGTATTTAAGGTTATAGTTTTCTAGTATGTATCTTCTTTTAGTGTATTTAAGGGTTTTGTTTCCTAGTATATATCTTCTTTTAGTGTATTTAAAGGTTTTGTTTTCTAGTATATTTCTTCTTTTAGTGTATTTACGGCTTTTGTTTTCTAGTGTATTTCTTCTTTTAGTGTCTTTAAGGTTTTTGTTTTCTAGTATATTTCTTCTTTCAGTGTATTTAAGGGTTTTGTTTCCTAGTATATATCTTCTTTTAGTGTATTTAAGCTTTTGTTTTCTAGTATATTTCTTCTTTTAGTGTATTTACAGTTTTTGTTTTCTAGTCTATATCTTCTTTTAGTGTATTTACGGTTTTTGTTTCCTAGTATATATCTTCTTTTAGTGTATTTACGGTTTTTGTTTCCTAGTATATATCTTCTTTTAGTGTATTTACGATTTTTGTTTTCTGGTATATTTCTTCTTTTAGTGTATTTACGGTTTTTGTTTTGTAGGCTATATCTTCTTTTAGTGTATTTACGGTTTTTGTTTCCTAGTCTATATCTTCTTTTAGTGTATTTAAGTTTTTTGTTTTCCAGTATAATTACTCTCTTCACCAGCACCATTAACTTGAAAGTAATATACTCTTTAACTAGCCTTGCCGAGGTTATCGTAAACATCACAGCACACCCCTGGGTTTTCAAAGTCTAATTCTCACTACTTTTACTCCTCTTTTCTGACAAAGCAAAAATACCTTGGAACATTTACATTCATTGCACTAGGCCGGGTGCTGTGGTTCACGCCTGTAATCCCAGCACTTTGGGACGTGGAGGAGGGCGGATCACCTGAGCTTGGGAGTTCGGGACGAGCCTGACCAACATGGAGAAACCCTGTCTCTACTAAAAATACAAAATTATCTGGGTGCGGTGGCTCACACCTGTAATCCCAGCAATTTGGGAGGGCGAGGCAGGCAGATCACCTGAGGTTGGGAGTTCGGGACGAGCCTGACCAACATGGAGAAACCACGTCTCTACTAAAAATACAAAATTCTCTGGGTGTGGTGGCTCACACCTGTAATCCCAGCACTTTGGGAGGTGGAGGAGGGTGGATCACCTGAGCTTGGGAGTTTGGGACGAGCCTGACCCACATGGAGAAACCCCGTCTCTACTAAAAATACAAAATTATCTGGGCGTGGTGGTACATGCCTTTAATCCCAGGTACTGCAGAGGCTGAGGCAGGAGAATCACTTGAACCCAGGAGGCAGAGGTTGCAGTGAGCTAAGATTGTGCCATTGCACTCCAGCCTGGTGGACAAGAGTGAAACTTTGTCTCAAAAAGAATAATAAAAATAAAAATAAAAATAAAAAACTTGTAACATCTAAATTCATGCACTTCCTCCTGATTCGGATATCACCATTGTCATGCATTTTAATTCTCTGTGTGTTTTAAATCCCTGAAGACATGATGGTTTTATAATGTCAATATATATTTACAATTACTGACATTATCTTGAGTTCTCACTGCTGTTGAGTCCTTCCTAAATTTTCATGTCACATTGGGTCAGCTTCTCTTCTGTCTTTGGAGTCCCTCTTTAATATTCCCTTTAGAGCCAGGCTGTCGGTAGCATATTTTCCCAATTTTTGCTTTTGGAAGAAGGCTTTGCTTCAACCCCGTGGCGAGCATATGTGAGGCTGTTGTTTATTAATTGAATATTCCCCCCCCCTTTTTTTTTTTTGAGACAGAGTCTCACTCTGCCACCCAGGCTGGAGTGCAGTGGTGTGATCTCGGCTCACCGCAACCTCTGCCGCCTGGTTTCAAGCGATTCTCCTGCCTCAGCCTCCCAAGTAGCTGAGATTATAGGCGCCCGCCACCATGCCTGGCTAATTTTTTGTGTTTTTAGTAGAGACGGAATTTCACCCTGCTGGCCAGGCTGGTCTCGATCTCCTGACCTTGTGATTCACCTGCCTCGGCCTCCCAAAGTCCTGCGATGACAGGTGTGAGCCACTGCGCCCAGCCTTCCTCTCCTTTTTTTTTTTTTTTTCCGAAAGAAACACAGAGTTGGAGACAGACTTCTTAGCATTGAAGGGAGAGATCTGATGAAGAGAAATGGGGCCACTTTGAGGCAGTGTCCTGGAAGGACCTGTGATTTTTACGTCTGTTGGTGTTAGGGGGAAAGGCGTGGACCAGGGTGGTAGGCAGTGGGCTAAGGGTGAGGCTCCCACCTCACAGGGAGGTGGAGAGAAAGAGATGGAGACAGAGAGACAGAGACAGAGAGGCAGAAACAGACACAGAGAGAGAGAGGGAGACAGAGATGAAGAGACAGAAACACACAGAGAGACAGTGATAGAAAGAGGGAGACGCAGAAACAGAGGGACAGATACAGAGACAGAGAGAAAGACAGACAGAGAGACACTGAGAGAGACACAGAGAGAGAAAGAGAGACAGACATATACATAGAAAGAAGGAGAGAGGCCGGGCGCGGTGGCTCACGCCTGTCATCCCAGCACTTTGGGAGGCCGAGGCGGGCGGATCACGAGGTCAGGAGATCGAGACCATCCTGACTAACATGGTGAAACCCCGTCTCTACTAAAAAAAAAAAATACAAAAAATTAGCCGGGCATGGTGGTGGGCGCCTGTAGTCCCAGCTACTCGGGAGGCTGAGGCAGGAGAATGGCGTGAACCCGGGAGGCGGAGGTTGCAATGAGCCGAGATCGCGCCACTGCACTCCAGCCTGGGTGGCAGAGGGAGACTCCATCTCAAAGAAAAAAAAAAGAGGGAGAGAGAGAGACACACACACAAAGAGAGAGAGTCAAAGAGGTAGAGACAGAGACAGACATAGAGAGAGGGGGAGAGAGAAACAGAGACAGAGAGGGAGGGAGAGACACAAAGAGAGGGAGAGACAGTGACAGAGACAGAAAGATAGGAAGAGAGAGAGAGAGACATACAGAGAGAAAGAAACAAAGACAGAGAGACAGAGGAAGAGAGAGAGAGGGAGAGACAGAGAAAGAGGGAGGGAGAGACAGAGACACACAGAGAAAGAAACAGACAGACAGAGGAAGAGAGGGAGAGGGAGAGACAGAGAAAAAGGGAGGGAGAGATAGAGACACACAGAGAAAGAAACAGACAGAGAGACAGAGGAAGAGAGAAAGACAGAGAAAGAGGGAGGGAGAGACAGAGACACACAGAGAAAGAAACAGACAGAGAGACAGAGGAAGAGAGAGAGAGAAAGAGGGAGGGAGAGACAGAGAGACACACAGAGAAAGAAACAAAGACAGAGAGACAGAGGAAGAGAGAGAGAGAAAGAGGGAGGGAGAGACAAAGACACACAAGAAAGAAACAAAGACAGAGAGACAGAGGAAGAGAGAGAGAGAGACAGAGAAAGAGGGAGGGAGAAACAGAAACACACAAAGAGACAGAGAGACAGAGGGAGAGACAGACAGAAAGAGAGAGAGACAGAGAGAGAGAACAGAAAGAAAAGAAGAGACAGAGAGAGAAAGAAGGAGGGAGAGACCAAGAGATAGACGGGGGAGAAAGAGACACAGAGAGATAGAGAAAGAGACAGACAGAGGGAGAGAGAGGGAGAGAGAGAGAGAAAGAGGGAGGAAGAGGTAGAGACAGAAACAGGGACAGAAAAGGAGAGAGAGAGAGAAACAGAGGAGGAAAGACAGAGAGAGACGGAGGCCTGGCTACACCAGACAAGACCTCCAGGCAGGTGCCCTGAGCCCACACAAGCTCTCATAGATGCGAGGGCCCCAGCTGTGCAGGGTGTGAGCAGGTCTTCCAGAGACGGGTGGCCCCATGGTGTTGCAGGTGCCTGGGAGATTTCTCCAGCAGCGCGGCCGTCCGGGGCTGTGTCCCTGGGTCCCAGTGCAGCCACGGGCACCTGCCTCTGTTTCTGATTTCACGTCGAGACCTGCTGTGTGGATGGGAACCTCATGCCCCCTCCAAGACACTGGAGAATCTGAGCTACTCAGCCTCAGCCTTCTCCCCGTTAACACTGATAAGAGTGGAGTGAGCAACCCCACAGCCCTCTTTGATAACCAGCAACGGAAATTTTAGTGGATTGTTGTGAGGTGTGGACGCTCTTCCAAATCATAACCCTGGTCTAATATTTCCTGGAAACTCAAGAGGCCTGCGGGCGTCTGTCAGACACGCCCAGTGCATCCCTCACTTCTGCTTAATCTGTCTTTGATGTGTGATGACCTGCAGGGTGTACCCTTGACAATCCTTGCGTTTCCTCCCGAAACACAATCAAAGCGTGAACCGGGTTCACACCGTACCGGGATCTCGAGTTTCCCTTCAGACAGGAGGAAGGCGCCAGCAACAGCCAACAAAATGGTAACGACAAGAAAAGTATCTGGAATTTCTGCTGTCTGTAAAGTCGGGGCGTCCTGGAGGAAACGTGAAAGGCAGAAAACGCCATCCTGCCTTCAAATTGAAGGGACAGAAAATTGCCTCTGCATGTTACAAACATAGCAAGATCTGCTTTCTCACTGCAATGAGGGAAGGCTGAGGTGCCTATGGACTTGGTGAGTCGTTTTTTTTTTTTTTTTTCTGAGACCGAGTCTCGCTCTGTCACCCAGGCTGGAGTGCAGTGGCGTGATCTCGGCTCACTGCAAGCTCCTCTTCCCGGGTTCAAGTGATTCTCCTGCCTCAGCCTCCCAAGTAGCTGGGATTACAGGCACCTGCCACCACATCCTGCTAATTGTTTGTATTTTTAGTAGATATGGGGTTTCGCCATCTTAGCCGGGCTGGTCTTGAACTCCTGACCTCAGGTGATCCACCTGCCTCGGCCTCCCAGATTTCTGAGATTACAGACGTGAGCCAAGTGAGCCAAGTGAGTCGTTTTTATTCTTTTTTTTTGAGACGGAGTCTCGCTCTGTCACCCAGGCTGGAGTGCAGTGGTGCGATCTCAGCTCACTGCAACCTCCACCTCCCGGGTTCAAGCGATTCTCCTGCCTCAGCCTCCCCAGTAGCTGGGACTACAGGCGCCCGCCACCACGCCCGGCTAATTTTTTGTATTTTTAGTAGAGACGGGGTTTCACCATGTTAGCCAGGATGGTCTTGATCTCCTGACCTCATGATCCGCCCGCCTCGGCCTCCCAAAGTGCTGGGATGACAGGGGTGAGCCACCGCGCCCGGCCAATTGTATGACATTTTTCTCATAGCAATTCAGATGAACTAAGACAAACAGTAATCACCCCTTTTCCACAAAAGTGCTTCGTGAGAAGCATAAAGACTCATGTAGACATTCTGCCGTGGGCGAACACAAGGCTTTGCATCAGGAATCCATTTGAACTGACATAGAAGAACAGGTTCTCAGGAAGTGATACGGTGAAGCCCAAACCCAGATAACAGACAGACGCCATCGCCGTCCATCAGATAATTGCTTGGAAAAGCAGGTTCTGAATTCCAAAACTATGCCAACTCTAACTGTGGATGCAATTCCCAAAATACAGCATCAGACAAACTTCAAAGCGAGAAACTGTGCCCACCGACAAGTAGAGCAGTGTTAATTAGGGACGATGCTCTTTAATCTATAAATAATTAAATGATCACGCAGCTCCCCAGAGAGGTATTAAAAAAATAAAAATAAAACATAACACACGCAAGTTATTTCACAGACCGCGGTCGATGGCCGGGACAAAGTCTACGCATTACTTTGGGATCCCGTTTGACATTCAACAAAGAGAGATGACTTGAGAAACTGGAAGATGGTGCTCAGAAAAGAAAAAAAAAAAGACACGTTTTATGGAGGTCACCTTAAACTTTAGATGGTTTGGGGTGAAAAATAGGTAAGTTGTTTAGTTTCTAGGTACCGCAATTCGAGCAGGTGCGAGACTGTCTCATGACACAGACTAACCACAGAAAATAAGTACTTTGAATTTATGAAACACTGGAGAAGAAGATCTTTTAGGAAAAAAAACAGGCCGGGTGCGGTGGCTTACGCCTGTCATCCCAGCACTTTGGGAGGCAGAGGTGGGCGGATCACCTGAGGTCAGCGGTTCGAGACCAGCCTGGCCAACATGTTGAAAACCCGTCTCTACTAAAAATACAAAAAGTAGCTGGGTGCAGTGGCACATGCCTGTAATCCCAGCTACTCTGGAGGCTGAGGCAGGAGCATTGCTTGAACCCGGGAGGCGGATGTTGCAGTGAGCCGAGATCGCACCCCTGCACTCCAGCCTGGGCGACGGAGCAAAACTCCATCTCAAAAAAAAAAAGAAAAAAAATTGGGAGGCCAAGACGGGCGAATCACCTGAGGTCGGGAGTTTGAGACCAGCCTGAACAACATGGAAAAATCCTGTCTCTACTAAAAATACAAAATTAGCTGGGCGTAGTGGCACATGCCTGTAGTCCCACCTACTTGAGAGGCTGAGGCAGGAGAATTGCTTAAACCCAGGAGGCGGAGGTTGCAGTGAGCTGAAATCTCTCCACTGCACTCCAGCCTGGGAGACAGAACAAGACTCCGTCTCAAAAAAAAAAAAATGTTTTTAGTAGATACAGTCATTTGATCTAATAATTTGTAAAAATTTACCATGTGGAATTTCTGCCACATACATGACAGCAGACGTACAATTATCATATATATTTTAAATAACTTTTCCCTTCTAAGTGCAGATAATTTGTTTTCTGGAAAACTGTCTACATAGACATTCACCAAAAACACACATGCTTTTTCATAGGACAAGAGGAAAACGCAATCTCACCTTTTCTGAATAATCACAAAATCTGAAGCAGAGATCTCAATGTTAGGGACATTTACATTTTTGTTTGTTTGTTTGTTTGAGACGGAGTCTCGCTCTGTCACCCAGGCTGGAGTGCAGTGGTGTAATCTCGGCTCACTGCAACCTCCGCCTCCCAGGTTCACGCCATTCTCCTGCCTCAGCCTCCCGAGTAGCTGGGACTACAGGCACCTGCCACCACGCCTGGCTAATTTTTGTATTTTTACTAGAGATGGGGTTTCACCGTGTTAGCCAGGATGGTCTCGATGTCCTGACCTCGTGATCCTCCCGCCTCGGCCTCCCAAAGTGCTGGGATTACAGGCGTGAGCCACTGCGCCCGGCCTGGGACATTTACATTTTTAAAGAAACTTCCAGCTGTAAGCCCAACACTTTGGGAGGCCGAGACACGCAGATCACCTGAGGTCGGTAGTTTGAGACCAGCCTGGACAACATGGCAAAACTCCGTCTCTACTAAAAGTACAAAAATTAGCCAGGCACAGTGGCACATGTCTTAATTCCAGCTACTCAGGAGGCTGAGAATCAGATGAACCTGGGAGGCTGCTGTGAGCCGAGGTCGTGCCACTGCACTCCAGCCTAGACAAGAGCGAGACTCCATCTCAAAAAAAAAAAAAAGGAAAGAAAAGAAAAAAAGAAAAGAAACTTCTCTGGAGGTGATGTCACGGGGAAGCTCAGGTCTTCAATTTTGGAAGGAAATATTCTTTTTTTTTTTCAGAGGGAGAGACAGAGAGACAGGGTCTGGCTCTGTCACCCAGGCTGGAGTGCAGAGGCATAATCACGGCTCACTATAGCCTCCAACTCCTGGGCTCAAGTGATGCTCCTGCCTCAGCCTCCTGAGTAGCTGGAACTACGCTTGTGCACCCCCATGCCTGGTTAACGTTTTAACTTTTTGCAGAGACAGGATCTCTGTATGTTGACCAGGCTTCTCTGGAACTCCTGGGCTCAAGCACCCTCCCAGCTTGGCTTCCAAACGGCTGGGATGACAGGCATGAGCCACTGCATTTGGCCTTCCGGAAGAAAATACTCTAACCTGCTGAGAGATGCTGTCTTTGATGGGCAAGCCCTCGTGGCTGCAGAAACATAGGTATCAGGCAATTTTATTTATTTTTTATTTTTATTTTATTTTATTTTAATTTTATTTTATTTTATTTTATTTTATTTTATTTTATTTTATTTTATTATTTTATTTTTTTAAGACGGAGTCTTGCTCTGGCGCCCAGGCTGGAGTGCAGTGTCGCAATCTCGGCTCACTACAACCTCCGCCTCCCGGGTTCACGCCATTCTCCTGTCTCAGCCTCCCCAGTAGCTGGGACGACAGGCGCCTACAATCACACCCGGCTAATTTTTTGTGTTTTTAGTAGAGACGGGGTTTCACCGTGTTAGCCAGGATGGTCTCGATCTCCTGACCTCGTGATCCACCCGCCTCGGCCTCCCAAAGTGCTGGGATTACAGGCATGAGCCACTGCGCCCGGCCGGAATCAGGCAATTTTAGAATAAGGTTTCCAAGCGATGACAATCTGTGCCATACACAGAAGAGAAGGCAGAGATGACGTATGAATCACTACAGCGCTTGAGGATATACCCTCTCCACGTTGGCTGATATCACCTCATTGCCTTGAGCATCCTTTGTGTTCCCTGCATCAAAGACGACCTACGTTCTGCCCTGAGTTTCTTCCTTGGAGACAGAAAAGACTCCACGACTGATAACTTTCCCTTGAGGAAATGTTCCCAGCCACGGTCCTTGACTGTGTGTTTACCATGAGGTCTGAGAGGCTATGATGAGAAGTCGGTTCTCTGTGGGGAGAATGGTGGCCTTCCACTGTACGATAATTCCAGAACCACACGATGGCATGACTCATGCCGTGGGTATTTTAAGTCATGGGACTCCTTCCCATATGAGACTTTTGAAAGGGGGTATGCTTGTTACAGCATTAACAAATACTCTTGGAGCTCACTGTTACACTTCAGTGGGCTCCCGACACTGCCTTGTGATTTGATTTTAGACAGAGCTTCTGATGTTTCCAGGCCGCCCCAGAAGCTTGTGTCTGCACCTGACCTGGGTCCTCCTTCCTCTGTTTGACTCCTCAAGTTCCTTTTTTTTTTTTGAGACAGAGTCTCTGTTGCCCAGGCTGGACTGCAGTGGTGTGATCTTGGCTCACTGCCACCTCCACCTCCTGGGTTCAAGTGATTCTCCTGCCTCCACTTCCCAAGTAGCTGGGATGACAGGCACACACCACCACACCCGGCTAACTTTTGTATTTTTAGTAGAGACGGGATTTGGCCATGTTAGCCAGGCTGGTCTCAAACCCCTGACCTCAAAGGATCTGCCAGCTTCGGCCTCCCAAAGTGCTGGGATTACAGGCTTGAGCCACCATGCCCAGCAGGTTCCAAATCCACAAAATGGCTCTGAAAAGAACAAGAAGAGACACAGACAGCACCATATGAAGAGCCTATGGTTCTTCATGGAGCCCTTCCTGTCAAGTGTAAGGAGCAAAGAAGTCAAGTTTGTTCAGCCTTAATCTAAACCAGAGGTAATTGTGCCCCCACCAGGGGCATTTGGCCATGTTTGGAGACACTGTTGGTTGTCATGACAGAAGAAGGCAAGTTATTGACCTCTGGGGGTTGATACCGGAGATGTTGCTAAACATTCTGCAAAGCACAAGACAGCTACACAACAAATAATCATCCCATCCTGTTATGAACGGAATGCTGTGTTCACCCCAAATTTATGGGATGAAGATCTAATCACCAGAGTGATGATATTAGAAGGTGTGGCTTTGGGGACATAATTAGGGTTAGATGATGTTATGATAGTTGGATCGTCTTAATAGAATTACTGCCCTTATAAGAAGAGACCAGGGTGGTGTGTTTTCTCCCTCTCTGTCTCTCTCTCTCCCCCTGTATCATGTGAAGATACAATTAGAAAGTAGCCACATGCAAACCAGGAACCCAACCATACTAGCTTTCCAACCTCTGATTTCCAGTCTCCCAAATTGTGAGAAATAAATGTTGGTGGTTGAAGCCTCCCAGTCTGTGGTATTTTGTTATAGCAGCACGTGCTGACAGAGACACTGCCAATGTGAATGGTGCTGAAATGAGGAAGCCCTGAGCTAGACTCTTCTGCAGGGTCTTCAGATAGGTGCAGGGCAAAGACCAAAACTTAGATACCCTCACCTCAAAAGAAGTCAGGGGAACATAATACAACGGGGTCAGCAGCTTATGGGTAGAAACTAGAGAATCCCTGGGGCACCTCATGATTCTCTGGTGGTCTTCATTAGTGGTTTGTTGAAGAACAGAAGTATTCGTATTTAACAATGGACGGCTGGCCCTACTCAGCAGGCAAAGATGCTATCAAACCCAATGAATCTGAAGCTGCAGGATACATGAGCTGGGTATAAAAGTGAGGCAGGGAGGGGTATCAAAAATGTCAGCCACTGCCCCCTGTCTAGACAGAGAAGCAAGGAGAGTTGTCTGCTTCAATTCCTTTCTTGCATCTGGGCTAATAAATCTCAACTTGTTTTCTTTTTAGAGATGGATAATAAATAGTCATCATTCATCAAAATGATGGGCTTCCCTATTAGAGATTGGGTGCACCAGAGGCTGAATGTACTCATACACCTTGGCTTATAAGGATGGTCTTAAAATGGGTCAGGGGAGGCATAGAGTCATGGGGCTGAGTCTTCATGACGTCATCTCTTCCCTGTGAAAATGTTTGTACACTTCTTTTTATTGATTTTATTTATTTTTTGCCACTGGCCAATGTGGATTATACAGGCTTCAAAGCCACCCTTTAAGAGATGCGGGATCTCCCAGTGTACACCAATGGTGGGCATTCCATCCTGGGGTGTGTGGATTTCTGTGTTGAATGATAGTGCAATATGGTAGAGCATCTAGGCCCACTCTGTTGTATTCTATCATCTGGAGTCCCCTGGAATCCCCTTAACACCCATTTCTGAGATTAAGCAACAAGAAAAGATGTGGAGAGAGGGACTCCTGCTGCCTTGCACCTCTAGTCATCAGAGAGTTGTTTACTGCAAGACTTCCAGTCACTTGGCATGGGTTTCAAGAACAAATAGATCCATTTAGATAAATAAATCATATCAGTATAATCAAACACCTAGTTTGGGTGATGAGACAGTAGTTTACATAAGAGATGATTGATAGCAGCCTGAAAGCTTCCCTGATTAATAAGGATCTTCATTTGTGCTTTTCAATGAGAAAGTCTTTAAATTAATTAAAGAGGCTTTAGGAGGGGAAGGAATGCTTGCCAGCTTTAGAAGGCTTTGACTTTTCTATCCATATTCTCCATAAGACACATTATTGCAAATTTGTTTTTGTAAACACCCACTCTTTATGCCATAAATATTCAACCCTCGTTTATGCGTTTGCATCTGGCAAGTGGTAGAGGGAGCCCCAGAGGCTCTCTCTCTCCTCATTAAGGAGCTCAAGTGGAAGCAGGAGCAATTTGTCATTGTCTAAAGTGGGAAGACCTTGAAATGAGTCCTGCTTTCATGAGGAACCTGCTAGAAAGACCAGCCAGGCTTTGAACAAGCACATAGGGAGGGCAGCAGGGCTGCAGCTCCTGTGTGTCCAATATAGACAGAATTCCATGTCAAAATACAGACACATCAGTTTCCCTTGTCTAAGGGGATCATTGCCTTTTCTGACAGTATTGGTGTTGACTAGGTTGACCATGGACCAGGATGGCTTCATGGATGGGGTAAGAGTTGAGGGGGTTATGGATAGACGGGGAGAGATGACATCACTAAGAATGGGTGTTTTGGGGGGATCAATATGACCAAATGTACATTGAGTGAGGGGGCTACTCACCTCACCAACCTCCAATCTTCTTCCCGACTTATATTCCTTCATATCATCTGTTACCGGGGAATAAACTTTAAATTTTACCTCTCACTGTTGTTCTTCACCAACACATGAGATGGATGAGCTCAAGCATGCTCCTGTTTTGTTCAGCATGATATTTTCCTCTTGTAGATACTCCATAAATTGTACTCAATAAATGCCCAGTCAACGTTTTTGAATTATTTAATGAATGAGCAGGTAGAAATGCAAAATAGTGGCCGAGGAGGGTGACCCCGAGGTAATCCAAGGAGAAGAGGTTTCGGCATGGTTTTCAGATGTGGTATTGTTGAAAAGGCAAGACTGGGTTGGGCCCCAGAGTGAGTAATATGCTGTGCCATGAAATTTAGGATTTATATCGAGGCCAGAAATAGCAAATACGTTTTGAGTTGTGGGTGAACTCTGAGCACTTGCCAGGTATAGTGATGGGGGTGGTTGGCAAAAGCCATGTGAGATCCCACTGGATCCAATGCGTAAAAGGATGGCTTGGGGTTAATAATGAGGGGGCTTTGGCCGGGTGCGGTGGCTCACACCTGTAATCCCAGCACTTTGGGAGGCTGAGGCGGGCAGATCACGACGTCAGGAGATCGAGGCCATCCTGGCTAACACAGTGAAACCCCATCTCTCCTAAAAATACAAAAAAATTAGCCAGGCATGGTGGCGGGCACCTGTAGTCCCAGCTACTCGGGAGCCTGAGGCAGGAGAATGGTGTGAACCCGGGAGGCGGAGCTTGCAGTGAGCCGAGATGGACCCACTGCACTCCAGCCTGGGTGACAGAGCGAGACTCTGTTTCAAAAACATAAATAAATAAATAAATAAATAATGGAGGGGCTTCCTCCATCTTTATTTTAGAGACATGTGGGATTTTCAGGTAAGGTGTTAGAATATGAAAGCAATGTCCTCTTCTCCTGGGGAGAGGCTAAAATAGGCAGAGATGGGGAAGGAAATCCTTGGGGGAGGCCCAGGCATTAGTCCAACCAGGAGCACTAAGGGCCAGAACCAGAACATGTTACTTGGCCTGAGTGTGACTTCTGGTGTAAGAAAAACAGACCCTGAAGGTCTTTGTGACACTTTAGTTTCTCCTTCTAAAGAAATGTGTGTTTATTTTACAGATACAAAGGATAACCACATTAATTCTGAGGCAGTTTTCCAAAGTATTATAATGATCCCAACAAGAAAATGGCATTTCAGTTCAAATGTTACTGAGTGCCAGGGAAACGGTTAGATACTCAGGCTGTGGAACTGGGTTGGTTGCAGGGCTCAGGATCCAGAGACAAGGAAGGCAGCATCACAAGTCAGCCACTCATAAATGCAACGTTATAAGAGTCCCAATTTCTTTTTGAGGTTTGTTCCAATCAACAGCAACTGAAACACAACTCAGACTAAGTTAGGCAAAGAAAGAAGATTGTTGACCTAATATAACTGTGAGATCCTACGATGGAGCTGACCTCAGGATTCCCAAGGACTTAAGAAATCTCTAGATAGAGAGATAGATAGATAGATAGATAGATAGATAGATAGATAGAGACATAGATAGAGAAAAAATAGATATAGATAGAATAAATAGATGATAGATAAATACATAGGATAGATAGATAAATAGATAGCTAGATGATACATAATATATATAGATATGTAGTTATTTAATAGATACATAAAATAGGTAGATAGATAAATAAGATGGATAGATACGTAATTGATAGATAACTAGGACAGATAGATACATAATAGATACATTGATACACAGGATAGATAAATGATAGGTAGATAGATAAGATGGATAGATACATAATAGATACATAGGATGGATAGATAGATAGAATAAGATGGATGATAGATAGATAGAATAAGATGGATGATAGATAGATAGAATAAGATGGATGATAGATAGATAGATAGAATAAGATGGATGATAGATAGATAGATAGATAGATAGAATAAGATGGATGATAGATAGATAGATAGAATAAGATGGATGATAGATAGATAGATAGATAGATAGATAGATAGATAGATAGGATAGATGATGGGTAGATGGATAGATGGATAGATAGACAGGATAGATGATAGATAGATAATAGATAGATAGATGGAATAAATATCATATAACTGCATAAAGAAATGTATGGAAATAAGCAAATAATCATGACTTCAATAAGATGGAAGTTTGCTTCTCTCTGATATGATAGGAGGCCAGAACAAGGGGTCCAAGTTGTTGTACAGATTCAAGATGTCAGACATCCTCCATGTTGTGCCTCCACCATTTTAGTATGTGACTTTCTACTCATGGTTCAATATGGTGACATGGTCTCCAGCCCTCACATCTCCATTGCAGCTAGCAGCAAAAGGAGAGGGAAGAGTTCACGTTCACTTTTTTAAGAAATTAAGGAGATTTTTACGGTCTTAATACATTCCTACTTACTTCCCATGAGCTCAAAGTTCATCATACTGTCACACAGAGCTGCAAGGGAGTCTAGGAAAAACAGTCTGAAAAAGTAGAGGTGGACAGCTTCTCAGGGATCCCCCAAGTTCTGGTCACTCTCTCAACTCTCTGCTTCTCTCTGTGTTCCAGACTAGATTCTCTTGGAAAAAGTCTTGGAAGATAGGATGGAAAAAAAAATCCAGCTGCTGAGGCTATAGATTTAGAGTCTGAGCTTCTCCCACCTTCTCTCAGTCTTTGCTGATCAAATTCAAGGGAAGGGTTAATTAGCCTGTCTTGCACCATATGTCTATCTCTGGGATAATCTCTGCACCTGAGAAAGGCTGGCTTCTCAGAACAGATGATTTTGTTGTTGTTGTTGTTGTTGTTAAACTTTAAAAGATGAATCAGATGTTACAATGACTCAGGGCTGGGCAGGCAAAGTCAGGGAACTAGGAAATTGATGATGGAGGCAGAGATTGAGGTGTTGGGTGTGAGGTGATGAAGTACAGACAGAGAGGCCACATCTTTCCATGTGTGAATTTATGAAAGATCTCAGACACTTAGGTAAGGATCCTGAACTGTTCTCTGCAGTTGATGAGAAACCACCAACATTGTGTGACCAGTCATGTCCACATTTATGCTTATACATATTAAATAGGTCTAAATGTGTTTAGACCTATTACCTTGGAACCCATGCATAGGATGGATCAGAAGGGATGGCACTGAAGGTGGAAGCCTGGAGCCTCTGGCATGGGATGGATGGTGGTAATGGAATCTTTGAACCTGGAGCATGGAGTGGGAAGGAAGAAGTGAGAAGGCATTCAAAGTCACCAGTAAGGCTGGGCACCATGGCTCACACCTGTAATCCCAGCAGTTTGAGAGGGCAAGACAGGCAGATCACTTGAGCTCAGGAGTTCAAGACCAGCCTGGGCAACATGGCGAGACCCCACCTCTATTAAAAATAAAAAAATAGACAAGAGTGGTGGTGTGTGCCTGTGGTCCTAGCTACTAGGGAAGATGAGGTGGGAGGATCACTTAAGCCCAGGTGGTGGAGATTGCAGTGAGCTGAGATTGTGCCACTGCACTCCAGCCCAGGTGACAGAGCGAGACATTGTCTCAAACAAACAAATTAAAATAACACACACACACACAAAGAAACAAACAAACAAAAATAACAGTCACCACAGAAGCAAACTGTTGTGTCTCTTTGATGTTGAGGGAAGAATCAAACGTGACTTCAGGGCTCTAACCTGAAAAGTTGAGTGGGAAACAAACTCCCAATAAAAGAACATAAATTATGTCTGGGGGAGAAAAGAAGACAAAGTTGAGTTCAGCCTTTGCTTTATTGATTCTTCTTCTGAAGGGGGTTCTTCTAAAACAAGGAGTCACATTTAGCCTTTGCTAGTTCTTCTCCTCTTCCCAAAGGGGTTTTTCTAAATGTTGGGCTGAACTAGGGCTCAAACATAAGCTTCCTTCTCTCTCCGGGGGATCTCACTCAGCTCCAAGACTTGACACATCCACTCAAAATCCTAAATTCCTATCTCTGGATTTGACATCTTTTCTCTATTTCAGATTCAGCATGTAACTGTATCCTCAACTTCTCAGCTCAGGAAAATGATTAGGGTTTTCAAGTTAACCCATCCCAAACCATCTGGACAGCCTTCACTGGATTCACCACCACCCCTGACAAGTGTTTTGGCAGAAGATTTTGGAAACTTTGAACTCTCCTTTCTCTCATCTCCCCCTTATACAATTCATTGGCAAGTCTCTTGAATGACCTCAAACATTTGTCAAAATGGATCAGATTTTCCTGCCTTTGCCTTCTTCGCCCTGATGCATGACGTATGTCATCTGGATCATGGCCACATCCTCTTGATTGATCTTTTGGCTTCTGTCCTGGTTTCTGCTTTGATCCTGGAATTATTCTTAAGCAGAGAAATCTTTTTAAAATGGAGATGATTTTTAGCTTGTGGCCCTCATCCCTTCCTATTGACTAAATAGCAGTTTCCCAAAATTTGTATGTTGAAGGCCTAACCCCTACTGGTTATGTCCCTCCAAAATGCACCATACTGAAGCCCTAATCCCCAATGGGATGATATTAGGAGGTGAAGTCTCTGGAGGTGATGAGGTTTAGATGAGGTCATGAGGATGGGACCTTCATGATGGGATTAGTATCCTTATAAGAAGAGCAAGAGACACAAAAGCTCTCTCTCTATCTCTTTCTCTCTCTGAAGGCACCATCTGTGAACCAGCAAGAGAACCCCCTCCAGCCAATAAATCTGCCATGCCTCGAACTCGGACTTTCCCATCTCCAGAACTATGAGAAATCAATGGCTGTTACTTAAGCCACCCAGTCTATGATTTTTGTTATGGCAACCCAAGCTGACTAAGACATCCCTCATGCCACTCAAAACCCTCCAATAATTTCACATCAAAGTTGGAATACAATCTGACTACTTCCCTATGGCTTCTTTGTAACTCTGTCCCTGGCAACTTGCTCCAATTGGGACTCTGCGGTCCCAATAAAAGAATGTAAATTATGTCTGGGGGAGAAAATAAAACAAAGTTGAGTTCAGCCTTGGCTTTATTGATTCTTCTTCTGAAGAGGGTTCTTCTAAAACAAGGAGTCACATTTAGCCTTTGCTGGTTCTTCTTTGCTACCTCCTTGGGCGTCCCCCCAGTCATGCCAAATTCATTCCTGTTGCAGACCTCCAGCACATTACTCCTTCTGTGAGTGTCCTGTGGCCGCCATCACCAATGATCATGTTCGTATTGGCTTAAAGCAACACAAATGTATTGTCTTACAGTGTTGTAGGTTTGAAGCCCACTCTAGGTCTCACTGGCCTAAAACCAAGGTGTCAGCAAAACTTCCCTCTTGATGCAAGTTCTGGGGGAGAATCAGTTTCTTTGCCATTTCCTACTTCTAGAGGCATGTTTCTAGAATATTCCTTGGCTCCTGGACCCTTCCTCCATCTTCGAAGCCAGTACTGCAGCATCTTCTAATCTTTCTGTGACTCTGACCTTTGCTTTTGTCCTAACAACACCTCCTCTGGCTCTGGCACTCCTGCCTGCCTCTTACAAAGATCCTGTGATGACCTTAGACCCACCTAGATAATCCAGGGTCATTTCATCTCATGATTCTTAAACTAATCACATCTGCAAAATCTTTTTAGCCATGAAAGGTTTTTACAGATTTCTGGAATTAGGATGTGGATGTTTTTTTTTGAGGGGGGGCAGGGGGCGCTTACTCTGTCAACCACATGGGGATTAGGATGTAGACATCCTTGGGGCCATTATTCTGTCTACTACCTAGTATTAGGACATGGACGTCTTTGGGACCATTATTCTCTGTACCACATGAGGATTAGGACATGGGCATCTTTGGGACCATTATTCTGTCTACCACATGGGGATTAGGACGTGGACATCTTTGAGGTCATTATTCTGTCTGCTGCATGAGAATTAGGACATAGACGTTGTTTGGGGCCATTATTCTACTACATGAGGATGAGGATGTGGATATCTTTCATGCTATCATGCTGTCTACTACATGAAGATAAGGATGTGGGCATCTTTGGGACCATTATTCTGTCTACCACATGAGGATTAGGAAGTGGACGTCTTGGAATCCATTATTCGGCCTACCCCATGGGATTAGAATGTGGACATCTTTAGGGCCATTATACTGTCTACCTCACGGGGATTAGGATGTGGACATCTTTAGGGCCATTATTCTGTCTACCACATGGGGAATAGGATGTTGGTAACATCTTTAGGGCCATTATTCTGTCTCCCACATGAGGATTAGGATGTGGACATCTCTGGGGACATTATTCTGTCTACCACATGGGGAATAGGATGTTGGTAACATTTTTAGGGCCATTATTCTGTCTCCCACATGGGGATTAGGACATGGATATCTTTGGGGCCATTATTCTGTCTACCCCTAGATAATTAGAACTTGGACATCTTTGGTGAAATCACTTTGTCTTCCTCCTTTCTTATTCTTAGAATTCTCCTAGTAACAAGCTGCTTCTTCCTCAACTTCTTCTTCCTCAGCATTCCTATGGGGCCTCCAACACTCACCAGGCAGCTCCCTGACTGCATTACCCGAGATTGTATTTGGCCAAGATTCTCTGCTTTCTCTTGGTACCTCCAAGCAGGATGGAAGCTTTAGAGGGCAGTGTCTTTGTTACTCTTTCTTATTCTAATTGTTTATTCTTATTTATTGACGTGTCTCCTGCTTTCAAGGCAGACTCCCACCCATTAGGTCTTCTATATACAATTAAATTTACCTAGAAAATATTTCCTTCTTATTTAAAGCTTTTTAAAAGTAAATTTCAAAATTGCTATATCATGTTACAAATTCACGTGCCTCCCGTGAAGAATACATTTGCAAAATAAATGATGTCTTGAGACTAAATGAATTTTCAATGAAGATTTTAGAGACTCTTTTTTTTTTTTTTTTTTTTTTTTTTTTTTTTAGACAGAGTCTCACTCTGTCACCCTGGCTGTAGTGCAGTGGCGTGATCTCGGTTCACTGCAACCTCCGCCTCCCGGGTTCAAGCAATTCTCCTGCCTCAGCCTCCCAAGTAGATGGAATTACAGGCACCTGCCACCGTGGCTGGCTAATTTTTGTATTTTTAGTAGAGACAGGATTTCACCTTCTTGGCCAGGCTGGCCTTGAACTCCTGACCTCAGGTAATCCACCCACCTCGGCCTCCCAAAGTGCTGGGATTACAGATGTGAGCCACCGTGCCCGGCCGAGACTCTTTTTAATACATGCTTTGGTTCTAATAAAATTCCCCCTTGAGCTGTTTGGACAGATGACAGGGAAGAAATCATTTACAATTCTCTTAATAAAACCCCCATGAATAATAACCCATTTCCCCCCAAAATAGAAAAGGGAACTATTTCCCCCTGCTCTTTGAGGGAACTGAATAAATAGTAAATGAAGTTCTGTCTGTACAGGAAGCGTGGGTACTTGGCATTACATCCAGAAAAGTAAGGACATGAGTGTTTTCTTCCAAACGAATGACATGTTTAAAAACCATCATCACCACCCTCTCTGTGATTGCAGATTTTGCGTGCATTTTAATCATTGGGTGCCAGAAGCAAATTTCCATGTGAGCACGCCCTCTTTCTTCTTCTCCTCCCGCTCCTCCTGCTCCTCCCGCTCCTCCTCCTCCTTCTTTTCTCCTTCTCCTTCTCCTTCTTCTTCCTCTTCTTCCTCTTCCTCCTCTCCCTCCTCTGCTTCTTCTCCTTCTTCTCCTTCTCCCTCTTCTCCCTCTTCCTCTTCTTCCTCCTCTCCTTCTCCCTTTTCCCCTTCCCCATCCCCTTCCACTTCCCCTTCCCCTTCCCCTTCCTCCTCCTTCTCCTCCTCCTCCTCCTCTTCTTCTTCTTTTTCTTCTTCTTCTTCTTCCTTTTCTTCTTCTTCTTCTTCTTCTTCTTCTTCTTCTTCTTCTTCTTCTTCTTCTTCTTCTTCTTCTTCTTCTTACTTCTCCTTCTTGTTTTCCTTCTCCTTCTCCTTCTTCACTTCAAGTTATGGGATACATGTGCAGAATGTTTCAAGTTATGGGATACACGTGCAGAACATGCAGGTTTGTTACATAGGTATACATGTGCCATGGTGGTTTGCTGCACCCATCAACCCATCACCTAGGTTTTAAGCCCTGCATGCTTTATGTACTTGTCCTAATGCTCTCCCTCACCTTTCCCCCAACCCCCAGACAGGCCCTGGTGTGTGATGTTCCCCTCTCTGTGTCCATGTGTTCTCACTGTTCAACTCCCTCTTATGAGTGAGAACATGTGGTGTTTGGTTTTCTGTACCTGTGTTAGTTTGCTGAAAATGATGGCTTCCAGCTTCATCCATGTCCCTGCAAAGGACATGAACACATCCTTTTTTACGGCTGCATAGTATTCCATGGTGTCTATGTGCCACATTTACTTTATTCAGTCTATCACTGATGGGCATTTGGGTTGGTTCCAAGTCTTTGCTGTTGTAAATAGCAGCATGTCCTCCGATTCAACAATGAGAACATTGTCCACTGTTCTGTTCAGGCCTACGGAAAGGTCCCAGGCTGCTAAGACAATCTCGAATTCTCTCAACACCCCACAGTTTGTCAATACTGGAGATATTCTGGTGATTTTTTTTTGGGGGGGGGAAAGTGGCTGTTTATATATCACAAGGTTTCTTGATTACAAAAACAGTCAACTAGGCAGGCACAGTGGCTCATGCCTGTAATCCCAGCACTTTGGGAGGCCAAGGCGGGTAGATCATGAGGTCAGGAGATCGAGACCAGCCTGCCCAACATGGTGAAACCCTGTCTCTACCAAAAATACAAAAATTAACCAGGGATGGTGGTGTGTGCCTGTAATCCCAATTACTTGGGAGGCTGAGGCAGGAGAATTGCTTGAACCCGGGAGGTGGAGGTTGCAGTGATCAGAGATCGCTCCAGCCTGTGTGACAGAGTGAAACTCCATCTCCAAAAAAAAAAAAAAAAAAAAAAAAAGCAAAATAACAAAAAAACAGTCAGCTCTACAAGTATAAAACAGTCAGCTCTACAAGTGTAAGAGGAAGGAACCACACCATGTCACAGTCAGTCGGATGACCACTGGCTCTGAAGGAGGAAAAACACTCAGCTCTCTACCTACCTGCTCTCTCTCCCCATTCCTGTTACATAGATTACTTCTTTCCTCCCCAGGTACACTGGAGGGTCAGGGTCTTCCCTTCTTCCTTCTATTTAAATAAAACAATATGAGAAAACTGCTTGACAGGTGGTTCCAAGCATCAGTGGGGTGAAGAAACAATATTCTTCGTGATGCGGGTAACACCAGGAAAAAAAAAATCAGTGTCTCTTGTCCATATGTTCTCATCATTTAGCTCTCACTTTTATTTTTAATTAATTAATTTTTTTTTGAGACAGAGTCTCACTCTGTCACCCAGGCTGGACTGCAGTGGCGTGATCTCGGCTCACTGCAGACTCTGCCTCCTGGGTTCAAGCGATTCTCCTGCCTCAGCCTCCAGAGTAGCTGGGATTACAGGTGTCCACCACCATGCCCGGCTAACTTTTGTAATTTTAGTAGAGACGGGGTTTCATCATGTTGGTCAGGCTGGTCTAGAACTCCTGTCCTCAGGTGATCTGCCTACCTCGGCTTCCCAAAGTGCTGGGATTACAGGTGTAAGCCACTGTGCCTGGCCGGTAACTCTCTTTCATGATAGATTCTTTATTTTTAAATTTATTTATTTATTTTGAGACACAGTCCCACTCTGCCACCCAGGATGGAGTACAGTGGCATGATCTCAGCTCACTGCAACTTTTACCACTCGGGTTCAAGTGATTATCCTGCCTCAGCGCCCCCCGAGTGTCTAGGATTACAGGCACGCGACACCAGGCCCAGCCAATTTTTGTATTTTTAGTAGAAATGAGGTTTCATCATGTTGGCCAGGCTGGTCTCAAGCTCCTGACCTTAAGTGATCCACCCACCTTGGCCTCCCAATGTGATGGAATTACAGGTGTGAGCCACCATGCCCGGCTGGCTCCCACTTTTAAATGAAAACATGTGGTATTTAGTTTTCTGTTCCTGCATTGGTTTGCTAAGCATACCATAGCTCCAGCTGTGTTCCTGCAAAGGATATGAGCTCATCCTTTTTTATGGCTGCATAGTATTCCACGCATATGTGGCACATTTTCTTTAAGGGTGCAAGTTGGGAGAAGGGAAAGGATCAGAAAAAATAACTTACTGGGTACAAAGCTTAGTACCTGGGTGACAAAATAATCTGTACAACAAACTCCTATGACACAAGTTTACCTATATAACAAACCCACACAGGTACCCCTGGACCTAAAATAAAAGTGTTTTTGGTTTTTGGTTTGTTTGTTTGTTTTTGTTGTGTTTGTTTGTTTGTTTGAGACAGAGTCTCTGCCTCTGTCACTCAGGCCAGAGTACAGTGGTGCAATCTTGGCTCACTGCAACCTCCACCTCCCAGAAAAAGAAAGCAAACACGGCATGCAGCATCAGCTTTCTAGAAGACGCTGGAGCTTCTGGTGGGTGGACCATGCTGGAGCTTCTGGTGGGTAGACCTGGTGGAGCTTCTGGTGGGTAAATAATGCTGGAGCTTCTGGTGAGTAGACCAGGGTGGAGCTTCTGGTGGGTAAATTATGCTGGAGCTTCTGGTGGGTAAATCATGCTGGAGCTTCTGGTGGGTGGACCATGCTGGGGCTTCTGGTGGCTAAATAATGCTGAAGCTTCTGGTGGGTGGACCATGGTGGAGCTTCTGGTGGGTGAACCATGCTGGAGCTTCTGGTGGGTAAATCATGCTGGAGCCTCTGGTGGGTAAATCATGCTGGACCCTCTGGTGGATAAATCATGCTGGAGCTTCTGGTAGGTGGACTATGGTGGAGCTTCTGGTGGATGGATCATGCTGGAGCTTCTGGTGAGTAGACCATGGTGGGAGATTCTGGGGGGTAAATTATGCTGGAGCTTCTGGTGGGTGGACCATAGTGGAGCTTCTGATGGGTGGACCATGCTGAAGCTTCTGGTGGGTGGACCATGGTGGAGCTTCTGATGGGTGGACCATGGTGGAGCTTCTGGGGGGTAAATTATGCTGGAGCTTCTGGTGGGTGGACCATGGTGGAGCTTCTGGGGGGTAAATTATGCTGGAGCTTCTGGTGGGTGGACTATGGTGGAGCTTCTGGTGGATGGACCATGCTGGAGCTTCTGGTGAGTAGACCATGGTGGGAGCTTCTGGGGGGTAAATTATGCTGGAGCTTCTGGTGGGTGGACCATAGTGGAGCTTCTGATGG
The DNA here is from genome assembly GCF_000001405.40 of Homo sapiens. Classification (NCBI taxonomy): domain Eukaryota; kingdom Metazoa; phylum Chordata; class Mammalia; order Primates; family Hominidae; genus Homo; species Homo sapiens. The sequence continues at coordinate 902,865 of NC_000023.11, forward strand.
GTGGACCATGCTGGAGCTTCTGGTGGGTGGACCATAGTGGAGCTTCTGGGGGGTAAATTATGCTGGAGCTTCTGGTGGGTGGACCATGGTGGAGCTTCTGGTGGGTGGATCATGCTGGAGCTTCTGGGGGGTGGATCATGCTGGAGCTTCTGGTGGGTAAATCATTCTGGAGCCTCTGGTGGGTGGGGTATCCACACAACTGTGGATGCCCATAGATAGTGCGGACTTCACCCCATGTTCCAGAAACCTGCAAAGAGGCAAGGAGGCCACGCGCCCCATACATTCTTTTCGGCGACTTAATACTCCCACAGCACGCTGTGTGTTTCCCCAAAAATGACATCAGCCAATTACACTTTCAAATCAAATGCCTTCCCGATGGGTGAAACTGGAAATGTGAAAACACTTTAATTCTCGGATAATGTAATGGTTTACATCTGGGGCTCTTCAGGCAGCCCACGGCTCGTTCACGTTGCTCCCTTCCAAGAAATGTTTGCAGTATGTGTCTTGTTTAATAACGATTTAACCACGGAAAATAAATGCTTTCCTCTTAGGCGTCCACCTGTCTATCACCCAGAGTCTGGGAGGACGGCCCTTCTTTTCAACGGGATTTGCCAGGCCAGTCTCCATGAATCATTTGACAAAAACCTCTAACGGTTTCCTTTTTTTTTTTTTTAACACTTAAGCTTTTTTTTTTTTTTTTTTTTTTTAGAACAGTCCATTTGTCCCTGGAAAGCTGCATATATATTTGTATATAATAATGTTGGAATTTCATTTATTTATTTATTTATTTATTTTTTTTGAGACAAAATCTCAGTCTTGTCGCCCAGGGTGGAGTGCAGTGGTGCGATCTCGGTTCACTGCAACCTCCGCCTCCCGGGTTCAAGCCATCCTCCTGCCTCAGCCTCCCGAGTAGCTGGGATTACAGGCACCCGCCACCACGCCCGGCTAATTTTTTGTATTTTTTAGTAGAGACGGGGTTTCACCGTGTTAGCCAAGATGGTCTCGATCTCCTGACCTCGTGATCCACCCGCCTCGGCCTCCCAAAGTGCTGGGATGACAGGCGTGAGCCACCACGCCTGGCTTTTTTTTTTTTTTTTTTTTTTTTTTTAGAAGAGGCCATTTGTCCCTGGAAAGCTGCATATATATTTGTATATAATAATGTTGGTATTTCATTATTTATTTATTTATTTATTTTTGGAGACAAAATCTCGCTCTTGTCGCCCAGGCTGGAGTGCAGTGGTGCGATCTCGGCTCACTGCAGCCTCCGCCTCCCAGGTTCAAGCGATTCTCCTGCCTCAGCCTCCCGAGTAGCTGGGTTGACAGGCACCTGCCACCGCGCCCGGATAATTTTTTGTATTTTTTTTTTAGTAGAGATGGGGTTTCACCATGTTATCCAGGATGGTCTCGATCTCCTGACCTCGTGATCCACCCGCCTCGGCCTCCCAAAGTGCCGGGATTACAGGCGTGAGCCACCGCGCCCGGCCTTGTTTTTGTTTTTGTTTTTTTTTCTAGAACAGTCCATTTGTCCCTGGAAAGCTGCATATATATTTGTATATAATAATGCTGGAATTTCATTTATTTATTTATTTATTTATTTATTTTTGAGACAAAATCTTGCTCTTGTCTCCCAGGCTGGAGTGCACTGGTGTGATCTTGGCTCACTGCTACCTCCGCCTCCCAGGTTCAAGCAATTCTCCTGCCTCAGCCTCCCGAGTAGCTGGATGCACAGGCACCTGCCACCACCCCCGGCTAATTTTTTGTATTTTTTTTTAATAGATATGGGGTTTCACCGTGTTAGCCAGGGTAGTCTCAATCTCCTGACCTCATGATCCACCCGCCTCAGCCTCCCAAAATGCTGGGATGACAGGCGTGAGCCACAGCGCCTGGCCTATTTATTTATTTTTGAGACAGTCTCGCTCTGTCGCCCAGGCTGGAGTGCAGTGGCGCAATCTTGGCTCACTGCAACCTCTGCCTCCCAGGTTTAAGCGATTCTCCTGCCTCAGCCTCCCGAGTAGCTGGGATGACAGGCATCCATTACCATGCCCAGCTAATTTTTGTATTTTTAGTAGAGATGGAGTTTCACCACGCTGGCCAGGCTGGTCTCGAACTCCTGACCTCAGGTGATCCACCCTCAGGGCACCCTCTGGACTTTTAAATAGCAGAATCCCCCTCAAAAAGCACCGGCCACTGTCTCTATAACTGGCCCACAGGGTCTCTTTGGGATGATTTTAAAACCCAGCACAACGAAGGGCCAGGCGCGGTGGCTCACGCCTGTCATCCCAGCACTTTGAGAGCGCAAGGCAGGTGGATCATCTGAGGTCAGGAGTTCGAGACCAGCCTGGCCAATATGGGGAACCCTCGTCTCTACTAAAAATACAAAAATTAGCCTGGCGTGGTGGCAGGTGCCTGTCAACCCAGCTACTCGGGAGGCTGAGGCAGGAGAATCACTTGAACCTGGGAGGCAGAGGTTTCCGTGAGCTGAGATCGCGCCACTACAGTCCAGCCTGGCGACAGCAAGTCTTCATCTCAAAAGATAAATAAGTAAAGCAATAAATAAATGTAAAATAAAATAAAAACAGTAAAGGAGTGAAGCTCTGAGACAGGCTACAATGTGCATGAATCTGAAAAGATACCACTCTGTGAAAAAAGGCAGGCCCCAAAAAACCACAGATTGGGCCAGGCGCGGTGGCTCACGCCTGTCATCCCAGCACTTTGGGAGGCCGAGGCGGGCGGATCACGAGGTCAGGAGATCGAGACCATCCTGGCTAACACGGTGAAACCCCATCTCTACTAAAAATAAAAAAATACAAAAATTTAGCCGGGCTTGGTAGCAGGTGCCTGTCAACCCAGCTACTCGGGAGGCTGGGGCAGGAGAATCACTTGAACCCGGGAGGCGGAGGTTGCAGTGAGCCAAGATCGTGCCCCTACACTCCAGCCTGGGCGAGAGAGTGAGACTCCATCTCAAAAATAAATAAATAACAATAAATAAATAAATAAACACAGCAGAGATGCCACAAGCCCGCCAAGACTACGCCGTTCCTCCTCGGGGAACACATGGGCAGAGGCTGCACCGGGAAGGCCCCCAGCCGTTGCAGGGTGAGTAATTTCCGAGCGTGCAATTATAAAGAACCGGAGTGCAGCAGCTCCCCAAGGCACCCCCGGATTCCCGCAGTGTGCACGTAATTGCAGCCAGACAGTAACCTCGCTGTGGCCTGTGTCCCAGCCCTAACCCCGCACCCCGCTTGGCGCTCCCACATATGGGACAATTTTCCAAGCTGATTGCTGGAAACTGATGAAGGGAAGTTATGTGGTCTCTTGTGACGGGCGGTCCCACAGCTGCTCTGGTCGGAAAGAGAGAGAGAGAGAGGAGAGAGAGAGAGACAGACAGAGGGAGAGGGGAGAGAGAGACAGACAGAGAGGAGAGAGAGAAAGAGGGGAGAGAGAGAGACAGAGACAGAGAGAGGGGAGAGAGAGAGACAGAGAGAGAGGGGAGAGAGAGAGACAGAGAGAGAGGGGAGAGAGAGAGAGGAGAGAGAGAGAGAGAGACAGAGACAGAGGGGAGAGAGAGAGAAAGGGGAGAGAGAGAGACAGAGGAGAGAGAGAGACAGAGAGAGATACAGAGAGAGAGACCCTGGAAGGTATTTTCTCTGTGCTCCAATTCCAGGGCATATTTTGGAAGAAAAGGGATCATGCTGGTGGTTTTGCGGAAGGTCAGTGCCAGAGTTGAGGAAGAGGAAGATGTCACTTTGGCAACTCATTGTCAAGTTCTCCAAAAATCAGGGAGGTGGGGAGCTGGAGTCAGGGAGGGAGGAGAGGAGGAAGCAACAGCCACCCACACAGGGAAGGATCTCTCCTCTCTTCCTCTCCATCTGCCACACCGTGACCCCATCCCTTGACTTTGCCTTTGCAGAGGGCATCCTGCCTTTGTCCACAGCTGTTTCTCTCTGTCTTTTTTTGAGAGACAGTCTTGCTTTGTTACCCAGACTGGAGTGCAATGGAGCAATCATAGCTCACTGCAACCTCAAGCTCCTGGACTCAAGCCATCCTCCCGCCTCAGACTCCCAAGTAGCCGGGACCACAGGAGCAGACCCACCATGCCCCATTAATTTTTAAACATGTTTTGGAGAGTTGGGGTCTCACTATGTTGCCCAGAGTACCACCATGCCCCATTAATTAAAAAAAAAATTTGTAGAGATGGGGTTTTGCTATGTTGCCCAGGCTGGTCTCAAACCCAGAGCACCACCGTGCCTCATTAATTAAAAAAAAAATTTTGTAGAGATGGGGTCTTGCTATGTTGCCCAGGCTGGTCTCAAACTCCTGGGCTCAAGCGATCGTCCCATCTCAGCCCCCCAAGTAGCTGGGACCACAGAAGCAGACCACCATGTCCCATTCATTAAAAAAAAATATTGGGGCCAGACAAGGTGGCTCACGCCTGTCATCCCAGCACTTTGGGAGGCTGAGGCGGGCAGATCATGAGGTCAGGAGATCGAGACCATCCTGGCTAACATGGTAGAACCCCGTCTACTAAAAATACAAAAAATTAGCCGGGCGTGGTGGCGGGCGCCTGTAGTCCCAGCTACTGGGGAGGCTGAGGCAGGAGAATGACGTGAACCCGGGAGGCGGAGCTTGCAGTGAGCCAAGATCGCGCCTCTGCACTCCAGCCTGGGTGACAGAGCGAGACTCCGTCTCCAAAAAAAGATAAAAATTTGGAGAGATGGGGCCTCACTATATTGCCCAGGCTGGTCTCAAACTCCTGGGCTCCAGCGATCCTCTTATCTTTACTTTATGGAGAGAAATACGCAATTTCTACGTAGTGCTTTTGTTTTAAAATGCAGCTTGATCCTCAGACCATGAGAGGCAGGCATTTTACAGAAGAGACATCAGAACTTTCTAGAAGGTGGGTGATTGTTCAGTGCCTCTTCAGAGAACAAGTTGCAAAACCGAGGAAATTGCAACTTCTGAGCCTAAATTCAAGGGTTGGCCGGGTACAGTGGCTCACGCCTCTCATCCCAACACTTTGGGAGGCCGAGGCGGGCGGATCACCTGAGGTCAGGAGTTCGAGACCAGCCTGACCAACATGGTGGAAACCCGTCTCTACTAAAAATACCAAAATTAGCCAGGCGTGGTGGTAGGTGCCTGTAGTCCCAGCTACTCAGGAGGTTGAGGCATGAGAATCACGTGAAGCTGGGAGGTGGAGGTTGCAGTGAGCCGAGATTGCGCCACTGCACTCCAGCCTGGGAGACAGAGCGAGACTCCATCTCCAATACATACATACATACATACATACATACATAAAATTAAGAGTTGTTCAGCCATGCTGTCCCAGGTCCCCAAACTCTTAACCTTTTGCGTTTCATAGAAAGTGCTAGGATTTACAAAGATGCCACTACCCTCGCCAGCCCACTAAGATGAAAGTGAGATGCCACCTGTGATGGCCATTGGAGCACCTTGCCACCCTCCTCAATGGGCACCGGTGAGGAGGGTGACAGGCGCTTGGAGTCCCTGTGGGTTCTGGGATTCTGAGCTGTCACAGCGATAAGCCAGGGTCGATGGTTTCCTGAGGAGTTTGGCAAGCCTCAGTCCTTGGGTTCATTCCTCAACATTCGTGAAACAAAACAGACTTTTCAAATCGTGTTTAAAACAATTAGCGTGTTTACCCAAACAAAGGTTAAGCCTGCAAAGGAAAAGGGTATGCAAATGCTACCAAGCATTGCAGCTTTTACAGTTTTGCACACATCCTTCAAAGCTCATCTTCTTTTTTTTTCTTTTTTTTGAGATGGAGTCTCACTCTGTCGCCCAGGCTGGAGCACAATGGCGTGATCTCGGCTCACCGCAACCTCCGCCTCCGGGGTTCAAGCAGTTCTCCTGCCTCGGCCTCCCGAGTAGCTGGGATTACAGGCACCTGCCACTACCCCCGGCTAATTTTTTGTATCTTTAGAAAAGATGGGGTTTCACCATGTTGGCCAGGCTGGTGTTGAACTCCTGACCTCAGGCAATCCACCTGCCTCGGCCTCCCAGAGTGCTGGGATACAGACGTGAGCCACCGCACCCGGCCTCAAAGCTCATCTCCTAAGGCATGCAGAAACTCAGCTCCACAGATCTGAGGTCTAAATGAGCAGGGCAACCTTGCTTATGGAGACGCGGGCAGGCAGGGAGAACAGGGTCTCTGCCCAGGCCACCAAGGAGGAGGCAAGATGCCAGATGGAGAAGGGGTTGCCCCAAGCCCCAGGTTGACATGGAAGTTGGGAACAGCCAAGCAGAGAATCTCAGGATCTCCATGGAGGCTAAGAACGTTTCATTGGAGATTCAACTTTTGCAATAAGCAGTGCTGGGTTACATAAGTGCCTAATTAAGACCCTTGGAACTAATTATATAGGACAGAGAGGAGGTGATGGTGAAGACGTGAGATTCTAAGCTGTGATGATACTTACCACATGAGAGGATCAAGACCCACTGATGAACTCCTGGTAGTAGAGAGAGGATATGCAGATAGGGAGGCAGCTAGCTAGACAGATAGATAGATGACAGATAGATAATTGATACATAGATTATAGATTCAATAGATAAATACACAGAGAATACATTAGATAGATGGATGGATAGATAGATGGATGAATGGATAGATAGATATATCAATAGATAGATAGGTAGGTGGATAGAGAGATGATAGATAGATAATTGATACATATAGATTCAATAGATAAATACATAGATAATACATTAATAGATGGATGGATAGATAGATGAATGGATAGATAGATATATCAATAGGTAGGTGGACAGATAGATAATTGATACATAGATTATAGATTCAATAGATAAATACATGGATAGATAATACATTAGATAGATGGATGGATAGATGGATGAATGGATGGACACAGACATAGATAGATAGATCAACAGATAGGTAGGTGGATAGATAGATACATAGATGATTGATTGATAGGTAGAAGATAGATGATGAATATATAGATAGATGATAGATGTTAGATAGATATTTAGATACATAGATCAATAGATCAATAGGTGATAGATAAGCAATATACAGATAGGAACTCTCCAGTCAGCCTAGACTTAGCTAGTCAAGGTCCCACCTGTGGAGTTTCCAGGTGAACCTCATCTCTATTAGCCTTCGAGTCCACGTAAATCATGTATCTACATCTGCCTGGATTTGTTTTCACTGCTAGAACAGAATCCCTGAGACTGTGGTTTATAAAGAGCAGAGATTTATTTACTCCTGGTTCTGGAGGTGGAGAAGTCCAAGATGAAGGCACCAGCAGATTCTATATCTGATGAGTGCTGTTCTCTGCCTCCAAGATGGCGCCTTCCTGCTGAATCTTCCAGAAGGAAGAAACACCTTGTCCTTACATGGTATAGGTGGAAGACCAAGGGAAATGAATGCTACAGGAAGCCTCTTTCTTTCTTTCTCTTTCTTTCTTTCTTTCTTTCTTACTTTCTTTCTTTCTTTCTTTCTTTTTTCAAGATGGAATCTTGCTCTGTTGCCCAGGCTGGAGTACAGTGGCTTGACCTCGGCTCACTGCAACCTCCAGCTCCCAGGTTGAAACAATTCTCCTGCCTCAGCCTCCTGAGTAGCTGGGATTACAGGTGCCTGCCACCACACCCAGCTAATTTTTGTATTTTTAGCAGAGATGGGGTTTCACCATGTTGGCCAGGCTGGTCTTGATCTCCTGACCTCGTGAGCCACCTGCCTCGGCCTCCCAAAATGCTGGGATTACAGGCATGAGCCACCGCGCCCGACCAGGAAGCCTCTTTCATAAAAGCCTTAAGCCCATTCATGAGAAAGTTGCCTCCATGCCCTGATCACCCCTTTTTAAATTCATGTTATGTTGTTATTTTGTTATTTTTTTTTAATTTTTTTCACAGAAGGTCTGGCTATATCACCCAGGCTGGAGTGAAGTGGTATCATCTCAGCTTACTACAAGCTCTGCCTACTGGGCTCAAACGATCCTCCCACCTCAGCCTCCCAAGTAGCTAGGACTACAGAAGTGCACCACCATGCCCAGCTCACTTTTGTACTTCTTATAGAGACAGTGGGTTCACCATGTTGCCCAGGCTGGTCTGAAACTCATGAACTCAGGCAATCTGCCTTCCTCTGACTCCCAAAGTCCTGGGATTACAGGCCTGAGCTACTGTGCTGCCTCTCTTTTTTTTTTTTAATTTTAATTTAATTTTTATTTATTTTTTATGTATTTATTTATTATTATTTTTTTGAGACAAAGTCTCACTCTGTTGCCCAGGCTGGAGTGCAGTGGCGTGATCTTGGCTCACTGCAACCTCCACCTCCCGGGTTCAAGCCATTCTCCTGCCTCAGCCTCCCGAGTAGCTGGGATTACAGGCACTTGCCACCACGCCTGGCTAATTTTTGTATTTTTAGTAGAGACGGGGTTTCGCCACGTTGGTCAGGCTGGTCTCGAACTTCTGACCTCGTGATCCACCCGCCTCAGCCTCCCAAAGTGCTGGGATGACAGGCGTGAGCCACCGCGCCCGGTCCCTTTGCTTTTCTTAAGTGACTCTATGGGGGACCCATGCAACCAGCAGCATCTCAGCTTTTTCTCGCTGGCAGGTGTCTGCGGGAAACCAGCATCCCAGTTCACTTCAGACGCGAGCGTGTTGATTATACGCTCAGGGCCGCACATTAGAGAAGCGTGTGAGTCACAGCCCCACACTGGGTCGTCCAAGGATCAAGAAGATCAACAAACCAGCATGGTTAGGACAAGTGGTTTTACAGTCCTTTTTTTTTTTTTGAGACAGAGTCTTGCTCTGTCACCCAGGCTGGAGTGCAGTGGCGCGATCTCGGCTCACTGCAACCTCCACCTCCCGGGTTCAAGCCATTCTCCTGCCTCAGCCTCCCGAGTAGCTGGGACTACAGGTGCCCACCACCACGCCCGGCTGATTTTTTATACTTTTAGTAGAGACGGGGTTTCACCGTGTTAGCCAGGATGGTCTCGATCTCCTGACCTCATGATCTGCCCGCCTCGGCCTCCCAAAATCCTGAGATTACAGGCGTGAGCCACTGTGTCGCCCTTTTTTTTTTTCTTCTTTTTAATTCCTTTTTTTGAGACAGAGTCTCGCTCTGTCGCCCAGGCTGGAGTGCAGTGGCGCGATCTTGGGTCACTGCAACCTCTGCCTCCCGGGTTCAAGCGATTCTCCTGTCTCAGCCTCCTGAGGAGCTGGGACTACAGGTATGGGCCACCACATCTGGCTAATTTTTGTATTTCTAGTAGAGAAGGGGTTTCACCGTGTTGACCAGGATGGTCTCGATCTCTTGACCTTGTGATCCGATCTTTAATGGGTTTTTTTTTTTTTTTTTTTTTTGAGATGGAGTCTCGCTCTGTTGCCCAGGCTGGAGTGCAGTGGTGCGACCTCGGCTCACTGCAAGCTCTGTCTCCCGGGTTCAAGCAATTCTCCTGCCTCAGCCTCCCGAGTAGCTGGGACTACAGGGGCCCACCACCATGCCCGGCTGATTTTTTTTTTTTATTTTAGTAGAGATGGGGTTTCACCATGTTAGCCAGGATGGTCTCGATCTCCTGACCTCGTGATCTGCCCGCCTCGGCCTCCCAAAATGCTGGGATTACAGGCGTGAGCCACTGCACCTGGCCCTTTACAGTCCTTTTTAACGCACTTCTAAAAGAAACCATCTCAGCCACTTTTACACATCTGCAGGTGAGAGGAGTGTGGGGCACGGGTTTCCCCGATGACCCGGGGAAGGGATCAAGTTGATAAGTGTCCACTTTGCAACACCAGCGTCTACCAGGTACTGCCAGGCAGAAGCTCAAACCCATGCGTGACTTTTCCTTGGCTTTTTTTTTTTAAATAAACCTCTGTTCAAAAATAAACTTAACACGTTTTTCTGGAGCACCCCGAACCTGTTCCCAATTTCTTGTCCAAACAATGAAAAATACACAAGTGCATTATTTTAAGGGTGACTCTAGCTGACCTTTCCGGGGGGGAAAAACACAGCACCGGCCTGGAGCCCGAAGCGTGTTCAGAGCGTTTGATGTGGCGTTTGATGTTCAGGCAGGGGCCACCTGGGTCGGCCTGTCATCGAATGACGTTTTCACACCAGTCCCCAAAGCAGGAGATCTGGAAAATCTGACATCCAAGGTTTTAGATCTTGGCTTAGAAAAATAGACATTCCAAGATGCCTGAAGTGTTTAAGTGGCTATTGCTAATTGGATGGTGTTGACTGTGGAGGTAAATGGATCCCAAATTGAAATGGGAGATTAGATGATTAGACGTATTCTCCAGACGCTTACAAAAACAATTATGTGTGTGCGTGTGTGTGTGGAGAGAGAGATAGAAAGGTATATTGACAGACCGGGCGCGGTGGTTCACACCGTTAATCCCAGCACTTTGGGAGGCTGAGGCAGGCGGATCACCGGAGGTCAGGAGTTCGAGACCAGCCTGACCAACATGATGAAAACCCGTCTCTACTAAAAATACAAAAATTGGCTGGGCGTGGTGGTCTGTAAAAAATTGGCTGGGCCTGTAGTCCCGGCTACTCGGGAGGCTGAGGCAAGAGAATCACTTGAACCCGGGAGGTGGAGGTTGCAGTGAGCTGAGATGGTGCCACTGCCCTCTACCTTGGGCGACAGAATAAGACTCTGTCTCAAAAAAAGAAAAAAAGGATATATAGACAATAGACATACTATATCACAGATGGAAAGAAATAAACTAGATAGGTTAAACTAGATAGAAATAGATAACTGTCAGAACGAGATAGATGGTAGATAGATAATTAATAGAAAAGAGATAAATTAGGACAATTAAAGCAATGACAGACCTAGGTAAATAAATGATAGATAACAGATATATTATTAATACATAGGAATAGATGAGTTAATAATATATTAGTTAATAATATTATATTAATATTAGTTACTATACTACTATTAGTTAATAATTAGTTAATTATTAGTTAATAATATTAGTTAATATATTAGTTAATGATATATTAATAATAATATATTAGTTATTAGTTAATAACTAATATATTCGTTAATATTATATTAGTTAATGATATATTATTTAATAATATATTGTTATTAATAATAATTAATATAATATAATATATTATAATATATTAACTAATATTATTTAATATATTATAATATATTAAATATTAGTTAATATATTAAATAACATTAATAATACTAATTATATTAGTTATACTAATAATATTAGCTAATTAGTTAATAATTAGTTAATAATTAACTAATTATATATAATAATATATAATAATATATAATTAGTTAATAATTAGTTACTTATTAGTTATTATACTATTAATGTTAGTTAATAATAGATGAGTTAATATTATATTATTAATACATAGGAATAGATGAGTTAGATTACATAAATGATAGAGATAGGTAGATAAATATATAACAGATATATAGGGAGATAACTGGATAGATGCATAGATGATAGCTAGATAGGCAGATAGTACAGGGATGATAGGTAGATAGATACAGGAATAGATGTTAGGTAGACAGATAATTGATACATAGATTATAGATTTGGTAGATAAATACATATATAGATGGATGGATAATAGATAGAGGATGGATATATAGTAGATGATAAATAGTAGAAAGATGATAGGTAGATAGACAGCTAGATGGATAGATGATAGGTAGATAAGTGATACATAGATTATAGATTCAATAGATAGATAATACATTAGATGGATAGATGAATAGATAGATACAGGGATAGATGATAGGTAGACAGATAATTGATACATAGATTATAGATTCGATAGATAAATACATATATAGATGGATGGATAATAGATAGATGATGGATATATAGTAGGTGATAGTAGAGAGATGATAGGTAGATAGACAGCTAGCTAGCTAGATGGATAGAAGATAGATAATTGATACATAGATTATACATTCAATAGATAAATAGATAATACATTAGATGGATAGATGAATAGATAGCTACAGGGATAGATGATAGGTAGATAGATAATTGATACATAGGTTATAGATTCAATAGATAATATATATAGATAGATGGATAGACAGATGGATACATGGATGGATGATAGATGATGGATATATAGTTAATGATAGATAGATAGTAGAGAGATGATAGGTAGATAGATAGCTAGCTAGCCAGACAGATAGATGATAGGTAGATAATTGATACATAGATTATAGATTCAATAGATAAATACATAGATAATACATTAGATGGATAGATAGATGGATAGATAGGTAGATAGATAGGTAAGTGGATAGTTACAGGGATAGATGATAGGTAGATAGATAACTGATACATAGATTATAGATTCAATAGATAAATACACATATAGATAGATGGATAGATAGGTGGATGGATAGATGATGATGGATATATAGTAGATGATAGATGATTGATAGATGATAGATGTTAGATAGATTATAGATAAATAGATCAATAGATCGATAGATGATAGATGGGTAATAGATAGGTAGGAACTCCCCAGTCTGCCTAAGATATTTTCTGTTATTTTATAAGACATAACCCTCATGAGTTCTTTTCTATCTGCTGCTGCTGTTATTCTGAAAATAGTGTAAAGTTTTGGAGTTTCAGGTACAAGAGGACCCTGCAGATATCAGCCACCTGCTTTTCCCTCCCTTCCTGGGGAGGTTCGGTTCTGCCTCACACGCACTCACTCCTACATCCCTGTGGGTCTCAGAGCTGCCCCCTCCTTGTCTGCAAAGAGGGAGGTGTGGTACCCACTCCGGGGACCCCCTCCATCCTTGGAGCACTCAGTGTGCAAGTCAGCCTGGCTTTCTCCTTCACAGACAAGTGGCATTGTCACAAGACAGCGTGGGCCACTCAGGGGACTCTCACCGTCATGAGGCTGGCATTGAGTGACACTGCGTTAGAGACAGAGGCAACCTCGAAAGGCATATGGGCCCTGCTTCCCTCTTCTCAGAAACGAGGAGAGCCTCTGGTAGACAAACCACACAATGATCTTTTGGGGTGAAACCTCAGGCTCTGTTCACTCACTGGCATTGTCAAACCACTGGCATTGTCAAACCACACCTGCAAAGAGCTGGCAAACTATTCCCTAAGCACAGAAATCCTCACGCTTATCTGGGGCCATTCTGAGCCCTGCAGGTGGCTAGGGAGAGAGCCATAAGGTATTTCTTGTGGCAGGGGCGGGGGCCCTCTCTGGCATTCTCAGGGCTGCCCCCAGAACCTGGAATCAAGCAGGAGAGAGAAGGACATCATCTAGAGAAGGCTTGCTCTCCGTGAGGCCGTGGAGTCCTGCCCCAGCGGAAAATAAACTTCTTAATACGATTGAGATCAACAGACCGGGCTTTTCTCTGTGATACATTTAAGCAAATTGAATGTAATTACCTCAATTGAATTCAGAGCAAGGCCTGCCCTGACCTTCCGCTGAAGCGTTCTGCCCGCTTGGGGAGCAGGCCGGGGCACACATGACATCATTTGGACAATTTGCACATATTTATACAATTTGTCATTATTCCATCTGTACAGGCTGGAGGCTGAGAGGTTTGCCTCCAGCACCGCTGTGAAATCAGGCCTGTGAGAATGACGTGCTGGACATACCTCTTGTGTGTGCTATTTACTTCGAATTCAAGTATACATGGTCACTAGTGGGGGGAGTGGGGTGGACGTGTGTGTGTGTGTGTATGTGTGTGTGTGTGTGTGCCGGGCAGAAGATGCAAATCCATTGACACAAATCAACAAGCAATGTTATGATATAAGGGAGGGAAATGAAGCCAGCAGGTGCTATAATACGTGTCAAAAAAAAATCTGTTCTAAGCTTATGCCGCTGTAAGACAACAGACAGCTGTGTAGAGGTGTGGCTTCAGTGACGGCCGAGGAAGGGTTATCTGCAGGTACAGCCATGCCATGTCAGAGGTGTCTGTATTCCGACCTCAGGCACCGAGGTCCTGCCCACGAATGTTGTGGTAACGTGGGGATATATTTGAAGGAAAACAGAGAGGTGTCTGGATGGCCTGTTTTGTTGCAGGAAGCAAACCAGCATGATGCAGGCAGCCTGAACTGAGAAAAGGAGGTTTCCAGATTTCCAGAGACACACTGAGTTCACTTCCATGCACCAGGGAGAAAAGCTCATTCAGGGACCTCCGCTGTATTACGAAGTTTCATTTCTCCTGCAATGGGAGTCCACAGCAGCCTCGTGGAGGGGACATTCCTCCCAGCCTGCGTATCATAGACTCAGCTACAGGCTTAGGGTCCTCAGGTTGCCCAAGGATGCTGGAGGTCCACAGGTCAACTGCAGGGAGACGGATTCCCCAAATGAGCAAGAGGGTTCTGGTGCTGAGGAAATAGATTAGTAGCTCCTGGCAGGTGTGGCTTCACGACCGTAAGGAAATGGAGGCAAAGAGTTGTTGGGCATGTAGAACTTTCATTTCTTCCACATTTATTCAGAGAAACGGCATATGCATTTTTGGTAGAAGTACGTCCCATGCAATATTGCTGTTGATCTCGAATTCAAGTGTACCTGGGCACGCATGCATACTGCTGTTCACCTCGAATTCAAGTGTACCCGGGCATGCATCTGTTCTGCTATTTATCTTGAATTCAAGTATACCTGGGCACGCATGCATACTGCTGTTCACCTCGAATTCAAGTGTACCTGGGCACGCATGCATACTGCTGTTCACCTCGAATTCAAGTGTACCTGGGCATGCATCCATACTGCTGTTCACCTCGAATTCAAGTGTACCTGGGCAAGCATGCATACTGCTGTTCACCTCGAATTCAAGTGCACCTGAGCACGCATCTGTTCTGCTGTTTATGTAGAATTCAAGTATACCTGGGCATGCATGCATACTGCTGTTTATCTCGAATTCAAGTATACCTAGGCACGCATGCATACTGCTGTTCACCTCGAATTCAAGTGTACCTGGGCATGCATCCATACTGCTGTTCACCTCGAATTCAAGTGTACCTGGGCACGCATGCATACTGCTGTTCACCTCGAATTCAAGTGTACCCGGGCATGCATCTGTTCTGCTATTTATCTTGAATTCAAGTATACCTGGGCACGCATGCATACTGCTGTTCACCTTGAATTCAAGTATACCTGGGCATGCATCCATACTCCTGTTCACCTCGAATTCAAGTATACCTGGGCACGCATCCATACTGCTGTTTATCTCGAATTCAAGTGTACCTGAGCATGCATCCATACTGCTGTTTATCTCGAATTCAAGTGTACCTGGGCACGCATGCATACTCCTGTTCACCTCGAATTCAAGTGTACCTGGGCACGCATCTGTTCTGCTGTTTATCTCGAATTCAAGTGTACCTGAGCATGCATCCATACTGCTGTTCACCTCGAATTCAAGTATACCTGGGCATGCATCCATACTGCTGTTTATCTCGAATTCAAGTGTACCTGGGCATGCATCCATACTGCTGTTCACCTCGAATTCAAGTGTACCTGGGCATGCATCCATACTGCTGTTTATCTCGAATTCAAGTGTACCTGAGCATGCATCCATACTGCTGTTTATCTCGAATTCAAGTGTACCTGGGCATGCATCCATACTGCTGTTCACCTCGAATTCAAGTGTACCTGGGCATGCATCCATACTGCTGTTCACCTCGAATTCAAGTGTACCTGGGCACGCATCCATACTGCTGTTCACCTCGAATTCAAGTGTACCTGGGCATGCATCCATACTGCTGTTCACCTCGAATTCAAGTGTACCTGAGCATGCATCCATACTGCTGTTCACCTCGAATTCAAGTGTACCTGGGCATGCATCCATACTGCTGTTCATCTCGAATTCAAGTGTACCTGGGCATGCATCCATACTGCTGTTCACCTCGAATTCAAGTGTACCTGGGCATGCATCCATACTGCTGTTCATCTCGAATTCAAGTGTACCTGGGCATGCATCCATACTGCTGTTCATCTCGAATTCAAGTGTACCTGGGCATGCATCCATACTGCTGTTCACCTCGAATTCAAGTGTACCTGGGCATGCATCCATACTGCTGTTCACCTCGAATTCAAGTGTACCTGGGCATGCATCCATACTGCTGTTTATCTCGAATTCAAGTGTACCTGGGCATGCATCCATACTCCTGTTCACCTCGAATTCAAGTGTACCTGGGCATGCATCCATACTGCTGTTTATCTCGAATTCAGGTGTACCTGGGCATGCATCCATACTCCTGTTCACCTCGAATTCAAGTATACCTGGGCACGCATGCATACTGCTGTTCACCTCGAATTCAAGTGTACCTGGGCATGCATCCATACTGCTGTTTATCTCGAATTCAAGTGTACCTGGGCACGCATCTGTTCTGCTGTTTATCTCGAATTCAAGTGTACCTGGGCATGCATCCATACTCCTGTTCACCTCGAATTCAAGTGTACCTGGGCATGCATCCATACTCCTGTTCACCTCGAATTCAAGTGTACCTGGGCACGCATGCATACTGCTGTTCACCTCGAATTCAAGTGTACCTGAGCATGCATCCATACTGCTGTTCACCTCGAATTCAAGTGTACCTGGGCACGCATCTGTTCTGCTGTTTATCTCGAATTCAAGTGTACCTGGGCACGCATCCATACTCCTGTTCACCTCGAATTCAAGTGTACCTGGGCATGCATCCATACTCCTGTTCACCTCGAATTCAAGTGTACCTGGGCACGCATGCATACTGCTGTTCACCTCGAATTCAAGTGTACCTGGGCACGCATCTGTTCTGCTGTTTATCTCGAATTCAAGTGTACCTGGGCACGCATCCATACTCCTGTTCACCTCGAATTCAAGTGTACCTGGGCATGCATCCATACTCCTGTTCACCTCGAATTCAAGTGTACCTGGGCATGCATCCATACTGCTGTTTATCTCGAATTCAAGTGTACCTGGGCATGCATCCATACTGCTGTTCACCTCGAATTCAAGTGTACCTGGGCACGCATCTGTTCTGCTGTTTATCTCCAACTCAAATGTACCTGAGCATGCAACTGTTCTGCTGTTTACCTCGAATTCCACTCTACCTGGGTACGCATGCCGTACTTTGATTGGTTAACTAGAGAGATTTGAAAAGCAAACGATCATTATTTTCCCCAAGTTTCAACTTTGTTCAGATAGAAGCTAAGAAATTCCACACCATGTATATATTCCTTGTAAAGTTTGCCCAGTACCTGAGCCAGCACCTAGGGATGGAAGGGCAGACAGTGGAGGTTGGGGTGCACACAGATTTGGGTGACCCAGACCAAATCTGATCTCCTAGAACCAAGAGATCCCACAGAGACAGGACAAATTGGCCTGTTTGGGGCCGGCGTGCTGCAGGATCCCAGACGCCACTCAACGGCCGCCCCATCGCACTGGAAACCTCAGAATATATTTGTGAACTCACTACAAAAGACTACATCAAACCAGATGAGGCGTGACGGAATTAAAGTCTGGGAGTCAGAGAATGGCCGTGGCCTGAAGCCAGGTGTGAGGCAGCGTTTCAGGCCCCGAGGACGGTTGTTCCAATTACAGCCCGGGATGACCTCATGCCGAGGGTATGGCCAGAATATTAAAAATTCCTGCAGCAGATGAATGCGAGGGGTCTGGCGTGAGGGGACCGGGGAGGGGTGCAAACATGTTTCATTTTATTTCAACACTCAGCCTCGACCCGCACGGCGGTCAGAGAGGAAATTGCCGGCTCCCTGCCTCATGTTCTGCTGATTGGCAGACAGATTTACAGCACATGGAAGAAACAATTAGGACGGAGCCTCCACCGACTACAAAGCAAGGAAATAAATTCCCATAATGAGACGGCCAAACGCACAAGGTACGAATGATCTATGGGCTCGTGTCTAGGGTATAAAATGTCAAAACGCCCCGGGGTCGTGCTGAGTGGTTCTCTGTGACAGATGGTGCACAGATTGTTGTTTTTTTTTTTTCTTTTTGTGGTTTTGTTTTGAGAAGAAGTTTCACTCTTGTTGCCCAGGCTGGAGTGCAATGGCGTGATCTCGGCTCACCGCAACCTCCGCCTCCCGGGTTCAAGTGATTCTCCTGCCTCAGCCTCCCGAGCAGCTGGAATTACAAGCACCCGCCGTCATGCCCGGCTAATTTTTGTATTTTTAATAGAGACTGGGTTTTGCCATGATGGCCAGGCTGGTCTCGAACTCCTGACCTCAGGTGATCCGCCTGCCTCGGCCTCCCAAAGTGCTGGGATTATAGGGATAAGCCACCATGCCCAGCCAATCTGTTCAATCTTTCTATCATCTCTCTCTCTTTTATTTATTTATTTATTTATTTATTTATTTATCTATTTATTTTGAGACGTAGTTTTGCTCTTGTTGCCCAGGCTGGAGTGCAGTGGCACAATCTCGGCTCACTGCAAGCTCCACCTCCCAGGTTCAAAGGATTCTCCTGCCTCAGCCTCCCAAGTAGCTGGGACTATAGGCGTGCACCATCATGCCTGGCTAATTTTTGTATTTTTAATAGAGACGGGGTTTCACCGTGTTGGCCAGGCTGGTCTCAAACTCCTGACCTCAGGTTATCCGCCTGCCTCGGCCTCCCAAAGTGCTGGGATAACAGGCACGAGCCACCGTGCCTGGCTAAGCTGTTTAATCTTTCTATCATCTCTCTCTCTCTTATTTATTTATTTATTTATTTATTTATTTATTTATTTATTTTGAGACGGAATTTTGCTCTTGTTGCCCAGGCTGGAGTGCAATGGCACGATCTCGGCTCACTGCAACCTCCCCCTCCCGGGTTGAAGTGATTCTCCTGCCTCAGCCTCCCAAGTAGCTGGGACTCTAGGCGCCCGCCACCACGCCCGGCTGATTTTTGTATTTTTAGTAGAGACAGGGTTTCACCATGTTGGCCAGGATGGTCTCAAACTCCCGACCTCAGGTGATCCACCTGCCTCGGCCTCCCAGAGTGCTGGGATTATAGGCATGAGCCACCATGCCCAGCCAATCTGTTTAATCTTTCTATCATGTCTCTCTCACACACTCTTATTAATTAATTTATTTATTTATTTATTTATTTAGAGACAGAGTCTCGCTCTGTCACCCAGGCTGGAGTGCAATGGCGCGATCTCAGCTCACTGCAACCTCCGCCTCCCGGGTTCAAGCGATTCTCCTGCCTCAGCCTCCCGAGTAGCTGGGACTACAGGCGCCAGCCAACATGCCCGGCTAATTTTTGTATTTTTAGTAAAGACGGGGTTTCGCCATGTTGGCCAGGCTGGTCTCGAACTCCTGACCTCAGGTGATCCACCCGCCTTAGCCTCCCAAAGTGCTGAGATTACAGGCGGAAGCCACCGTGCCTGGCTAATCTGTTTAATCTTTCTATCATCTCTCTCTCTCTCTTATTTATTTATTTATTTATTTATTTATTTATTTATTTATTTTGAGACAGAGTTTTGCTCTTGTTGCCCAGGCTGGAGTGCAGTGGCACAATCTCAGCTCACTGCAAGCTCCACCTCCCAGGTTCAAGCGATTCTCCTGCCTCAGCCTCCTGAGTAGCTGGGACTGTAGGCGTGCCTCACCACGCCCGGCTAATTTTTGTATTTTTAGTAGAGACAGGGTTTCACCATGATGGCCAGGCTAGTCTCAAACTCCTGACCTCAGGTGATCCACCCACCTCGGCCTCCCAAAGTGCTGGGATTATAGGCATGAGCCACCATGCCCAGCTCATCTGTTTAATTTTTCTATCATCTCTCTCTCACACTCTTATTTATTTATTTATTTATTTACAGACAGAGTCTCACTCTGTTGCCCAGCCTGGAGTGCAGTGGCGCCATCTCAGCTCACCGCAACCTCCGCCTCCCAGG
Source organism: Homo sapiens (assembly GCF_000001405.40). Classification (NCBI taxonomy): domain Eukaryota; kingdom Metazoa; phylum Chordata; class Mammalia; order Primates; family Hominidae; genus Homo; species Homo sapiens. The sequence continues at coordinate 922,680 of NC_000023.11, forward strand.
TTCAAGCGATTCTCCTGCCTCAGCCTCCCAAGTAGCTGGGATTACAGGTGTCTGCCACCAGGCCCAGCTGATTTTTGTATTTTTAGTAGAGATAGTATTTCACCATGTTGGCCAGGCTAGTCTCAAACTCCTGACCTCAAGTTCTCTGCCTGCCTCAGCCTCCCAAAATGCTGGGATTATAGGTGTGAGCCACCGTGCCCAGTCAATCTGTTTAATCTTTCTATCGTCTCTCTCTCCCTCTCTCTCTCTCTACTTATTTATTTATTTAGAGACGGAGTTTTGCTCTGTCACCCAGGCTGGAGTGCAGTGGCATGATCTCCGCTCACTGCAAACTCCCCTTCCTGGGTTCAAGCAATTATCCTGCCTCAGCCTCTCCAGTAGCTGGGATTACAGCCGCCGCCACCTTGCCCAGCAAATTTTTGTATTTTTAGTAGAGACGGGGTTTCACCATGTTGATTAGGCTGGTCTTGAACTCCTGACCTCAGGTGGTCCACTCACCTCGGTCTCCCAAAGTGCTGGGATTATACGCGTGAGCCACTGTGCACGGCCAATCTGTTTAATCTTTCTATCATCTCTCTCTCTCTCTCTCTATTTATTTATTTATTTATTTAGAGATGGAGTTTTGCTCTTGTTACCCAGGCTGGAGTGCAGTGGTGTGATCTCGGCTCATCTCCGCTCACTGCAACCTCTGCCTCCTGGGTTCAAGCGATTCTCCTGCCTCAGCCTCCCGAGTAGCTAGGACGACAGGCACCCGTCGCCACACCCGGCTAATTTTTTGTATTTTAGTAGAGACGGGGTTTCACCGTCTTGCCCAGGCTGGTCGCAGACTCCTGAGCTCAGGCAATCCACCTGAGTCGGCCTCCCAAAGTGCTGGGATTACAGGCGTGAGTCCCCGTGCTGGGCAAATCTGTCTAATCTATCTATCTATCTATCATCTATCTATCTATCTATCTATCTATCTATCTATCTATCTATCTATCATCTATCTATCTATCTATCATCTATCTATCAATTTCTAGTTTATCAATCATCTATCTATCAATCATCTATCTCTCTAATTTATTATCCGTTTATGTACCTATCTCATCTATCTATGTGTGTATCTATTATCTATCTCTAATTTATTTCTCATCCATATATCTATCATCTATCCTCTCATCTCTATCTGTTTATCATCTACCTGTTTATCCATCATCTATCTCTAATTTATTTACTACCCATTTATCTATCTCATCTATCGTTTCTGTCTTTCTATCATCTATGTGTGTATGTATCTATCATCTATCTCTAATTTATTTATTATCTATATGTATCTATCTATCTATCTATCTATCTTCATCATCATCATCATCATCATCATCATTTATGTATCTATCATCCAGGCAGGGCAGGAGAGGAGAAGAATGAATTATCTAATATAACCCTGAAAAACATGGGACCATATTTCTACCACTTCCCAGAATTAAGTCTAACACAGGCTTTTTCAGCCCTGGCACAGCTGACATTTGGGGCTGGAGGACTCTCTGTGGTGGGGCCGTCCTGGGCACTGTAGGGTGTTGAGCAGCGGCCCTGGGCTCCCCAAGCAGGTGCTAGGGCCACCCTCTCCCCAGCTGTGAAAACCAAAGATGTCTCCAGACATTGTCCAGTGTCCTCTGGGGGACAAAATTATCCCTGGTTGCAAACCACTTCCATAGACAGACAGATAGACAGATAGATGATAGATCAGATAGATAGATAGATAGATAGATAGATAGATAGATAGATAGATAGATAGATGGATGGATGATGGATAGACTAGAAATTGATAGATGATAGATAGACGATAGATTACATAGACAGATAGATGATAGATTAGGTAGATAGATAGATGATGGGTAAACTAGAAATTGATAGATGATAGATGATAGATAGATAGATGATAGATTAGATAGATGATGGATGAACTAGAAATTGATAGATGATAGACAGATGATAGATTAGATAGATATAGATTAGATAGATAGATGATGGATAAACTAGAAATTGATAGAAGATAGATAGATAGATAGATAGATAGATAGATAGATAGATAGATAGATAGATAGATGCTAAAAAACTGGAAGTACATGATAGATTAGATTGATAGATGAGAGATTGCAGATAGGTAGATAAGATAGATGATACATAATGAAAGGAAGATGATAGGTGATTGATGAATTAGAGACAAATAGATAAAAAGACAATAAATAAAGTTGAGATAGATATGATAGATAGATAGATAATAGGTAGATGGATATATACATGGATATATTGATAATAGAGGAAATAGGTGAGAGATGATAGATATGATAAATGATAACTACATAGGTGATTGATAGACAATAAGTGATTGATACATATATAAATTGCAGATAGATTAGAGATAGATAAATGGAGACAGACAATAGATAGATAGATGATAGATAGATGGATAGATAGATAGATAGATAGATAGAATGGATGGATAAATGATGGATGGATGGATGGATGGATGGATGAATGATGGATGAATAGATGGAAGGATGGTGGATGGATGGATGAATAAATGGATGGTTAGATAGATGATAAATAGATAATAGATAGGTAGGTAGGTAGATAGATAGATAGACGATAGATAGAATGAATGGATGGACAAATGATGGATAGATGGATGGATGGATGGATGGATGGATGGTGGATGGATGGATGGATGGTGGATGGATGGATGAATAGATGGATGGATAGATAAATGATAGATGATAAATAGATAAATAATAGGTAGATAGATAGACGATAGATTTGATAGATAGATGATAGATTTGATAGATGATAGATTTGATAGATAGATAGATAGATGATAGGTAGATAGATGATAGATAGATAGATAGATAGATAGATAGATAGATAGATAGATAATAGATAGGCAGATGATGGCTAGGTAGATCTAACAGCATGGAGAAGCCGGTGCCATCTGGGACCCTTTGGTGTAGGTGGGGTCAGGTACCCCAACTCGCAGAAGCAGAATTGGGGCTGAGCTCCAGGACACGCTGCTGCTTTGAGTCCAGCTGGTGGGAAGAGCTGTGGACAGGGCACCCCCTAGGCACCTGCCCATCCCTCCACCCATGCATCAGCCCCCAAGCTCAGTGCCCGGGTTCTCTCAGGGGGAAAATGAGCTCTCGGATCTTTTCACTAAATTCCTTTTGTGCATAAGCCAGCTGGGGTGAGTCTCACTAGTTCACAACTACAAGCACCGATGAACCAGCTGCAGCCACGCCTCCAGTCTGGGTCACTGGACAGATGTAAAAAGGAGAGACATGAACTCAGGTGTCCTGGAGGGATTTCCTGAGGCACAAGGAGTGGGTTTCCTGGACCTGGAAAATGTCTCATCACCTGTGCTGTGGGTCACTGCCCACATATGTGCAGACATGAGCTCAAACGTCAGCAGGGTTCAAACCCTAGAGCTGGAAGCTGCCACAGAGGTCATTGGTGAAGACGCTTCCTTTTAAAGATGGGGAAACCAAGGCGGATGATTTTCATTCTTTGCTGCACGGCCTCCCTCTGGACTCTGTCCCCACCTCCCATGGGAAATTCCCTGTAGGAATCCCAAATGGAGGCGCTGAGATGGCAGCCGTCAAAGCCAAATGTGGACATGGATTGAAGACATACCACCGGCTCCTGTACGAGTCAGGATTCTCCACAGGACCCCAGAGGAAGGGCTCACTTCTCCAACGAGTGACTCACATGAACTACCAAAGTGGGACCTAAATTCATCAGCAAGTCATCCTCTCCAAGCCCTGGAGAATGGAAGTCTGAGATCAAGGTGTGGGCAGAAACGTGCTTCCTCTGGAAGCTCTAGGGGAGGGTCCTTCCTGCCTCTCCCAGCTCCTGGGGCTCCAGGTGTCCCTGGGCTTGTGGCCACTTCACTGCAGTCTCTGCCTCCATCTCCACGTGGCCTTCTCCCCTGTGTCTGTGTCCCCTCTTCTGTCTCTTACAAGGACACCTGTCATTGTGTTTAGGGCCCATCCTAATTCGGGATGATCTCGTTTCCAGATCCTTAATCACATCTGCAAAGACCCTTTTTCCAAATGAGGTCCCATTCCCAGGTTCTGGGGGTTATTACGTGAATATGTGCTTCTGAGGGCCACTGTTCAATCCATTACAATTGTATCCAGTTCCTTCTGCAGGCTCTAGGGGAGGGTCCTTCCTGCCTCTCTCAGCTCCTGGGGGCTCCAGGCATCCCTGGGCTTGTGGCCACATCACTCCAGTCTCTGCCTTCATCTCTATGTGGCCTTCTCCTCTGTGACTGTGTCTCCTCTTCTGTCTCTTAGAAGGACACCTGTCATTAGATTTAGGGCCCACCCTACTCCAGGATGATCCCATCTCAAGATCCTTCACCTAATTACATCTGCAAAGACCCTGTTTCCAAATAAGGTCACTTTCCCAGGATCCGGGTGGACATATCTTTTGGGGAGGCCTCCATTGAGCCCACTGCCCACACACAGTCTGGCCTGAGGCATCCCCACATTGGAAATTCCACAGCGTCAGCTCTGACTTCTGGCCTCACTACATCCCCAAGCCTCACTCTGTTTTGGGAACTGGTCACTGACTCCCAGCTCTGGGCCTGGGTCTGTCCCTGTGTCTCTGTTCTGGTGGTTTCCAGCCTGACTTCATTACTTCCTGGACCCCACTTCTCCCTCTGGAGTCCACACCCTTCGTCAATTGGGCAACTGGGACCCTTGAGAGGCTCATCTGTCCCTGCCACCTGTCTCAACTCTGAATTCCCTCTCATCCCTCACCTCCTGGGATCCAACCCACCTCACATTGGTATCTATCTATGTGTCTGTCTGTCTGTCTATCTATCTGTCTGTCTGTCTGTCTATCCATCCATCCATCCATCTATCTATGTATCTATGTATCTGTGTACTAGCTATCTATCCATCCATCTATGTATCTATGTATCTATCCATCCATCTATCCATCCATCCATCCATCTATGCATCTATCTATTTATCTATCATCTATCATCTTTCTGTTTTTCTATCATCTTTTTATCTATCATCTATCTATCCATCTATGTATCTATGTATGTATGTATCTATCTATCATCTATCATCCATCTGTCTATGTATCTATGTATCATGTATCATCTATCTATCTATCTAATCTATTATCTATCTATCTATCCATCATCTATATTCTATTGATTGCATATATTATCATCTATCATGTATGTATCTATCTATCCACCTATGTATCATCAGTCTTTCTATAAATCATTCATCTGTCTATCTTCTATCTTCCATCTACCTGTCTATTATCTATGTATCTATAGAACCATCCATTCATCTACTATCTATGTATCTATCCATTATCTATCTACCTATTTCTCGACCTATCTATTTCTCTATCATCTATTTATTCTCATCTATCATTTAACTATCGATCGATCTCATCTATTATCTATCATCAGTCTATTAATCATCAATCTATCATCAATCTATCTATGTATCAATCTGTCATGTATCTATCATCAGTCTATCAATCATCCATCTATCTATCTTCTATTTTCTATCTATCACCTATGTAACTATAGATCTATCCATTCGTCTATCTATCTACTATCTGTGTATCTATCTATCCATTATCTATCTGTCTATGTATCTATTTATCTATTCTCATCTATCATCTAACTTTTGATTGATCTCATCTATTATCTATCTATCATGAGTCTATTAATCATCAACCTATCATCAATCTATGTGTCCATGTATCTGTCTGTCATGTATCTATCTATCTATCATCAGTCTATCATCTGTCTATCATCAGTCTATCAGCTATCTATCATCTATCTACGTATTTATCATCTATCTATCTATCTGTGTATCCCGGCCACATTCCCTGGGCTGAATGTGATCCCTAATGCTTGCCTCTCTTGTTGCCCAGACATCTCCGTCAGATACCAGACGGGACCTTCTCCCTTTCTCTGCAACGGAAGCATCAGTTCTAAGCCAGGCCCCATCCATCCTGGCTGCTCAGAGGAACTGTGGTTAGAGAAAAGCTATCAAGCTTTTCTCTAACCACAGTTCCTCTGAGTGGTGTCTGCACAGAATGCAGGACAGAAACAGAAGGACAGGGGAAGTGGAGTGGGTGCTGTTGAGCAAGGACGCCTTAGTAAACATTTAGGGATGGGGTCAAATGAGGTGTGGAAATGGCAGTTCTGTTTCCCAATTCATGAGAACATATTTGAGAAAGAAAAAGGTGGGGCTAGAAGAAATATATGAGAGGATGCATGGTATCATTTAAGAGATGCTATTTTTTTCCTTTTTTTTTTTTTTTTTTTTTTTTTTTTTTGAGACAGAGTCTCGCTCTGTTGCCCAGGCTGGAGTGCAGTAGGAGATGTTATCTCTTAAACATTTTAAAATACCTTCATGAACTACTTTTTCTATTCTGGTAAAATACACATACCATAAATTTGCCATTGCAATCTTTTTTTTTTTTTCTTTGTTGAGACAGAGTTTCGCTCTTGTCGCCCAGATTGGAGTGCAATGGTGCAATCTCAGCTCACTGCAACCTCTGCCTCCCAGGTTCAAGCGATTCTCTGGCCTCAGCCTCCCGAGTAGCTGGGACTACAGGCACCTGCCACCACGCCCGTCTAATTTTGTATTTTTAGTAGAGACGGCGTTTCTCCATGTTGGTCAGGCTGGTCTGGAACACCTGATCTCAGGTGATCTGCCCACCTTGGCCTCCCAAAGTGCTGGGATTACATGCGTGAGCCACTGTGCCAGCCCATGCAATCATTTCTTATTTTTTAAATTTTACTTTAACTTCAGGGATACATGTGCAGAACGTGCAGGTTTGTTGCATAGGTATACATGTGCCATGGTGGCTTGCTGCACCTATCAACCCATCATCTAGGTTTTAAGCCCCATATGCATAAGGCATTTGTCCTAATGCTCTCCCTCCCCTAGTACCCCATGCCGCCCCGACAGGCCCCAGTGTGTGATGTTCCCCTCCCTGTGTCCATATGTTCTCATTGTTCAACTCCCACTTATGAGTGAGAACATGCAGTGTTTGGTTTTCTGTTCCTGTGTGAGTTTGCTGAGGATGATACTTTCCAGCTTCATCCATGTCCCTGCAAAGGACATGAACTCATCCTTTTTTATGGCTGCATAGTATTCCACGGTGTCTACGTGCCACATTTTCTTTATCCAGTCTGTCATTGAGGGGCATTTGGGTTGGTTCCAAGTCTTTGCTATTGTGAATAGTGCTGCAAAAACATACGTGTGCATGTGTCTTTATAGTAGAATGATTTATAATCCTTTGGGTATATACCCAGTAATGGGATGGCTGGATCAAATGGTATTTCTGGTTCTAGATCCTTGAGGAATCACCACACTGTCTTCCACATGTTTGAACTAATTTACGCTCCCACAAACAGTGTAAAAGTGTTCCTATTTCGCCAGGCGCGGTGGCTCACGCCTGTAATCCCAGTACTTTGGGAGGCTGAGGCGGGCAGGTCACGAGGTCAGGAGATCGAGACCATCCTGCCTAACACGGTGAAACCCCGTCTCTACTAAAAATACAAAAAATTAGCTGGGCATGGTGGCGGGTGCCTGTAGTCCCAGCTACTCAGGAGGCTGAGGCAGGAGAATGGCATGAACCTGGGAGGCGGAGCTTGCAGTGAGCCGAGATCGCACCACTGCAGTCCAGCCTGGGTGACAGAGCGAGACTCCATCTCAAAAAAAAAAAAAAAAAAAAAGTGTTCCTATTTTTCCACTGCAATCAGAGTCTCACTGTGCTGCCCAGGCTGGAGTGCGGTGGTGCAATCATGGCTCACTGCAGCCTCGACCACCTGGGCTCAAGTGATCCTCCCATTTCGGCCTCCCAAGTAGCTGAGACTACAGGTGAGTGCCACCACGCCAAGCTAATTCTTGTAACTTTTGGACAGATCGGGTCTTGCTATGTTGTTCACGCTTGTCCTGAACTCCTGGGCTCAAGCGAAGTGTATTGTTTTAATTCTTATTTTGACTGATTGTTAAGTCAAAGATCTGTAGTGCTACACCCTAGAAAGGATCCTTTCTTTTGTTTTTATTTTTATTTATTATTTATTTATGTATTTTTTGAGATGGAGTCTCGCTCTGTCACCCAGGCTGCAGTGCAGTGGTGTGATCTCGGCTCACTGCAACCTCCACCTCCCGGGTTCAAGCCATTCTCCTGCCTCAGCCTCCTGAGTAGCTGGGATTACAGGCATGCACCACCACACCCAGCTAATTTTTGTATCTTTAGTAGAGATGGGGTTTCACCACATTGGCCAGGATGGTCTCGAACTCTTGACCTGGTGATCCACCCACTTCAGCCTCCCAAAGTGCTGAGATTACAGGTGTGAGCCACTGCGCCCGGCCGAAAGGATCTTTTCAAAAATAGTAGACAATATATGAAGTGTCCAATTTCTCTACATCCTTCTCCTCCTCACCAACTCTTGTGATTTTCCATTTTTTAAGGAATCATAACTGCTTCCGGTGAATGCAAAATCACATATTTGCTACATAACGCCCATTTGTGGAGTAAGCAAGTCGACCTGAATTTCACACGCTGCTTTAAACTTTTCTTATGCAAATTTGCAAATCCAGAATCCGGGAGAAGATTATCTGGAAGCATTCCCATCAACTGTTTTCCATGCACCTGTTTCTTTGAGGCTGTGATATTTTAAGGCAATAGTCCAGACATTACATCATTTAGCCTAAAATTACTTTAGGATGTAAATCTAACAGATAATAACATGTTTTATTTCATAACCAGAACACTAATTATGAAGCCTTCATAATAACAGTAAGTCCTTAAGGGACTTTGTTCAGATTTGCTTCATTTATTTATTTATTTATTGAGATGGAGTTTCACTCTTGTCACCCAGGCTGGAGTGCAACGGTGCAATCTCAGCTCACTGCAACCTCCGCCTCCCGGGTTCAAGCGATTCTCCTGCCTCAGCCTCCCAAGTACCTGGGATCACAGGCATGCACCACCACACCCAGCTAATTTTTGTATTTTTAGTAGAAACGGGGTTTCACCATGTTGGCCAGGCTGGTCTCGAACTCCTGACCTGAGGTGGTCTGCCCGCCTGGGCCTCCCAAAGTGCTGGGATTACAGGCGTGAGCCACCGCACCTGGCCCCAGGTTTGCTTTGGAATGTCAAAGATGAATTTCTACAGTTGGTTTGTTTGAGCCAAAACTGAAACAAGGTCACCTTGTTATATTTACTGATTTTTCTCAAGTATCTCTTTAAAATGAGACCTGAGACAAATGTATATAATTATATATATATTTATATTACTTTATAATATATAATTATATATTAATTATAATATATTATTCATATATCATATATAAATATAATATATATATTATGTTATATAAATATATCATATGTATATTATGTTATATAAATATATCATATACATTATGTTATATAAATATACAATATATACATTATGTTATATAAATATACAATATATACATTATGTTATATAAATATATAATGTATACATTATGTTATATAAATATATAATGTATACATTATGTTATATAAATATATAATGTATACATTATGTTATATAAATATATAATGTATATATTATGTTATATAAATATATAATGTATATATTATGTTATATAAATATATAATGTATATATTATGTTATATAAATATATAATATATATATTATGTTATATAAATATATAATATATATATTATGTTATATAAATATATAATATATATTATGTTATATAAATATATAATATATATTTATATTATGTTATATAAATATATAATATATATTTATATTATGTTATATAAATATATAATATATATTATGTTATATAAATATATAATATATATATTATGTTATATAAATATATAATATATATATTATGTTATATAAATATATAATATATATATTATGTTATATAAATATATAATATATATATTATGTTATATAAATATATAATATATATTATGTTATATAAATATATAATATATATTATGTTATATAAATATATTATATATATATTATGTTATATAAATATATTATATATATTATGTTATATAAATATATAATATATATTATGTTATATAAATATATAATATATATATTATGTTATATAAATATATAATATATATATTATGTTATATAAATATGTATAAATTATATATTTAAATATATAATTTAAATAATATTAAACAATATTTAATATAACATATATTATATATCAATATATAATGTAATACTATATAATAATTATTAATATTAACTAATTATTGATATTCATTAAGTATTAATAATACCATGATTGTTAATATAATAAATATTCTATGTTATATAATAAATAATATAAATATATATGATATATTAAGTATAATATAATTTTATAATAAATATGTTATATTGTTATATTATTTTATATATTTTTCTATGTAAAAAATGCACTGAGGTGAGCTTCACACAACATAAAATTAACCATTTTTAAAAGGAACGATTTTATGGCCTTTCATATATTTGTAGTGTTGTTCAACAATCACCTGTATATGGTTTTTTTGTTTTGAGATGGAGTCTCATTCTGTTTATCTTTTATTTTATTATATTTTTATTTATTTATTTACGGACAGAGTCTCCCTCTGTCACCCAGGCCAGAGTGCATTGGCACAATCTCAGCTCACTGCAACCTCCACCTCCTGGGTTCAAGCCATTCTCCTGCCTCAGCCTCCCCAGTAGCTGGGATTCCAGGCGCCCGCCACCACGCCCGGCTAATTTTTGTATTTTCAGTAGAGACGGCGTTTCAGCACGTTGGCCAGGCTGGTCTCAAACTCCTGACCTCAGGTGATCCACCCACCTCGGCCTCCCAAAGTGCTGCGACTACAGGCGTGAGACACCACACCTGGTCGCTGTATCCATTCTTTAATAAAATTTCTTAATACAGTTTGATTAGATCAAGCCACACTTCACAACTCCATGCAGCCCCTATGCCTCCAGGCCTGAAGGAGTTAACGCTAATTCTTTTTATGTTGGAGATTACCATTTTATTACCAATGCTTTGTGAAAGTGCCATTATCATAAAATTGAAAACCGTCATCAAATTCTCTCCACGTGAAGAGGGGAGGCTTTTAGATGTGGGAGCGATTCTGACGACGCTGAAGGGTAGCAATTACCCTGTGACCATCCTCTGCGTGGAGGATTAAAAATAATCATTAAAGTAATGAGGCGTGAGTGGGATTTAAGGAACTCTCGCCGTAGTTAATTTGTTTTTGTAGTGAATTATTTAAATCTTCTTCCCGGGCCCCCATGCCTCCCATTTTTGTTTGGAAAAGAGACGTGCATTAACGGTTCTTAGAAGTGTACGTGGGGTGAAGCTGGTAATTAATAATATGATTTTGTTGTTGTTGTTATTGTTTGAGACAGAGTTTCACTCTGTCACCCAGGCTGGAGTGCAATGGCTCGATCTTGGCTCACTGCAACCTCCACCTCCTGGGTTCAAGTGATTCTCCTGCCTCAGCCTCCCTAGTAGCTGGGACTACAGGTGCCCGCCACCACACCCGGCTAATTTTTGTGTTTTTAGTAGAGATGGGGTTTCACCATGTTGGCCAGGATGGTCCCGATCTCCTGACCTTGTGATCCACCTGCGTCAGCCTCCCAAAGTGCTGGGATTACAAGCATGAACCACCTCGCCCAGTCTTGTTTTTTTTTTGTTGTTTTTTGTTTTGTTTTTTTTTTTTTTTTTTTTTTTTTTTTGAAACAGAGCTTCACTCTTGTCATCCAGGCTGAAGTGCAGTGGCTTGATCTCGGCTCACTGCAACCTCCACCTCCCGGGTTCAAGCTATTCCCCTGCCTCAGTCTCCCGAGTAGCTGGGGTTACAGGTACCTGCCACCATGCCCGGCTAATTTTTGTAATTTTGTATTTTGTTGACCAGCCTGGCCAACATGGTGAAAACTGTCTCTACTAAATATACAAAAAAATTAGCTGGGCATGGTGGCGCACGCCTGTAGTCCCAGCTACTCAGTAGGCTGAGGCAGGAGAATTGCTTGACCCCCAGGAGTTCGAGGTTGCAGTGAGCCGAGATTGCACCACTGCACTCCAGCCTGGGCAGCACAGCGAGACTCCATCTCAAAAACAACAACAACAACAAAAAGACCTGCCTAGCCAACATGGTGAAACCCTGTCTCTACTAAATATACAAGAAAATTAGCCAGGCGTGGTGGCAAATGCCTGTAATCCCAGCTACTCGGGAGGCCCAGGCAGGAGGATCGCTTGAACCTGGGAGGTGGAGGTTGCAGCGAGCCAAGATTGTGCCACTGCACTCCAGCCTGGGCAACAAGAGTGAAACTGTGTCTCAAAAACAAACAGACAAAAACAGAGTGTCTTAGTGGGATGATTTCATGTCCTGATGAGAGGTTTCACTCCCTCAGGGATCTTCCCCTCCCCATGAGCCCTCCGGGGCCCCTAAGAGCAAAATGTTGACAAGCGCGTCTTAGGACCTCCACCCTGTTGAAATGGACTTTCACTTTTATACTAAGTGCCTCAGCATGGAGGTTTTCTTTCAACGCAGCAATCCCACTGAAAGAGCTGGGAGAAGGTTGAACTGAGGGAGCTAGGAGAAAACCCACCTCAAATAACCAGTGGGGTGTGGGGGTGCAGTATCTTTAAGCGTTCCTCTCTGCTGGTTTCGTAGCTGATTAAACCGAGGGAAAAATCCATGCATTCTGGTCTAGAAGGACAGGAGGCAGCTTGCGTGTCCACCTGTTAGAGGCCGGGAAATCAAGCCCCAGAGACTTGGGGGTGATAGAAATAGAATCTACGAGCTTCAACGGCCTCATCCAGAAACTGTGAGTTAAAGGCAGGGTTGAGAGAGAAATTCCTTGGCATCCAGCATGATTTAAGTTATTTCTGTGGGTTCCACAGTATTTCTAAGTGGCACTGGTCATATAAAAGGCACTAATCAGCCGGGCGCAGTGGCTCAAGCCTGTTAACCCGGCACTCTGGGGGGCCGAGGCAGGTGGATCACTTGAGGTCAGGAGTTCGAGACCAGCCTGGCCAACATGGCACAAAACCCCATCTCTACTAAAAATACAAAAATTAGCCAGGTGTGGTGGTGTGTACCTGTCATCCCAGCTACTCGGGAGGCTAAGGTAGGAGAATCGCTTGAACCCAGGAGGCAGAGGTTGCGATGAGCTGAGATCGTATCACTGCACTCCAGCCTGGGCGACAGAGCGAGACTCCATCTCAAAAAAAAAAAAAAAAAAAAAAGAGGCTTGAGAGAAAATTCCTTGGCACCCAGCATTATTTAACTTCCTTCAGTGGATTTGACTGTATTTATAAGTGGCACTGGTCATATAAAAGGCACTAATCAGCCGGGCGCCTCCCGTGTCCAAGTGATTTTCCTGCCTCAGCCTCCTGAGTAGCTGGGATTACAGGCACCCGCCACCATGCCCGGCTAATTTGTGTATTTTTAGTAGATACGGGGTTTCATCATGTTGGCCAGGCCGGTCTCGAACTCCTGACCTCAGGTGATCCACCCGCCTCAGCCTCCCAAAGTGCTGGGATTACAAGCGTGAGCCACTGCGCCCGGCCTCTGTGTAATTTCTTATATCAAGTGAAATCTAAAAGCCCATCTGATGGGAGGGTGGTGGCTGTTGAAAGGATCCTAGATTCTGCATTTCTTCTGGGCTTGCAACGTTGATCCAGCCCAACAGTTTTCTTTCTCTTTCTTTCTTTCTTTCTTTCTTTCTTTCTTTCTTTCTTTCTTTCTTTCTTTCTTTCTTTCTTTCTTCTTTCTTTCTTTCTTTCTTTCTTTCTTCTTTCCTTCTTTCTTTTCTTCCTCCTTCCTTCCTTCCTTCCTTTCTTTCTTCTTTCTTCCTTCTTTCTTTCTTTTTTTTTTTCAGAGTTTTACTCCTGTTGCCCAGGCTGGAATGCAGTGGTGCAATCTTGGCTCACTGCAACCTCTGCCTCCCAGGTTCAAGTGAGTCTCCTGCCTCAGCCTCCCGAGTAGCTGGGACTACAGGCACCCGCCACCACACCCGGCTAATTTTTGTATTTTTAGTAGAGACGGGGTTTCACCGTGTTGGCCAGGCTGGTCTCGAACTCCTGACCTCAGTTGATCCACCCACCTCAGCCTCCCAAAGTGCTGGGATGACAGACATGAGTCGCCGTGCCCAGCCAGTAGTTATTTTTTTAATTCACCCCAGATTCGTAATATTTATGGCTCGGTACAAAGCAATATGGGCTTGGCTGGTAAGAAGGAGGCTGGCGTGATTTCATGTCACCTTCTGAGCACTCGCCTCTCAACAGGGAGAATTTTTTACTGTTAACCAAGCAGGTCTATTTTCAGAAATATGTAAACCGTGCCTTGCAAACATTGAGAAGCAGTTACCGCTTAGCAGTTAATCAATGGATTTAAGATCAGCTCTTGTAAGCCGAAAGATACCGTGTAATAAATGACTGTTGGTGTTGATTAAATAGTGAGACTCAGCCGAGGCACTTAATCAATCTCCGAAGCCGTTTACAGGGAGCCCGCGTGCTCATAGCGGTTATGTGACAAGCTGTAAAACAGAAAATAGAAAATAGACTGGATGTTGTCATCAGAATGGATCTATTTTATACATGAGACAAATTCACAGAAAATCATTTGCAGATGGTTCCATTGTTGTGTCGGGGTTCAGTGGGTGCTGGGAGTCGCTGGGGCAAAAGGAAGACTTTTCTCAAAGACTCAGCAGGAGAATGACTTTCATTTCACTGAAGTCAGCCCCGTAGCTAAGGCTGCAGACAAATCAGGAGCAACTATAGCTGAGAACCCTCTTTGTGAACGTGAGCCCCAATCTGCCCGTCACGGGGTGACATCACCACCAACCGTGACACCGTCAGTGTCCAAACAAGAGCGAAAGGACATTCGCAGTGCAGAAGTAAAAGATGATGCTGGCCAGGTGCGGTGCCTCGTGCCTGTGATTGCAACACTTTGGGAATTCGAGGCTGGAGAGGATTGCTTGAAGCCAGGAGTTCGAGACCAGCCTGGGCAACATGGGAAGACCCCCATCTCTGCACACACACACGCACGCACACACACACACACACACACACACACACACACACACACACTTGAGCCCAGGAGGTGGAGTCTGCTGTGAGCCGTGATCGTGCCACTGCACTCCAGACTGGACAGCAGAGTGAGACCCCATATGAGGTGGGAGAAGGGACCTTCCCTGAGGAACCTGCACCCTCTCCCAACCCCAGGATGGAAATCAAGGAAAATCATGAGTTCTTTCCAGGAAAATTCCAGGCACCTCGCTACAGTAGCTTAAAACAATAGTCAGCCCGGCACGGTGGCTCACGCCTGTCATCCCAGCACTTTGGGAGGCCGAGGCAGGTGGATCCCCTGAGGTCGGGAGTTCAAGACCAGCCTGACCAACGTGGAGAAACCCCGTCTCTACTAAAAATACAAAAATTAGCCGGGCGTGGAGGCGGACTCCTGCAGTCCTAGCTACTCGGGAGGCTGAGGCAGGAGAACTTCCTGAGGGACCTGCAGAAAGTCACACCGACAAGCTACGGCTGACATTTTTTTCTGCTGACCCCAAATTTTTACAGAACCCTTCGCCTCCTTAGCCAGTTGCAAATCAGGGAAGTTTGGACTTCACCTATGACCTGTAAGCTTTGAGATGTCCCAGCTTTTTATAGCAAACCAATGTTACTTATGCCTCCTCTGCCTTGAAAATCCCATACGTGGGGGCCCCTGGGGAGGTCAGGAGTAAAGCATGGGGTGCCCGATCCTCTTGCCAAAGAAAACACCCTCCTTTCTCTCACGGCAAATCCCAATGTGGATGTTGGGCTTTGCTGTGTCCGGTGGGAGGACCCAAGAAAGTTCTGGAACAGAAACAGGGCTTTGAGGAGGTACCTCAAAGCTAAACAAGATAATGAGGGTGGTGTCCCAATGCAAAAAGGTTGGTGACCTCCTAAGAAAGAGGAAGAAATCTCTCTCTGTCTCTCCTCTCTTGATACCTCTCCATCTCTCTTCTCATCTCCTCTCTCTCTCTTTTTCTCTTTCTCAGCACCTCTCTGTCTCTGTCTCTCCTCTCCTCTCTTCTCCTCTTTCTCTCTCTCTCTCTTTTCTCTTTCGATATCTCTCCATCTCTCTTCTCATCTCCTCTCTCTCTCTCTTTTTCTCTTTCTCAGCACCTCTCTGTCTCTGTCTCTCCTCTCCTCTCTTCTCCTCTTTCTCTCTCTCTCTCTTTTCTCTTTCGATATCTCTCCATCTCTCTTCTCATCTCCTCTCTCTCTCTCTTTTTCTCTTTCTCAGCACCTCTCTGTCTCTGTCTCTCCTCTCCTCTCTTCTCCTCTTTCTCTCTCTCTCTCTTTTCTCTTTCGATATCTCTCCATCTCTCTTCTCATCTCCTCTCTCTCTCTTTTTCTCTTTCTCAGCACCTCTCTGTCTCTGTCTCTCCTCTCCTCTCTTCTCCTCTTTCTCTCTCTCTCTCTTTTCTCTTTCGATATCTCTCCATCTCTCTTCTCATCTCCTCTCTCTTTTTCTCTTTCTCTCTTTCTTGGTACCTCTCTCTCCCCCTCTCTGTCTCTCCTCTCCACTCTTCTCCTCTCCCTCTGTCTCTCTGTCTGTCTCTCTATTTCTGCTTATTTTCTCCTCTCTCTCGATACCATGCTCTCTCTCTCCTCTTCTTTTCTCCTCCCTCTCTCTCTTTCTCCTTATTTTCTCCTCTCTCTGTCATTCTTGGTATCTCTCTTTCTCTCTCTCTCTCCTCACCTCTCTTCTCCTTTCTCTGTTTTCTCCTCTGTCTCTTTCTCAGTACCTTCCTCTCTCTCCTCTCTTCTCCTCTGTCTCTTTCTCTCCCTCTGCTTTTTGGTACCCCTTCCCCTCTTGTCTCCTCTTTTCTCTCTCTGTCTCTCTCTCTTACTCTGTATTTTCTCCTCTCTCTCTGTCTCTCTTTCTTGATCTCTCTCTCTCCTCTCTACTCTCTCTCTCTCTGTCTCTTTATTTTCTCCTCTGTCTCTCTTTCTCGGTACTTCTCTCTCGTCTCCTCTCTTCTCCTCTCTCTGTTTATTTCTCTCCTCCTCCTTCTCGGTACCCCCCTCCTCCTCTTTTCTCTTCTCTCTCTGTCTGTCTGTCCGTCTCTCTTTCTCTTTATTTTCTCCTCTCTCCCTCTCTTTCTCGGTACCTGTCTCTCTCTGTGTCTCCTCTCGTCTCTTCTCCTCTTTGTTTCTCTCTCTCTCTCTTTCTCGGTACCTCTCTCCCTCTATCTCCTCTCCTCTCTTCTCTCTCTCTCCCTCTCTCTCTTTCTCTGTATTTTCTCCTCTATCGCTTTCTCAGTACCTCTCTCTTTCCCCTCTCCTCTCTCTTTCTTTCTCTCTGTCTTTCTCTTTCTCTGTACCCACCTTTCTCTCTCCTCTCCTCTCTTCTTCTTTCTCTCTCTCTCTTTCTCTGTGTGCAGGAGTTCTTTCTCTCTGTCTCACTCACTCTCTCTCTTTCTCTGTATTTTCTCCTCTATCTCTCAGTACCTCTCTCTTTCCCCTCTCCTCTCTCCTTCTTTCTGTCTTTCTCTTTCTCTGTACCCACCTTTCTCTCTCCTCTCCTCTCTTCTTTCTCTCTCTCTCTTTCTCTGTGTGCAGTTCTTTCTCTCTGTCTCACTCGCTCTCTCTCTTTCTCTGTATTTTCTCCTCTATCTCTCAGTACCTCTCTCTTTCTCCTCCCCTCTCTTCTTCTTTCTCTCTGTCTTTCTCTTTCTCTGTACCCCCTTCTCTCTCTCCTCTCCTCTCTTCTTCTCTCTCTCTCTCTTTCTCTGTATTTTCTCCTCTATCTCTTTCTCAGTACCTCTCTCTTTCCCCCTCCTCTCTCTTTCTTTCTTTCTGTCTTTCTCTTTCTCTGTACCCCCCTTCCTCTCTCTATCTCTCTCTGTCTCTCTCTTCCTCTCTCTCTCTCTCTCTCCCTCCCTCTCTCTCTCTCCCTCCCTCTCTCTGTCTGCAGAAGCATACATCAGGGAAATGCCCTGTGAGGACAGAGAGGGAAGGCAGCTGTCTGCACCCTGGAAGGGGCAAGGGAACCCTCTCCAAAACCCACCCATGCCAGCGACTCCCCAATTCTGGACTTGCAGCTTCTAGAGCTGTGAGAAAATAAAGGTCTCTTTTGCAGGCTGCACATTCTGAGCTGTTTTGCAATAACCAGCCCGAGCTGACGAACTGCGCTGTGTAGGCTCAGGTACATAAGGATCCACCCAACATTCCCTCCTAGCTCAGGACAAAACTGGCAAGCGCCTCATGTTGTCGACCCATCCCCACGGCCCTGGAAGGTCCCGAAGCTGTCAGGAAAAGCTCATTTCTGTAAAAGCGTCTTCACTCCTTTTAGAGGAAGCTGCTGACAGACTTTGCAGTGGTGCCCGACGTGACAAGCTGGGTCCAAAGAGCTCGGCGTTCAGGGCCAGGCTTAATGGGGAACATGTCTCGGCCAGTGTTTCTACTTAATTAGGCCTTTTTCGTACCGATTGGACTATTTTTTATGACGGTCCAGTCCAACTGCCCCCAAACATGATAAACTGATTACGTGTGCTCTGTTGCAAGAGTTTTTAATAAATATGAACCATCTGAGTACAATCACCCACTCCTCTAGGAGGCCTCAACGGCGGCTTAACCAAACTGATTTCTTTTTATTTTTATTTATTTATTTTTATTTTTGAGATGGAGTCTCTCTCTGTCGCCCAGGCTGGTGTGATCTCGGCTCACTGCCACCTCCGCCTCCCAGGTTCAAGCGACTCTCCCGCCTCAGCCTCCCAAGTAGCTGGGATGACAGGTGCCACCACCACACCCGGCTAATTTTTGTATTGTTAGTAGAGATGGGGTTTTCACCGTGTTGGCCAGGCTGGTCTCGAACTCCTGGCCTCAGGTGATCCCCCCGCCTCGGCCTCCCAAAGTGCTGGGATGACAGGCATGAGCCTCCGCTCCCGGCCCCAAACTTGTTTCTTTATTCCGTCTCAGTATTTAGGAAACATCCTTTAAGCCATGGAGCGATTTGAGATCAAAACAGAGCCCCTCCTTTTGAGACGAAGGATCTGGGCGTCAAGAAGGGTCTGTAGCTTCTCCATGGGACCCTGTGGAGCTTGGAGGGCTCTGTCAAAGCTCTCACTGCAGAGAGCACAGGGTGTTCACTGGTGTGTGAGGCTTAGGGCCTTTGCAGGTTTAGAGAGTCTCAGGCGGCCTAAGTCATATTCATTCACTCACAGAGTCAGCGGCTCTGGCCACCCGCTGGCATGGGTGGCTTTTATCAAGGGCTTCCTTCCTCCTTCGAGGGTGGAGACAGCCGCCTTCTCGCTCTATCCTCTCAGGGCCTTTCCCAGGTGTGTATGCTCCTGCAGAGAGAGAGAGAGAGAGAGACAGAAAGAAAGAAGAAGAGAGGAGAAGAGAGAGAGAGGGTGTACAGAGAAAGAGAAACAAAGAGAGAGATGAGGGGGAAAGAGAGACAGAGAGAGAAAGAAACAGAAAGAGGAGACGACATGAGAGGAGAGAGAGACAAAGAGAGAGAGAAAGAGAAAGGTACCGAGAAAGAGAGGGAAGTAGGAGAAAAGGAAGAGAAAGAGACAGACAGAGAGAAAGAAGAAGAGGGGGGGGGGTGTACAGAGAAACAGAGAGAGAGACAGAAAGAGAGAGAGGAGAGAGGAAAGAGAGAGGTGCTGAGAAAGAGAGAGAGGAGAGAGGAAAGAGAGAGGTGCTGAGAAAGAGAGAGAGGAGAGAGGAAAGAGAGAGGTGCTGAGAAAGAGAGAGAGGAGAAAATAAAGAGAGAGAGAGAGAAAGACAGAGAGAAACGAGAGGAGAAGAGATAGAGGGAGAGAGGTACCAAGAAAGAGAGAAAGAGACAGAGAGAAGGAAGAAGAGAGGAGAGGAAAGGGGAGGTGTATGGAGAAAGAGAGAGAGAAAGAAAGAGAGAGGAGAGGGGAAAGAGAGAGGTGCTGAGAAAGAGAGAGAGGAGACAATAAAGAGAGAGAGAGAAAGACAGAGAGAAACGAGAGGAGAGGAGATAGAGGGAGAGAGGTACCAAGAAAGAGAGAGAGAGAGGCAGAGAGAAAGAAGAAGAGAGGAGAGAGAGGGGGTGTACTGAGAAAGAGAGAGAGGGAAAGAAAGAAAGAGAGGAGAGGGGAAAGAGAGCAGTACTGAGAAAGAGAGAAAAAAGAGAGAGAGAGAAAGAGAGAAATGAGAGGAGAGGAGATAGAGGGAGAGACGTACCAGGAAAGAGAGAGAGACAGAGAGACAGAAAGACAGAAAGAAGAGAGGAGAGGAGAGGGGGTGTACAGAGAGAGAGTAGAGGGGAAAGAGAGGTACTGAGAAAGAGAGAGAGGAAAAAATACAGAGAAAGAGAGAGACAGAGAGAGATGACAGGAGAGGAGATAGAGGGAGAGAGGTACCAAGAAAGAGAGAGAGGGAGAGAGACAGAGAGAGAAAGAAGAAGAGAGGAGAGGAAAGAGAGGGGGGTGTATAGAGAAAGAGAGAGAGAAAGAAAGAGAGAGAGGAGAGAGGAAAGAGAGAGGTACTGAGAAAGAGAGAGAGGAGAACATACAGAGAAAGAGTGAGAGAGACAGAGAGAGAGGAGAGAGGAGAGGGGATAGAAGGAGAGAGGTACTGAGAAAGCGAGAGAGAGAGAGAGAAGAAGAGATGAGAGGAGAGAGAGGAGGGTGTACAGAAAAAGAGAGAGAGAGAAAGAGAGGAGAGGGGAAAGAGAGAGGTACTGAGAAAGAGTGAGAGAAGGAAATAAAGAGAAGGAGAGATAAAGAAACAGAGTCAGCGGCTCTTCATTTGCTGGTCCACACACAAGCCCACCAGGATAGACAGTGAAGCAGCTGAACTGTAGACAGAAGAGAGGGTAGAAGGCATTTGCAGCAAGACACACGGGAAAGGATGACCCAAAACCGTGATGCGAGTTTGAGAGTCAGACTCGATATACCAGCATTATTACCCAATAAAGGCCAAACAGGGATTCTAGGAGGGCCTTGATATTTTTGTCTTAGTTGCTCGTGTCAAAAGCAGCACCAGGCTGGAGGCGGTGGCTCACACCTGTAATCCCAGCCCTTTGGGAGGCCAAGGCAGGTGGATCACTTGAGGTCAGGAGTTCAAGACCAGCCTGGCCCACATGGAGAAACTCCATCTCTACTAAAAATACAAAAATTAGCCAGGTGTGGTGGCAGGTGCCTGTCATCCCAGCTATTCCGGAGGCTGAGGCAGGAGAATCGCTTGAACCCGGGAGGCGGAGGTTGCAGAGAGCCGAGATCACACCATTACACTCCAGACTGGGCGACAGAAAGAAACTCGGTCCCAGAAAAAAAAAAAAAAATGCAGCACCATTTGCCAAGCAAGACAGCTGGAGAATACCAGGTTTGGGTACCGTGATGATTAATACTGAATGTGAAGTTGATTGGATTGAAGGATGCAAAGTATTGATCCTGGGTGTGTCTGTGAGGGTGTTGCCAAAGGATATCAACATTGGAGTCAGTGGGCTGGGAGAGGCAGAATCACCTTCAATCTGGGCAGGCATCATCTAATCAGCTGTTGGCACAGCTAGAATATAATCAGGCACAAAAATGTGCAAAGAGAGAGTGGCCTAGCCTCCCAGCCTCCATCTTTCTCCCATGCTGGATGCTTCCTGCCCTCGAACATCTGACTGCAAGTTCTTCAGTTTTGGGACTGGGAATGGCTCTTCTTGCTCCTCAGCCTGCAGACAGCCTGTTGTAGGACCTGGTGATTGTGTGAGTTCATACTTAATAAACTCCCATTTATAGATAGATACATAGATAGATAGATGATAGATAGACAGACAGACAGACAGATAGATAGATAGATAGATAGACAGATAGATAGATACATAGACAGATACACAGATAGATATATAGATAGATAGATAGATAGATAGATAGATACATAGATACATAGATAGATACATAGATTGATACATAGATACACAGATAGAAAGATACATACATACATACATACATACATACATACATACATACGTACGTACATAGATAGATGATAGATAGATAGATAGACAGATAGATACATAGATAGATATACAGATACATAGATAGATAGAAAGATACATAGGTAGACGGATTGATACATAGATAGATAGATACATACATACATACATACATAAACACATAGATACATAGATACATACATACATAGATACATAGATAGATACATACATACATATATACATATATACATAGATACATATATACATAGATACATAGGTACATACATAGATAGATACATACATACATAGATAAATAGATAGGTACATAGATAGATACATACATACATAGATACATAGAAAGATACATAGATAGATAGATACATACATACATACATAGACAGATACATAGATAGATAGATACATAGATACATAGATAGATAGATAGATGCATACATACATACATACACAGATAGATACATAGATAGATAGATACACAGTTAGATGATAGATAGATAGATAGATGATAGATAGATAATAGATATATACATACACAGATAGATGCACAGATAGATGATAGATAGATACATAGATAGATAGATACATACATACATACACAGACACATAGATACATAGATACACAGTTAGATGATAGATAGATAGATAGATAGATAGATAATAGATAGATACATACATACATACACAGATAGATAGATAGATGCACAGATAGATGATAGATAGATAGATACATACATAGATAGATAGATAGATAGATACATACATACATACATAGATACACAGTTAGATGATAGATAGATAGATAGATAATAGATAGATACATACATACATACACAGATAGATAGATAGATGCACAGATAGATGATAGATAGATAGATACATAGATAGATAGATAGATAGATAGATAGATAGATAGATACATACATACATACATACATAGATACACAGATAGATACATAGATACACAGTTAGATGATAGATACATAGATACATAGATAGATAGATGCATACATACATATGTACACAGATAGATACATACACAGATAGATACACAGTTAGATGATAGATAGATAATAGATAGATAGATACATACACAGATAGATACATAGATGCACAGATAGATGATAGATAGATAGATACATAGATACATAGATAGATAGATAGATACATACATACATACATAGATACACAGATAGATACATAGATACACAGAAGATAGATAGATAGATGATAGATAGATACATACATACATAGATACACAGATAGATACATAGATACATAGATAGACAGATAGATGATAGATAGATAGATAGATAGATAGATAGATAGATAGATAGATAGATAGATTTTATTAGTTCTGTTCCTCTAGAGAACCCTGATTAATACAGGTAGAAACGGGTGAGGTAGTGTGAGTGCCTCACTCAAGTGAAGGTGCCCTGTCCACAGCAGGGTAGGAAGAGGCTGTGGGCATCACAGACCACAGACCGGGTGTGAGATCTGGCAGCCAAGGACTTCAAGGCAGATACAACCAGCTTTATGCGGTATCTGCCAATGGGAAGGGGTAGGATGAGGCAAGGTCGCCACCCGGAACAGAGACCCACGTCCACAAAACAGGGGCAAAATTGGGAAAAGCCAGCAGTGACGCGATTGAAAGCCACGTTTTTATTGCACTGGCAGATATGATTTAAATAGGGGTGCGATGAGAATACGTTCAAAGGAATCATTTTATTTAGGAGTAGGATGTGAGGGAGGACTCTTGGGCATTTGGATGTCGAGAGACAGAGAGAAAGAAATATTTTCAGGGGACATTTTGAAAGGAGACTTATTAATAATTCAAGGGGCAAAGGCGTTCCAAGCTGTACCTGGAAAGTATTTTAAGCCAAACTACAGCCTACACTAAAGAACGGTTTCCAGCCTGTTATCTGACTTGCTACCAAAAATACATTTAAAGTAGAAATTTGGAGGCTGGTCCTCTTGAAATGCGGTGCAAATTGCTCCCCAATTTTTATATTAGACGCAGAGAGAGACACTTATGAGGCAGTCTCGCCAACATAAGATATTAGAGAAAAAATTGGAAAGAGCAGTGTAGGATATTTCCCTCAACAA
The DNA here is from genome assembly GCF_000001405.40 of Homo sapiens. Taxonomy (NCBI): domain Eukaryota; kingdom Metazoa; phylum Chordata; class Mammalia; order Primates; family Hominidae; genus Homo; species Homo sapiens. The sequence continues at coordinate 946,797 of NC_000023.11, forward strand.
GGTTGCAAGCAAAGATGGATGTATTTGCAAATAAGAAATTTATGAAATACTGTTGCAAAGCTCATGTTTGCAAGGCGTCTCCACCCACAACGGGGTCTCGAGACAAAGAGAGTAGGTCTCAGCACCAAGCCCTCTGCTCATGTTGTTTGGAACGGCGCCATTGGTTTTCTTTGTGTTTCTGTTTTGTATTATAGTGTACGATGGCTCCCTGGCCTCTCTGGGTCTCTCAGGGAACCAAGCGTCCACTGTGCCCAAGAAGGAAAAAGGAAAAAAGTGGACTGGACCTTCTCTGTCCTCTCTAGACCTCTGGATAACAGGTGTCCCTCAAGGGTCCCAAGGGGTGAGCAAAGTCAGTGTTTTCCAATCTTCAAACCAGAGCAGATACCATGGATTCCTCAAAGGCCCCAAGGGGTGAGCAAAGTCAATGTTTTCCAATCTTCAAACCAGAGCAGATACCATGGATTCCTCAAAGGCCCCAAGGGGTGAGCAAAGTCAGTGTTTTCCAATCTTCAAACCAGAGCAGATACCATGGATTCCTCAAAGGCCCCAAGGGGTGAGCAAAGTCAATGTTTTCTGCTCTTCAAACCAGGCCGGATTCCACGAGTCCCTCAAGGGTCCCAAAGGGTGAGCAAAGTCAACATTTCACAATCTTCATACCAGACCGGATACCACAAGTCCCTCAAGGATCTCAAAGGGTGAGCAAAGTCAATGTTTTCCAATCTTCAAACCAGGCCGGATATCACGGGTCCCTCAACGGTCCCAAGGGGTGAGCAAAGTCAATGTTTTCCAATCTTCAAACCAGACCAGATGCCATGGATCCCTCAAGGGTCCCAAGGGGTGAGCAAAGTCAATGTTTTCCAATCTTCAAACCAGACCAGATGCCATGGATCCCTCAAGGGTCCCAAGGGGTGAGCAAAGTCAATGTTTTCCAATCTTCAAACCAGACCAGATGCCATGGATCCCTCAAGGGTCCCAAGGGGTGAGCAAAGTCAATGTTTTCCAATCTTCAAACCAGGCCAATACCACGGGTCCCTCAGGGGTCCCAAGGGGTGAGCAAAGTCCATGTTTTCTGCTCTTCAAACCAGGCCAAATACCACGAGTCCCTCAAGGATCCCAAGGGGTGAGCAAAGTCCATGTTTCACAATCTTCAAACCAGACCAGATACCACGGGTCCCTCAAGGGTCCCAAGGACTGAGCATAGTCAATGTTTTCCAATCTTCAAGCCAGAAGATGCCACCATATTGATTGGCCAATTCTCTTGGACTCAGCAAAGCATCTTCCTTAATAACCTTTCCCTCTCTACATCTAAAACAAAGGAATCCATGGCCTTCAACCACAGACCCTCCTTCCCCAGAGTGACCTCTCTACACTGGAGTGTCTATCTTGGTGTCCAGCCTAGAGATAATGGTCCTGTGGGAATTTAGCTGAAATCTCATAGCAAGAAGAGTGAATGTGGAGACCTTGGTCCCTTCCTGATTCTTCCAAGAAAATGGCAGATGGGTGAGGCTTCCAAGAGGAAGAACTGACCTCATCCATCTACCCTTTTCTCCTTCAAGATGAACACGCTCAAGCAATGGTGGTCTGGAATGTCTTGGGATTGTTTTGTTGGAAGGAGCATTAGAGGTGGAAGCTCTCTCAAAACAAAGAGGAACATGACTCAGGAAAACAAAGCAAGTCCTTCAAAGTCAGACACTCAAGTGTCTTGGCTCTGAGCCTAGCATCTTTGCCTCCACCCTGACCTGCGATGAGACCCTTTGAGTTTGAGATGGAGTCTCGCTCTGTCATCCAGGCTGGAGTGCAGTGGCATGATCTCAGCTCACTGCAACCTCCACCTCCTGGGTTCAAGCGATTCTCCTGCCTCAGCCTCCTGAGTAGCTGGGATTACAGGCGCCCACCACCACACTCAGCTAATTTTTGTATTTTTAGTACAGATGGGATTTCACCATCTTTGCCAGGCTGGTATTGAACTCCTGACCTCGTGATACACCCACCTCAGCCTCCCAAAGTGCTGGGATTACAGGTGTGAGCCACGGTGCCCAGCCTGAGACTTTTCTTAGTTTTGTAAGGTTTTAAATAGACTGACAGGTACAGAGAGCAATGGGGCAGAGACAGTAGACTCAGCACCCAACAGGAATGGAAGATTTAAGACTCAGTCTTTTTTTTTTTTCCTTTTTGAGACAGAGTCTCACTCTGTCACCCAGGCTGGAGTGCAGTGGTGTGATTGTAGCTCACTGCAACCTCCGCCTCCCGAGTTCAAGCAATTCTCCTGCCTCAACCTTCCGAGAAGCTGGGATTACGGCGTCCGCCAACATGCCCGGCTAATTTTTGTATTTTTAGTAGAGACGGGGATTTACTGTGTTGGCCAGGCTGGTCTTGAACTCCTGACCTGATGTGATCCACCCGCCTCGGCCTCCCAAAGTGCTGGGATTACAGGCGTGAGCCACCTCGCCCAGTCAGGTTCATTCTCTTTTAAGAGACAGAAACACAGCTGAGGTTCTCCCTGGAAACCTCCTGGTCACTACAGACCCTCCTTCCCCAGAGCAACTTCTCTGTATTGGAGTGTTTTTCCTGCACCTCCGTTCTTAACACGTTCAAGGCTGATATATCAACAAGCAACATTCAGGATTGCTTTGTGCGTGTCACAAAAGCCACACGGATGAGAAAGAAGCTAGTCTAAAAGCGATGGCTCACGCCTGTAATCCCAGCACTTTGGAGGGCCAAGGCAAGTGGATCATGAGGTCAGGAGTTTGAGACCAGCCTGACCAACATGGTGAAACCCCGTCTCTACTAAAAATAGATAAATTAACTGGGCGTGGTGGCAGGCACCTGTAATCCCAGCTACTCGGGAGGCTGAGGCAGGAGAATGGCTTGAAACCGGAAGGCAGAGGTTGCAGTGAGGCAAGATAGTGCACCAGCCTGGATGACAGAGCAAGACTCCGTCTCTAAATAAACAAATAGGCACTTGCTACAGGATTCCAATAATAGAATATGGTAGAAGAGGTCAAACTGTGGAGATGGTGAAAAGATGTGTGGTTGCAAAGAGTGAGGATGCAGTGATGGATAGGAGGGGAGTGGAGGCTTTTCAGGGCAGTGAAAGTATTCTGTGGAATCTTACAGTGGTGGATGTGTGGCATTATATCTTTGTTCAAACCCAGAGACCAGCTGTCTTCAGCCTTTTTGGCATCGGGAACCAGTTTTGTGGAAGATAATTTTTCCATGGATTGGTGCTGGGATGGTTTTGGAAGGATTCAGGTACATTGCATTGATTGTCCAATGCTGAGGTGCAATGGTATGATCATAGCTCCCTGCAGCCTCCACCTCCTGGGCTCAAGTGATCCTCCCGCCTCAGCCTCCCAAGGAGCTGAGACTACAGGCATGCACAACAATGCCTGCCTGGTTAAATTTTTTATTTTTGTAGAGATGGGATCTTGCTCTGTTTTCCAGGCTGGAGTGCAGTGGTATGATCAGGGCTCACTGCAGCCTCCACCTCCTGGGCTCAAGCAATCCTCCTCCCTCAGCCTCCCAAGGAGCTGAGACTAGAACCATGCACCACCAAGCCCAGCTAGTTTTTAGATTTTTTTTGTAGAGAAGGGGTCTTGCTATGTTGTCCAGGCTGGTCCCAAACTCCTGGGCTCAAGTGATCTTTATTTTAATCCTTATTTTTACTTATTATTAAGTCCAATGTGTCTGGCACTATACCCTAGAAAGGATCCTTTCCAAAATAGTGGAATTAATATCTCAGAACATGTGCTTGCTTCAGCAGCACATAAGCTATATTAATATCTCAGAACACATTGCCTAGTAAAATAGAAGTAAAATAGACACTTGAAGAGACAAGAAAACTTTTTTCTTTCTTTCTTTCTTTCTTTCTTTCTTTCTTTCTTTCTTTCCCTTTCTCTTTCTTCTTTCCTTTTCTTTCTTCTTTCTCTCTCTTTTCCTTCTTTATCTCTTTCTTCTTTCTCTCTTTTTTCTCTCTTTCTCCCCGCTTTCTTTCTTTCTTCCTTTCTTTCTTCCTTTCTTTCTTTTCTTTCTTTCTTTCTTTCTTTCTTTCTTTCTTTCTTTCTTTCTTTCTTTCTTTCTTTCCTTCTTTTCTTTCTCTGTCTCTCTCTCTCTTTTTTTTTTCTTGAGATGGAGTCCCCCTGTGTCATCCAGGCTGGAGTGCAGTGGTGCGATCTCAGCTCACTGCAACCTCTGCATCCTGGGTTCAAACGTTACTCCTGTCTCAGCCTCCCAAGTAGCTGGGATTACAAGCAGGTATGGCCAGCTCACTTGTGTATTTTTAGTAGAGATAGGGTTTCACCATGTTGGCCAGGCTGGTCTGAAACTCCTGACCTCAGGTGATCCACCCGCCTCAGCCTCCCAAAGTGCTGGGATTACAGGCGTGAGCCACTGCACCCAGCCAGTTTTAGGTTTTTAAAACAAGCCTACAGCCGAGTGCAGCAGCTCACATCCACAATCCCAGCACTTTGGGAGGCCAAGGTGGGAGGATCATTTGAGTCCAGGAGTTTGAGACCAGCCTGGACAACAGGGCAAGACCCCATCTCTAAAAATATAAAATTAGCTGGGCATGGTGTCGTGTGCCTGTGATCCCAGCTACGCAGGAGGCTGAGGTATGAGGGCTGCTTGAGTCCAGGAGTTTGAGGCTGCATTGAGCTGTGATGGCACCACTGCATTCTAGCCTGGGCAACAGAGCAAGACCCTGTCTCTTAAAAAACAAACCAAAAAAAATCCATTTAAGGTACATTGCACTTGTCTCCAAAATGCAAATGGAGGTGAAGTCTGTATACTGACCTGGTTTCCCTATATTCATTGTAAACATTTTTGTTAAACATCTACATCCCTGCCAAGAATTTTAATTGTCCTAGAAATTACACATGGTAACTTAAGGTTATAAAAATCTTAGTAAAATTAAAACGTAGATCCCTCTTCAGGAAAAAGAAACAGAAATCTCACTCAACTCTCAGGCACGGATATTATTGAAAAAGCAAACCACATAGTTATATGTAATATTTTAAATAAGAACCATCTGCCTATAATAAAGCTAAAATAAGACAGAGCTCAGATAAAACAGAATATTCCTTTATTAAAAAAAATGTTTGCAAGAAAAGTTTGCATGTCTAAACACCTCCCAAAATACTTGCTTTATAATAGTTAATATCTTTTGTATTATACCACGTTGGAGAAAGTTGCAGGCATTAAAATTCAGCGCATTAATTTTCTCTCCCTGAAAGCCTTCTGGCCAATTATAGACAAGCTCACGGGGCCGACACGTGGGTAAATTCACTTAGTCTCCCTATGTAGGTATTTCTGCTTTCTGTAATACACCATGTGGCATTGATACTATTGATCTCATGTTATTAGATATATTAAAACTCCAAAACTACTTTGGAAAATATAATCATTCTGCAAGTTTTCAGAAACTTAAGAACTTGAAAACCAACAGCAACCCACACCCTTGAACATTTGGCAAAATTGAATTCTCAGTTATGAATAAGATTGTCTCTCGTTTTCCCCAGAAAAGCTCACAGAAACGTCTGCCCGTTTCTAGTAACAGCTGGTAAACCCGACCATAAAAGTCATTCCTAGAAGCAGCACTTAAAGGGACAGTATTGTCTTTGGGATAAAATTTCTTCTGGAAAAAAAAAAAGTGCTCTAGGAAATGTTTGAAATATCTCCAAAGAGTTGATTGATCCATATGCTGGGAGTTAATAATTTCTGTGATGTAAAGTTATCGTGGCATATGAAGAAAAAGGAAAACGGAACCAGGAAAGCATTTTAAATTATTATAATTATATCTGTCCATCACAAATTAAGAGGAAATTGTAAACCCTCCCGAAATAGAGGGGGAGCTGCTAAAATCAATTCCTCATTTTCTTCTGTTTCTCTCACATTCAAACTTCAATGAACAAAGTCTCGGGGCTTTGAAAAGTCAAATTGAATACAATCCAATTAGGATGAATTTGGCCTTTCATTTGCGGTTCAGAGCTGTGTTTCTATGACCGGGTTTATGAACCCAGAGAGATCGTACAAATTAACCTTAATTACACGGTGTTTGGGGTAACCATATAAACAGCAACCTCTTCAATGGGCTTCATGTTTGCAAATGTGCCAATGGTAAGAGGTGGGCTCCACACGGGGGCAGAGGGTTGTGTCCAGAGTCTGATCTCTCCTTTGGCATCCTCAAGCAAAAGGTTTCTGGTCACAACTGCAGCTTTCTCAGGGGAGCCACCTGGTTTCTGAAGAGGGCTGGCCCAGTATGCTCTGGTGACCTTCGGGGGTTGGGGAGAGAGACTACCCTTCACATCTGTGTTATGTGCTTCTACAGCCTCCTGCCCTGGGGTCATTCTCCTCCCTGCCCTTCTCAAGATGCTCAAGAACCCATCCATGTGCCTTCTGCTCTAAGACCGTGATGAAGGGTTCTGTTTAATGCAGCAAACATATTGCCATCCGTTCATCCATTAATGCACTGATCAATCAATTCATTGATCCATCCATCCACTCATCTCTTTACCCACACATCCACTCATCCATTTATTTATGTGTCCAGCCACCTATTCACCCATCCACCTACCCATCCATAGACTCATCCACCCATCCATCCACTTATCTATCTATCCATCCACCCATCTGTCCATCCATCCATTCATCCACCCTTCCATCCATCTGTCCATCCATTAATCCATCCATCTATGTACCATTCCACTCATCCATCCATCCATTCATCCATCCACCCTCCCATCTATCTGTCCATCCATTTATCTACCATTCCATCCATCCATTCATCCACCCACCCATCCATCCATTCCTCCACTCTCCCATCTATCTGTCCATCCATCCATCCACCCACCCATCCATTCATCTACTTACACATTTATCTATCCACCCATCCACTCATTCATCCATATTTCCACCCATCCATCTATCCATTCATCCATCCACCCATTCATCCACACACACACCCATATATTCATTCACTCCCCCGTTTATTCATCCATTTATTCATCCATCCACTCACCCACCCATTCACCCTCCCATCCATCCTTCAATCCCCTCATCCATCCATTCATTCAGCCAGACAGCCACCTACACATCTATCCATCCATCCATCCATTCATCAATCCATCTATCCATCTATCCATCCATTCATCCATCCATTCATCCACCCTCCCATTCATTCATCCATCCATCTATCTAGCATTCCATCCATCCATCCATCCATCCATCCATCCACCCATCCATCCATTCATCCACCTTCCCATCTATTCATCCATCCATCTATCTATCATTCCATCCATCCATCCATCCACCCTCCCATCTATCTATCCATCCATTCATCCATCCACTTATCTACCATTTCATTTATGCATCCATCCATCCACCCATCTATTCATCCATCCAGCCACCTCCATCTATCCATCCATCCATGCATCCATTCATCCATCCATTCATCTACCCTCTCATCCATCCATCCACCTACATGTTTATCCATCCATCCATCCACTCATTCATCCATCTTTCCACCCATCCATCTATCCATTCATCCATCCACTCATTCATCCACCCACATGCCCACACATTCATTCACCCTCCCATTTATTCATCCATCATTAATCCATCCACCCACCAATTCACCCTCCCATCCATACATCCATCCCCTCATCCATCCATTCATCCAGCCAGCCAGCCACCTACCCATCTGTCCATCCATCCATCCATCCACCCATTCATTCATCCATCCATCAATCCATCCATCCATCCGTCCATCCTTCCTTCACTCACTGAGAGATGAACGAAACATACCCCTCTGCCCAAGAAGAGCTCACTATCCCCTGGGGAAGCTGATTATCATGGAGGTGTGTGGGCAAATTGAATGACGCCAACAAGGTCATTGGACACAGAGGAGCAGCCCCAGAAGCCGTGTGGGAGAGGGAGAATCATGAAGCCATAACCCAGTTTGAGCCACTTAAAGAGGACTTCTGCAACATAATCACGCAAAAACAGGTAACTTCCAGTGGGCGTCCCTTACAGTATCCCCATCAGGGAGGTACTATTTGCAATTTTACAAGATTGATTTAAAATAAACCTAAGGAAACCGCACAAGCAACCAACAAACAGGTGTCTCCTTGCTTTCAATGCAGCTAAGGTGTCCTTGAGCCACAATGAGGATGCCCTGCCTTTATATTCAGCTGTAGGCAGCACGTGACGATGGAAGCCGTCCATCTGTCCATCCATTCATGCATCCATCTATCTACCATTCCATCCATGCATCCATCTATCTACCATTCCATCCATGCATCCATCCACGCATCCATCCATGCATCCATCCATCCATGCATCCATCCATCATCTATCTACCATTCCATCCATGCATTCATCCATGTATCCATCCATGCATCCATGCATCCATCCATCCATTCATGCATCCATCTACCATTCCATCCATGCATTCATCCATGCATTCATCCATGTATCCATGCATCCATGCATCCATCCATCCATCCATCCATCCATCCATCCATCTATCTACCATTCCATCCATGCATCCATCCATCCATGAATCCACACATCCATCCATCCATCTATCTACCATTCCATCCATCCATGGATCCATCCATGCATCCATCCATCCATTCATCCATCCATCTACCTACCATTCCGTCCATGTATCCATCCATGCATTCATACATGAATCCATGCATCCATCCATGCATCCATCCATCCATTCATCCATCCATCTAACATTCCATCAATCTATCTACCATTCCATCCATGCATCCATCCATGCATCCATCCATTCATTCATCCCTCCATCTACCATTCCATCCATCTATCTACCATTCCATCCATGCATCCATCCATGCATCCATCCATTCATTCATCCCTCCATCTACCATTCCATCCATCTATCTACCATTCCATCCATGCATCCATCCATGCATTCTTCCATGCATCCATCCATCCATTCATCCATCCATCTACCTACCATTCCATCCATGCCTCCATCCATGCATTCGTCCATGAATCCATGCATCCATCCATGCATCCATTCATCCATTCATCCATCCACCTAGCATTCCATCCATCTATCTACCATTCCATTCTTGCATCCACCAATGCATCTATCCATCCGTTCATCTGTCCATCCATCTACCATTCCATCCATCTATCTACCATTCCATCCATGCATCCATCCATGCATCCATCCATGAGTCCATGCATCCATCCATCCATCCATGCATCCATCCATCCATCCATCTTGTCTTTATCCCACCAAGACTCTACAGAGACACCCGTCTGCAGAGTGGGTAAAGAGAAACTAACTTCTCCCTGGGGCTTTCCCAAGAGGTATGGCCGGAGTGCAGACACGTCAGTTATGCAGTCAATGCTGAGTGAGTTGACTCAGTCAACGCTGAGTGAGGGGCCATGTAGTCCACACCACGCAGTCAGCCCTGAGTGGGGAGTAAGAGGGAGAGCACCTTGAGGACAAAACATTAAGCATTGTGCACATCTTCACATCTCTCTGAAATATGGCTTCACCCAGGATGACCTGACACCAGGACATTCTGCTCTCAGGTGCCATGTTGGTGTCATAGAAAGGGAATCAGTTAAAATCATGAACATTCCAGGCGTCCGCTTTTATTCTAAGAATATAGCACTCCATTTGAAAAGAAACAAGGTCCTCCACCTTTCTGTTCTGGGAGCCTTTAACTCTGGAGATCTTCCTTTGCACATATACTAGTGGGCTTGCTTCTGTCCCTTTCTGGGTATCTCCACACAGTCGCCCTTGGAGAGACCAAACGCCTGGCAGCTGGTGTAGTTTCCTGTTGGGTCACAGAGTCTTCCTCCCCAATAGAGCCGCCGTCACCCCTCTCCTGACAGCTCAGGGCTGCTGACCAGCTCACACGGGTCTCTCCTGAATTCATTGCCCTCCCTTCCAAGCCGTGCTGTATTTTAATGTACTTTTTCAAGGAGTTTATGATCTCTGCTGCTTTCATAGCATCTGTCAAGAGTATCAAACTGTGGTCCCCTCTTTGAGTTAATAAAGCTACAGTACAATAGTGCATGGGTATCAGAGGTCTGTAGACCTTTCTCACGACTTACCAACCTGACATGAAATCATTAATGATTACTCCACCGTCCTTGAGTTTTTAGACGGTTGCTGTATAATGATCCTTCCCTTCCTACCTTTTTCTGGTTTCTTGATGAGATGGTTATCTGGGGCTCTGTCAGGTCCTAATGGAATTCAACCGGACTGGATTCACGTTTTCCTTCCCGGCGCTGGCTCCGTTGATTTTCTCGTCATGAAATAAAATAATTGCTTTGACAGGATTCAGGTGAGAATTCCAAACATATGGCTTATTATTTAATAATGGTTTCACCGAAGGCTCTATTAAGTAACCCAAATGTAGTCAGGTTTAGATGAGCCTTTAAATCTTCGATTTTGAAACTAAATGGTACTAATTATTCGAGTGACAAAATAAGCCAGACCTGTCAGCTTCGAAGTTTAAAAATAATACTCAGGCAGACCCAATTGGTGAGCGGGTCTAATGGATATTGATTGATTATGTCCTGTTTCCATCCACTTCCCATTGTGTCTTAGAGGCATTTTACCTCTGGGTGTGGGTGATGGAAGAGAGGCTTTTTCTACTGAAGGCTGCTTGGTAGTGTAGACAAAAGAGAGTTTAGGGCCAGGTGGGGTGGCTCACGCCTGTAATCCCAGTACTTTGGGAGGCTGAGGCAGGTGGATCACAAGGTCAGCAGTTTGAGACCAGCCTGGCCAACATGGTGAAACCCCATCTTTACTAAAAATACAAAAATTAGCCAGGTGTGGTGGCGGGCACCTGTAGCCCCAGCTACTAGGTATTTTGTATTTGTATTTGTATTTTTAGCCATGATTGTTTGCTGTACCCATCAACCCATCATCTAGGTTTTAAGCCCCACATGCATTAGGTATTTGTCCTAATGCTCTCCCTCTGCCTGCCCCCCAATCCCCCAACAGGCCCCAGCGTGTAATATTTCCCTCCCTATGTCCATGTGTTCTCATTGCTCAACTCCCACTTATGAGTGAGAACATGCGGTGTTTGGTTTTCTGTTCTTGTGATAGTTTACTGAGAATGATGGTTTCCAGCTTCATCCATGTCCCTGCAAAGGACACGAACTCGTCCTTTTCTATGGCTGCATAGTATTCCATGGTGTCTATGTGCCACATTTTCTTTCTCCAGTCTTTCACTGATGGGCATTTGGGTTGGTTCCAAGTCTTTGCTATTGCAAACAGTGTTATGATGTACATATGTGTGCATGTGTCTTTATAGTAGAATGACTTATAATCCTTTGGGTATGTACCCGGTAATGAGATTGCTGGACCAAATGTTATTTCTGGTTCTAGATCCTTGAGGAATTGCCACACTGTCTTCCACAATGGTTGAACTAATTTACACTCCCACCAACAGTGTAAAAGCCTTCCTATTTCTCCACATCCTCTCCACCATCTGTTGTTGCCAGTCAGCAAGTTTTTGATTCAGGTCCTCTTTCGTAAAGTTGCCAGCAGAAAAACTTGGACTTACCCCTGGTGCCCTTTGATCTCTGCAGATTCCTCTGTTATTTGGAGGACAAACAATGCCAAGGTCAGAAAACTCCCACACCTCTGTGACAGCAGGGACATTAGTGTTTAGAAAAAGATTGTCTGTTTATGGGGAAAGTGCAGTGGAAAGAAACCTCATGCATGTAGGGGTGTCTCTGTGTAGGAATAAAAGCAGCTCGGTCTAAATAGAGCATGACTTCTGCATCCTGGAAAACAGCCTCAGCTCTCTGTTTTCTTCAAAGGCGACCGTCGTCTTTGTAATCCCAGCCACACCACCTGAGTTTCCTTCCTGGCTGAGCATTCCTTCCTGTCATCGAGAACCCTGAAATAACCCCAGTCTTTCCTTGAGTCCTGGTCTCTTGTTATTAATCAGAGAAGCTTTGCAACGCACCTGCTTGGTGGCGAAGACACGCGGAGTGGCCATGGGAAGACGCCTGAGGAATTCCAAGGAATAGACATTCTGGTAGATGCTACATTCGTGCCCTGCTCCGGTGTTAATATTTTGGGATGGATCTTATAATGAGGAGTGATTCCAGTAACGCAGAGGTGTGTTTATAGCAGCTGCATACGACGACCCTCTCTCTCTTTAGCGAGCGGAGCTGTTACTTCCCATTCCCAGCCATTTGAGTTCCATAACCAGAGACTTTCCAGTATTTTACCTGCCATGCACTTCCAGGGAATGGGCTGTGTTTATGTGCATAGGATATCCGCGAGCTTTCAGAAGAACCCTAATGGACAAATGGCCAACTAAATCCTCTTCCACCTTGCTTATTTTTGTGCCTGAAATGGGTGAGGCAGGTCTTTCTTCTGTATCTAGTTTTTGACACAAATCCTTCTGAATGCAACGCTGTTACTTCCCATTCCCAGCCATTTGAGTTCCACAACCAGAGACTTTCCAGTATTTTACCTGCCACGCACTTCCAGGGAATGAGCTGTGTTTATGTGCGTAGGATGTCCGCGAGCTTTTGGAAGAATCCTGATGGACAAAGGGCCAACTAAATCCTCTTCCACTTTGCTTATTTTTGTGCCTGAAATGGGTGAGGCAGGTTTTCCTTCTGTATCCAGTTTTTGACACAAATCCTTCTGAATGCAACGCTGTCTTTGCACAGAATCCCCCACCCTTCCCTCTTTTTTTCCCCCCAGTTTGAGTTCTAACGATAAATAAACAGCGCCGTTTACAAACATGCCTTTTTAATTGAGGGAAAATCTGTGGTCATCAGGCTTCAGTGCTCAGTCAGGCAATTGCCTCCTTCCTCTATAAACTCAGCTGAAAATCAATTTTATTCAGACATGTGCATGGTCCTTCCCCCCCTCCCTCACTCAGTGCCTCAAAAATACATACAGCGAAAATGAAGCCATATGAAAATGAACTGTTCTATACGAAATATCTTCCCCCTGCTTCTGGGATGTCTCTCGGTTGTGTGCAGCGCGGCCCAGCCTGCCGGCCGCATAATAAGTGAGCTATGCAGGCTCATGAATTCTCGCCTGATTTTCCTCTGCTACAAATGCACCTAGATGACAGATCAACAATTTGAATTAAACCTTTCCTTATAGTCCTACCGATTTTTTTTTAATCTCACCACGGGCCAATAAAACCATTGTGGAACATTTGTTCCTGTCCAAAAAAAAAAAAAAAAAAAAAAAAGCACTTTGATTCAAAATAAAATGCAGGCACGGTTTACCAGAACATTTTTATCTCGCTTTGAAGAGCCACCGAAGAAAAAAGATCCCACAGCTATACCTGTTTGTTAGATGGTCTAGCAAAAAAGAAGCAATTTGCCCATGCAAACTTTTATGTTTCTGAGATGCTTTTTCTGCCTGCGGTTTGAGTATTTTCACTGAATATGAGGGCAAAATAATTGCATTTCAGCCGTGATGAACTTTAACACACACTCTAAATATTAGAATTCCTTAGGATGTTTAGGGGAGTTTATTTTTAGTTTCCGTCCTTAAACAAAGCCCCACGCTCTGTTCTGCCACAATGTGGACTTGATTAGTTAAAAATAGCCTGGAAACATTTCTAATGAAATTAAAATAGCGACGGTCACCTCCTCTTCATGTACCCTTCAGTATTGTCTAACATGTACCTTTGTAGATTTCGTTCCCAAATAAATTAGAAGAGTCATCATCAATAAAAAAAATGTGTGGAAGATGCAAATCCCGAGATGAAAATCATTTAGCATTTTTCTAAGTTTAGAACCCAGGGAGAGAGAATAGCAGTATCTGGTTGCTTCAGAAGCTTTTCTCTTGCAGGGAAGGGGGGGGGGACAGGGGATTTGGAAAAACGACACCCCAGACTCTATTTCCAGTCTATGCCCCAGTGGGTACAGTTGCTGGGGTATTTTCTCTTCCTGGTGTCATTGCAGGGGACGCTGGAGAGATCTTGCAAGCTGACCTCCACAAGGAAGAGCATAGGTTTTAAAGACGGAACAAAACAAGTAGGATTTAAAGATGGAACAAAACAAGTAGGATTTCTAAGGCAGTTACCCCTTTGCCTTAATTTCACCAGGCAGGGAACACTGGATACAATTAAAACATTGTCTCAAGATAAATGCACAGCTGGCTTTTTTCATCCACATGTGCACCTGCCAGGGGCTTGAGCTTGCAAATGCTGCAAATGCCGGGTTGTATTTATGCAACTGCCGCCTCCTCCCAAGCCTTTCCGAAGCCGACCTGTCCTGTGTTCAGCCCCAGCGTCTATGCTATTAGACAGATGAGGGATATTTTTCCATCATAAGCCCCCAGACGGCACCGGATACTGTCTCCTGAACTCTCCCAACTTGGGGATCCTGGAGGAATGTTTTTAATGGATGCGGCTTGCCTGTGCATGGCTAACTCAAGACTTTAAAATGGCTTTTTTTTTTTTTTTTTTTTTTTGAGGCAGAGTCTCGCTCTGTCACCCAGGCTGGAGTGCAGTGGCATGATCTTGACTCACTGCAACTTCTGCCTCCCGGGTTGAAGCGATTCTCCTGCCTCAGCCTCCTGAGTAGCTGGGATTACAGGCACCCGCCACCACACCTGGCTTATTTTGGTATTTTTAGTAGACAGGGGGTTTCGTCATTTTGGCCAGGCTGGTATCGAACTACTGACCTCGTGATCTGCCCGCCTCAGCCTCCCAAATTGCTGGGATTACAGGCATGAGCCACCGCGCCCAGCCTGCTTTTTTTCTTTTCTTTTCTTCTTTTTGAGACAGAGTCTCGCTCTGTCACCCAGGCTGGAGTGCAGTGGCATGATCTTGACTCACTGCAACTTCTGCCTCCCAGGTTCAAATGATTATCCTGCCTCAGCCTCCTGAGTAGCTGGGATTACAGGCACCTGCCACCACACCTGGCTTATTTTGGTATTTTTAGTAGAGAGGACGTTTCTTCATTTTGGCCAGGCTGGTATCGAACTACTGACCTCATGATCTGCCCACCTCAGCCTCCCAAAGTGCTGGCATTACAGGCGTGAGCCACTACGCCCAGCCTGCTTTTTTATTTTCTTTTTTTCTTTTTGAGGCAGAGTCTCGCTCTGTCACCCAGGCTGGAGTGCAGTGGCATGATCTTGACTCACTGCAACTTCTGCCTCCCATGTTCAAATGATTCTCCTGCCTCAGCCTCCTGAGTAGCTGGGATTACAAGCACCTGCCACCACACCTGGCTTATTTTGGTATTTTTAGTAGACAGGACGTTTCTTCATTTTGGCCAGGCTGGTATTGAACTACTGACCTCATGATCTGCCCGCCTCAGCCTCCCAAAGTGCTGAGATTACAGAAGTGAGCCACTGCACCCAGATATTTTTTTTTTTTTTTGGGACAGAGTCTTGCTCTGTCGCCCAGGCTGGAGTGCAGAGGCACAATCTCGGCTCACTGCAACCTCCGCCTCCCGGGTTCAAGCGATCCTCCTGCCTCAGCCTCCAGAGTAGCTGGGATTACAGACACCTGCCACCATGGCTGACTAATCTTTGCATTATTAGTATACACAGGGTTTCGTCATTTTGGCCAGGCTGGTCTCAAACTCCTGACCTCAGGCAATCTGCCCACCTCGGCCTCCCAAAGTCCTGGGATTACAGGCGTGAGCCACCTCACCCGGCCATATGTATACATTTTGTGAGCAGTTAACATGCATAAAAACACGCTACCACTTGATTACATTGTTGTCTTTTTTAGGTGGGTGGATCACCTGAGGTCGGCAGTTCGAGACCAGCCTGACCAACATGGTGAAACCCCTGTCTCTACTAAAAACACAAAAATTAGCCAGGCGTGGTGGTGCATGCCTGTCATCCCAGCTACTCGGGAGGCTGAGGCAGGAGAATCGCTTGAACCCGGGAGGTGGAGGTTGTGGTGAGCCAAGATGGCACCATTGCACTCCAGTCTGGGCAACAAGAGCGAAACTCCATCTCAAAAAATAAAAAAAAAAGTATCCCTATTTCCATTTCTCGACATCTGTGGCCGTGGAGTGACTGAGTACAGGCAGATGATACTCAAGAAATGTGCCTGTTGTTTATAGCAGAAGTGACTGCCATTTGCTAAAGTTTCCGTGTCCACCCAATGTGAGTATCCTTGCAGAAGCCGCATACACTACGGAGGTCAATTAGCAAAGAGATGAAATATTCCAAAGGCTCGGCAATTCCAGAAAGATGTGATGGGCCAGGCATGGTGGCTCATGCCTGTCATCCCAGCACTTTGGGAGGCTGAGGTGAGTGGATCACTTGAGGTCAGGAGTTCGAGACCAGCCTGGTCAACATGGTGAAACTCTGTCTCTACTAAAAATACAAAAATTAGCCGGGCATAGTGATGCATGCCTGTAATCCCACGTACTGGGGAGGCTGAGGCAGGGGAATTGCTTGAACTCAGGAGGTGGAGGTTGCGGTGAGCCGAGATCACACCACTGCACTCCAGCCCGGGTGACAGAGCAAGACTCTGTCTCAAAAAAAAAAAAAAAAAGAAAAAGCCAAAAAGTGGGTCGCTGACTTGCCTTGAACACCTCTTTTGCATAAGCAGTTTGATGTTAATGGCTCTTGAAAAGCAATGTTTAAAAATCACGTAATTGCCAAATTTACTGTTTTAACTTTTCTTTTTAATATGCCATATATATATAAAAGCAATGTTTAAAAATCACATAATTGCCAAATTTACTGTTTTAACTTTTCTTTTTAATATGCCATATATATATAAAAGCAATGTTTAAAAATCACATAATTGCCAAATTTACTATTTTAACTTTTCTTTTTAATAGGCCATATATATATGCCATATGCATATATATGTGTGTATATATACGTATATATGTGTATATGTATATATACGTATATATGTGTATATGTATACATATACGTATATGTGTATATATACATATATACATGTATATGTGTGTATATACGTATATATACACATATATACGTATATATACATATGTACGTATATATACACACATATATATCATATATACATACATGTATATATACATACATATATATACATATATAAATATATATATATGGGTTTTTTTTTTTTGATGTTAGAAGTTCTGACCCACTCTCATTCCTTTGATTGATTAAAAGAGACAGAGATTTGGTCAGGGGTGGTGGCTCACACCTGTAATCCCAGCACTTTGGGAGGCTGAGGCAGGCTCATCACCATGTCAGGAGACCGAGACCAGCCTGGTCAACATGGTGAAACCCCGTCTCTACTGAAAATACAAAAAATTAGCCCAGCATGGTGGCGGGCGCCTGTAGTCCCAGCTACTCAGGAGGCTGGGGCAGGAGAATCGGTTGAACCCTGGAAGTGGAGGTTGCAATGACCCGAGATCGCGCTACTGCACTCCAGCCTGGGTGACAGAGCGAGACTCCAGGTCAAAAAAAAAAAAAAAAAAAGTGGGTTACTGACTTGCCTCAAACACCTCTTTTGCATAAGCAGTTTGATGTTAATGGTTCTTTAAAAGCAATGTTTAAAAATCACATAATTGCCAAATTTACTGTTTTAGCTTTTCTTTTTAATATGCCATTTTTTTTTTTGAAGTAAGAAGTTCTGACCCACTCTTTTTCCTTTGGTTGATTAAAAGAGAGATTTTGTTTTCTTTTCTTTTGTTCTTTATTATTATACTTTAAGTTCTGGGGTACGTGTGCAGAACGTGCAGGTTTGTTACATAGGTATACACGTGCCATGGTGGTTTGCTGCACCCATCCACCCGTCATCTACATTAGGTATTTGTCCTAATGCTCTCCCTCCCCTTGGCCCCCCAGCCCCAAACAGGCCCTGGTGTGTGACGTTCCCCTCCCTGTTTCCCTCTGTTCTCATCGTTCAACTCCCACTTAGGAGTGAGAACATGCAGTGTTTGGTTTTCTGTTCCTGTGTGAGTTTGCTGAGAATGATGGTTTCCAGCTTCATCCATGTCCCTGCAAAGGACATGAACTCATCATCAAAGAGAGATTTTTAGGGCTGTGAAGACCTTCCCCTATTACATCAGGGCACATTGCATTAACAAGATACAACCCAGGCTCACAGACACCGCAGAACGTCTCCTGAATTTCTATTTGTTTCTTCTTTTGTTTTTGTTTTTTTTTAAACTGGTCATGAAGCTCTTTCGGGGCACCCTGAAACCTCATTCATCGGACAGGACATTAGAGCTGCAGCAGAGACTAATAAGGTTTTGCTTTCATTTTGGCAAGAAAAGGTCTGTGTCTGTCTGTCTGGTCATGGAGTCGGGGCTTCAAAGAGCCTCTGCCGTGCACTGGTCTTTGAAGTCACCATTTAGTGGATTCGTTTGCAAAACCTGCTGTAATAAATGACCACAGGCTTGAGCATTAAAACTACAGAGACTTAGCATCTCCCTCTCCTAGAGACCAGAAGTCTAAGAGGAAGGTGTCTCAGGGCTGAGCTCCCTCCACAGGCTGTAGGGGAGGATCCTTCCCACCTCTCCCAGCTCCTGGGGACTCCAGGCGTCCCTGGACTTGTGGCAGCATCACTCCAGTCTCTGCCTCCGTCTCCACGTGGCCTTCTCCTCTGTGTCTGTCTCCTCTTCTGTCTCTCAGAAGGACACCTGTCACTGGATTTAGGGACCACACAGATAATTCAGGATGATCTCATCTTAAGGTCCTTTATTTAGTTACATCTGCAAAAACCCCTTTTCAAATAAGGTCTCATTCACAGGTTCTGGGGATCAGGACCTGGATATACCTTTTTGGGGGGATCATAGTTCAATCTACTTCACTTGTGCCTAGTTCCCTCCAGAGGCTTTCAGGGAGGATGCTTCCTGCCTCTCCCAGCTCCTGGGGGCTCCAAGGCATCCCTGGGCTTGTGGCCGCAGCACTCCAGTCTCTGCCTCTATCTCCATATGGCCTTCTCTTGTCTGTGTCTCCTCTTCTGTGTTTTGTGTTTTTTTTTGTGGGGGGGAGGTGGGGGATGGAGTCTCAATCTATTGCCCAGGCTGGAGTGCAATGGTGTGATCTCGGCTCACTGCAACCTCTGCCTCCCAGGTTCAAGCAATTCTCTGCCTCAGCCTCCCAAGTAGCTGGAATTACAGGCACCCGCCACCACACCCAGCTAATTTTTGTGTGTTTTTTTTTTTAGTAGAGACAGGGTTGTTGGCCAGGCTGGTCTCGAACTCCTGACCTCAGGTCATCCATCCTCTTCAGCCTCCCAAATATCTTGTTTCTTAAAAGGCATCTTTGGGCCGGGTGCAGTGGCTCACGCCTGTCATCCCAGCACTTTGGGAGGCCGAGGCAGGTGGATCACGAGGTCAGCAGATCGAGACCATCCTGGCTAAAATGGTGAAACCCCGTCTCTACTAAAACTACAAAAAATTAGCCAGGCATGGTGGCGGGTGCCTGTACTCCCAGCTACTGAGGAGGCTGAGGTGTGAGAATGGCGTGAACCCGGGAGGTGGAGCTTGCAGTGAGCCCAGATTGCACCACTGCACTCCACCCTGGGTGACAGAGTGAGAGTCTGTCTCAAGAAAAGAAAAAAAAAGGCATCTTTGTCTTTTCAAGATCTATGTGCACTGTTTGCAAGAAAGTCTGAAAGATAGTACGGCTTCTAAGCACTGCAAAGCATTTTGGCTGCCAGAAAGATGCTGTCAGCCCTGAGGGTTGCCACTGCTGAGGGTACAGGTCTCCCAGGCGTTGCTGATGTGAGCTGTGCCAGAGACCTCCCTGAGCTCACCTGCCTGGTGGGGCTGGTTTCTTCCTGTGCTCTCTCTCTCTGTCTCTGTGTGTGGGTCCTACCAGGCCCGGTGAGCCCTGGAATCTGCCCAGAGGTGGCAGGTAGGTGCATGACGCTCCTTGGGAGAATACACAGCCGCCACTCAAAGCCCCTCCTTTATTCAGTCTAAGTAATAGGTCCAGTGGGCCTATAACCTGGTTTTATGGGGCTGTGGAGTCATACTGTAAATCTCACACGCCGTCCTGGCTGGCAGTCACTCCCCAGCCTTCATTTCCCTCCCCTCCCCTGCGTCCCGAGCAAACTTTTTCCACCGTTATATCCTTGCAATGTTTCTGACCCGTTGGCAAACTCGAGGGCGGCAGCGCGGGGCCCCCGTGTGAACAGCTCGAGGTGGTTTCTTGCCAAGAGAAATGCTGGGAATGCTGGGGACTGAAGTGTAAGTGGGTGATAAAAAAAAAAAAAGATGTTCAGCTTTGCACCTGCACGGGATCCTGGGCCTGCCCACCTGGGCATCGGGGGAGAAGGAGGAGGAGGCGAGTTTTTAAGACCTCACGGGTGTTTCTCCCGGGTACGCCCAAAAGGTATTGGGAAAGGAGGTGTTCAAATGAGAACGTGTGCGTGGGTTTTCACAACGGCTGAAACGTGGAAATGGTGCAAGGCTGAGCATGAAGATATCTGTCTGGTTTCTTTGGACGTTCAGCTTACAGACAAAAGTGGCATCACTATGTATATACACATATATATTTTATATATAGTTATATAAATTTGTATATTATATAATTTACAGAATTTTATATATTAGATATGTATTATATATTATATATATTATTTCGCACCAACAATGCTGCATGTCTGAATTTAAAACAAAAACACCTTTAAACATTTTTCTATAGTTTCAGTTTAATTAATTGCACTCCAGCCTGGGTGACAGACCAAGATTTTTGTCTCCAAAAAAAAAAAAAAAAAAAAAAAGGCCAGGCACAGTGGCTCATGCCTGTAATCCCAGCATTTTGGGAGGCCGAGGCAGGCAGATCACCTGAGGTCAGGAGATCGAGACCAGCCTGGCCAACATGGTGAAAAACCCCTCACCACTAAAAATATAAAAAAAAATTAGCTGGGCGTGGTGGCGGGCACCTGTAATCCCAGCTACTTGGGAGGCTGAGGCAGGAGAATACTTGAACCTGGGAGGCAGAGGTTGCAGTGAGCCAAGATTATGCCCCTGTACTCCAGCCGGGAGCAGTGGCTCACACCTATAATCCCAGCACTTTGGGAGGCCAAGGTGGGTGCATCACCTGAGGTCAGGAGTTCCAGACCACTGTGGCCAACATGGAGAAACCCTGTCTCTACTAAAGATAGAAAAAATTAGCCGGGCATGGTGGCAGGTGCTTGTCATCCCAGCTACTCAGGAGGCTGAGGCAGGAGAATCGCTTGAACCCGGGAGGCAGAGGTTGCAGTGAGCCGAGATCGCGTCACTGTACTCCAGCCTGGGTGACAGAGCAAGACTCTGTCTCAAAAAAAATAAAAATAAAAAAAAGGGGTGGGGTGGCCCAGCCGTTCAGTATACTTTCTCCCCAAGTGTGAACCATCCATTTCCAGAATGTGTCCAGCGACTTGGGACTATATGGCCTTTGAACGTCTGAACACCCTCAGTTCTCCTTCATATTCTCCAGCTCCCCTGCATGGAGATGTGGGCCTTTTAGGGTTCTTTCCACCCCTTTAGGGCCTCTCTGCTAGCCTTCCATTGGCAAGGACAATTGCCAAAAGGAGGTATCCAGCTCTAACCCTGCAGAACAGACAGAGAGCCCAGTAGCCTGGCAGCCAGAGAGGCTTTCTCTAAAACAGGCATCCCTGGCAGCCTCATTGAAATGGGAAGATTCATTATCCCATTTCCATTTAATTGTTATTTTGCCGGCAGAAAAGCCTGGAGTTTCTCTGAAAGGCAGTGATGGTGTTGTCCTTTTAGATTCCCTGGGGAATGATCTTTAAAAAATTGCGTGCCCAGCTTCCCAAGTGCCCAGCATTTGCCTTGACATTAACTTACTCTATGAAGTACGGATGTTGCAGAGGGGAGGGCATCCAAGCCCCTGGCTTCCCGGAGAAATTGGTAAGGGTTGTCTGCAGCTTCCCAGCCTTAAAAATACTTGACAAGTTGACATCCTCACTGCTAAGTGGGGCTGATGGAGCCTCGTCAACCCCAGGACCCGCTGATCAGCCGTGGCAGGAATCATACCCACAGCCTTATGCGAAGTGATGAGTTGGATTTGCTTCCAGCAGGGTGAAAGCAATTGGATTTCACTTGTTCTCAATGTACAGCAAGAGAAAAGTGGGGGACTGACTCAGAGAACCCGTGTTCCCTCCATATGCAGCTCAGTCATCTCTGAAATACACTGCAAATTGTTTAAACCTTAAAAACAGAGCGGCGTGAATGTGCCTCCTGATGGCACCGGGTTTTGATAAGATGATAGGCTGTGGCGATGGATTTCAGATGTGAGTTTCTGTGCTTGCCAAAATGCTGGGCGAAAGATGAAGGTAATTGCTAGCATTGTTGGCCTTGCCAATAATCCGTCTCTCTCTCTCTCTCTCTATCCTCTCTCCTCTCTCCTCTCTCCTCTCTCTGTCTCTCGTTTTTTCTTTTTTATTTTGCTTCAAGAATCTGGTTGCCTTAATGAGAAACTTTGCCCCTGCTAAGCTAACCTTTCACGTCTGGAACAAAACACAGCAGCTCCGCCTCAGCCACAGTGATAGGGAGCCTTGTGGACCTGAAACCTCTCGGTGGCCAAACCAGAAATGATTTTTGACAGGACCAGGCTGAATTCCCTGAGTACATTCACGGCCACCCGACCCTCTCCTCTCCCCCTCCTTTTTTTTTTTTTTTTTTATTTTAATGGTCCAAAATTGGCTGTTTAATATCTGAGCATGCCAGAGTCTTGGAGGATGCCAGAAATGGAAAGTTTGTGCCTGGGGTCATAGGAAGCTCCCTACCAGGTGAGGCAGCGTGATGCCAGTCCCCAATGAGCAAGGAGGCAGCAGCCCTGTCCAGTGTATGAGCGTGACCTTGGGGATCTGTGTAGATAGAAATTTCCGGAAGGATTTAAGCAGGTTAGGTTCCCGCCCCGTCACCCTGTTTCACCATAGACAGTCCATAAATAAAAAAGAGATTAAAAATGTGTTTTTCGGCCGGGTGCGGTGGCTCACGCCTGTCATCCCAGCACTATGGGAGGCCGAGGCGGGCGGATCACTTGAGGTCACGAGTTCAAGACCAGCCTGGCCAACATGACGAAACCCCGTCTCTACTGAAAATACAAAAATTAGCCAGGCGTGGTGGTGGGTACCTGTAGTCCCAGCCACTCAGGAGGCTGAGGCAGGAGAATCGCTGGAACCCGGGAGTCGAAGATTGCAGTGAGCCAAGGTCATGCCATTGCACTCCAGCCTGGGCCACAGAGTGAGACTCCGTCAAAGAAAAAAAAGTGGGGGAAGGAAGGAAGGAAGGGAGGGAGGATGGATGGAAGGAGGGAAGGAAGGAAGGAATTACAGGAAGGATTTAAGCAGGTTAGGTTCCCACCCTCTGACCCTGTTTCCCCATAGACACTCCATAAATAAAAGAGAGATCAAACCTGTGTCTTTCGCAATGCAGGCTGTTGACAAAAATGAGGAATGGGATTTGGAGCTCCATGTCAGCTGCAATGGCCACACGGGAAAGCCTAGGAGGCTGCTCTGGAAACAGAGGGGCTGTTCTAGGTGACGCCAAACTAGCACAGATGAGGCACAGAAGAGACGCCTGCGACAGATATGGAAGACACCTTCAGAAAGGGCAAAATTCAGCCACCTAAGCACAATAGAGGCCAAACAGATGGCTGTCATGGAATCAGGCAGTGTCCCATAGCCCAATACACGCCGACATTGTAACATAACCTTTACCTGAGAAAATGCCCAGGTTCACCGCCTGGGGAAGCAAGCTACACTCTACAAAGAAATATCCAGTGAGCACAACAGGACACATCTAACCTACACTGTAAAATAGAAATAATGAGTGTCCTGCATCTGGGGATCCACCTACACTCTACACTAGACACACCCAGTGTCCTCCGTCTGGGGGATACACCAACACTCTACAGTAGATACACTGAATGTCCTCCATCTGGTGATGCACCTACACTCTGCAATAGACACACTCAATGTCCTCCATTGGGGGGATCCATCTACACTCTACACTAGACACACTCAATGTCCTCCATCTGGGGATCCTCCTACACTCTACAATAGACACACTCAATGTCCTCCATCTGGGGATCCTCCTGCACTCTACAATAGACACACCCAGTGTCCTCCGTCTGGGGGATACACCAACACTCTACAGTAGATACACTGAATGTCCTCCATCTGGGGATGCACCTACACTCTACACTAGACACACTCAATGTCCTCCATTGGGGGGATCCATCTACACTCTACACTAGACACACTCAATGTCCTCCATCTGGGGATCCCCCTACACTCTACAATAGACACACTCAATGTCCTCCATCTGGGGATCCTCCTACACTCTACAATAGACACACTCAATGTCCTCCATCTGGGGATCCCCCTACACTCTACACTAGACACACTCAATGTCCTCCATCTGGGGATCCTCCTACACTCTACAATAGATACACTCAATGTCCTCCATCTGGGGATCCTCCTACACTCTACACTAGACACACTCAATGTGCTCCATCTGGGGATCCTCCTACACTCTACAATAGAAACACTCAGCGTCCTCCATCTGGGGATCCACCTACACTCTACAATAAACCAACTCAATTTGCTCCATCTGGGGATCCATCTACACTCTACACTAGACACACTCAATGTCCTCCATCTGGGGATCCTCCTACACTCTACAATAGACACACTCAATGTCCTCCATCTGGGGATCCTCCTACACTCTACACTAGACACACTCAATGTCCTCCATTGGGGGGATCCATCTACACTCTACAATAGACACACTCAATGTCGTCCATCTGGGGATCCTCCTACACTCTACAACAGATACACTCAATGTCCTCCATCTGGGGATCCTCCTACACTCTACAATAGACACACTCAATGTCCTCCATCTGGGGATCCTCCTACACTCTACAATAGACACACTCAATGTCCTCCATCTGGGGATCCTCCTACACTCTACAATAGACACACTCAATGTCCTCCATCTGGGGATCCTCCTACACTCTACAATAGACACACTCAATGTGCTCCATCTGGGGATCCTCCTACACTCTACAATAGAAACACTCAGCGTCCTCCATCTGGGGATCCACCTACACTCTACAATAAACCAACTCAATTTGCTCCATCTGGGGATCCACCCACACTTTGCAATAGACACACTCAATGTCCTCCATCTGGGGATCCACTTACCCTTTACAGTACACACACTGAATGTCCTCCATCTGGGGATCCAGCTACACTCTACACTAGATACACTCAATGTCCTCCATCTTGGGATCCAGCTATACTCTACAATAGAAACACCCATCTGGGGATCCACCTACACTCTACACTAGACACATTCAATGTCCTCCATCTGGGGATCCACCTACACTCTACAATAGAAACACTCAGCGTCCTCCATCTGGGGCTCCACCTACACTCTACAATAGACACACCCATCTGGGGATCCACCTACACTCTACAATAGACACACCCATCTGGGAATCCACCTACACTCTATTGTAGATCCACAATCTACAATAGACACACTCAGCGTCCTCCATCAGGGGATCCACCTACACTGTACAATAGAGATACCCAGTGACCACCATCTTGGCACCCACCCACACTACAATAGAGATAGATTCCCAGTGTCCCCTATTTGGGGAACCTACCTGCACTCTGCAATGAATATGCACATCAACTTTCTGGGGTTTCTCCTTGCAATCTGGGATAGACCTATTCGTTGTTCACTGCCCTTGAGTAGCTGAGGGTCGTTGCTCAGGCATTTTTGGAAGGAAGTTTGGTCTTAATCTAAGGCATCTTTGGAAGGAAAGTTGGTCTTAACCTAAGGCATTTTTGGAAGGAAGATTGGTATTATCCTAAGGCATCTTTGGAAGGAAGGTTGGTCTTAATGTAAGGCATCTTTGGAAGGAAAGTTGGTCTTAACCTAAGGCATTTTTGGAAGGAAGGTTGGTCTTAACATAAGGCATTTTTGGAAGGAAGGTTGGCCTTAATCTAAGGCATTTTTGGAAGGAAGGTTGGTCTTATCCTAAGGCATCTTTGGAAGGAAGGTTGGTCTTAATGTAAGGCATCTTTGGAAGGAAGGTTGGTCTTAATCTTGTGTCCACCTGCAGCCTGCTATGTTTTATTCTTGGGTTTTCTCTCACTTTTTTGCCTAGCAGAAGCAAGCCATGAAGCTGTGTCCATGAGATATTCTGTAGAGCCTGGAATAATCCCTCCTTTCCACGTCTTGTCCCGCCATGGAGTGCCCCAGAGTTCCGGGACGTGGAAGGTGCCGTCCCCTGCCTGACACGGTGCTGCCCAGCTCCCTCCTCATCCCGGTGGCTTCCCAAACTCCCCGGGCCTGCTGGAGGAAACACCTGTGCTGAAGACTCGGAGGCCCTTCCCTCCAAACCCTGACTCCGGGGTCAGCGACGCCAACAGGTGTTTTTTCTCAGAATCGCCTTCTTGTCTGAATTGAGCCCCAGGATCAGAAGGCCAAGGGGCCAGGGGTCAGACGCAGCCACGCAGGGTTCCCCGGGGGCCAGGGCTTACCAGGTGGTTAATATTATCAGAGCTCATTTGCTGAAGCTGGACTGGCGTGTTCTCGGCGGTCCCAAATAAATTTAACGAGAGCGACTTTCAAAGCCCACCTATTAGGACCGTCTGTTCAATGGACAGGAGGGTTAACCGTAATTCGAGGAGGCAGCTTGGCCGTCTCCAAATAGGAACACATGGACTGTGAGGCTTGGCCCCATTTGTGGTAATTTTAAGGTCTCGTTTCCATTTGTAAGAAACATAACTACTTACATATGGAAAGAATGAATAAGAGAAGTCATTAAAATTTCTCTAATTTAGGAAAAAAATAAAAAAAAAAAGATGTAACGAAGTAATATCTTTACCAGGCCAGGCAGAAATGTAAATTAGACATTAGAAGAAAAACCTATTAACAGGATGGCTGGATGGCTGCGTGGCTTGCCTGTTTTTTTTTTTTTTTAATCTAATGAATTTATGAATTGCTAGTTGTGGGGGTCACAGATTTTGTTAATTTCCTATGTGTTTAGCTCTGCAGTAAGAAGGGAGGATTTGCTTATGAACCACGGATGCTAAGTCCATTAGCGGGGCGGTTGCTAATCAGAACACAAATGGTAATACGTACGGTCCAGCATTGAAAAAAAAAAAGACAGAAAAACACATGAATTATTTCAAGTTGGGGTTTTTCCAACTTCTGTCCGTTGTCCCCACAGGTCATCAGAATATTTAAACATCAGGGAGTAAGAGGCGACCTAGCTAGGTAGCTGCCTGATTATAAAATATATGCAAAAGCTTTCTTTTTTTTTTTTTTTTTAAACAGAGTCTTGCTTTGTCGCCCAGGCTGGAGTGCAATGGTGAGATCTCGGCTCACTGCAACCTCCAGCTCCTGGGTTCCAGCGATTCTCCTGCCTCAGCCTCCCAAGGAGCTGGGATTACAAGCGCCCGCCACCACACCCAGCTCATTTTTGTATTTTTAGTAGAAACGGGGTTTCACCATGTTGGCCAGGCTGGTCTCGAACTCCTGACCTTAAGTGATCCACCTGCCTCCACTTCCCAAAGTGCTGGGATGACAGGCTTGAGCCACCGTGGCCGGCCAAAAAAAATTTTTTTTTAAACGGAGTCTTGCTCTGTTGTCTAGGCTGCAGCGCAATAGTGCAATCATGACTCACTGAAGCCTCAACCTCCCAGGCTCAGGTGATCCTCCCTCCTCAGCCTCCCAAGTAGCTGAAACTATAAGCATAGACAACCACATCTGAGTAGTTTTTAGGTTTTTTGTAGAGACAGGTTTTCACCATCTTCCCCGGGCTGGTCTCCAACTCTTGAGCTCAAGCCATCTGCAGGTCTTGGACTCCTGAAGAGCTGGAATTACAGGCATGAGCCACGGTGGCCAGTGTTAAAATGTTTTGTTGCCAGGCCAGGCACGGTGGCTCACGCCTATAATCCCAGCACTTTGGGAGGTTGAGGCAGGTGGATCACCTGAGGTCGGGAGTTCGAGACCAGCCTGGCCAACATGGAGAAACCCCATCTCTACTAAAAATACAAAAATTAGCTGGGTTTGATGGTGGGTGCCTGTAATCCCAGCTACTCAGGAGGCTGAGGCAGGAGAATCACTTGAACCCAGGAGGCAGAGTTTGCAGTGAGCTGAGATCGTGCCACCAAACCCAGATAATTTTGTTTGTTTGTTTGTTTGTATTTTTAGTAGAGAAGGAGTTTCACTATGTTGGCAAGGCTGGTCTTGAACTCCTGACCTTGTGATCCACCTGCCTCAGCCTCTCAAAGTGCTGAGATTACACATGTGAACCACTGTGCCCAGCCCATCCCCTCTTCTTATGAGGTGTCTTAGTCGATTTCAGGCTGCCATCTCAGAACACCATAGACTGGGTGGCTTCAAAATAACAGACATTGATTCTCCCACAGTCCTGGCGGCTGGAAGTCTGAGATCAAGGTGTAGGAAGGGTTGGTTTCTCCTAAGGCCTCTCTCTTTGCCCTGTAGATGCCATCTTCTCCCTGTGTGCTCACAGGGTCATCCCTCTGTCTGTGTCTGTGTCCTCATCTCATCTTCTTATGGGATGTCTTAGTCCATTTCAGGCTGCTATCACAGAACACCATAGACTGGGTGGCTTAGAAACAACAAACATTGATTCTCCCACAGTCCTGGAGGCTGGAAGTCTGAGATTAAGGTGTGGGCAGGGCTGGTTCTTCCTGGGGCCTCTCTCCTGGGCTTGCCGACACCATAGTCTCCTTGCGTCCTCACACGGTCATCCCTCTGTGTGTGTCTGTGTCCTCATTTCCTCTTCTTATGGGATGCCTTAGTCCATTTCAGACTGCCATCACAGATCACCATTAGACTGGGTGGCTTAGAAACAACAGACATTGATTCTCCCACAGTCCTGCAGGCTGGAAGTCTGAGATGAAGGTGTGGGCAGGGCTGGTTCCTCCTGAGGACCCTCTCCTGTGCTTGCAGACCGTATCTTCTCCCTGAGTCCTCACGTGGTCCTCCCTCTGTGTGTGTCTGTGTCATCATCTCCTCTTCTTATAAGGACTTCTGCCTGGGCAACAAGAGCGAAAGTCTGTCTCAAAAAAAAAAAAAAAAAAAGTTTTGTTACCATCTTCTTCCCAGAACTGAGAAGGCTACAGAAACGCTGGTCCTGAAACGGTGTCCATTTCTCTGCTCAATTCTTCTGGGACTTCATCCCAGTAGGTTGAGACCAAGTAAATAAATGATAATCCTGGATAGCAGGTGTGTGCAGGTTTAAGAGGAGGCAGAGAGAGAAGGGAGCCATCATTTGCCCCAACCGCTCCATGTGTCTTCATCCTACTGTAATCAAGTGGAAATGAGTAAGAAGGAACCATGTCTGGGCCGGGCTCGGTGGCTCACTGCTGTAATCCCAGCACTTTAGGAGGCCGAGGCAGGCTCATTACAAGGTCTAGAGTTTGAGACCTTCCTGGGCAACATGGTGAAACCCAGTCTCTACTAAAAATACAAAAACTAGCCGAGTGTGGTGGTGCACACTTGTAGTCCCAGCTACTTGGGAGGCTGAGGCAGGAGAATCGGTTGAACCCAGGAGGTGGAGGTTGCAGTGAGCCAAGATCGTGCCACTGCACTCCAGCCTGGTGACAGAGTGAGACTCCACCTAAATAGAAAAAAAAAATTAATCAGATCTTGTGAGAACTCACTCAGTATCACGAGAACAGCATGAGGGTAACTGTCCCCATGATTAAATTACCTCCCACTGGGTCCCTCTCATGACACATAAGGAGTATGGGAACCACAATTCATGATGAGGTTTTGGGGTCGGGGGACACAGCCAAACCATATCAAACAGCTTTATTTTTGCCCCAAAAGAATTGACATGAGAATCTTGAAGAAATACCTGGATTCCCATACTCACTGATGAATTATCCACAATAGCCAAGACACGGACCAAACCAAGCAACCACGAATGGATGAATGGATAACGAAATTGGGAGAATTATCCACAATAGCCAAGACAGGGACCAAACCAAGCGGTCACGAATGGATGAATGGATAAAGAAATTGGGAGAATTATCCATAATAGCCAAGACATGGACCAAACCAAGTGACCATGAATGGATGAATGGTTAAAGAAACTGGGAGGATTATCCGCAATACCCAAGACACGGACCAAACCAAGTATTATCCACAATAGCCAAGACACGGACAAACCAAGCGACCAAAAATGGATGACTGGATAAAGAAATTGGAAGAATTATCCACAATAGCCAAGACATGGACCAAACCAAGAGACCATGAATGGATGAATGGAAACTGAGAGACCATGAATGGAGGAATGGATAAAGATATTGGGAGAATTATCCACAATAGCCAAGACATGCAACCAAACCAAGCGACCATGAATGGATGCATGGATAAAGAAATTGGGACATCAATAATATACATGCATTGGAATATTACTCAGCCTTGAAAAAGAAGAAAATCTTGCCATTTGCAACAACACAGGTGAACCTGGAGGACATTATGTTTCGTGAGATAAGCCAGGCACAGAAACACAAATACTTCATGATCTCCCTTAAATGAGAAATCTAAAATAGTCAAACTCATAGAAGCAGAGAGGAGAACTCATACCATGTTTTCTGTGGATTGACTTTGGCCAAGAAGAACAATGCATTCATGTGAGACACGTATATTCTTCTGCAGATGGGAACCAAAGGCCTTTGCTGTCTTCATGCCAGCAGCTGCCTGTCTTCATCCTCCGAGCCAAGAGATATTCCTCACATATTCCTCATAGCGGTGCCGCATCGTGAAACCACAGAAAAGAAGAGACACTTCTGAGCTCTGGACTTGCTTTCCGCGCTCCCACAAGAGCTGACCACAGGTTTCATCTGTCTTTTTCTCTTTCTTTTTTCATATTTTATTTTTCATTGACCAATAATAATTGCATGTATTTAATATGCAATCATTGTACCCCATAATATATGACACATAGAATATATAAAATATATAAATTTAAATTATATATAATATAATACATATATTTATATATCTATTTATATGTAAAATGAAATATATATACTATTGTACCGCATAATATATGTATAATATAATCAATACATATATTTTAAATATATTTACATATAAATGCATGTTTGTTATATGTATTGATTTATTATATTAAAATAAAATAAATATATATCATTGTGCCCCATTATATATTGATGTATGTTATATTATATCTATAAATATACATATTTAAAGATATATAATATATTTAACTATATTACATAGCAATCATATATCTTATATATAATATATAACATAATATATATTTATTAATTATATATTCTATAATTATACATATACTATATACTACATACTATATTATATATTATATAGTAATTATACATGTTATATATTATATTATTATATATTATGTTTTATTATAATATATTATATAACATAATATATAATAATATATTATTATATATTGTTTTATTATAATATATTATATAACATAATATATAATAATATATTATTATATATTATGTTTTATATCATATATTATATAACATTATAAAATATAATAATATATTATTATATAGTATATTTTATTATATTATATAACATTATAAAATATAATATATTATTATATATAAAATATAATATATTACAATATAATTATATATTATATGATAATTATACATGTTATATATTATAATTAATAATAAAATAATACAGCATGTAATATATCATATATCATATAATATATACTATATAAGTATGTATTTACATATACATATTTATATGTATTTATATGTATTAAATGTATAATAAAATAAATATATATTATTATACTCTATTATGTATACACACACACATATATACCCTATTATATACATATACATGTAATGAATTGAAATTAGGATCTATAATGTATATGTTATGGGGTACAATGTGACGTTTTGACATAGGCTTATATACATTTCACATTTCGAAATCTCTAAAAGAGTCAATTTTCAACGTTCTGTCCAAGCCCATGTTTAATGTGGTTGTTGAAAGTGCCAGCGAACATTTAGGACGTCCCCGGCTGCACACGTCTCCTTACCCTCCATGCCAAGGCACCATCTTCTCCCAAGCTGGGTTCTTGGCATTTTGCAAAACAATGTGCCATGCCTAGGCCCCCAAATCCCTGGCATCCTATAAATGCATTCAACGAGGCTGGGCGCAGTGGCTCACGCCTGTAATCCCAGCACTATGGGAGGCCAAGTAGGGTGGATGGCCTGAGGTCAGGAGTTCGAGACCAGCCTGGCCAACATAGTGAAACCCTGACTCTACTAAAAATACAAAAATTACCCAGGCATGGTGGTGGGCACCTGTCATCCCAGCTACTCAGGAGGCTGAGGCAGGAGAATCGATTCAACCCGGGAGACAGAGGTTGCAGCGAGTCGAGATCGCGCCACTGCACTCCAGCCTGAGGTCAGGAGTTCGAGACCAGCCTGACCAACATGGTGAAACCCTATCTCCACTGAAAATACAAAAATTAGCCGGGCATGGTGGCGCGGGCTTGTAATCGCAGCTACTCAGGAGGCTGAGGCAGGAGAATCGCTGGAACGCGGGAGGTGGAGGTTGCGGTGAGCCGAGATTGTGCCATTGCACTCCAGCCTGGGCAACAAGAGCGAAACTCCGTCTCAAAATAAATACATAATAGACAGATAGATGATAGATACATAGATAGATAGATAGATAGATAGATAGATAGATAGATAGATAGATAGATACATTCCAGGTCCCCTCAGTTGGCACGCCTGACTTCTTAGGTTGGATAATTTCTTAGGATAAGAAATCCGAGCCTAATTTCTTAGGATAAGAAATCTGTCTTAGGATAAGAAATATGAGGACAGACAGAGGAAACCCAAACACATTGCAAGAAGAAATGCTTCAGGCCCAGATTCTTGGGTGTCTGGCTGTCTTCCTGAGCCTCCCAAATGCGTCTTTCGTAACCTAAGAGAGCTCTGGAAACAGTGGGGTTTGTATATGTGGGGTTTGCCGGTCTCCTAGGGCAGGTGGTAAAAGGAGATTGTCCTAAGCGGTGGTTTATGGGGCTCCGGGGGTGTGTGAACGGCCTCAGAGCACCGTTTAGACAAGCGCAAACATAAAAGTGAGAGGCTGCTGGAAACGTTTAAAGAAGAGGGAAGAGGCGGCCGGGGGAGTCGGGGGCCTGATCCAGCACCTTGGCCCTGTCGATTTTCACGTCCCGACCACACTGGGTGTGGATGGAAATAGCTGGGTGGGTTTGTGTGAATTAAAACATTTATAGAGCCCTATGCTCCTGTTACCTCTTAGGCGACTTATTAAAGTACAGTTAGTGTAAACACGGGGGTCGTAAACCTGCAGGGCTCAAGCACCAATTAAAATAATAAAAAACAAGAGGCCACCGCACACTGAGGGGTCTTTGGCACGGGCTGCAAGGGGGAGGAGGAGGGAGGCCAAGCCAGGCTCCCTGGGAGGGGAGCCCGGAGGATTCCAGCTCCACCAAGAAACACAGAGGTCAGAGTGAAAGAAACAGTGCAATAGGGATTCTGGAAAGAAAAAGGCACCTTGACAGCAGAGATTTCAAACCAGGAGATGCATCCCCAGATATGGGACAGTTGAAGATTAAACAGCTGTTGGGGGGTTAATTCTGGGTTCCATAAAGACGTAGAGATTTCATGCTGTAGACCCAGGTACAATGGGGACGTCACCAAACTGCTCAGCAGCTGGTTTTGGGATGCAAGAAGGGCTATGCCTTCCCCCTGGGGCTGGGATGGAGGAAGAGTCGTGTCTACACCTGAACTCTCTGGGATTGAGATGGAGGAGGTGGTGTCCACACCCTCACCCACTGGGGCTGCCATGGAGGAGGAGGAGGGAGGTGTCCACACTCTCCACCCTGGGGTTGGGATGATGGAGGAGGAAGAGGAGGGGTGGTGTCCACACCCTCAACCACTGGGGCTGCCATGGAGGAGGAGGAGGGGCGGTGTCCATGGAGGAGGAGGAGGGGCGGTGTCCACACTCTCTCTCCTGGGGCTGGGATGATGGAGGAGGAGGAGGGGCCGTGTCCACACTCTCCTCCCTGAGGCTGGGATGATGGAGGAAGAGGGGTGGTGTCCACACCCTCACCCCTGGGGCTGGGATGGAGGAGGAGGAGGAGGGGCCGTGCCACATTCTCAGCCCTGGGGCTGGGATGGAGGAGGAGGGGTGGTGTCCACACTCTCTCTCTTGGGGCTGGGATGATGGAGGAGGAGGAGGGGCCGTGTCCACACTCTCCCCCCTGGGGCTGGGATGATGGAGGAAGAGGACTGGTGTCCACACCCTCACCCCTGGGGCTAGGATGGAGGAGGACGAGGAGGAGGGGCCGTGCCACATTCTCAGCCCTGGGGCTGGGATGATGGAGGAGGAGGAGGGGCTGTGTCCACACTCTCCCCCCTGGGGCTGGGATGATGGAGGAGGAGGAGGGGCTGTGTCCACACTCTCCCCCCTGTGGCTGGGATGATGGAGGAAGAGGACTGGTGTCCACACCCTCACCCCTGGGGCTAGGATGGAGGAGGAGGAGGAGGGACCGTGTCCACACTCTCCCCACTGGGGCTGGGATGGAGGAGGAAGAGGGGTGGTGTCCACACTCTGCCCTCTGGGGCTGGGATGGAGGAGGAGGAGGAGGGGCTGTGTCCACATTCTCAGCCCTGGGGCTGGGATGGAGGAGGAATTGGCTCTCTCATGATGCCCTCATTCCTCCCTGTCCTCCTGAAAGCGCCTTTGCAAAAATTATAACTGAAGAAATTACGACAGCGAAAGAGACCTAACCACCCACCTCCCCCCGCCCCATCTTCTTTCTAACCTCGAAACTGTCTTTATTCATTCCTGGGCATAGTAGCCTCAGAAGGAATTTAGTTTATAGTTTAAACTCTGAAACAAAACTGACAATAGCCCTTTTCCGGGAGGGCAGGGACGGCAGGAACCTTCTTGCTTGGGGACCAGCCTGCCTTGGCAGGACTAATAAATTAGCTACAAGATTAGGAATTACGCCTGAAGGACCATGCAGCCTCTGGTTCCAAGAGTCTGAACCTCCCACATATAGCTCCTGGGGATAACATCATTGTTGCAGAACCCAAGATCGGTGTTTGAGATATTTTGCAGATCCCGGATTCCAATGCAGCCGATGACACCACACAGACCGGTAACGTGGCTCAACCAGATATCAGCCATCCCACACAGGAACAGAAGACAGCACGGACTCACTTCAAACCCCTGTGATTTCACCCTCAACCTGACCAACCAGCACTCTCTGCTTCCTGAGCCCCCACCCACCAAATCATCCTTAAAAACTCCAATCGCTGGCCAGGTGCAGTGACTCACGCCTGTCATCCCAGCACTTTGGGAGGCCGAGGGGCTTTCTGTTGTCATCCTTTTTGAGCAAAATCCTGGGAACTTCATACATTGTTTGTTCCAGTATCTTCTCAGTTAATGGAGCTCCTTTGAAATGCTGACGGTCTGCTTACACAGGTTAACTCCTTGAGGAAGGGGGTTGGGTAAGGAGCACTTAGTGTCTTGTAAATCAAGGGGCCAAATGGAGTGCGTCCGGCTTTCCCAGCTGAGAGAGAGTCTATTCTCATGGGAAACAAGGCTAGGTCATTAAAGAGACAAAAAGGGAACGTCTAAAAGTAGGGTTAGTAAAAAAAACAAGGTTAGGCATTACACGTTGCTGATTGATTGACGCATGTCGTCCTCGGAGGAGCCTCCGATGAAGTCTCCTGGGTTTGAGTTGCAGCCTGGGATGGCCCTGCTGGACCTCAAGTGACCTCACCAACGAAATCTGGTTGAGTGTGTCTGATGGGACGTATGTGTGGAGCAATCAGCAGCATCCCAACAGCCGTGTGTGTCATTGGAAAGACCAGCGTGGCCGTGTCTGCGGTCAAAGCAACATCTCTTTTATTTTTTTCTTTTGAGATGGAGTCTCGCCCTGTCTCCCAGGCTGCAGTGCAGTGGTGCAGTCTTGGCTCACTGCAACCTCCACCTCCCGGGTTCAAGCGATTCTTCTGCCTCAGCCTCCCGAGTAGCTGGGTGACCGAGTACAGGTGCCTGCCACCACACCTGGCTAATTTTTGTATTTTTAGTAGAGACGAGGTGTCACCATGTTGGCCAGGCTGGTCTGGAACTCCTGACCTCACATGATCCACTCACCTTGGCCTCCCAAAGTGCTGGGATGACAGGCGTGAGCCACCTCACCTGGCCTAAGGCAACATCTTAAAACCAATTTTCCACTGCCCACTTCCTGGGATGCTCTTTGAGAAGAACTTACTTCTTTCTCAAATTAATGAGCGTTTTGCCCCGATATTCACCCATGCGTTTCTGATACGTTTGCAATTAACCTGGAGGGACTTGTGTGAGCTTATTTATTTTTCCCTAATACGTAGACATGGGTTTTAACAGATTTGAGGATCCTACGGAATTCCAGCGCTCGGGGCCAGATCCTGAAGCCTCCAGATGTCGGGTGTCGTAACCACACAGCCCGCCTTGTTATTTCACTGCAGGTGGAGTTTTCCTCGTTTACCCTCTGTGGACAGCATTCTCTTCCCCTTGTCCTGATAGGAGGCAGCCAGATGCCTAGGCAGGAAGGGGCAGGTGCCTGGTGAAACCCCACCTTCGAGTCAAAAACAGGCTGAGAACCGAAAGACCAGCCTGCTGGTCCAGAATGAAACTCGCCACCCAGAGTGACAACATCTGTTCCTATTTGCCTGCCCTTTCCCAATTGATTCTTTCTGAATAATTTTTTAATTAAATTAAATTAAATTAATTATTTATTTATTTCTGAGACAGAGTCTCGCTGTGTCGCCCAGACTGGAGTGCAGTGGAGAGATCTCAGCTCACTGCAACCTCTGCCTCCCGGGTTCAAGCAAGTGTCCTCCCTCAGCCTCCTGAGTAGCTGGGATTACAGTTGCTGGCCACCACGCCTTGGTAATTTTGGTATTTTTAAATAGAGATGGGGTTTCTCCATGTTGGTCAGGCTGGTCTGTAACTCCTGACTTCAGGAGATCCACCCACCTCAGCCTCCCAAAGTGTTGGAATGACAGGTGTCAGCCACCACACCCAGCCTGAATAATGCTTTTTAATCAATCTGACCACCGGCCTCAGCCTCCCAAAGTGTTGGAATGACAGGCGTCAGCCACCACACCCGGCCTGAATAATGCTTTTTAACCAATCTGACCTCAGGCGATCCACCCGCCTCAGCCTGCCAAAGTATTGGAATGACAGGCGTCAGTCAGCCACCACACCCAGCCTGAATAATGCCTTTTAATCAATCAAATGTTCCCGTTTCCAATACTACCTATGGCCCGCCCCTCCCCACTTCCCTTCTCTGAGGAAAGCTGTCTCATCACGTAATAAAACTCCCTGGTTTGCTCACTCTTCAGTTCTCAGCATGTCCTCATTCTTCTTGGACGCTGGACAACAACTCGGGAACCAAGATTTCACCGTTGCAATACAACCTGGGCGACAAGAGCGACCAAGGCAGGCGGATCACGAGGTCAGGAGATCGAGACCGTCCTGGTTAACACAGTGAAATCTCAGCTCACTGTGACCTCTGCCTTCTGGGTTCAAGCAATTGTCCTGCCTCAGCCTCCCAAGTAGCTGGGATTACAGGTGTGCCTAAGCCTAGCTCTGGTGGAGCATCACCAGCTGGAGGTCCCCGGCTTGCAAAGTGACCAAGAACTAAATCCTCCATCATTTCTACCCTCCAAACCCCAGAAAAAGAGACTGCAACCACTCAACTGCACAGCCAATAGCTGTGAACAAGAAGTTCAGGAACCATGGCCAAAACATTCAGGAACCTTGGCCAAAAGTTCACAGAAGTGGAGTTTAACTAAGAAGTTGATTCTGGCAATGCTTTTCCCATTAACTGGTGCATGAAATGAATTTCTTGTTTCAATAGAAACACTGCATTTTTCATTAGAGAAAATAAGCCAGAGACAGAGGCGTATGCCTATAAACCCAACATTTTGAGAGGCTGAAGTGGGAGGATTTCTTGAATCCAGGAGTTCGAGACCAGCCTTGGCAACATAGGAAGACTCTGTATTTACAAAGAATACAAAAACTAGTCCGGGTGCGGTGGCTCACGCCTGTAATCCCAGCACTTTGGGAGGCCGAGGCGGGAGGATCACGAGGTCAGGAGATCAAGACCATCCTGGCTAACATGGTGAAACCCCGTCTCTACTAAAAATACAAAAAATTAGCCAGGTGCGGTGGCAGGCGCCTGTAGTCCCAGCTACTCAGGAGGCTGAGGCAGGAGAATGGCGTGAACCTGGGAGGTGCAGCTTGCAGTGAGCCAAGATCGCGCCACTGCACTCCTGCCTGGGCGACAGAGCGGGACTCTGTCTCCAAAAACAAAAAAAAAAAAAAAAAAAAAAAAAGCTGGCAAAAGACATCTCCAGGATGTGGACAAGACACCTGCACCCCTAGCTCAGCTCCCCCACCATGACCTGGTTCTGGCCCTATGAAACCCTGCTATACTCTGTAAGCCAGGCTGCCTACTCTAACTATGGTGGAATTTTAGGTCTCCTCATGCTTTCTCTCAGCTGACCTTCCACCTTCCACCTCAGCCTCCCAAGCACCTGGGACTATAGGTGTGCACTGCTACACCCAGCTAATTTTTGTCATTTTTGTAGAACCGTAGATTTGCAATGTTGCCCAGGCTGGTCTTGAAGTCCTGAGCTCAAGCCATCCTCCCACCTGAGCCTCCCAAGTAGCCAAGACCACAGGTGTGACAATCATTCCCAGCTAGCTATTTTCGTTTTTATTGTTTCTTTGTTTTGAGATGGAGTCTCACTCTGTCACCCAGGCTGGAGTGCAGTGGTGCGATCTCGGCTCACTGCAAGCTCCGCCTCCCAGGTTCACGCCATTCTCCTGTCTCTGCCTCCTGAGTAGCTGGGACTACAGGCGCCCGCCACCAGGCCCAGCTAATTTTTTGTATTTTTAATAGAGACGGGGTTTCACCGTGTTAGCCAGGATGGTCTTGATCTCTTGACCTCGTGATCCACCCGCCTTGGCTTCCCAAAGTGCTGGGATTGCAAGCATGAGCCACCGTGCCCAGTGAGGAAATCTAATTTCTGTTTTTTTTTTTTTTTTTGAGACAGAGTCTCACTCTGTCACCCAGGCTGGAGTGCAGTGGTGCGATCTCGGCTCACTGCAACCTCCATCTCCCAGGTTCAAGCGATTCTCGTACCTCAGCCTCCCGAGTAGCTGGGACTACAGGAGTGTGCCGCCACGCCTGGCTAATTTTTGTATTTTTAGTAGAGATGGGGTTTCACAATATTGGCGAGGCTGGTATTGAACTCCTGACCTCGTGAACCGCCCGCCTCGGCCTCCCAAAGTGCTGGGATTACAGGCGTGAGGAAATCTAATTCTAAGACAGGGCTGTGATTGGAGACTGGTCTAGCGACTGCATGGGGCTTAGGTCTCGAGTGAGTGGCTTGTATTGTGTCAACATTCTCCTCCCACAGAAAGGGGATGTGGATGCTTTGAAAGGGTACGTTTGAGTTTTTGCTCTTGAGAAAGTGTTCTATTCTCTATCCTCTGCAAATCTACCTAGGGAAGACACACCACTACCTCTAGCAGTAGAGACCAAAGACCTTCATGTATACAGCAAGTCCCATACCCACCGCTGCCTTAGGAAGGCAGAAGCTCCCCCAACAAGGAGACTTCTCGTACAAGGAAAGATGGACCTGTTACCGGACAGTGGTCTCAATCCGGATCCCAAGAGAGGGTTCCTGGATCCGGTGCGAGAAAGAATTCAGGGCGGGTCCACAGTGCAAAGCAAAAGTAAGTTAATCACAAAAGTAAAGTGGCAAAAATACAGCTACCCCATAGCAAACAGGTTTGCTGAAAAGGTAGCCAAAGATAGTGAGGGAACTGATGAATTCACTGTGGCTAAATCCAGCTAAGGAGGACTCAGCTTCTACATCTAGGTATCAACAACCATCTGATTGATCCGACAGGCCCAGTTTCCACAGCATTTAAGATTATTAAGAAGGCCGGGCGTGGTGGCTCACGCCTGTCATCCCAGCACTTTGGGAGGCTGAGGCGGGCGGATCACGAGGTCAGGAGATCGAGACCATCCTGGCTAACACGGTGAAACCCCGTCTCTACTAAAAATACAAAAAATTAGCTGGGCATGGTGGTACACGCCTGTAGTCCCAGCTACTTGAGAAGCTGAGGTGGGAGGATCACTAGAACCCAGGAGTTCAAGGCTGCTGTGAGCCATGATTGTGCCAATGCACTCCAGCCTGGGCAACAGAGTGAGACCCTACCTCAAAATAAGTACATAAATAAGAGAATAAGAAAACAATTACATTAACAATAACACCAAAAAGAATAAAACACTTAGAAATTAATCGTGAAAGTAGATTTGTACACCAAAAACTAAAACATTAAAAAACAAAAACAGGCTGGGCGCGGTGGCTCACGCCTGTCATCCCAGCACTTTGGGAGGCCGAGGCGGGCGGATCACGAGGTCAGGAGATCGAGACCATCCTGGCTAACACAGTGAAACCCCGTGTCTACTAAAAATACAAAAAATTAGCCGGGCATGGTGGTGGGTGCCTGTAGTCCCAGCTACTCGGGAGGCTGAGGCAGGAGAATGGTATGAACCCGGGAGGCGGAGGTTGCAGTGAGCCAAGATGGCGCCACTGCACTCCAGCCTGGGCGAAAAAGCGAGACTCCATCTCAAAAAAAAAAAAAAGATTATTAAGAAAGCAAAGTGCTGAAAGTACTGAAGGGATGGGTTGCTGTGGAACGAGAGACTTGGAAAAGAAAAAGACACAGAGACAAAGTATAGAGAAAGAAAAATGGGCCCAGAGGAACCAGCGTTCAGCATACGGAGGACCGGCGCCGGCACCGGCCTCTGAGTTCCCTTAGTATTTATTGATCATTATCTGGCGTTTCTTGGAGAGGGGGATGTGGCAGGATAATAGGATAATAGTGGAGAGAAGGTCAGCAGGAAAACTTGTGAACAAATATCTCTGCATCATAAACAAGGTAAAGAAAAAAGTGCTGTGCTTTTGATGCACATATACATAAACATCTCAGTGCCTTAAAGAGCAGTATTGTTGCCAGCATGTCCCACCTCCAGCCCTAAGGCGGTTTTCCCCTATCTCAGTAGATGGAATGTACAATCGGGCTTTACACCGAGACATTCTATTGCCCAGGGATGAGCAGGAGACAGATGCCTTCCTCTTACCTCAACTGCAAAGAGGACTTCCTCTTTTACTAATCCTCCTCAGCACAGACAGAATAAGGGGTTCCCAAAAGTAAGAGGAGGAACGCGTCCTCCCTAGGTACAATATTCATTTATATATATGATTTAAAAAAAGATCATGGGCAAGCCGGGCGTCGTGGCTCACGCCTGTCATCCCAGCACTTTGGGAGGCCGAGGCAGGTGGATCACCTGAGGTGGGGAGTTCGAGACCAGCTTGACCAACATGGAGAAACCCCGTCTCTACTAAAAATACACAAATTAGCCAGGCACGGTGGTGCATGCCTGTAATCCCAGCTATTTAGGAGGCTGAGGCAGGAGAATCGCTTGAACCCAGGAGGCGGAGGTTGCAGTGAGCTGAGATCACACCATTGCACTCCAACGTGGGCGACAGAGCAAGACTCTGTCTCAAAAAAAAAAAAAAAGAGAGAGAGAGAGATCATGGGGAGATGTGCTCGTCTATAAGGATTTGTGATAAAGGATTAGTTTTCTTAATTACTATATATATATGTATATATAAATTTTTTTGAGACAGTGTCTCAATCTGTTGCTCAGGCTGGAGTGCAGTGGCACGATCTCAGCTCACTGCAACCTCCAACTCCCAGGTTTAACTGATCCTCCCACCTCAGCCTCCTGAGTAGCTGGGATTACAGGCACACACCACCACACCCGGTTAATTTTTGTATTTTTAGTACAGACAGGGTTTCACCATGTTGGCCAGGCCTGTCTTGAACTCCTGACCACCGATATCTGCCCACCTTGGCCTCCCAGAGTGCTGGGATTACCAGCATGAGCCACCGCGCCCAGCCCTGCACCTCCCTTTTAATTCATATAAGGGTGGGCTTGCAATATACTTCCAGGCCAAAGTTTGAGCTCAAAACTTGCATTTTCAGACATTACTTTGAAGCGTTTGAATAACAACAAATGCTTGGCAGCTGCAATACCATTATTTACTCTACCTTTATTTCATTATTAATGTGCTGTTCTCAGTATATTAACATGAAGCGTTGGCTGCGGTCAGAGATGGAGATTTTATTATTTATATGTAACAAATGTATTCATTAATAATTGAATTACACAGACAGCACACAAATAAATATAGCAAATTATTAATTTATAACACACTGGGGGGGATTTATAAAATTCCAGTAAATACAGTCTTTAATCAACTATAGACTTTTTTAAAAAAACACTTTATATTAGGATTCACATCTTGTTTATCTTCCTTTGTTGTATATTTCTGTATTTGCGTATTAGCAGATATAAGCTACATTTAAAGATAGTATACATATATCTCTTTTTCTTTTGTAGA
The DNA here is from genome assembly GCF_000001405.40 of Homo sapiens. Classification (NCBI taxonomy): domain Eukaryota; kingdom Metazoa; phylum Chordata; class Mammalia; order Primates; family Hominidae; genus Homo; species Homo sapiens. The sequence continues at coordinate 989,324 of NC_000023.11, forward strand.
GATAAAGTCTCACTATGTTGCCCAGGCTGGTCTCAAATTCCTGGTCTCAAGTGATCCTCCTGCCTTGGCCTCTCAAAGTGCTGGGATTATAGGCATGAGCCACCATACCAGGCTAGTATACATATTTTGTTAAAATAATACAGATAATATAATATAGTATAATACAATATGTAGGAGATATAGCTCAGAAAACAGGTTTACTGAAATGGTAGACAAAGATAGTGAGTAAATTAATGAATTCACTGTGGCTAAATCCACTAAGTAGGACTCAGCTTGTATATCTAGGTATCATCAACCATTTGATTGATTTGAAATGCCCAGTTTCCAAGTCTAACCATTGTTGAGGATGTATAAATTATACTGAACTTGAAGTTGACAGAGTGCAAATTATTTTGCATGCATTTTACAGCAAGGACCGAGCCTCAATTTTTTTTTTTTTTTTTTTGGCATCGTGAGAATTGAAATAAAGACATTTATATAGGAGTTAAGAAGAAATCACTTAGGCAGATGGTAAGGCTATGGAAGTCCTTAGTAAGGCTTTTCTCTTTAATGAAAACCAGCCCCAAATCATTTTCTAACAAAGAGCAGTCTGTAAAATTGAGCTGCATCGAGCTGCAGACATAGACAAGCCAGCTGGGAGCTTGCACGGGTGAATGCCGGCAAAACGTAGGGACTAGACACGTTCAAGATGGCGGCTCCATCTTCCCGGCAGGAACTACGGACTAGACACCTTCAAGATGGCGTCTTCATCTTCCCGGCAGGAACTAGGGACTAGACACGTTCAAGATGGCGGCTCCATCTTCCCGGCAGGAACTACGGACTAGACACCTTCAAGATGGCGGCTCCATCTTCCCGGCAGGAACTAGAGACTAGACACGTTCAAGATGGCGGCTCCATCTTCCCTCCTCTTTGTCAACCGCATGTACAGTAAGAAAAGCAGACAAGATGGCGCCGATCAACTGGAAATCCCATTTGCTTAAGATTAGGGTGGGGCGACCAGCCTTCCCCACGCACTCTATGGATGTCATGCCGGATGGAACCAATCTTTGAGCCCTACGTAAATGAAACACCGCCTTCACCAGCCTGCCTATAAAGTCTGCAGAGGTCAGGTGCCTCCCACCTTTTTGGCTCTCTTTCTCTCTCTCTCTCTCTCCTTCCCTCCCTCCCCTTCCCTCCCCTTCCCTCCCTCTCCCTCACTCTCCCCCACTCCCTCTCCCCCTCCCCCTTTCTCTCTCTCTCTCTCTCTCTCTCTCTCTCTCTCACAAGGAGCTGCTCTCCTCCTTTCTTCTGTTGAGACGTGTGTGTGTCTGTCTTTCTGTCTCTTTCTCTCTCTCTCTCTCGCAAGGAGCTGCTCTCCTCCTTTCTTCTGTTGAGACGTGTGTGTGTCTGTCTTTCTGTCTCTGTCCCTCTGTCTCTTTCTCTCTCTCTCTCTCTCTCTCTCTCTCTCTCTCGCAAGGAGCTGCTCTCCTCCTTTCTTCTGTTGAGACGTGTGTGTGTCTGTCTTTCTGTCTCTGTCCCTCTGTCTCTTTCTCTCTCTCTCTCTCTCTCTCTCTCGCAAGGAGCTGCTCTCCTCCTTTCTTCTGTTAGGACCTGCGTGTGTGTCTGTGTTTCTGTCTGTCTCTGTCCCTCTGTCTCTCTCTCTCTCTGTCTCTGTGTCTCTCAGTCTGTCTCTCTCTCCCTCTCTCTCTGTCCATCTCTCTCTCTCTGTCTCTCTCTCTGTCCCTCTGTCTCTGTCTCTCTGTCTCTCACAACGAGCTGCTCTCCTCTCTCCTTTCTTCTGTTTGGACGAGTGTGTGTGCCTGTGTCTGTCTGTCTGTCTGTCTCACTGTCTCTCTCTGTCCCTCTGTCTCTCTCTATATCTGTCTGTCTGTCTCTTCCTCTCTGTCTGTCTCTCTCTCTGTCTCTGTCTCTGTCTCTCTCTCAAGGAGCTGCTCTCCTCTCTTTTTTTCTCTTCAGACTTGTCTGTGTGTGTGTGTCTGTCTGTCTGTCTCTCTGTCTCTCTCTGTCCCTCTGTCTCTCTCTGTCCCTCTGTCTCTGTCTCTTTCTCTATCGCAAGGAGCTGCTCTCCTCTCTTCTGTTTGGACCTCTCTGCTTGTGTGTGTCTGTGTGTGTGTGTGTGTCTGCCTCTCTCTCTCTCTCTCTCTCGCAAGGAGCTGCTGTCCTCTCTCCTTTCTTCTGTTCAGACCTCTGTGTGTGTGTGTCTCTCTCTCTCTCTGTCTCTGTGTGTGTCTGTTTCTCTCTGTGTGTGTCTCTTTGTATCTGTGTGTTTGTGTGTGTCTGTCTCTCTGTCTCTGTCTGTCTGTCTGTCTTTCTCTCTCTCTCTCTCTCTCTCTCGCAAGGAGCTGCTCTCTTCTCTTTTCTCCTGTTTGGACTTGTGTGTGTGTGTCTGTCTCTCTCTGTCTGACTGCCTCTCTTTGTCTCTGTCTCTCTATCTCTCTGTCTGTCTCACAAGGAGCTGCTCTCCTCTCTCCTTTCTTCCCTGTCCTCAATTATTTCTCAGAGTGAGACAAGGAACTCCAGGGTATACACCCCGCACGACGTAGCTGTTTCCAACACCAGGGGTCTTAGCTAGAAAAAGTGAGTGTATGTAATCGTCAGCATTTGCTACTGATGACAGAATAGAACAAATTCTGCCAAGAGATTTAAAGAGGTTTATTCTGAACCAATATGAGTGCTGAGCGCCTGTGCTCCAGGATTACATGGTCTCAAGAGATCTGAGAAAGTGTGTTCAGGAGGTCTGGTTACAGTTCCATTTTTATTTATTTATTTATTTTTATTTTTTTTAAATCGAGATGGAGTCTCACTCTGTCATCCAGGCTGGAGTACAATGGCGTGATCTCGGCTCACTGCAACGTCTGCCTCCAGGGTTCAAGCAATTTCCCTGCCTCAGCCTCCCGAGTAGCTGGGATTACAGGCCCCTGCCACCACACCTGGCTAATTTTTTGTATTTAGTACAGACGAGGTTTCACCATATTGGCCAGGCTGGTCTCAAACTCCTGACCTCAGTTGATTCTCCCACCTCGGCATCCCAACATACTGGTATTACAGGTGTGAGCCACCGCGCCCGACCTACAGTTCTATTGTATATATTTCAGGGAGACAGGAATTGTAGGTAAAATCATAAATCATTACATGGAAGGTATACCTTGTTTCGGCCTTAAAGATGAAACATCTCAAAGTGGGTTCCTACGAGTCACAGGTAGGCTTTAGGGATTCTTTAGTTGGCAATTGGTTGTATAAAACATAAAAATGTAAGGCCGGGCATGGTGGCCCACGCCTGTAATCACAGCACTTTGGGAGGCTGAAGCGGGTGCATCATCTGAGGTCAAGAGTTTGAAACCAGCCTGGCCAATATGGTGAAACCCTGTCACTACTAAAAATACAAAAATTAGCTGGGCCTGTAATCCCAGCTACTTGGGAAGCTGAGGCAGGAGAAACACTTGAATCCAGGAGGCAGAGGTTGCAGTGAGCTGAGATTGTGCCACTGCACTCCAGCCTGGGTGACAGAGTGAGGAAAGAAAAGAAAGGAAGGAAGGGAAAGACAAAAAGAAAAGAAAGAGAAAGAAGGAAAGAAAGAAAAAGAAAGGAAGGAAGGAAGGAAAAATAAAAGGAAGAGAAACAAAGGAAAGAAAAAAGGGAAGAAAGGGAAGGGTAAGGAAGAGAAGGGAGAGGGGAAAGAAAGGAAGAAAGGAATGAAAGAAAGGGAAAGGGGATAGAAAGGAAGAAAGGAATGAAAGAAAGGGAAAGAGGGAAGGAAAGAAAGAAAGAGAAAGAAAGAGAAGGAAGGAAAGAGGAAGGAAAAGGAAGGAAGGAAGGAAATATTTTTGTAGACGCAGTGATATGGTTTTGCTGTGTCCCCACCCAAATCTCAAATTGCAGCTCCCAAAATTCCCACGTGTCATGGGACTTACCCAGTGGGAGGTAACTGAATCACAGGGCAGGTCTTTCCCTTGCTGTTCACACAATAGTGAAGACGTCTCATGAGATCAGATGGTTTTATAAAGGGGACTTTCCCCTTTTCTCTTGCTTGCCACCATGGAAGACATGACTTTGCTCCTCCTTTGCCTTCCGCCATGATTGCGAGGTCTCCTCAGCCATGTGGAACTGTGAGTCCGTTAAACCTCTTTCCTTTATCTTTTACCCAGTCTCGGGCTGGGCGCGGTGACTCATGCCTGTCATCCCAGCACTTTGAGAGGCCGAGGCAGGAGGATCACCTGAGGTCGGGAGTTCAAGACCAGCCTGCCCAACGTGGAGAAACCCTGTCTGTACTAAAAATACAAAACTAGCAGGGCGTGCTGGCACGTGCCTGTAATCCCAGCTACTCGGGAGGCTGAGGCAGGAGAATCGCTTGAACCCGGGAGGCGGAGGTTGCAGTGAGCCGAGATGGCACCATTGCACTCCAGCCTGGGTGACAAGAGCAAAACTCCATCTCAATCAATCAATCAATCAATCAATAACCCAGTCTCAGGTATGTCTTTATTAGCAGCCTGAGAACAGAGTTATATACACAGAGTCTTGCTATGTTGCCCAGTCTGGTCTCGAACTTCTGGGGTAAGTGATGCTCCCACCTCAACCTCTCAAAGTGGTGGGATTACAGGCGTGAGCCGCCGCGCCCGGCCTCCATGAGTCTGATTTTAACCCATGTCTTTTGTATTTCTCAGTCCTTGTCCACACATCTCATCACACACGTGCGCAGCAAACAGGCACACCCAGTGTGAACCCAGGCACAGCTCTCCGAGAGAACTCTAGTCAACACGTCGTCCGTGGGACATCGGCTGTATTTCTGTTCCTTTCCTTCTTTTCTGTCTCTTTCTCTTATTTCCCAAAACTCCGTTGTGTTTCTGATTTGTTCACATCGCTTTCGGCAAAAGGAAAACACAATGGTAAGTGGGGTTTATAAATCTATCTTCGTTATCAAGGGAAGATTGAAACGGCATGGAGACAAATGAAATTAACTGTGCACGGGACACACCGTCAACAAAACGCTAATAAGTGCAGAAAGACTGTTTAGCAGGAAACATGTCCAAAAAAAAAAAAGAAAAGAAAGGATCTTAATCATGGTTTAAGCTTATCTGATGGATTTCAACAGAGACACATCAAGTCTAATTGAATGTTTACGTGCACTTTTTATGGTTTCTGTATTCTGTGTAATGAAATAACATTACAAAAAAGCGTTGAGACGCAAGAAACTCTGGGATTCTTCTAAAGGGAGAGTTGGAGTTACTACATTCAACATGGACGGCTTCTCTTCTGTATTTCAACAGCGTTATCGTCTGCAAATTTGGAGATTCTCTGAAAGCTTCACGGCCATCCTGGGTCTCAAACTCTTTGAATATTCATACTGTAAACTATCTGACAACATGGGATTGGGTTTTGGCATTCTCTAGGTCTACTGAGAGAGGTTCTGGAATGCAATTTAACTTTAAATGCCTACCTACCTACCTGCCTATCATCTATCTATCTGTCTAACATCTATCTGTCTTTCAATCATCTATCCATTCGTCTCATCTATCTACCTACCTATCTATTCATCCATCTCATCTATCCATCCATCCATCCATTCATCCTGCCATCTATCCATCTATGTATCTATCTATCTAGTCATCCATCTCATCTGTCTTCCTATCCATGTATCATCTATCTACTTACCTATTAACTATCATCTATCAATCAAGCTATCTATATATCCATCATCTATCTACCTTATCTATTATCAATCTATCGTGTGTCCATCTATGTACTATCACCTGTCAATCTGTCATCTACCATCTGTTTATCTACCCATCTCATCATCTATCAACTACCCATCCATCTTTATCTATCTATCTATGTATCTATCTATCTATCTTTTTTTTTTTTTTTTTGAGACAGAGTGTCACTCTGTCGCCCAGGCTGGAGTGCAATGGCGCAATCTCGGCTCACTGCAAGCTCCGCCTCCCAGGTTCACGCCATTCTCCTGCCTCAGCCTCCCGAGTAGCTGGGACTACAGGCGCCCGCCACCATGCCCGGCTAATTTTTTGTATTTTTAGTAGAGATGGGGTTTCACCGTGGTCTCGATCTCCTGACCTCGTGATCCGCCCGCCTCGGCCTCCCAAAGTGCTGGGATTACAGGCGTGAGCCACCGTGCCTGGCCCTATCTATCTATCTATCTATCTATCTATCTATCTATCTATCTATCATCTATCCATCCATCACATCTCTTTATCTACCCATTCATCTTATTTATTTGTCTATTTATGTATAATCGGTCTATCCATTTCATCTATCTATCTATATACCAACCTATCATCTATCTATCCATTCATCTATGTATATCTATCTATCCATCTATGTGTCTATCTACGTATCTATTATCTATCTATCCACTATCACTAATCTATCATCTATATATCCACCTATATCATCTATCATCTCTCGAGTCATGTCATGTATCATCCATCTATGTATCTATGTATGTATGTATGTATGTATGTATGTATCTATCTATCTATCTATCTATCATGAACCCAAAATATCTGAGACAGGTGTCAATCAATTTAGCAGGTTTATTTTGCCAACGTTAAAGACACACCCATGAGACGGCCTCAGGAGGTCCTGACGACAGGTGTTCAAGGTGGTTGGGTCACAGCTTGGTTTTATACATTTTAGAGAGACATGAGACATCAATCAATGTGTGATACTGTAAGTTGTGCATTGGTTTGGTCCGGAAAGGTGAGACAGCTCAAAGTGAGGAGGGGGCTTATAGGTGATAGGTAGGAATTTCCTTGTGGACAGATTGTGAGGGACATATGTGATCTTTGTATCTCTGTAGCGATCTTATTTACGAATAAAATAGGAGGCAGGTTTGCCTGATGCCGTTTCCATATTGACTTTTTCCTTTGGCTTAGTGATTTGGGAGTCCTAAGATTTATTTTTCTTCCTATCAATCTATCTATCTATCCATCCATCCATCTATTCATCCTTCCATCTATCCGTTTATGTATGTATGTATGTATCTATCTATCTATCTATCTATCTATCTATCTATCTGTCTGTCCATCCATCCATCTATTCATGTATGTATGTATGTATGTATGTATCTATCCACCCATCCATCCAGCTATTCATGTATGTATGTATGTATCCATCCATCCATCCATCCATTCATCTATGTATGTATGTATGTATGTATGTATGTATCTATCTATCTATCTATCTGTCGATTTATCCATCCATCCATCCATCCATCCATCTATCCATGTGTGTATGTATGTATGTATCTATCTATCCATCCATCCATCTATCCATCTAAGTATGTATGTATGCGTCTGTCCATCCATCCATCCATCTATTCATGTACGTATATATATATCTATCCATCCATCCATCCATCCATCCGTCCATCCATCTATCCGTCTATGTATGTATGTATGCATCTATCTATCCATCCATCTGTCCATCTATGTATGAATGTATGTATGTGTCTGTCTATCCATCCATCCATCCATCCATCTATTCATGGATGTATGTATCTATCCATCCATCCATCCATTTATGCATCTATGTATGTATGTATGTATGTATCCATCCATCCATCCATCTATCCATGTATGTATGTATCCATCCATCTATCCATCTATGTATGTATGTATGTATCTGTCTGTCTATCTATCCATCCATCCATCTATCCATGTATGTATGTGTGTATGTATGTATCTATCCATCTATGTATGTATGTATGTGTCTGTCTATCCATCCATCCATCCATCAACTCATGTATGTATGTATCTATCCATCCATCCATCTATTCATCTATGTATGTATGTATGTATCTATCTATCTATCCATCAATCCATCCATCCATCCATCTATCCATGTATTTGTGTATCTATCCTTCCATCCATCTATGTATGTATGTATATATTTATCTATCCATCATCTACCATCTATTTATCTATCTCATCTTTCTGTTTATCGTGTATCTATCAGTCATCTATCCACCCATCTCCTGCCCCCTCCCCCTGTGTATCTACTTGTGTACTTACCTATCTATGGCAACCAGAGAGCTTTTACCCCCAGGAGATATTTTGCAATATCTGGTGGCAATTTTGGTTGTCACAACTGGGGAGGGGGTGGTCCTGGCACCTGGTGGGTGAAGCCCAGGGTCTCTGCTCAACACCATACAGTGCCCAGGACAGCCCCACCGCGGAGAATCCTCCATCCCCAAATGTCAGCAGAGCCTGGGCAGAGAGACCTTGAAATAGACAAGCATTAATTTCTCTCAGCTATAGATTTGATAACTTAACAAAATGTCTGTTCCTTGCCACCTCCTCTGATTTTTCGCTTTTACAGTTCCCCCAAATGGAACGCCATAACTAACCACAACCACAAATACACTCAGAGCTAAAGCCACATGGCCCCCTATTGGAGGAAAAGCAGGACCCAAGAAACAATTCCTGGCGTCCAACTGACCTTTGCAGGTTTCGCTAGAACATTCAGAAGTCACTGTGGCTGTCCCCAGGGGCCCAGAGTCATTGTGAGAAGCTCAGAGAAGCAGGGGACCCCGCGGACAGCAGCTGGGCACGGGGTCCTTTGTGCAAAAGTCTTTCAAATTCAAATCTCCCTCCCTCCCCTGGGCTGTAAAATCCCTTCTCCCGCCAGTAACACAGCTCTCCCTGGATTTACAGCTGCAATGTTTACCACCAGCCTGCTGAGCTCACAGCTTAGAGCCAGGCTTACCCTTTCAGAGCGAATTTTCACTGAGGCCAGTCTACTTTCCAAGCAGCGACTCTGAGAATGTCTTCTAAGCTGTGGCATAACTGTCCAAGTGGTTCTTCCTGCCTGCTGAATAAAGACTCACAGCATTGCCGTAGACAAAGAATTTAAGAGACACAAGGCCGGCCATGCCATGTGGCAGGCGGAGTACCTACTCAAGGCTCAGAGATAGGGGTTTTTCAAAGGCAGTGTTGTTACCAGAAAGGGGTCTTGCTCCAGACCCCAAGAGAGGGTTCCTGGTCCTTGCACAAGAAACAATTCAGGGCGAGGCCATAGAGTAAAGTGAGAGCAAGTTTATGAAGAAAGTAGAGGGGCCAGGCGCGGTGATTCGAGCCTGTAATCCCAGCACTTTGGGAGGCTGACGCAGGTGGATCACCTTAGGTCAGGAGTTCGAGACCAGTCTGCCCAACATGGTGAAACCCCGTCTCTACTAAAAATACAAAAATTAGCTGGTCATGGTGGGCACCTGTCATCCCAGCTACTCGGGAGGCTGAGGCAGGAGAATCGCTTGGATCAGAAAGGCGGAGGTTGCAGTGAGCAGAGACCTTGTCACTGTGCTCCAGCCTGGGTGACAGAGCTGTGACCTGTGCCATAACTGTCCAAGCGATTCTTCCTGCCTGCTCAGGAAGCTCAGGAAGGGTACTCAGGAAGCAAATGAAAGACGGCTTTGGCCAGGCACGGTGGCTCATGCCTGTAATCCCAGCACTTTGGGAGGCTGAGGCAGGTGGATCACTTGAAGTCAACAGTTCGAGACCAGCCTGGCCAACATGGCGAAACCCTGTCTCTACTAAAAATACAAAAATTAGCCAGGCGTGGTGGCAGGTGCCTGTAATCCCAGCACTTTGGGACGCTGAGGCGGGTGGATAACCTGAGGTCAGGAGTTCAAGACCAGCCTGGCCAACATTGCAAAACCCTGTCTCTGCTAAAAATACAAAAAATTAGCTGGGCCTGGTGGCAGGCACCTATAATCCCAGCACTTTGGGAGGCCAAGGTGGGTGGATCACCTGAGATCTGGAGTTCAAAACCTGCCTGGCCAACATGGTGAAACCCCATCTCTACTAAAAATACAAAAAATTAGCTGGGCATGGTGGCGGGCGCCTATAATCCCAGCACTTTGGGAGGCCAAGGTGGGTGGATCACCTGAGGTCAAGAGTTCGAAACCAGCCTGGCCAAGAAGGCAAAACCACATCTCTACTAAAAATACAAAATTTAGCCAGGCGTGGTGGCAGGTGCCTGTAATCCCAGCACTTTGGGAGGCTGAGGCGGGTGGATCACCTGAGGTCAGGAGTTCGAGACCAGCCTGGCCAACATGGTGAAACCCTGTCTCTGCTAAAAATACAAATATCAGCCGAGAGTAGTGGTGGGCGTCTGTAGTCACAGCTACTTGGGAGGCTGAGACAGGAGAATCCCTTGAATCCGGGAGGCAGAGGTTGCAGTGAGCGGAGATGATGCCATTGCACTCCGGTCTGGGCCACAGAGCGAGACTGTCAAAACAAAACGGAACAAAAAGAATGCTTTAAGAAGCGGGCGGATCACAAGATCCAGAGATTGAGAATAGCCTGGCTAACACAGTGAAACTCCGTCACTACTAAAAATACAAAAAAATTAGCCGGGCGTGGTGGCAGGTGCATGTAGTCTCAGCTCCTCAGGAGGCTGAGGCAGGAGAATGGTGTGAACCCAGGAGGCGGAGCTTGCAGTGAGCCGAGATCCCGCCACTGCACTCCAGCCTGGGCGACAGAGCGAGACCCTGTCTCAAAAAAAAAAAAAAAAAAAAAAAATAGAGAAGCCTGTGGTCCTGTGGGATTTATAGATTTCATTTTGTAAATATATCAGTATTTCCCAAATTAAAATACAGCCTTAATCCCTGCAGAAACTTTTTTTTTTTCAGATCTGGGAATCAGTACACAGATTTCCAAATGTTTCTGTAGAAACATTAGCCTGGCTAACAAGGTGAAACCCCATCTCTACTAACAATACAAAATATTGGTTGGGCGTGGTGGCGGGTGCTTGTAATCCCAGCTACTCAGGAGGCTGAGGCAAGAGAATTGGTTGAACCCAGGAGGCGGAGGTTGCATTGAGCTGAGATCACGCCACTGCACTCCAGCCTGGGCAACAGAGCGAGACTCCATCTGAAGAAATAAAGTAAAATAGCCGGGCGCGGTGGCTCACGCCGGTCATCCCAGCACTTTGGGAGGCCGAGGCAGGCGGATCACGAGGTCAGGAGATCGAGACCTTCCTGGCTAACACGGTGAAACCCGGTCTCTACCAAAAATACAAAAAATTAGCCGGGCAGGGTGGCTGGCGTGCACCTGTCATCCCAGCTACTCAGGAGGCTGAGGCAGGAGAATCGCTTGAACCCGGGAGGCGGAGGTTGCAGTGAGCCGAGATCGCATCACTGCACTCCAGCCTGGGGGACAAGTGAGATTCCATCTCAGAAAAAAAAAAATAATAATAATAATAATAATAATAATAATAATAATAATAAGTAACACAATGAGAGTTTATAACGTGACAGAGGTGGTTTTCGAATTCATTCCATTAAAAAAAAATCCAAGATTTCTGTGTGTCACAAAATATTTACGAAATTAAAGGGAAGTTCAGAGACCACGTGGAAAATACATTCTAAACCAAAGCATCATTACTACACAAGGAGGTGTTTCAAATCAAACGTGAAGTTTCCCCCAATGAAAAAGTCAAACGGCACAAGATAAACGGTCGGAATCAACAGAACACGTTCGACTTCAGTAAAGATTACAGAAATACTTTCTTTAAAACAAGGAGACCTCACTTGAATTTTCTACATTGCATGCTTTTCTGCCCTCCAGAGCTGAAAACTCAGAAGCTTTGAAAATGCCCATTCTCTTGGCTGGGCGCGGTGGTTCACGCCTGTAGTCCCAGCACTTTGGGAGGCCGAGGCGGGTGGATCACCTGAGGTCAGGAGTTCGAGACCAGCCAGGCCAATATGGTGAAACCCGTTCTCTACTAACAATACAAAAATTAGCTGGGTGTGGTGGCGGGCGCCTGTAGTCCCAGCTACTCAGGAGGCTGAGGCAGGAGAATCTCTTAGAACCCGGGAGGTGGAGGTTGCGGTGAGCCGAGATCGCACCACTGCACTCCAGCCTGGGCGACAGAGCAAAAAAAAAAAAAAAAAGAAAGAAAGAAAAAGAAAAGAAAATGCCCATCCCGTTGGATCCAGGCATTGCATTTTTTACCAAGTGTTACAAAGTCAAAACAAGCAAGGAGAAATCACAGTAAAAAGAAAATTACACAGTGCAAACACGCCCAAAATGAGAAGCTTGTCTGTGCGGAAGGAGAGATGCTTTGTGTGCTTTAGAGATGTTTTACTTATATGGGTGAAAAATAGATATATGTAAAAATAGAATATGTGAAAAATAGAATAAAATCACATATATGAGAAATAGAATTAAAAATGACGGCTGAGTGTGGTGGTTCACACTGGTAATCCCAGCACTTTGGGAGACCAAGGCGGGAAGATTGCTTGAGCCTAGGAGTTTGAGGCCAGCCTGGGCAACAAATAATACAAAATAATAATCTCTACAAATAATACAAAAAAAGCCACCCTCCTGCCTCAGCCTCCCAAGTAGCTGGGACTACAGGAGTGTGGAGTCCCAGCTACTTGAGTGTGGTGGCCCACACCAATGGTCCCAGCTAATCGGGAGGCTGAGGCAGGAGGATTGCTTGAGCCCGGGTGGTGGAGGCTGCAGTGAGCTGTGGTCATGTCACTGCACTCCAGCCTGGGTGACAGAGCAAGACCCTGTCTTTAAAATAAAACAGCAAGCCAGGCGCGGTGGCTCATGCCTGTAATCCCAGCAATTTGGGAGGCCGAGGCAGGTGGATCATTTGAGGTCAGGAGTTCGAGATCAGCCTGGCCAACATGGTGAAACCCCGTCTCTATTAAAAATATAAAAATTAGCTGGGCATGGTGTCATACACCTGTAATCCCAGATACTCAGGACGCTGACGCAGGAGAATCATTTGAACCCAGGAGGCAGAGGTTGCAGTGAGCCAAGATCATGCCACTGCACTTCTGCCTGGTCTCCAGAGCGAGACTCCCTCCCAAAAAAAGTTGCAGCGAGAGAGAACGGACAAACAGAGGAGTCAGGAGAAGCCATGGGGAAGAGAGAATGGAAGAAAGAGGCTCAAACTCAGACCCTGGAGAAGGAGAGGGGCAGGGTTGGCCACCCACAACCGTATCCACAGTCCAGAGAATGCTGTAGTTACAAGATACAAATAGGAATATCTTGATCTCCTCACCTCAGTGAACATGGGGATGCATAGTTATCCTATTTATTTCTTAATTATTATCATTATTATTTTGAGACAGAGTCTTACTCTGTCACCCAGGCTGGAGTGCAATGGCACTATCTCGGCTCACTGCACCCTCCGACTCCCGGGTTTAAGGGATTCCCCTGCCTCAGCCTCCCGAGTAGCTGGGATTACAGGTGCCCACCACCACACCTGGCTAAGTTTTGTATTTTTAGTAGAGAAGGGGTTTCACCATGTTGGCCAGGCTGGTCTCAAACTCCTGACCTCAGGGGATCTGCCCGCCTCGGCCTCCCAAAGTGCTGGGATGACACGTGTGAGCCACCGCACCCGGCGAGTTATCCTATTTAAATAAACAATTAAGTGTTCAGCAGTGGATGACTTCAGCAATGAGTTAGAAGACGACCGAGCAGAGGTGAAGGAGATGTCATTCCATTTCCTCGTCCAGGCTGGCTGTCCGGCCTCCCCGCGTCCCTCGGAAGACGATGCTGAAATCCCGTTGTGTCTATGGCGATGGCAGACGGGGGACAGCCAGATTCTGAAGGCGTCCCCGGCTACATCTGTTCCCATTTTCTCCTCGGCCGGGCCATACCAGCGGGAGCGGAAATTCAGTTTTAATAACACAGACCCCCCAAACCCATTTCTGAAGGCAGTTTGTGGGGTGACCTCAGTGTGGATTGTAAATATAAAATTCATATGTGCTGGGCTTCCTGACTGTAATTACCTATCAAAAGTTTCAGGGTTTCAGTGAAATTCCTTATGAAACAACAAATAGTCTCACGGTGGAATCTCACCCCCACCTCTCCCTCTCTACATGCCTGGGACAGAGAATTGATTCTTACGTTTCATGCACAGGACAGACAAGTGTATTTGGTATTTTAATCCCATCCCAAGATGTCTGTGTGGAGTTAATTTTCCTCATGGAATATTTCCTTTCTGCTCATGTGCTGCAGGAGAACAGCTACCCACGACTCTCCAGGCAGTGTGGCAGGAGGAGAGAGAAGGGCAGGCTCTGCAGAATTCTTCGTCTTGGCCGGGCACAGTGGCTCACGTCTGTCATCCCAGCTCTTTGGGAGGCCAAGGCAGGAGGATCACCTGAGGTCAGGAGATCGAGACCAGCCTGGCTAACATGGTGAAACCCCGTCTGTATTAAAAATACAAAAAATTGGTTGGGCGTGGTGGCAGGTGCCTGTAATCCCAGCTACTCGGGAGGCTGAGGCAGGAGAATCGCTTGAACCCGGGAGGCAGAGGTTGCAGTGAGCCGAGATCGCGCCACTGCACTCCAGCCTGGGCGACAGGGCGACACTCTGTCTCAAAAAATAAAATAAAATAAAATAAGAATCCCCTGTCCCTTCCTTCTGTGGTCCAAGACACAGGGTGTGAAGTTTGCAATGCAACAGAACCAGGTATAACTGGTGATTCTTTGCACGTCCTGGTCATGCAGGTCTTCATACCTCAGAAGGAAAAGTTCTCAGTATTTATTTATTTATTTATTTATTTTTTGAGAGGGAGTCTCTCTCTGTCACCCAGGCGGGAGTGCAATGGCACAATCTCAGCCCACTGCAACCTCTGCCTCCTGGGTTCAAGCGATTCTCCTGCCTCAGTCTCCCAAGTGGCTGGGATTACAGGCACCCGCCACCATGCCTGGCTCATTTTTGTATTTTTAGTAGAGACGGGGTTTCACCATGTTGGCCAGGCTGGTCTCGAACTCCTGACCTCAGGTGATCCACCTGCCTCGGCCTCCCAACGTGCTGGGATTACAGGCGTGAGCGACTGCGCCCAGCTCAGAAAAATCTTGACCAGGAAAAAAATCTCCTTGCTCGGTTTATACACCTGTCTCTCTCCTTCTCTTTCCGTGTGTATATATAAAGACACAACAAGTTCATCACAGACTTGTGATTTTTCAAAATCATTTCAATTATTAATTTTCCTTCCTTCCTTCCCCCTCCCTCCCTCTTTCTCTCTTTCTTTCTTTCTCTTTCTTTTTCTTTCTTTTTCTTTCTTTCTTTCTCTTTTTCTCTCTTTCTTTCTTTCCTTTTTCTTTTTTTTTTTTTTTTTAAGACAAAGTCTCCCTCTGTCACCCAGGCTGGAGAGCACTGGCACGATCTTGGCTCACTACAACCTCTGCCTCCCAGGTTCAAGTGATTCTCCTCCCTGAGCCTCCTAAGTAGCTGGGATGACAGGCACCCACCATCATGCCTGGCTAATTTTTGTATTTTTAGTAGAGACGGGGTTTCACCATGTTGGCCAGGCTGGTCTCGAACTCCTGACCTCAGGTGATCCACCTGCCTCGGCCTCCCAAAGTGCTGGGATGACAGGCGTGAACCACCGCGCCCGGCCACTTTTCTTCATGACTGAGTTTTTGGTGCTCTTTTAAACTATATATATACTATATATATATAATAAAATATATATTTTAAGTCATATATATAAAATATATGTAATAAAATTTAAATATTTGTATTTTCTTTATGCTAGAACCAATTAAATTATATATAATGATTATATTCTCATATTAAATCTTAAATTCTCTTAAATTATAAGAATTCCACTGGTTCTAGCATTAAGAGAAGACGAATGTTTAAGGTGACAGATATCCCAAGTGAACTGATTTGATTTTTACAAAGTACCCTTAAATTATGCACCTTTTCTTTTATGCATCAAGTTTTCTTTTATGCATCAAAGGAGGCCGGGCGCGGTGGCTCACGCCCGTAATCCCAGCACTTTGGGAGGCCGAGGCAGGCAGATCACGAGGTCAGGAGTTTGAGACCAGCCTGACCAACATGGAGAAACCCCGTCTCTACTAAAAATACATAAATTAGCCGGGCGTAATCATGGGCACCTGTAATCCCAGCTACTCAGGAGGCTGAGGCAGGAGAATCGCTTGAACCCGGGAGGCGGAAGTTGCAGTGAGCCGAGATCTCACGGTTGCACTCCAGCCTGGTGACAGAGTGAGACTCTGTCTCAAAAAAAAATACAACTTTAGGCCAGACGTGGTGGCTCACACCTGTAAATCCCAGCACTTTGAGAGTCTGAGGTGGGCGGATCACGAGGTCAGGAGTTCGAGACCAGCCTGGACAACATGGTGAAACCCCGTCTCTACTAAAAATACAAAAAAATTAGCCGGGCACAGTGATGGGCGCCTGTAGTCCCAGCTACTCAGGAGGCTGAGGCAGAAGAATCATTTGAACCTGGGAGGCGGAGGTTGCAGTGAGCTGAGATTGCACCACTGCACTCCAGCCTGGCGACAGCGTGAGAGTCCGTCTCAAAAAAAAAAAAAAAAAAAAAAAAAAAACTTAAAGAAAAAAAAGCAGCCCCTTAATTCCGGTATTCCCGGCTGATGCCAGGAGAAGCTGCTGAGTGTGACATCCTCCCAGCTGGCTGGCGGACACCGTCTAGTTTATATATTCAGAGACATCATTTCAGCCACCTCTGTTTCCTCTGCCGTCAAATACATGACTGGAGGTAGCTTCTGAAAGTCCTCAGCCGTAACGATCCAGCAGGCTCATTAATAGAGACGGAACGGATCATCACTCGCTTACTTATCGGGTACAAATTGAAATCTTCAGAGTCCCGGCTGGTTCATTAGCAAATCAGGCCTCTGTGGGACAACATGATACATTGCCTAATAAGCAATTAATAGATTCCTCAGTTATTTGATGCATGCACTTTGTGTGTGTGTGTGTGTGTGTGTGCGTGTGTGTGTGTGTGTGTGTGTGTGGTTGGAGCCAGGCGGAACGAGGTCCTGTCCACAACTTTAGCCATTGTGGTATCTGATTAGAATTGACCATTCAATGTCAAATGAATTCCGATGCATCCTAACGGCGGATGTCACTGGCCTAAGGACCCCCCAGTTAAGCCACCTGCCCCATCCTACGTGGACATCTGCTGTTTTTTTGGTTAGTTGGTTTGTTTGTTTTTGAGATGCAGTTTCGCTCTTGTTGCCCAGGCTGGAGGGTAACGGCACGATCTCGGCCCACTGCAACCTCCGCCTCCCGGGTTCAAACAGTTCTCCTACCTCAGCCTCCCAAATAGTTGGGATTACAGGCATGCACCACCACACCGGGCTAATTTTTGCATTTTTAGTAGAGACAGGGTTTCACCATGTTCATCAGGCTGGTCTCGAAGTCCTGACCTCGGGCGATCCACCCGCCTCGGCCTCCCAAAGTGCTGGATGACAGGCGTGAGCCACTGCGCCTGGCCGGATGTCCACTCTTAAATACAGGTGCACTTTCCAGGTTGACCCTTCTGGCTGGTGGACTTACAGGTGCAGCAAATCCCATTATTTCATTCCTTTCATTGCTTAACTCTCCTACTGAGTCCTCAAAGTCCATTATATCATTCTCATGCCTTTGCGTCCTCATAGCTTAGTTCCTACTTATAAATGAGAACATAATGATGATTGATTTTCCATTCCTGAGTTACTTCCCTTAGAATCATGGCCTCCAGCTCCATCCAGGTTGCTGCAAATGCCATCATTTCATTCCTTCTTATGGCTGAGTAGTATTTGGGGTAGATACCAAACTTCCAACATTCTTAGTCACTTTCAGGGCTGGGACTAGAGTGAGGCATTCATCTAGGGCAACAGATTTATTTTTTTATTATTATTATTATTATTATTATTATTATTATTATTATTATCTGAGATGGAGTCTCACTCTTGTTCCCCAGGCTGGAGTGCAGTGGTGTGATCTCAGCTTACTGCAACCTCTGCCTCCCAGGTTCAAGCGATTTTCCTGCCTCAGCCTCCTGAGTAGCTGGGATTACAGGCACCTGCCACCACCCCCAGCTAATTTTTGTATTTTTAATACAAACGGGGTTGCACCTTGTTAGCCAGGATGGTCTCGAACTCCTGACCTCAGGTGATCCACTGCCCTTGGCCTCCCAAAGTGTTGAGATTACGGGCATGAGCCCCTGTGTCTGGCCGGGCACCAGATTCAAAAGGGTGCCAAAAACTGAGTCACTGAGACAAGTAATAATTTATTGCAATGATTTTGAAAAATCCAGGAGAATGCCGCAAGTCTGCAATGAACACGGCAGCCACATCTTAAAGAAACAGGTGCAGGTAAAGACAGGTAGAAGCGGCTGGCCGTGGTGGCTCACACCTGTAATCCCAGCACTTTGGGAGGCCAAGGCGAGGCACGAGGATCTCTTGAGCCCAGCAGTTTGAGACCAGCCTGGCCAACGTAGCAAGACCCCATCTCTACAAAAACTGTGACACATTAAGTGCGCATGATGGCATGAGCCTGTAATCTGAGCTACTTGGGAGGTTGAGGTGGGAGGAGGGCTTGAGCCCAGGAGGTCAAGGCTGCAGTGAACTGTGACTGAGCCTCTGCACTCCAGCCTGGGTGACGGGGACCCTGTTGTCTAAAAATAAAAATCAAGAGAAATCCAACAACGGTGTGATTAACACAACATGGCAACATTTCATAAGTAGTCAGACGCATGTACATACAGATAGGGGAACTTACTGAGTCCTACCTGGGCTTAAGGACGGAAAAATACCCTGATCCTTCTTTTTTTTTTTTAATTTGAGATGGAGTCTTCCTCCGTCCCCCAGGCTGGAGTGCAATGGCATGATCTCGGCTCACTACAACCTCCGCCTCCCGGGTTCAAGCGATTCTTCTGCCTCAGCCCCACCAGTAGCTGGGATGACAGGCGCCCACCATCACACCCTGCTAATTTTTGTATTTTTAGTAGAGACGGGGTTTCACCATGTTGGCCAGGCTGGTCTCGAACTCCTGACCTCAAGTGATCCACCCGCCTCAGACTCCCAAAGTGCCAGGATTACAGGCGTGAGCCACTGCGCCTGGTCAATCTTGCTTTTTATAAAGACAAAAAAGGTGCCTGTCCCACCTCACAACTCAGCCCTCGGGTAGTGGTTGAGCCCCAGGTAGCTTCATTCACACCCGCCAGGGTCATAACGAATGTTTCTTTTTTTAGAAGCACATTCTCTGCTTTTCTTTTCTGGTTTTCTTTTTTAACACACAAACATATTTTTAATATAGTTCTAAGAGAAGAAAAAGCAGGTCATAAAACTGTAATAAGTTTTCCTAATATTTTATTTATTTTTCATTATTACTATTTTTTAGATTTGCCAGCATGTCAAAAAGAACCTTTATTACTTTCTATAATTGCCTCTTATGCTTTGTTGCCACATGCCTTTGGAGCGGGAGCCTCTGTGGCAGGTGTTTCTTCTATTTTAGAGCTGGAGCCTTTTTTGTTGTTGTTTTGTTTTGTTGAGAGGGAGTCTCACTCTGTCGCCCAGGCTGGAGTGCAGTGGCACGAACTCGGCTCACCGCAACCTCCGCCTCCCAGGTTCAAGCGATTCTCCTGCCTCAGCCTCCCGAGTAGCTGGGATTACAGGCACCTGCCACCACGCCTGGCTAATTTTTGTATTTTTAGTAGAGATGGGGTTTCACCATGTTGGCCAGGCTGGTCTTGAACTCCTGATCTCAAGAGATCCTCCCACCTCAGCCTCCCAAAGTGCTGGGATTACAGGCGTGAGCCAACGTGCCTGGCCGGAGCTGGAGCTTTTTGACCCTTCTGAGCTTTTGGAGCAGGTGCCTCTGTGGATGTAACCGTCTTCTCACTCTACTTGGCAGGTGTTTCTTCTATTTTAGTAGCTGGAGTTTTTGAGTCCTCTGAACTTTTGGAGCAGGTGCCTCTCTGGACGTAACCATCTTCTTACTCTACTTGGCAGGTGTTTCTTCTATTTTAGGAGCTGGAGTTTTTGAGTCCTCTGAACTTTTGGAGCAGGCGCTGCCTTCTGGCCTGCGGCTTTCTGGGAAAGAATCTTCTGGGCTGTAGCCTTCTTACGCACGGCGGTCATCTTTTTCGCTGGAACTTTACCAGCAGCTGCAGCTGCAGCCGTACCCCTTAGCAGCAGGTGCCTTTTTGGAAGAAGCTTTCAGGAGGGCTGCCTTTTGAAGCGTCTTAACTTTATTCTCGATAATTCTGTTCCTCATTTTCTTTGCCTTCATAACTTTAAAATGATCCAAATCTGTCGTCTTGGCTTTTTGGAGAAGCTTTCAGGAGAGCTGCCTTTCGAAGCTTCTTTTTTTTGAGATGGAGTCTTGCTCTGTCACCCAGGCTGGAGTGCAATGGCACCATCTCAGTTCACTGCAACCTCTGCCTCCCGGTTTAAGCGATTCTCCTGCCTCAGCCTCCCGAGTAGCTGGGATTACAGGCACCCGCCACCACGCCCAGCTCATTTTTGTATTTTTAGTAGAGACGGGGTTTCACCATGTTGGCCAGGCTGGTCTCGAACTCCTGACCCCAGGTGATCCACCCGCCTCGGCCTCCCAAAGTGCTGGGATTACAGGCGTGAGCCATTGTGCCCGGGGTCTTGAAGCTTCTTCATTTCATTCCTGATGGTTGTGTTCCCATGTTCTTTGCTTGCATAACTTTAAAACGATTGAACTGTGTCATTTTGCCTTTCCTTTCTCTGGCTTCCATCTTCTTGGCCCCTCGTCTGGCTGCCCATTCTGTGTTGATGTGTAGCTTCTGCCAGGCCTGTCGGACGTACCTCTGGCGGGCGCGGTGTGGAAGCTTGAGGAGGAAATCTGTGAGCTGCCTGTGCTTGAAAGGCATGGCCTGTCTCCTCCTTTGAGTGCACGGTCCATCAACCAAAGCCCTCTTCCCATCAATAACATCTGTAGTCGCGACCGGTTTTCCAGCATGAGGTCCAAAGCAGACGTAGGCCACCCGGGCAACCTCCACGAACTCCCTGAACACCATGTTGGCAGCCTTAGGCGAGAAGGTTAATCTTTTATTTTTAATTGGCAAATAATAATTATGTATGTGTTTAGGGTATAACGATATGTTTTCATCAATGTGGGAAGGATTAAATCAAGTTAACGCACCTGCCACCTCACCTACCTATTATCACCGTGTGTTTTCTTGTTTTTTTGGTGGTGGTGTTCCTTTTTGAGATGGAGTCTTGCTCTGTCACCCAGGCTGGAGTGCAGTGGCACAGTCGCAGCTCACTGCAACCCCCATCTCCTGGGTTCAAGCAGTTCTCTTCCTCAGCCACTTTAAAACGATCCAAATCTGTCATCTTGGATTTTTGGAGACGCTTTCAGGAGAACTGCCTTTGGAAGCTTTTTTTTTTTTTTTTTGAGATGGAGTCTCGCTCTGTTGCCCAGGCTGGAGTGAAATGGCACCACACCTCAGGTGGTCTGTCCACCTTGGCCTCCCAAAGTGCTGGGATTACAGGCATGAGCCACCATGCCCAGACTCATCTCATCTGAGGTCAGGAGTTTGAGACCAGCCTGGCCAACATGGAGAAACCCTGTCTCTACTAAAAATACAAAATTAAATTTTGAGATGGGGTCTCGCTCTGTCACCCAGGCTGGAGTGCAGTGGTGCAATCTCAGCTCGCTGCAACCTCCACCTCCCGGGTTCAAGCGATTCTCTGCCTCAGCCTCCCGAGTAGCTGGAACTACAGGCACCCACCACCAAGACCGGCGAATTTTTGTATTTTTAGTAGAGACGGGGTTTCACCATGTTGGCCAGGCTGGTCTCGAACTCCTGATTTCGTGACCCACCTGCCTCGACTTCCCAAAGTGCTGAGATTACAGGCATGAGCCACTGCGCCCGGCTACTACTTTATTTTTAATTGGCAAATAATTATGTATGCGTCCAGGGTGTCATGTTATGTTTTCATCGATGTGCGCAATGTGTAATGGTTAAATCACGTTGACACACCCACCGTCTCACCTCCTTATTATCACTGTGAGTTTTTTAATGGTGGGAACATTCAAAAATTACTCTTTCAATGCAAAATCGATCACAAAAGCTGTCTAAGTTCTGTAAAAATATTTCCCGCGGCCGGGCGCGGTGGCTCACGCCTGTAATCCCAGCACTTTGGGAGGCCGAGGCGGGCGGATCACGAGGTCAGGAGATCAAGACCATCCTGGCTAACACGGTGAAACCCCATCTCTATTAAAAATACAAAAAATTATCTGGGCGTGGTGGCGGGCGCCTGTAGTCCCAGCTACTCAGGAGGCTGAGGCAGGAGAATGGTGTGAACCCGGGAGGTGGAGCTTGCAGTGAGCCAAGATTGCACCACTGCACTCCAGCCTGGGCGACAGAGTGAGACTCCGTCTCAAAAAAAAAAAAAGAAAAAAAAAATACAAGAATTAGCCGGGCGTGGTGGCAGGTGCCTGTAATCCCAGCTGCTCAGGAGGCTGAGGCAGGAGAATCGCTTGAACCCGGGAGGCGGAGGTTGCAGTGAGCTGAGATTGTGCCACTGTACTCCAGCCTGGGCAACAAAGCGAGACTCCATCTTAAAAGAAAAAAAAATAATAAAGTAAAAAATATAAAAGAACATAAAGACGTCCTCAGCGAAGCATCCATCTCCTCTGCCCTATAGTTTGAGCTACTTACTGACAATCCCTTCTTGCAAACGCTCAACACAGAATTGCTGAGACCGTTAGAACATCACAGAGCCCTCCCTCTGTGTTTCATGAATCTTGCCTCTTTCTGTTTTTTTATTTTTTGTAGAGATGTGGCGGGGGGGCTCTCACTATGTTGCCCAGGCTGGTCTCAAACCTCTGGCCTCAAGCCATCCTCCTGCCTCAGCCTTACAAAGTGCTGGGATCACAAGCATGAGTCGCCGCTGCACGGATGAATCGTGCGTCTTTTTACCTGCAACCATGTCCATCAACCCTCGTCGGTGTTAGTCAATATTATCAAACATTATTATTGTTGTTATTAAATATTAAATAATTATTATTAAATATTAACTAAATACTTAATTTATATTTAATATTATTATATTATATTTGTTGTTTATTATATATTATATTATAAAAATATCAAGTGATGTTAAATGAATTACATATTAATTAAATTTAATTTATATTTAATTAATATTTAATCAATATTTCTATTGATTTATATTTCTATTTTATATTGCACATATTGCAATATGCATATAGATGCATATCTATTGCATAGATGTATATGCATAGCTATATATGCATATAAAAATATATGGATATATGCAAATATATGGATATATAGATATATGCATGTTTATATTTTAATTAAATATTTAATTATTAATATTAAATAGTATTAAATACTTAATTATTAATATTAAATATTATTAAATACTTAATTATTAATATTAAATATTATTAAATATTTAATATTAATATTAAATATTATTGAATATTTAATATTAATATTAAATAAATATTAATGTTTATTATTAGATATTAATTAAACATTTAATTTATATTTAGTTAATATTTAATCAATATTTCTATTTATTTATATTTCTACTTTATATTGCATACATTGCAATATGCATATATAGCTATGCATATATATCTATGCAATAGATATGCATCTATATGCATATACAAATATATGGATATATGCAAATATATGGATATATAGATATATGAATGTTTATATTTTAATTAAATATTTAATTAATATCTAATAATAATCACGAATATTTAATATTGATAATTAAATACTAATTATTAAATATTTAATTACCATATAAACAGAAGCATATATATTCAATGTTGTTCAACATTTTCCGCACCCTCACCACTTTCACAGCCGATCCAGTCATATGTTTTGATGTCAGGGGACCCCCTCCCCAGTATCCCTCTCTCTCATTGCTAAGTGCCCACACCAAGGTGACCCGGGGACCCCCACTGTCACAGGCCTGGATTGTGACGGAGTCTGAAGCATTCGCCGTTGGTGGGGCACGCTCAGGTGATCAGCGGGACGTGAGTGTGGATGGCGGGACAGCCAGGAGACAGACGATGTCTCCTGTAATACAGCATGAGCACAGGAGAAAAGAAAAAAAAGAAAGGAAAGAAAGAAAAGAAAGAAAGATCACACCACAGGTTGGGCACGGCGGCTCACGCCTGTAACCCCAGCACTTGGGGAGGCTGAGGCGGGCAGATCACCTGAGGTCAGGAGTTCGAGACCAGCCTGACCAACATGGTGAAACCCCGTCTGTACTAAAAATACAAAAATTAGCCGGGTGTGGTGGAGGGCGCCTGTAATCCCAGCTACTGGGGAGGCTGAGGCAAGAGAATCGCTCGAACCCAGGAGGTGGAGGTTGCAGTGAGCTGAGCTCGTGCCGCTGCACTCCAGCCTGGGTGACAGAGCGAGACTCTGTCTCATAAAATAAAATAAGGCCAGGTGTGGTGGCTCACGCTTGTCATCCCAGCACTTTGGGAGGCCGAGGCAGGTGGATCACCTGAGGTCAGGAGTTCGAGACAAGCCTGACCCACATGGTGAAACCCCATCTCTACTAAAAATACAAAAATTAGTCGGGCATGGTGGCAGGCATCTGTAATCCCAGCTACTCGGGAGGCTGAGGCAGGAGAATCACTTGAACCCGGGAGGCGGAGGTTGCAGTGAGCTGGGCGTGTTGGCAGGTGCCTGTCATCCCAGCTACTCGGGAGGCTGAGGCAGGAGAATCGCTCGAACCCAGGAGGTGGAGGTTGCAGTGAGCTGAGCTCGTGCCACTGCACTCCAGCCTGGGTGACAAGAGCAAAACTCCATCTCTAAAATATATGATCAAAAAAAATTAAAATAAAATAAAATAAAATAAGATATATGATCAACACAATGTAAATTAGACAATTTATAGTCACACAGCATCCTCCGCGACCTCACCCACAGTGGGAGAGAAAAATTAAAAAAAAAAAAAAACAGTTTTAGGATGATCCCCATGAAATTGTCAAAACCAGCCGCCTTCTAAATATCTGACTGTGGCTGTCAGAAAACAGACTTCAGAGAAGAATACAAATCATTGTATCCAGCCATAATAATGGAGTTCAAAGCTGAGAGGCTATGAAAAATTCATCGTGTGTCTACTTGAAACGAGGGATGTAAATTATGCCACTTTGTCTATATTTGTACAATATGTTCTCGTTGGCAAATACGGGATCTGATCATTGTTTCGTTAAATACCTGACAATTCTGTAACAGTTGCAAAGACGGGTGCTTAAATCAGCGTTTCCCACTCTAGGACGGCAAGAAAACAAAAATAAAGAAATAAAACAGGGTCAGAAAGAATGAGAGCCGGGGGAACCTTTATCTAAATCAGTTGCTTGGACCGGGTGCGTGGGGGCTCACGCCTGTAATCCCAGCACTTCGTGAGCCTGAGACGGACGGATCACCTGAGGTTGGGAGTTCGAGACCAGCCTGGCCAACATGGTGAAACCTCGTCTCTACTGAAAATACAAAAATTAGCCCGGCGTGGTGGCAGGTGCCTGTAATCCCAGCTACTTGGGAGACTGAGGCATGAGGATAGCTTGAACCCGGGAGGTGGAGCTTGCAGTGAGCTGAGATCGGGCCAGTGCACTCCAGCCTGGGCGACAGAATGAGATTCTCTCTCAAAAAAAAAAAAAAAAGAATTTCTTGAATTCATTCTCGAGGTCAGGGTATGTGATGTGACGCTCTCCTAAATGCTGAGAAGATGGAAATAGCATTCTGGTGCACGTCTGTCACCCCAGCTACACGGGAGGCTGAGATGGGAGAACCGCTTGAGCCCAGGAGGTTGAGGCTGCAGTGAGCTGAGATTGCACCACTGCACTCCAGCCTGGGTAACAGAGGGAGACCCTGTCTCAAAAAAAGAAAAAAAGACATGGAAATAACATTTGATGAAGAAGGTGAGGAAAGCCCACACTTTAGCTTTCAAACTGCTACAATTTTTTTTTTTTTTTTTGAGACAAAGTCTCGCTCCGTTGCCCAGGCTGGAGTGCAGTGGCGCGATCTCTGCTCACTGCAACCTCCGCCTCCCGGGTTCAAGCCATTCTCCTGCCTTAGCCTCCCCAGTAGATGGGATTACAGGCGCCCACCACCACACCCAGCTAATTTTTGTTTTTTTGGTTGAGACCAGGTTTAGCTGTTGGCCAAGCTAGTCTCGAACTCCTGACCTCAGGTGATCCACCCGCCTCGGCCTCCCAAAGTGCTGGGATTACAGGCGTGAGCCACCTCGCCCGACGTAATTGCTCCAAATTCTTAAGTCACATGAACACCAGATGCAAGTACTCATACCTCAGACAAGGCAAGAAATTATTATTTTTCCTGCTGACTAAGAAATTCTCATAGCAAAGTATCCCTTGAGTAATATAGCCTGGTTATTCCAGTTTGCATATGTTTTGTTTTTTTGAGACGGTGTCTCACTCTGTCACCCAGGCTGGAGTGC
The DNA here is from genome assembly GCF_000001405.40 of Homo sapiens. Lineage (NCBI taxonomy): Eukaryota > Metazoa > Chordata > Mammalia > Primates > Hominidae > Homo > Homo sapiens. The sequence goes on from NC_000023.11 coordinate 1,015,554, forward strand.
CGTGGCTTGATCTCGGCTTGCTGCAAGCTCCGCCTCGTAAATATGATTCTCCTGCTTCAGCCTCCTGAGTAGCTGGCATTTTAGGCGCCCGCCACCACACCCGGCTAATTTTTGTATTTTTTGTTTGTTTGTTTTTAATACAGACCAGGTTTTACCATGCTGGCCACGTTGGTCTCGAACTCCTGACCTCAAGTAATCTGCCTGCTTCGGCCTCCCAAAGTGCTGGGATTACAGGTGTGAGCCACCGTGCCCAGCCTTCCAGTTTGCATATCTTGCTGATAGGTTTAATTAGCTGAGTGAGCCCAATTTGATAATGCAGCTGGGCAATATTGCTTTCCTGCTGCAGAGAGGGTCATAGATGAAATGACATCTATCCTCGGTATCCAAGGCAGCTGGATACGTTCTGGTTTGGAATTTTGACTGATCTGGTAAGAGGTGGGGGCTGAGGAATCTCAATCCAGATTTTAGGTTTAGTGTTTTGTTTCGTTTCTTTTCGAGACTGAGTCTCGCTCTGTCGCCCAGGCTGGAGTGCAGTGGCGCAATCTCAGCTCACTGCAACCTCCGCCTCCCGGGTTCAAGCGATTCTCCTGCCTCAGCCTCCCAAGTAGCTGGGATTACAGGCAGCTGCCACCACACCTGGCTAATTTTTGTATTTTAGTAGAGACGGGGTTTCACCATGATGGTCAGGCTGGTCTCGAACTCCTCACCTCAGGTGATCCACCCACCTTGGCCTCCCAAAGTGCTGGGACTACAGGCGCCCGCCACCACGCCTGGCTAATTTTTGTATTTTAGTAGCGATGGGGTTTCACCATGATGGTCAGGCTGGTCTCAAACTCCTGACCTCAGGTGATCCGCCAGCCTCGGCCTCCCAAAGTGCTGGGATGACAGGGGTGAGCCACCGTGCCCGGCCTCTGGTTTGCAATTGTGACTGAGCTGGTAAGAGGTGGGGGCCAAGGGTTCTCAATCTGTTTTTTTAATTTTTGTGTTTTGTTTTGTTTTGTTTTCGAGACAAGATCTTGCTCTGTTGCCCAGGCTGGAGTGCAGTCGTGCAATCTCAGCTCAGCGCAGCCTCCACCTTCTGGGCTCAAGCCATCCTCCTTCCTCAGCCTCCCAAGTAGCTGGGACTATGGGCATTCATACCACATCCAGATAATTTTTTTTTTTTCTTGGTACAGACAGGGTTTCACCATGTTGCCCAGGCTGGTCTCAAACTCCTGGGCTCAAGCATCCTCAGCCTTGGCCTCTGATAGTACTGGGATTATAGGTCTGAGTCACAGGGCCTGTCTTTTTGTTTTTGTTTTTGTTTCTGTTTTGTTTGTTTGTTTTGAGATGGAGTCTCGCCCACCGAGGCTGAAGTGCAGTGGCGTGATCTCAGCTCACGGCAACCTCCACCTCCCAGGTTCAAGCGATTCGCCTGCCTCAGCCTCCCGAGTAGCTGCAGTTACAGGTGCCCGCCACCAAACCCAGCTAATTTTTTTGTATTTTTAGTAGAGACACGGTTTCACCATGTCGGCCAGGCTGGTCTCGAACTCCTGACCTCAAATGATCCTCCCACCTCAGCCCCCCAAAGTGCTGAGATTACAGGCGTGAGTCACCGCGCGCCCGGCCACTGTTTTTCTTTTCCTTTTCTTAAATAACAGCACCATTGCACAGCTCATGAGCGCTACAGAAAACACATGTTAAATGTTTTCCACCAAATTTTGGCTTTTTATTGCGGTTGAAAATAAACAAGTACCAGAAAATCAGATCTTTTTGTAAAATGTTAAACACACATTATGGGTAATGTACACGCCTGTGGCTTCCTGTACGGCCACAGGGTAATTGAATTTGATTCGAGTTCATTTACTCCTGCCAAATCAAGCCCCACCGAACAGGTGTTAGATGTTGTTAGAGATTCAGCTTTGAAATGTCCATTTCTCTCTTCCTTTCAACTTCTGGATGTGCTGAACTGGGGAAAATCCTGTGAGTATAATTTACATGTTCCTGCTGCCTTCCACGCTACGGTATCGGAGCACCTGATGACTTCTTTATATGGGGCATATGAAAGCAAACTCTGAAATGAGGCCGGGCGCGGTGGCTCACGCCTGTCATCCCAGCACTTTGGGAGACCGAGGAGGGTGGATCGCCTGAGGTCAGGAGTTGGAGACCAGCCTGGCCAACATGGTGAAACCCCATCTCTACTAAAAATACAAACACTAGCCTGGCTTGGTGGCAGGCGCCTGTAATCCCAGCTACTCGGGAGGCTGAGGCAGGAGAATCGCTTGAACCCGGGAGGCTGAGTTTGCAGTGAGCTGAAATCGTGCCACTGCACTCCAGCCTGGGCAACAGCGAGATTCTGTCTCAAAAAACAAACAAAAAAAAATAGTCACTCATGGGCATCGCCTTATTTTCCATTGTTACTGCTTATTGATACATTCAGGGAAATACTGGTTTTACAATTTTACGGTTGCTAGAAGTTGGAATGAAACCACAAGTAATGAGTCTCACTTTATTTGATGATTTGGTGGTCTTGCGTTCTTTGAACTTATTCTGGGTTAATTCTCTATGTCTCTTCTTTCTTCAACTTCAAATTTGGATCTCTGCACAATTTTCTGCAATTTGTTTTTTATTTTTTATTTTTTTTTGTTCTTTCAGGTCCCCTATCATCTTATGGGCTCTTTTCCATATTAATCGTGTTTTATTTTGTCTTTTCTGTATCGTTCTTTGTTTCATTTTTCTTTTCTATCCTCTATTTCTCTCTCTTTCTTGTATTTTGAAACAGAGTCTCGCTCTGTCACCCAGGCTGGAGGGCAGTGGCGCGGTGTCGGCTCACTGCAACCTCCACCTCCCCGGTTCAAGCGATTTTCCTGCCTCAGCCTCCCGAGTAGCTGGGATTACAGGTGCCCGCCACCACGCCCGGCTAATTTTTGTATTTTTACTAAAGACGCGGTTTCACCATGTTGGCCAGGATGGTCCCGAACTTCTAACCTCAGGTGATCCACCCGCCTCGGCCTCCCAAACCTATGGGTATTTTGTTCTTGTTTTTGAGATGGAGTCTTGCTCTGTCGCCCAGGCTGGAGTGCAATGGCGTGATCTCGGCTCACTGCAACTTCCATTTCCCAGGTTCAAGTGATTCTCCCGCCTCAGCCTCCCAAGTAGCTGGGATTACAGGCATGCGCCAGCACGCCTGGCTAATTTTTGTGTTTTTTAGTAGAGACGGGGTTTCACCATGTTGACCAGGCTGGTCTCGATCTCCTGACCTCGTGATCTGCCCGCCTCAGCCTCCCAAAGTGCTGGGCTTACAGGCGTGAGCCACCGCGCCTGGCCCCAAGAGAGGGTGTTGTCTTTTTGCCCAAGCTGGAGTGTAGTGGCGTGATCACACCTCACTGCAGCCTCAACTTCCTGGGCTAAAGGGATCCTCCAGCCTCAGCCTCCCAAGTAGCAGGGAATCCAGGTGTGAGCCGCTGTGCCCTGCTGAGAACAAATTTTTGCATTTTTAAAATTTAATTCTGTGCAGTGTTCATTGTTGCCAACCAAATGTACCCTTTTCCACAAAAGAAAGCTTTATTTTCCTGTGTATAGCAATATAATTTCTTAAGAACATGGTAGAGCACACATAATATAATCTCTGCCATTTTAGCCATTGTAAATAAGGTACAATTCGGCCAGGCATGGTGTTTCACACCTGTAATCTCAGCATTTTGGGAGACTGAGGCAGGCCGATCAGGAGGTCAGGAGATCGATACCATCCTGGCCCACATCGTGAAACCCCATCTTTACTAAAATACAAAAAATTAGCCTGGCATGGTGGTGCACGCCTGTAGTCTCAGCTACTCGGGAGGCTGAGGTAGGGGCATTGCTTGAACCCAGGAGGTGGAGGTTGCAGTGAGCCAAGATCACGCCACTGCACTCCAGCCTGGGTAACAAGAGCGAGACTCTGTCTCAAAAATAAAAGAAAAAAAATTAAATATTCTGCAATGTTCATTGTTGCCAACCAAATGTACCCTTTTCCTCAAAAGAAAGCTTCTTTTCCTGTCTATAGCAATACATACTTTTTTAAAATTGTGGAGGAGTGCATATAATATAATCTCTGCCATTTTAGCCATTTTAAAGAGTACATTTTGGCCGGGCACGGTGGCTCATGCCTGTACTCTCAGCACTGTGGGAGGCCGAGGCGGGTGGATTATCTGAGGTCGGGAGTTCGAGACCAGCCTGGTCAACATGGCAAAACCCCATCTCTACCAATAATACAAAAATTAGCCGGTGTGGTGGTGTGTGCCTGTCATCCCAGCACTTTGGGAGGCTGAGGTGGGTGGATCACGTGAGGTCAGGAGTTCGGGACCAGCCTGGCCAACATGGCAAAACCCCATCTCTACTAATAATACAAAATTTAGCCAGGCGTAGTGGCACATGCCTGTAATCCCAGCTACTCGGAAGGCTGAGGCAGGAGAATCACTTGAACCCGGGAGGCAGAGGTTGCAGTGAGTTGAGATTGTGCCATTGCACTCCAGCCTGGGCAACAAGAGCGAGACTCCATCTCAAAAAAAAAAAAGAAAAAAAATTTAAATATTGTGCAATGTTCATTGTTGCCAACCGAATGTACCCTTTTCCTCAAAAGAAAGCTTCTTTTCCTGTCTATAGCAATATATACTTTTTTAAAATTGTGGTAGAGCACACATAATATAATCTCTGCCATTTTAGCCATTTTAAAGAGTACAATTCGGCCGGGCATGGTGGCTCACGCCTGTAATCCCAGCACTTTGGGAGGGCCGAGGCAGGTGGATCACCGGAGGTCGGGAGTTCGAGACCAGCCTGGCCAACATGACAAAACCCCATCTCTACTAATAATACAAAAAATTAGCTGGGAGTGGTGACGCATGCCTGTAATCCCAGCTACTCAGGAGGCTGAGGCAGGAGAATCGCTTGAACCCGGGAGGCGGAGGTTGCAGTGAGCTGAGATGGCGCCACTGTACTCTAGCCTGGGGAACAAGATCAAAACTCTATACCCCCCCCAAAAAAATAGTACATTCAAATAATTGTGCAACCATCATCACTAACCACCTCCAAAATGTTTTCATCGTCCCAAACAGAAACTCTCTTCCCATGAAACACCAATTCCCCATTTCACCCCCCAGCCCCTGCCACCCACAGTTCTAGTTTCTGTCTCTATGAAATCTTTGCCTGTTCTAGACATTTTAGTTAAGTGGAGTCATACACTATGTGGTCTTTCCTGTCTGGCTTCTCTCACTGGGCCTGATGTCTTCAAGGTTCACCCATGCCACAGCCTGCATCTGACCCTCATTCCTTTTCCTGGCTGTATAGTATTCCATTGTATGTCTCTTCTCCCGCTGGGCCTGATGTCTTCAAGGTTCATTCATGCTGCAGCCTGCGTCTGACCCTCATTCCTTTTCCTGACTGTACAGTATTCCATTGTGTGTCTCTTCTCCCACTGGGCCTGATGTCTTCAAGGTTCATCCACTCTGCAGCCTGTGTCTGACCCTCATTCCTTTTCCTGGCTGTGTAGTATTCCATTGTGTGTCTCTTCTCTCACTGGGCCTGATGTCTTCAAGGTTCATCCATGCTGCAGCCTGCGTGTGACCCTCATTCCTTTTCCTGGCCATATAGTATTCCATTGTGTGTCTCTTCCTTCTCTCACTGGGCCTGATGTCTTCCATGTTCATTCACACTGCAGCCTGCGTCTGACCCTCATTCCTTTTCCTGGCTGTGTAGTATTCCATTGTGTGTCTCTTCCTTCTCTCACTGGGCCTGATGTCTTCCATGTTCATTCACACTGCAGCCTGCGTCTGACCCTCATTCCTTTTCCTGGCTGTGTAGTATTCCATTGTGTGTCTCTTCCTTCTCTCACTGGGCCTGATGTCTTCAAGGTTCATTCATGCTGCAGCCTGCGTCTGACCTTCATTCCTTTTCCTGGCTGTATAGTATTCCATTGTGTGTCTCTTCTCCCACTCGGCCTGATGTCTTCAATGTTCATCCACACTGCAGCCTGTGTCTGACCTTCATTCCTTTTCCTGGCTGTGTAGTATTCCATTGTGTGTCTCTTCTCACTGGGCCTGATGTCTTCAAGGTTCATCCATGCTGCAGCCTGCATGTGACCCTCATTCCTTTTCCTGGCTGTGTAGTATTCCATTGTGTGTCTCTTCTCTCACTGGGCCTGAGGTCTTCAAGGTTTATCCACGCTGCAGCCTGCGTCTGACCCTCATTCCTTTTCCTGGCTGTATAGTATTCCACTGTGTGTCTCTTCTCTCACTGGGCCTGAGGTCTTCAAGGTTTATCCACGCTGCAGCCTGCGTCTGACCCTCATTCCTTTTCCTGGATGTATAGTATTCCATTGTGTTCCCAGAGTAAATTCTGTTTACCTGTTCATCCACTGATGGGCGCCTGGGTTGCTTCCACGTTTGAACTGTTGTGAGTCATGACACTATGAACTTGGGTATAGCAGTATGCTCTGTTTTTCTAGGAAAATTTGGAGATGAAAAAAATATGTTCACCCATGAGATCATATCCTTTGCAGGGGCGTCGATGGAGCTGGAAGCCTTTATCCTCAGCAAACTCACACAGGAACAGAAAACCAAACACTTCATGTCCTCACGCATAAGTGGGAGCTGAACAATGAGAACAGATGGACACAGGGAGGGGAACGTCACACACTGGGGCCCGCCAGGGGTGGAGGGGTGGGAGGGAGAGCAACAGGAAAAATAACTAATGCATCGTGTGCTTAATACCTAGGCGACAGGTTGACAGGTGCAGCAGACCACCATGGCACGTGTTTACCTATGTAGCAAACTTGCCCACCCTTCCCCCACACCCCAGAGCTTAATTTTTTTTTCTTTTTCAAGATGGAGTCTCACTCTGTCGCCCAGGCTGGAGAGTGCAGTGGCGCGATCTCAGCTCACTGCAAGCTCCACCTCCCGGGTTCACGCTATTCTCCTGCCTCAGCCTCCCGAGTAGCTGGGACTACAGGTGCTCGCCACCACGCCCGGCTAATTTTTGTGTTTTTAGGAGACACAGGGTTTCACCGTGTTAGCCAGGATGGTCTCGATCTCCTTACCTCGTGATCTGCCCGCCTTGGCCTCCCAAAGTGCTGGGATGACAGGCGTGAGCCACCGTGCCTGGCACCCCAGACCTTAAAATAACATTTTTTAAAAAGTTTACATAGTGCAAAGAAAAAAAGCATAATTATTTTCATAGTCATTAACTAGAGAATAAGACAGAGACTAATAGAGACACAAAAGTCATGTGTGAGTGTCACAGTTAAGTGGAAACAGGGCTGGTATAATTTGCATCTTCACCTTTTCAAAGCTGGGAGCATGGTGGTCCACACCTGTAATCTCAGCACTTTGGGAGGCCAAGGCAGGTGGATCACCTGGGGTCAGGAGTTCGAGACCAGTCTGGCCAACATGGCAAAACCCCATCTCTGCTAAAGATACAAAAATTAGCCGGTCACAATGGCAGGTGCCTGTAATCCCGGCTACTCGGGAGGCTGAGGCAGGAGAATGGCGTGAAATCGGGAGGCGGAGGTTGCAGTGAGCCGAGATCACATCACTGCACTCCAGCCTGGGAGACAGAGCGAGACTCCGTCTCAAAAAAAGAGAAAAAAAGTTTCCAAGGTTGCTATGTCTCTACCATGAACAATATCAGGGGTTGGGGTGAGGGTGGGGGAGGATTATTTTATAATAACACAATATCCGGCTCTGAATTCAACAGTCAATTAAAAACATATTACGTAATTTCCCTTCTATCAGGATCTGCAGACTACGCTTTCACTTCTTTCTTGTCGGCTAGTCCTTCCAAAGGTAGGATATTTCTCTCTTACAAACCATGCCCTGTGCTTCGGGGACCCGTAAAATATGTCTTTAAAATCACTTGAACTCTTTTTATTTATTTATTTATTTATTTATTTATTTATTTATTTATTTATTCTGAGACGGAGTCTTGCTCTTGTCACCCAGGCTGGAGTGCAATGGCATGATCTCGGCTCACTGCAACCTTCGCCTCCCGGATTCAAGCAATTCTCCTGCCTCAGCCTCCTGGGTAGTTGGGATTACAGGCATGCACCACCACGCCCGGCTAATTTTTGTATTTTTTAGTAGAGACGGGATTTCACCATGTTGGTCAGGCTGGTCTCGAACTCCTGACCTCGTGATCCACCCGCCTCAGCCTCCCAAAGTGCTGGGATGACAGGCATGAGCCACCACGCCCGGCCAAAAAAATCACCCGAACTCTTTTTAACGTTTGGAAAGAAGTCCCTGGTTGTGTTCCATCTGTTGGAGGCACCATGATGGAATGGGAACCATCTGTGCTAAATGCACCCGTCTTCATCTTTCACAACAAATCCGTCTGGCCTCTTGCTGTGCTCGTGAGCTCTCTGCAGAGAAAGCTTGTTCATCCCGGCTCTTTTCTACTCAGCTCACATTCAGGATCCTGCAGACCTGGGATAATCTCTTCTGGAGGAGGGTCTTTTCCAAATCTTTGATCTCCCTGTTTTATTTATCTGTCCTGATCCAACACGTGGGGCCCCCCATTCGTGCATGAGCCTGGGGACTGCTTTCCCGAGAGGCCTCCACCGCCGAGTCTGAAGCGGTCGTCTAATCCTCAGGCAAAAGAACTTCCCGCTTTTATAAGCAGGAAAAACTGCACCCCGGGTTCTAATACCGCGATCTGTGTCTTTTCCGAGGCTGACTTGGTGAGGATATTACTCAGCCTAATAACCATGTCAATATTAGGTCAATAATATCCCGCACCTGTGATAACTTCGGCCTGCCAGGCAGAAATTTGCCGTGGTGATCAAAAGACATTCTCCCAAGGCAAACATTGGAAATTAATGTTTTAAAAACCGGTTCTGATGCCAGAAGGAAAGGCTGTTTTAGAAAGACAACCAGCGTTCTAGGGGGGAAAGATGGTCCCCGGTGAAATGCACGGATTACCCACGACAAATACGGAATTGGATGTTGCCAGTAAATGAAGAGAGCTGTTTGGAAAAGGCTGGTGAAGAGGAAGGTTTTCTGTACAAAGAGAAGCGACTCACACGTTTAAGAGTTTATGCAGCCAAAAAACACATGAAAAAATGCTCATCTTCACGGGCCATCAAAGAAATGCAAATCAAAATCACAATGAGACACCATCTCACACCAGTTAGAATGGCGATCATTAAAAAGTCAGGAAACAACAGGTGCTGGAGAGGATGTGGAGAAATAGGAACACTTTTACAGTGTTGGTGGGACTGTAAACTAGCTCAACCATTGTGGAAGTCAGTGTGGCGATTCCTCAGGGATCTAGAACTAGAAATACCATTTGACCCAGCCATCCCATTACTGGGTATATACCAAAATGACTATAAATCATGCTGCTATAAACACACATGCGCACGTATGTTTATTGTGGCACTATTCACAATAGCAAAGACTTGGAACCAACCCAAATGTCCAACAATGATAGACTGGATTGAGAAAATGTGGCACACATATACCGTGGAATACTATGCAGCCATAAAAAATGATGAGTTCATGTCCTTTGTAGGGACATGGATGAAACTGGAAACCATCATTCTCAGCAAACTATTACAAGGAGAAAAAAACAAATAATGCATGTTCTCACTCACAGGTGGGAGTTGAACAATGAGAACACATGGACACAGGAAGGGGAACATCACACACCGGGGACTGTTGTGGGGTGGGGGGAGGGGGGAGGGAGAGCATTAGGAGATATACCTAATGTTAAATGACGAGTTCATGGGTGCAGCAAACCAGCATGGCACATGTATACATATGTAACAAGCCTGCATGTTGTGCACATGTACCCTGAAACTTAAAGTATAATAATAATAAAATTTAAAAAAAAGAGTTTGCAAGGGTGAAAGTTGAAGGGTGTAGAGAAAAACAAAGATTGGGAAGCTGTGTGTCCTGGAGACGTGCTGTGTGTCCTGGAGACGTGCTGTGTGTGCCAGGCTTGGCTGATTTCTTTGAATTAGGTGGAATTCCTCTCTTTTCTTGCCAAACATCTGCTAAAGGATCTTCTCTCTGTATCATGTTTGCTGTCATGCAGCTGTATAGAAAATGCATTTCGCAAGGCTGGGCACGGTGGCTCACACGTGTAATCCCAGCTACTCAGCAGGCTGACTGCAGGAGAATCTGTTGACCCCGGGAGACACATTGCAGTGAGCCGAGATCGTGCCATTGCCTTCCAGCCTGGGCGACAGAGTGATACTCTGTCTCCAAAAATAATAAAAATTGGCTCACGCGTGTAATCCCAGCACTTTGGGAGGCTGAGGGAGGGGGATCACGAGGTCAGGAGATGAAGACCGTCCTGGCTAACATGGTGAAAACCCGTCACTATTAAAAAAATCCAAAAAATTAGCCGGGCGTGGTGGCGGGCGCCTGTAGTCCCAGCTACTCGGGAGGCTGAGGCAGGAGAATGACGTGAACCAGGGAGGCTGAGCTTGCAGTGAGCCGAGATCGCGCCACTGCACTCCGGCCTGGGCGAAACAGCGAGACTCCATCTCAAAAAATAATAATACTAAAATTAAATTAAAATTACATTTTTAAAAAAATTTAAAAAATGCATCCCCTGGCTGGGTGCGGTGGCTCACACCTGTAATACCAGGACTTTGGGAGGCCGAGGCGGGTGGATCACCTGAGATCAGGAGTTTGAGACCAGCCTGGACAACATGGCGAAACCCCGTCTCTACTAAAAATACAAAAATTACCTGGGCACAGTGGTGCACGCCTGTCATCCCAGCTACTCAGGAGGCTGAGACAGGAGAATCACTTGAACCCAGGAGGCGGCGGTTGCAGTGAGCCAAGATCGCACCACTGCCCTCCAGCCCGGGCAACAAGAGTGGGACTCCATCTCAAACACACACACAAAAAATCCCCCTTTTCAACTTTTTTCCTTTGTACTTCACTACTGAATTCTAAAATGGGAACTGGTTTCGTGGTTTCCTTCCTGTGGTGAAAGGCATACAGAAAAAGAAGTCACCGTTTCAGACAACTCCGGCTCAGGAACAAAGATGTTTTATGTGTGTTTTAAAAAACTTTTTACTTTACATAAAATTGGCAAACAATACTTGCATATTTTTAAGGCGCACAACATGACGTTTTGATAGATGTATCATTGTGGAATAATTACATCAGGTTAATTCACGTATCTGTCACTTCAAGTGCTTAATCTTTTTTTAGTGAAAACATGTAAAATCTGTTCTTTTATCAGTTTTGAATTATACATTATCTATTAACTGTTGCCACCATGCTGGGCTACAATGTTTTCTTCTGTCACTAGAATGCATCCTTTCTGTCAAACTGAAACTTTGTATCATTTTACCAACGGTTTCCCCCTTTTTTTTCTTCTTCTTCTTCGTCCTCCTCCACCTCCCCCTCCTCCTCCTCCTCCCTCTCCTCTCCCCTCCCCTCTCCTCCCCTCTCCTCCCCTGTCCTCTCCTCTCTTTTCTTTTCTTTTCTTTTTTTCCTTTCTTTTTAGACAGAGTCTTACTCCGTCACCAGGCTGGGGAGCAGTGGCACAATCTCAGCTCACTGCAACCTCCGCCTCCCGGGTTCAAGCGATTCTCCTGCCTCAGCCTCCCGAGTAGCTGGGATGACAGGCACCTGCCACCACATCCGGCTAATTTTTCTATTTTTAGTAGAGACAGGGTTTCGCCATGTTGGCCAGGCTGGTCTCGAACGCCTGACCTCATGATCCACCTGCCTCGGGTTAGACTTTTTTACATTCCACGTAGAGGTGAGATCACGCGGTATTTGTCCGTCTGAGCCTGGCTTATTTCCCTCAACATCACGTCCCCCGGGTTCATCTTGCTTTTCCAGGCTGAAGACTATTCTGTTGTGTGTGTCGCACATCTTGTGGCTTGTGTCATAGAAAACGTTTTCCCCACAAACCCATACCCTGTCCGGGACGCCCCACGCCCTCTCACTGTGCCTAAGTCCCACGGGAAGGCTGTTATGGCCTACTGTTGTTTTGCGGAATTTGCCTTTTCTTTCTTTCTTTCTTTCTTTCTCTCCTGTCTTTTTCTTGCTTCCTTTTCTTTCTCTTTCTTTCTCCCTCTCTTCTTTCTTCTTTTTTCTTTCTCCCTCTCTTATTTCTTCTTTCTCTTTTCTTTCTCTTTCTTTCTCTTTTCTTTTTCTTTCTTCTTTCTCTTTCTTTTCTATTTCTCTCTGTCTCCTTTCTTTGTCTCATTTCTTTTTCTTCTTTCTCTTTCTCTTACTTTCTCTGTTTTCTTTCTTTCTTTGTCTCTTCTTTCTTTTTTCTTTCTTGCTCTTTCTTTTTTTTCTCTCTCCTTTCTTTGTCTTTCCTTCTCCTTTCTTTCTCTTTCTCTTACTTTCTTTGTCTCTCTCCTTTCTCTCTGTTTTCTTTCTTTCTTCCTCTTTCTCTTTCTTTCTCTCTTTCTTTTTTCTTTCTCTTTCTTCTTCCTTTCTTTCTCTGTCTTTTCTTTCTTTCTCCCTTCCTTCCTTTCTTTCTCTTTGTTTCTTCTTTCTTTCTTCCTCTCTCCTTCCTTCCTTCTTTCCTTCCTTTCAAGACAGAGTCTGACTCTGTCACCCAAGCTACAGTGCAGTGGCACAATCTCAGCTCACTGCAACCTCTGCCTCCTGGGTTCAAGCGATTCTCCTGCCTCAGCCTCCTAAGCAGCTGGGATTACAGGCACGCGCCACCACGCCCAGCTACTTTTTTTGTATTTTTAGTAGAGACGGGGTTTCACCATGTTGGCCAGGGTGCTCTCAAACTCCTGGCCTCAAGAGATCCACCCGCCTTGGCCTCATAAAATGCTTGCATTACAGGCATGAACCACCCTGCCCAGTCCTAAATTTGCTTTTTACAGGGGATGCCTTTGCAAAGGTAGCCTGAAGCTACATCAGGGCTCTTGTACATGAGCTGGTCACATGAGAGTCTGCCTAAAAGTAGAAGAAGGAAAAAAAAAATCGCAGTCCTCCAAAGGCTATGATAACCAAGGGAAGTCATCCCAAGACGTGTGAGTGGCTGGATTCTCTATATCCATCCAGGAGAGAGGATTGGGGGTCACTGGGAGCAAGGTTTATCGTGAGACAACTTGAGATGTCTTCCTGCGGGCACGAAAAGGACCAAAACACTCTGGAATAGGATTGCTTGGGGCAGAAAGGTCTTCAGCTGACCACATGCTTTCTGAGCACCTGGCTTTACGCAGAACCCTGTCCGGGAAATGCTGGGTGAAGAGAACACGCTGTCCAGTGGGCTTGGGAGGGCCTCATCTTGTGCCGGCTTCAGCCAATTGGAAAAAAATAAAAGATGAGCCGATTATGTAAGGCCTGACATGGTACTGAGGGCTCTCTGAGCATAAATTAACTTCCCCACACAGCCCGCCTGTGAGGTAGGTAGGAAGGTGGGCGGTAAACGTGTGTGCCAATTTTCATCTGGACCTCAGAGACCCATGGTAGTTCAGCAAAGGCCACACAGTGAGCTGGGTGGAGGGAACGTAGAAACTCTCAGGCATCCGCCAGGCCCCGTCCCATACTTTGGCAGGGAGGTTTTTATTAAAATGATTAAGGACCGAGGTGGTGATCCCGGGAAAAGTTGTTGAAAAATGAAAGTTTGGGCCTCTGAGTTAATGGTTTAATTATGCGTCTCAGGATTTGCAAAGAGCACAGTCATCTTATGTGTGGGGCGGATTCTGACTTCCCGTCCAGCCTTTCATTTCTAGAGACAATCGGCCAATTTATACTTAGGGGAAAATGAAGGACGAGCTGAAAGAATGGCAGAAAGTCCATCTTCCAAGCTCTTCCTGGAAATACAGAAAAGAAAGGAGCGTCCTCAAAAAACACCAGCCCACACGTTGACGTCGGCACCTCCTGCAAGATGAGCCGGGCACATTTATTAAGCAGCCGTTTGGCTGGAAAAAATGGCCAATGCAACTCGGTCTGAATTTCTCTCCTGGGTGTCCAAGGATCAAGGCAGGTAATGAGGTTGGCAGAATTATGAATCGCAATCAAATTTTTTCTATGACCTGATAGAAACGCCAACTCACTGTATGAGTCTGTTGTCAAAGTCTAACTTCCAAAACGCAAAGCACGCTCCCGATCATAAACACAGAGATAGCAGTATTGAAGAATTGTCCCCCCGGCTCCAGCCCCGGATTTCTCTAGAGGGGCTAATGGAGGCCACGACATTTGTGGCATAAAAAGGTTTGCGATGAACAGTCTTGCCTGGGGTGCAGGAAGGTGAGGAGCTGTGTGTGGCTTTTGCGTTTTCCTTCACGATGGAATGCGAGTCTTTGATGCCGGCTAGATCCACGTTTTATGAGGCGGAATTTTTAATATTGAAAGTCAGAAAGGGCTAGATGGTCTTTGGAGTCCCAGTGGGTGAAGTCGAAGTAAAGGAATGTGGTCATTAAAAAAAAAAAAAAAAAACTTGATTTTTCTTACCCAGAGGTTGGTACACGGTGAGTCTAATTTTCTCAAAGGAAATCTGAAATCAGACCAATTTGGAGTGTCGTTAGCTGGGATCTACCTCCAACGGGCCCACATCACCAACCCTCATGTCGGGCACCGAATTTCCGTCACTATTCTGCAGGATGAGCTCACGCCAGGAATACCTCCACCAACCCAATGTCTGACTCAAAACTTTGCAAACTAGGAAAGGCCCAAAGAAATTATGAAATCAGGGCCGGGCGCGGTGCCTCACGCCTGTCATCCCAGCACTTTGGGAGGCCGAGGCAGGTGGATCAGCAGATCAGGAGATCAAGACTGTCCTGGCTAACATGGTGAAACCCCGTCTCTACTAAAAATACAAACAATTAGCCGGGCGCGGTGGTGAGCACCTGTAGTACCAGCTACTCGGGAGGCTGAGGCAGGAGAATGGCGTGGTGGCTCACACCTGTAATCCCAGCACTTTGGGAGGCCGAGGCAGGTGGATCTCTTGAACTCAGGAGATCAAGACCAGCCTGGGCAACATGGGGAAACCCCGTCTCTACTAAAAATACAAAAATTAGATGGGTGTGGTGGTGGGTGCCTGTAATCCCAGCTACTCCAGGGGACTGAGGTGGGAGGATTGCTTGAGCCCGGGAGGCGGAGGTTGCAGTGAGCAGAAATTGCACCACTGCACTCCAGCCTGGGTGACAGAGTGAGACTCTGTCTCAAAAATGAAAAAAAAAAAAAAAAGAGGTGGGGTGCAGTGGCTCACACCTGTAATCCCAGCACTTTGGGAGGCCGAGGCGGGTGGATCACGAGGTCGGGAGATCCAGACCAGCCTGACCAACATGGTGAAACCCTGTCTCTACTAAAAATACAAAAATTAGCTGGGAGTGATGGCGGGTGCCTGTGGTCCCAGCTACTCAGGAGGCTGAGGCAAGAGAATCGCTTGAAGTTGGGAGTCAGAGGTTGCAGTGAGCCGAGATGGCACCACTGCACTCCAGCATGGGCGACTGAGTGAGACTCCGTCTCAAAAAAAAAAAAAAGAAAGAAAGAAAAAAGAAAGAAAGCGAAAGAAGAAGGAAAGAAAGAAAGCGAAAGAAGAAGGAAAGAAAGAGAAAGGAGAAAGACAGAGAAAGAAGGAAAAATGAAAGAAAGAAGAAAGAGAAAGAAAGAAAGAAAGAAAGAAAGAAAGAAAGAAAGAAAGAAAGAAAGAAAAGAAGAAAGAAAGAAAGAGAAAGAAAGAAAGAAAGAAGAAAGAAAGAAAGAAGAAAGAGAAAGAAAGGAAGAAAGGGCTGGGCACAGTGGCTCACGCCTGTAATCCCAGCACTTTGGGAGGCTGAGGCGGGTGGATCCTCTGAGGTCAGGAGATCGAGGCCAGCCTGACCAACATGGAGAAACCCCGTCTCTACTAAAAATACAAAAATTAGCCGGGCGTGGTGGTGCATGCTTGTAATCCCAGCTACTCGGGAGGCTGAGGCAGGAGCATCGCTTGAACCCAGGAGGCAGAGGTTGCCGTCAGCCGACGTCATGCCAATGCACTCCAGCCTGGGCAACAAAAGCAAAACTCCGTCTCAAAGAAAAAAGAAAGAAAAAAAAAAGAAAATCAGAGACTCCCTGGCAGATCTCAGGGTATGACTCCCCCAGGGTCGCCATAGCTGACTGCATTAGCACGGCCCTGTGATCACCGGATGAATGGTCTTGGTGGGACAGGTGGCTGCCGTGATCAAACGGCGTGTCCGCCGGTGCTGACAGGTGAGGTGCGGAGTTGCCCACATGGCCCGCCTGGGCCTGGTCCACCAGCAGCAGGGAAGGAGGAGCAGAGCCCAGCTCGGTGCATTTGGAGGCGGTTACCAGGGAAACCAGAGGACAAGCTCAGACGCTTGGGGACGGCCTCTCCACCCAGGCACGTGGAGCTTCATATTAATCGGCAGCCGGGCACGGGCTGGCAGCCCCTTACCCAGACAGATACACACAGAAGTGGAGCTCCCAGTGATGGCTCGTCACGGCTGATATCTGCCCCAGTGGTCATGTTGAACCGGGACGTCATCTCTGTAGGAAAAGGGGGACGGATGTCTGTCTGGACACGGTCCAAGGTACATCGCTGTCTGATCTTTCCGAAAAGTCAGCGTTCGTGGCTTGAGCTGGACGCTTTGAAAGGCGAGGGCGTCGGAAGCTTCATCTCAGGGAGCTGTCATGTGGTATTAGCTTGTAGCACCACCAACCTGCCCTGCCCAGACTGACTTCTCCAGGGCGGGTTTTCCAGGAGGAAGCGCAGGGTGACTCTGTTTCCCCAGCGGCTTCCAAGCACTCCTGGGGACCTCTGTTTGTGAGAAGGACAACATCTGTGTCTGTCTGATGGGCTTGGTGGGATACTCTGATGCATGCACCTGCCGCCGGAGCTCTCTCTGCAAACGTTCTGTGCTGACTTAGGGGAGGCAAAGACACAGAGTTGGAGATCAAGGCTGGTTTGTTCTTCAGCCTTTTGACTCTTCATCTGCGGCATCATTGCATCTGTTTGAATATTTTTCAAAAAGTTTATCGAAAACACAGCTGCACTCCGACGAAGATCCCCACACTATTCACAATGGGAAACATATATAATCGACCGACGTGTGTTTCATTTGCTTTTCCCTGATGATTATTGATTGTCTTAGTCCGTTTTCATGCTGCTGATAAAGATACAACCGAGGCTGGGGACGGTGGCTCACGCCTGTCGTCCCAGCACTTTAGGAGGCTGAGGTGGGTGGATCACCTGAGGTCAGGAGTTTGAGACCATCCTGGCCAACATGGTGAAACTGTCTCTACTAAAAATACAAAAATTAGCTGAGCGTAGTAGCAGACGCCTGTAATCCCAGCACTTTGGGAGGCCGAGGCACGCAGATCACCTGAGGTCAGGAGTTTGAGACCAGCCTGGCCAACATGGTAAAACCCGTCTCTACTGAAAATATAAAACTTAGCCAGGCTTGGTGGTGCGTGCCTGTAATCCCAGCTACTCAGGAGGCTGAGGCAGGAGAATCGCTTGAACCCGGGAGGCGGAGGTTGCAGTGAGCCAAGATCACGACACTGCACTCCAGCCTGGGCGACAGAGCGAGACTCCATCTCAAAAATAAAAGAAAAAAAGAGACATACCCAAGAGTGGGTAATTTATAAAAAAGAAAGAAAAAGAGGTTGAATGGACTCACGGTTCCTTCCCAAAAGCTCACTGTACAAACACAAAGTGGGGAATAGGTCTTTAAAGCATCGAAAGTGAGCAGGCTCGATCACTACAAATTTTTTGTTTGTTTCTTTCTTTTGAGACAAGGTCTTACTCCATCACCCAGGCTGGAGTGCAGTGGCACGATCTCGGCTCACTGCAACCTCCGCCTCCCGGGTTCAAGCGATTCTCCTGCCTCAGCCTCCCGAGTAGCTGGGGCTACAGGCGCCCACCACCACGCCTGGCTAATTTCTTGTGTTTTTAATAGAGATGGGGTTTCACTATGTTGACCAGGCTGGTCTCGATCTCCTGACCTCATGATCTGCCCACCTCAGCCTCCCAAAGTGCTGGGATTACAGACGTGAGCCACTGCACCCGGCCTAATGTTTGTATTTTCAGTAGAGATGATGTTTCACTGTGTTGGGCAGGCTGGTCTCGAACTCCTGACCTCAGGTGATCCACCTGCTTCGGCCTCCCAAAGTGCTGGGACTACAGGCGCCCACCACACGCCCAGCTAATTTCTTGTATTTTTAATAGAGACGGGGTTTCACTATGTTGGCCAGGCTGGTTTCGATCTCCTGACCTCATGATCTGCCCGCCTCAGCCTCCCAAAGTGCTGGGATTACAAGCGTGAGCCACTGCACCCGGCCTAACGTTTGTATTTTCAGTAGAGATGATGTTTCACTGTGTTGGGCAGGCTGGTCTCGAACTCCTGACCTCAGGTGATCCGCCTGCTTTGGCCTCCCAAAGTGCTGGGACTACAGGCGCCCGCCACATGCCCAGCTAATTTCTTGTATTTTTAATAGAGACGGGGTTTCACTATGTTGGCCAGGCTGGTCTCGATCTCCTGACCTCACGATCTGCCCGCCTCAGCCTCCCAAAGTGTTGGGATTACAGGCGTGAGCCACCTCGCCCAGCCTAAATGTTTTTTGGTTGCATGGATGGTTTGGTAAAGTCTAGGCTGCTAGCACACCTGTGCACTGAGTAGCATACATTGAACCCCAGAGGTAATTTTTCATGCCTCACTCTGCTCCTATCTTCCCGTCTTCTGAGTCTCCAATGTCCACTATTCTACCCTGTATGTCCCCGGGTACCCAGAACGTAGTGTCTTCTTATAAATGACAACATGTGGTATTTTTTTTCTGTTCCTGAGTTACTCTAGTTAGGAAAGTCATCTTCAGCTCCATCCAAGTTGCTGCAAATTACATTATCTTGTTCTTTTTCATGGCTGAGTAGTATTCCATGGTGTATATAAACCACATTTTCATTTTCTTTTCTTTTCTTTTTTTTTTTTTTTTTTTTGAGATGGAGTCTCGCTCTGTTGCCCAGGCTGGAGTGCAGTGGTGCAATCTCGGCTCACTGCAACATCCGCCTCCCGGGTTCAAACATTTCTCCTGCTTCAGCCTTCCGAGTAGCTGGGATGACAGGCAGCCGCCACCATGCCCAGCTCATTGTTTTGTTTTGTTTTTTCTATTTCTTGTATTTTTAATAGAGTCAGGGTTTCACCATGTTGGCCAGGCTGGTCTTGAACTCCTGACCTCAGGTGATCCACCCGCCTCGGCCTCTCACAGTGCTGGGATGACAAGTCTGAGCCATCTCACACCTGTTTCTTTTCCTTCTTAATGGGCATGTAAAATTGTTCTGCAACACTCCTGGCTCTTCTGTGGAAGTGTGATGTCCACGAGAAGGAATTTAGGGAGAGCAAGCTTGCTTCTGCAGTCCCCGGGAAAGGCAGGTCTGCATGGCTAGCGGGGTCAAGCTCTCGTAGGAAGGAAAGAATGCTCCAAGACATGCTCTGAACCCAGGAAGAACGCAAGCTTCGGCTCCGAAGCGTTCCGAGGAGGCCAAGCTGCCTCTAATCACCCCGAATTATCCGTAAGGGGAGGCGTCGGGGAGCTGGTAATCCGTGGGGATGGAAGCTAATTACTTAATCACTCGCATTTGTAAATCGCATTATTGGAAAAGAAATTACTCTGGTGATCGAATTACAGATATTTATCTGCTAATAGCCCTGATTAACTGGCGATGTTAATCTGTCATTTTGAAAGCTAATATTAACAGCATCAATCTCGCCGAGAAAATAAACAGTTTACGGGAAATAAAACCGGGTGTAATGGAAAGCACCGTGTGTCGGAGTCCCCAGATCTAGAGTGTGCTGCTGAGTGCAGTGGCCAAGGTCCCCCCGTTAGCCCTTTATGGAAAATACCCTCTGGCTGGGAACGGTTCGGACGAGGCTGACTCTAACGGGCTCAGAGAAGCTGAGGAGAAACACCCGGGGAAAATGCATTTTGAGAAAAATCCCAAAGGTTCTAGACACGGGTCCCCCAGGGAACGCCCTGCACGTGTATTTATGCAGAGTTCACTCTCGATAAAAAGGATCCCCTGGAATTCCAAGCAAGGAAGGATTGAGCTATCCAGCAGACACCCGGTGGGTGCATTTTACGTCGCCTTTAGCCAAATCGATGATCTCAGAGTGAGACTCAGAGTGAGGCTCCGGCTCAAAGAAAAAAAAAAAAAATTACCAAATAGTGTCAAAACCATAGCTATGTCTTTTCTCAGACAACAATTTGATAATGCTTCTTTTTGGAAAATTAGCAAGATTTGAGGATGGGGTTTGGATTTGCTCAAGAACAGTATGATGGCAGGATCTGGACCTTTAGCAAAACCCCCCTCTACTAAAAATTATAAAAATTAGCCAGGCGTGGTGGTGGGTGCCTGTAATTCCAGCTACTAGGGAGGCTGAGGCAGGAGAATCGCTTGAATGAGAGTCGATTGGCTGTAAATGTAAAGGAATCTGCCACAATCTGAAAGCCGTGGGCTGAACGGTGTCTCTCCTGGAAAGCGTGTTGCAATCCAGACTCCAGTGAACGTAACTTGATTTGCAACAGGGTCTTTGATTTGGAAAGTTAACATGATATCCGTAGGGTGGGCCCTGATTCAATGGGACTGGTGTCTTTATAAGAAGAGGACATGAGCCGGGCACGGTGGCTGACGCCTGTAATCCGAGCAGTTTGGGAGGCTGAGGCTGGGGGATCACTTGAGGTCGGGAGTTCAAGACCAGCCTGACCAACATAAAGAAACCCCGTCTCTACTAAAAATGTAAAATTAGCCGGGTGTGGTGGGGCACGCCTGTAATCCCAGCTACTCAGGAGGCTGAGGCAGGAGAATCACTTGAACCCAGAAGGCAGAGGTTGCGGTGAGCCAAGATCACGGCATTGCACTCCAGCCTGAGCGACAAGAGTGAAACTCCATCTCAAAAAACAAAAACAAACAAAACAAACAAACAAACAAAAAACAGAAGGGAGGTGAGGACACAGACACACACACAGAGGGACGACCCTGTGAGGACACAGGGAGAAGACGGCGTCTCCAAGCCCAGGAGAGAGGCCTCAGGAGGAACCAGCCCTGTCCACACCTTGATGTCAGACTTCCAGCCTCCAGGACTGTGGGAGAGTCAACGTCTGTTGTTTATAAGCCACCCAGTCTATGGTATTCTGTGACAGCAGCCTGAGATGGACTAAGACATCCCATAAGAAGAGGAGATGAGGACACAGACACATGCGGAGGGATGACCCTGTGAGGCCACAGGGAGAAGACGGCATCTCCAAGCCCAGGAGAGAGACCTCAGGAGGAATCAGCCCTGCCAGCATCTTCACTGGAGGCTTCTGTTCTCTGAAAGAGTGAGAGGAAAGTGTTATGTGTTTCAAAGCCCCCCAGTGAGTGATAGTCGGTGATGGCCACCCTGAGGGACCAATGCAACAATCTCCCTGCATTTTGCTTTTTGCATTTTCTCAGCCAACTCTCAGAAACGGACGCAAGGAGAAGCACAAGAAGACACACACCAGCCCATCTTTTTCTTTTTTTTTTTTTTTTTTTTTGAGATGGAGTCTCGCTGTGTCACCCAGGCTGGAGTGCAGTGGCGCGATCTGGGCTCACTGCAAGCTCCCCCACCGGGTTCACACCATTCTCCTGCCTCAGCCTCCCGAGTAGCTGGGACTACAGGCACCCGCCACCACGCCCGGCTATTTTTTTTGTATTTTTAGTAGAGACGGGGTTTCACCGTGTTAGCCAGGATGGTCTCAATCTCCTGACGCCGTGATCCGCCCGCCTCGGCCTCCCAAAGTGCTGGGATGAGAGGTGTGAGCCACCATGCCCGGCCCCACCAGCCCATCTTAAACTGTGTCCTTTGTCAGCCCTGGCTGGCCCGGGGTCGTGTTTGGAGAGGTCCCTGGCAAAGGCCATCGTTGCCATGACCTCCCCTACCCTCACTCCCACACCTGAGAGAGGAATGAATGGATAACGTCACCTTGTGCACAGAGCACCTGGCATTATCTGTTGGGGAGAAGAGACGTTGCTTCCTTCCTTCCTCTTTAATTTTTTAATTTTTTTAATGTCACCCTGTGCACAGAGCACCCAGTATTATCTGTTGGGGAGAAGAGACGTTGCTTCCTTCTTCCTCTTTTAAAATTAAAGATACTGGCAGGGCATGAGGACGGAGTGAAGTCTATCTGAGTTAGCTTTACAAAAATGTGCGTCTTCCAAAAATCTGTTCATCCTTCTCACAGCCTCTTTATCCCGTGCTGGATGCTTCCTGCCTTCAAACATCAGATTCCAAGTTCTTCAGTTTTGAAACTCGGACTGGCTGTCCTTGCTTCTCAGCCTCCAGACAGCCTAAGGTGGGACCTTGTGATCATGTCAGTTCATACTTAGTAAACTCCCCTTTATATATATATATATATATATATATATATATATATATATATATATATATGTATATGTAAGTATTCCATTAAGAATACCATATATAGGCTGGGCACGGTGGCTCACGCCTGTCATCCCAGCGCTTTGGGAGGCCCAGGCGGGTGGATCATTTGAGGTCAGGAGTTCGAAGCCAGCCTGGCCAACATGCTGAAGCCCCTTCTCTACTAAAAATATAAAAATTAGCGAAGTGTGATGGTGGGTGCCTGTAAACCCAGCTACTGGGGAGGCTGAGGCAGGAGAATTGCTTGAACCCAAGAGGCGGAGGTTGCAGTGAGCCGAGATTGTGCCACTGCACTCCAGCCTGGGTGACAGAGCGAGACTCCGTCTCAAAAAATAAATACATTAATTAAAAACAATGCAGCACCATAGGACGCCTGCCAATGAGAGAGAAATAGATAATCAGGCATGCTGGATGGAAAACACATTAAAACAGTGAGTCACATTCTCTCTCAGTCATGCAGCTATGACCAGGTGTTCTGGATTGAATCGTGTCCCATATCCGTGGGTATAACCTTATTTGGAAATAGGGTCTTCAGAGGTATAATCAAGTAAAGACGAATTCATGAGCATGAACCCCCATGCAATAGCTCTGGGCTTCTTATGAAAAGAACTCATGGCTAGGATTTGGGGGCTCCTGAGGCTCTAGATGTAAAAGCATCAGCACTTGAAACTTTCAATCTTACAATGTAACGGCCCCTTTCCTTGCAGTAATGAGTAGAACAGTGTCATTATCTGTTTGGGCTGCTGTAAAAAACAACAAAGACTGGGTAATTTTAAAAGAACAAAAATGTATTTCTTACAGTTCTGGGGGCCGGGAAGTCCAAGAGCCAAGCAGCCAAGCATCAATTGATTCTGTTGTCCGGTGAGGGCTGCTGTCTGCTTCCAAGATGAAAACTTGTCACTGTTTCTCCTGCAGGAGAGGAATGCTATGTCCTCGCATAGCAGAAGGCAGACGAGCAAGAGAAAGCTAAATGCTGTATGAAGCCCCTTTATAAGGCCTTAATCCCCCCTATGAGGGAGGAGCCATGATGGTCTAATCACCTCTTTAAGGCCTCCCGATACCATCACATTGGCCATCAAATTTCAACACTTGCATTCTGGAGGAAATGCATTCATACCATATCAGACAGAAATTATATGGCCAGCTCTATGGTTCCTCTCCTTACACTAACCATTATTCAGGTAAGTAAAAGGCATGCTGTCTGGGTGCAGTGGCTCACATCTGTAATCCCAGCACTTTGGGAGGCTGAGGCAGGGGGATCGCTTGAGCCTAGAAGTTTGAGGCCAGGCTGGGCAACATAGCAAGACTCTGTCTCTACAAAATAAAAATTTTAAAACTAATCAGCCAAGTCTGTTGGCATATGTCTGTAGAAACAGCTACTTGGAAGGCTGAAGCAGGAGGATTGTTTGAGTCTAGGAGTTTGAGGCTGCAGTGAGTTATGAGCACACCACGGCACTCCAGCCTGGGAGAAAAAGCGAGACCCCCAACTCTAAAAAAATAAAAAGAGGATGGTTACCTTATATAGGAGATAGACAGTGGAAGGCATTCCAGAGAAGGCAAGCAGTGAGTAGATGTTTCAGGACCATTCTCAGCCCTGAGACAGGAGGCCCATGAAGTAGTGACTAATGTCCACTCTGAAATGCATTGTGAAGAAGAGACAAAGAAGCTGAGAGCTGCTGTGCTGTCCTTGTGGGCCTGAGCTGTAGTTTTGTCTTTCTTTCAACAGCAACAGGGAAGGTGTTGCATGGTCTTCAGCAGCTAGGCAATGTTAGCAGGAGCACCTCCCACTTTCAAGTAGGCCTTCACCTCCAAATGGCCTCCACCTCCAAGTTAGTCTCCAACTTCTAAATTGGCTTCCACCTCCAAGTTAGCCTCCAGTTTCCCAGTTGGACTCTACCTCCTAGTTGGCCTCCACATCCAACTTGGACTCCAGCTTCCAAACTGGCCTCCACCTCCAAGTTAGCTTCCAACCTCCAAATTGACCTCACCTCCAAGTTAGCCTCCACCTTCAAGTTAGCCTCCAATCTCCCAACTGGACTCTACCTCCTAGTTGGCCTCCAACCCACATGTTGGCCTCCACTTCCAACCTGGACTCCACACTCCAAACAGGCCTCCACCTCCAAGTTAGCCTCAACCTCCAAATTGGTCTCCGCCTCCAAGTTAGCCTCCACCTGCAAGTTAGCTAATTTACCAGCTGGGAGATTATCAATCTGCTTATTATATCAATCTGCTTATTATATCTTATTATGCCTCCAAGTTGGCCTCCACCATCAAGTTGACCTTCACTTCCACATTGGCCTCCACTGCCAAGTTGAGTGGCCTCCACCTCCAAGCTGGCCTCTACCTCCAAGCTGGCTCTAACCTCGAAGTTGGCCTTCACCTCCAAGATGACCTCCAACCAACCAAATTGACCTCCAACCTCCAAGTTGACCTCCACCTTCAAGTTGGTCTGAACATGGTTTGGAGAATATATCAATGGATGTATATGAAAGCAGAGTGACCAGTGGAGAAGTTGGTGTGGCCACTTGGACATGATTGATGGACAGGGCTCCAACGGTTCATCAACCCAAGGCTCCTTTCTTTAAAAGCCACACTGACTCAACAGACCAGAGACCACATCTAAAGTCTACAGAAGAGCTGATAGCAGGCTCTGTCTGAGATAAGCCACTGTCGATTTCTCCCCATGTCCACCCAGTTCTGATCATGGTGCCTGCGTAAAGGTAGCCTGCCCTGTGTTTGTCTATTGTCTGAACAATTTCCAAATCACTGCCTCATCTGTAGCTCATTCTCCAAGGTCACTAACCTGTGTCCTGCCTGTCCACAAGGAAGGAGTGAGATTTCTCCTTCGGTCCTTGCTCCGTCTTCAAAGCTTGAGCACCTCGTCATACGCATTTTCCCTTTGATGGCCTTTTTGTTTCTTGCACTTCAAATCTGGTGGCCCAGGAAGTGTGGGCTTTGTCCTAGGCACCGATTGTCACATGTTTTCTCCACACTCAGTATGGGCTTTTTGTACAATTAGCCAGTTTTCTCTGATTCCCTCATACTTTGCACCTTGGAAAAACTGTATGAACACAGTCTTATCTGTTCCCAATCTTATCCGTTCTTTGATTCCCTCAAGCTCCTGCATCGCTACCTATCTGGCCTGCGGATTTAGCTCCTTGCCTGATTGCTTTGTGTTATTTTTCTTACAGTTGCCTTTTCCATCTGCCCCAAAGACTCATCTCATGAAAGCAAGATGATGAAGAGGGAGACGGATTAGGGCAGAGGCCGGGCAGGGAGGCGGGAGATGTGGGCTTGTTCTAAACAAGGTGTGAGATCTGCTGTAGAAGCCAACTTACCAAGGGGTTTAGGCAACACAGCCAAGCCAGCCAAGATCTCCGGGGCTGTCCTGGGAGCACGCCCAAGCCCGAGGTTGGACTTGGGAGGTCTAGAGAGGAACACCACAGGCTCATGTTTCACTGGCCTGTTGGGACCACGGCTAATTCCACAGCCTCTTGGCTCCTTGGGAGGATATCACACCTCTCCTGGAACCCGAACCCTTGCGGCCCTCCCGTGATCCAGCGCCACCTCCCTAAGAACCTTTATAAGAAGAAGACATGAGGATCTTTGATCAGCTTCCTTCTTTTGCAGCTGAAAATATATTGAATGTCAGTAAAAGGTCTCATCTATTTTTATATATCTATCTCTGTCTATGTGTCTAGCTATCATCTATCTATCTATCTATGTGTCACTCTATGTACTTATCTATCTATCTGCTTGTCTGTCTGTCTATCCATGTATCTATCTATCTATATGTGTATCTATCTATCTATCATCTGTCTATGTGTCCATTTATCTGTGTATCTATCTACCTATCTGTCTATGTGTCTATCTGTGTATCTATCTATAT
Organism: Homo sapiens; assembly: GCF_000001405.40. Classification (NCBI taxonomy): domain Eukaryota; kingdom Metazoa; phylum Chordata; class Mammalia; order Primates; family Hominidae; genus Homo; species Homo sapiens. The sequence continues at coordinate 1,041,785 of NC_000023.11, forward strand.
ATCTATCTATCATCTATCTATCTATCTATTGGTCTATCTATCTGTCAATCTATGTATCTATCTATCTATCTATTGGTCTATCTATCTATCTATCCTTCTATCTATCCATCCATCTATCCATATCCATCCATCTATCATATCAATCAATTGATCTATCATCTATCCTATTATGTATCAATCTATCCTCCATCTATCTGTCCATCTCTGTGCATCTATCCTATCGACTTATCAGTCTATCCTTCTATTTATCTATCTTTCTATGTATCTCCATTCATCTATCCAATTGATCTATCAATGTATTCTTCTATCTATACATCTATCTACCTACCTGCCTGCCTATCTATTTTATCTAATCTATCTATCCGTCTATCTACCCATCTATTATCTTTATCTATCTCTATCATCCATCTTTCTATCTCTTTATCTAGCTCTCTATCGATCTCTTTATCTGTCTATCTCTTTCTCTATCTCTATCTATCTATCCATTCTTCTGTCAGTTTGTCTGTCTGTCCCTCTGTCTATCCATCTATCTATCTATCTCTATCTGTATCTATCTATCTATCTATCTATCTATCTATCTATCTATCTATCTCTTCTTCTGTCCGTTCATGTGTCTGTCCATCTATCTATCCATCTATCTATCATCTAACTATCTGTCCATCCATCCATCCATCCATCCACCCATTCATCCATCCACCTATCCATCTATCAATCCATCCATCCATCCATCCGTCTATCTTATGCATCACAGCTGGACCATGCAGAAGACAGAGGGCTGAGGAATGGGAGCTTCTGGTGAGGTCTGTGGGTGCAGCCATGAACCCCTCCAGTTAATGTGACTGTATTGGGGAGAACTGGCACCACTGAGGGGGAAGTTGTAGCTGTGAAGAGTGCAGGACCCAGTGGTTGTTGTTGAAGACCACCTGTGTACGATCTGAGGTACAGCTGGAACACTCGGGTGACGAGTTCCTCACTGAAGGTCAATTTGGACCATCCCAAGAGTCCCCTTGGCAGCACAGAGAGATACTGATCTCCCACAGCAGGTGCAGAGAAAGTAAAAGACCAGGAACAAAGTGTGCTGGGCACTGTCTGATGTCAAACCCCAGCTAACGGGCAGTATCAGGACATGATGGACACCACCTCAAGACGTGGGATGGGGTGTCCTGGTATCTGCAACTTTGAGAGCTTTATTTTATTTTATTTTTTGAGATGGAGTCTCACTCTGTCACCCAGGCTGGAGTGCAGTGGCACAACCTCAGCTCACTGCAACCTCCACCTCCTGGGTTCAAGTGATTCTCCTGCCTCAGCCTCCCGAGTAGCTGGGATAACAGGCATGAGCCACCATGCCCGGCCCCAGCTTGGGTTCTGAATCCTTCAACACAGACTCTTTCTGAGAAAAACAGGCCGGGCACAGTGGCTCATGCCTGTCATCCCAGCACTTTGGGAGGCTGAGGCTGGTGGATTGTCTGAGGTCAGGAATTCGAGACCAGCCTGGCCAACATGGAGAAACCCCATCTCTACTAAAAATACAAAAATTAGTCGGGCATGGTGACGGGCGCTTGTAATCCCAACTACTCGGGAGGCTGAGGCAGGAGAATCACTTGAACCCAGGAGGCGGAGGTTGCAGTGAGCCAAGATCTTGCCATTGCACTCCAGCCTGGGTGACAGAGCAAGACTCTGTCTAAAAAAATTAAAAAATTAAAAGTAAATAAATAAATATGAAGTTGGCAACTAAAAAAAATCAAACTTGGCCAGGCACAGTGGCTCACGCCTGTAATCCCAGCACTTTGGGAGGCCGAGGCAGGCACATCACAAGGTCAGGAGATCGAGACCATCCTGGCTAACATGGTGAAACCCGGTCTCTACTAAAAATACAAAAAATTAGCCAGGCGTGGTGGCGGGCGCCTGTAGTCTCAGCTACTCAGGAGGGTGAGGCAGGAGAATGCCCTGAACCCGGGATGCAGAGCTTGCAGTGAGCTGAGACTGCACCACTGCACTTCAGCCTGGGTGACAGAGCGAGACTCTATCTCAAAAAAAAAAAAAAAAATCAAACTTTACTAGATAGGAGAACTGCTCACAAAACAGAAAAAAAACCCTACAAATCACATTTTAATTATAAAAATATGACCATTTACATGAAAATGCTCTGTCTTACCAATAAGAAAGCTTATTAGTTAAAAGAACAGAAACTGCTTGTGTGTATATGCACATATGTATGCGGGCATGTGTGTCTGTACGTGTGTACATATGCAGTTGCCTTCCTCCACCAAAAGGTAAACTTTTTTTTTTTGAGACGGAGCCTTGCTCTGTTGTCCAGGCTGGAGTGCAGTGGCGCGACCTTGGCTCACTACAGCCTCCGCCTCCCGGGTTCACACCATTCTCCTGCCTCAGCCTCCCAAGTACCTGGGACTATAGCCGCCCGTCACCACGCCTGGCTATTTTTTTGTATTTTTAGTAGAGATGGGGTTTCACCATGTTAGCCAGGATGGTCTTGATCTCCTGACCTTGTGATCTGCCCGCCTCGGCCTCCCAAAGTGCTGGGATGACAGGCGTGAGCCACTGCGCCCAGCAACTTTTTTTTTTCTTTTTTTTTTTTGTTGAGACGGAGTCTCGCTCTGTCACCCTGGCTGTAGTGCAGTGGCGCGATCTCGGCTCACTGCAACCTCCGCCTTCCGGGTTCAAGCAATTCTCCTGCCTCAGCCTCCCTAGTAGCTGGGATTACAGGCACCCACCACCACCCCTGGCTAATTTTTTGTATTTTCAGTAGAGATGGGGTTTCCCCATGTTGGCCAGGCTGATCTCGATCTCCTGACCTCGTGATCCGCCCATTTCTGCCTCCCAAAGTGCTGAGATTACAGGAGAGAGCCACCGCACCTGGCCTAAACTTTTTTTTTTAAATTGGGATAAAATTCGCATAGCATGAAATTCCCGTTAACTATCTTGAAGAGAGCAGCTCAATGGTATTCAACACTTACACCGTGCTGTGAAATCATCAGTCCATCTCCTTCTAGAACATTCTCTGCAACCCGAGGAGACCCTGCACCTATTATCAGTCATGCCCATTTCCTCTCCCCGCACTAAGTCTCTTGAAGTTTATGACTTTGTGTGTCTTTCCTCCACAATGACCATTCTCCTTAACTTTTAAAAAGCCATTCGCCCTCTCTTTTTTCCTTTTTTTTCTGAGACGGAGTCTCGCTCTTTTGCCCTGGCTAGAGTGCAGTGGTGTGATCTTGGCTCGCTGCAACCTCTGCCTCCCAGGTTTCAAGCAATTCTCCTGCCTCAGCCTGCCAAGTAGCTGGGACTACAGGCGCACACAACCACGCCCAGCTAATGTTTGTATTTTTAGTAGAGACGGGGTTTCACCATGTTGACCAGGATGGTCTTGATCTCTTGACCTCATGATCCACCCTCCTCAGCCTCCCAAAGTGCTGGGATTACAGGCATGAGCCACCACGCCCTGCCCCCTCACTTCTTTAATAAGACCCTGATTTCCTTTACAGGATCCTGCCCCAACCCAGGGGATGAACCAGGCAGGTCGATCTGTTCCCCATTTCTGGTAGCCAAGCTTCAGACTTGGTAAAGTGTGTGGGAGAAGCATGGCAAAAGAGGAACAGGGAAAAAACTATCTTTGCCCACACCCTCCCTTTCTGCTAGGAATGCCATCTTGAGAATGTGATGTCCAGAGCTTCAGCAGCCACTTTGTGAATATGAGAAAACTCTGCCATGCCCATGCCCTCATTTCCTGCTAGGGATGCTTTATTGAGGGTGTAATATCTGGAGCTTCAGCAGCCACTTTGTGACTATGAGAAAACTCTGTTGTGCCCATGGCCTCCCTTCCTTCTAGGAATGCTCTCTTGAGGGTGCGATGTCCGGAGCTTCAACAGCCACTTTGTGAGTATGAGAAAACTCTGTTGTGCGCGTGCCCTTCCTTCCTGCTAGCAATGCTCTCTTGAGGGCATGATGTATGGAGCTTCAGTAGCCACTTTGTGATTGTAAGAAAACTCTCTTGTGCCCACGGCCTCCTTTCCTGCTAGGAATGCTCTCTTAAGGGCGTGATGTCCGGAGCTTCAGCAGCCACTTTGTAAGAATATGAAAACTGTGTTGTGCCCATGCCTTCACTTCCTGCTAGGAATGCTCTTTTGAGGGCAGGACATTCAGAGCTCCAGCAGCTGCTTTGTGACTATGAGGCACACTGTCAGACTGTGAGGTGTTACCATGCAGGAGGATGTCATTACCTGTTCTTTATTTGCATTACTGTTCTTTTATCTGCATTACCTGTTCTTTTATTTGCATTACCTGTTCTTTATTTGCATTACTGTTCTTTTATTTGCATTACCTGTTCTTTATTTGCATTACTCTCTGTTCTTTGTTTGCATTACTGTTCTTTTATTTGCATTACCTGTTCTTTATTTGCATTACTCTCTGTTCTTTATTTGCACGAACGGCCTAGATTTCTCTGCCTGCATCACTGCAGCAAACACTCCACGGGACTTTGGCAGGAGCAAGAAATATTCTCACTTCACGTCTCCTCAATTCCTCCCAGCCATTTGTGCCGCTGTGATGATAGGTCTGTGGTAAGGAATATTCCTTCTCCCCAGGCTGCAGCAGATACCTGGAACAGGCATTCCTCGTAGTACTTCTGTTTGCTACTTTTCATCTCTAGGAATGGAGTGGAGAAATCACCTGCCCAGGTGTAGCCATACAGAGTAGTTAATGAAGTTCATTCATGAGGGCATATGTGTCGCCAAGCCCCTTTTAATATTTCCATTCCTCCAACTTCTTCTAAAGAACAGCATACTGGCCAGGTGCAGTGGCTCACGCCTGTAATTCCAGCACTTTGGGAGGATGAGGCAGGTGGATCACCTGAGGTCAGGAGTTTGAAACCAGCCTGGCCAACATGGTGAAATCCTGTCTGTACTAAAAATACAAAAATTAGCCAGGTGTGGTGGCATGTACCTGTAGACCCAGCTACTTGGGAGGCTGAGGCAGGAGAATCGCTTGAACCTGGGAGGCAGAGGTTGCAGTGAGCCAACATCTTGCCACTGCACCCCAGCCTGGGTGACACAGAAAGACTCCATCTCAAAAATCAAAAAAAATGGAAACAAATAAGAGAGAAAGAAAGAAAGAAAGAAGGAAAGAAAGAAAAGAAAAGAAAGAAAAGAAAGAAAAAGAAAGAAAGAAAGAAGGAAGGAAGGAAGGAAAAGAAAGAAAGAAAGAAGAAAGAAAGAAAAGAAGAAAGAAAAAGAAAGAGAAAGAAAGAAAGAAAAGAAAGAAAGGAAGGAAGGAAGGAAGGAAGGAAGAAAGAAAGAAAGAAAGAAAGAAAGAAAGAAAGAAAGAAAGAAAGAAAGAAAGAAAGAAAGAGAAAGAAAGAAAGAAAAGAAAAAAAAACAGCATACCTCCTGCATTCATTTGTTCCAGCGCCAGGCACAATGAGGTACTGTTCATATCCTAAGTTATTTCTCTTCCGGCAAAGAAGAGATGCCGACTTATGTTTTATTAGGTAGCTCATAAATTACCTTTTCTTAGGCGACTGCAACTCTGACATCTCACGTGCATTCTTGTCTAGACCAGCGCCTCTTTTCCTTCCAATTTCTGTAAGGGGGTCTTTTTTTTGCCAATCGTGCATCAGCCAGCTACCCATTTAAGCAGCTTCTCAGAAGCCCTTTCAAGTTCTGAAGCGTCTGCTAATAACACGGTCTTCCGTCGAGGCTGTGTCTCCAATCATTCTTTCCAACGCAACCATCTTCCTTCTGCTCACATAACATATGTTTGTTATCATGTAACACTCGCAGCCTGTTGGAGCAGCCCGTCATCTGCAACCCAGAGCTGCTCAACTGAACGCTGTCCAATGTCATTTACGCCGGATTTTAAATGCATTTTTCCTCTAGCACTCTTGGCTCTTTTAGGATATTTCTCTCTCTCTCTCTCTCTCTCTCTCTCTCTCTCTCTCTCTCTCTCTCTGTTTTTTTCGCCTTGTACATGATTTCCTTTGTTTTATGCATGTTGGAAACTCAGACCTTTTTGCAAGAATTCCATTTACCAAGATGCAGACAGCAATCATAAAAGATGATGCTGGCTTTCAGAATGGAAAAAAAAAATTACAAAAGAATTCTTCAACATTTAGCCATGTCATGACTGATTTTTTTAAATGCAATCATTTTCCATTTGTCTTTAACGCTAGCATTTTTACAAGTGGGTTTAAATATTTGATAGATTTATATTTTAAACCTTTTAGGCCGGGTGTGGTGGCTCACGCCTGTCATCCCACTACTTTGGGAGGCTGAGGCGGGTGAATCACCTGAGGTCAGGAGTTCGAGACCAGCCTGGCCAACATGGAGAAACCACACTGAAACACCACCTGGCCAGGCACAATGGCTCACGCCTGTCATCACAGCACTCTGGGAGGCCGAAGCAGGTGGATCACCTGAGGTCACGAGTTCAAGACCATCCTAGACAACATGGTGAAACCCTGTCTCTACTAAAAAAACAAAAATTAGCCAGGTGTGGTGGTGGGCACCTGTAATCCCAGCTACTCAGGAAGCTGAGGCAGGAGGATCACTTGAGCCCGGGAGGCGGAGGTTGCAGTGAGCCAACATCTTGACACTCCACCCCAGGCTGGGCAACAGAGAAAGACTCCATCTCAAAAAAAAAAGAAAGAGAGAAAGAAAGAAGAAAGAAAAAGAAAGAAAGAAAGAAAGAAAGAAAGAAAGAAAGAAAGAAAGAAAGAAAGAAAGAAAGAAAGGAAGGAAGGAAGGAAGGAAGGAAGGAAGGAAGGAAGGAAGGAAGGGGAAGGGAAGGGAAGGAAGGAAGGAAGGACGGACGGAAGGAAGGGAGAGAAAGAAAGAAAGAAAGAAGGAAAGAAAGAAAGAAAGAAAGAAAGAAAGAAAGAAAGGAAGGAAGGAAGGAAGGAAGGAAGGAAGGAAGGAAGGAAGGAAGGAAAGAAAGAAAGAAAGAAAGAAAGAAAGAAAGAAAGAAAGAAAGAAAGAGAAAGAAAGAAGGAAAGAAAGAAAGAAAAAGAAAAAAAAACCAGCATATCTCCTGCATTCATTTGTTCCAGTGCCAGGCACAATGAGGTACTGTTCCAATCCTAAGAGCCGAGATCATGCCACTGCATTCCGCTTGGGTGACAGAGAAAGACTCCATCTCAAATAAATGAATACACAAATAAATAAAATAAACTACTCTCCTATTGACGTTGACTAGTCTACGTCTTTCTGGGTAGTGCCTTCACTCCTCTCTGACCCTTAGTGAACACCTTTAGCAATCTGTAATCAATATATTTGTAACGAATCACCATCAGCTGTCCATGGTCCCAGTCGTGACTCCCATTGAATTTAAGGGTGAAGATGCCCCTGTTTTCTGAGGGATCTCTTCCTCCTTGTGCCTTCTGTACCAAATCAAAATGTCCAATCTCAATGCCGGGGCTGGGATCATTGATGCTTACCACGTGGGTTTCCAACATAGACTGTGGGTTGCATTTTTCTAAAATACATGGTCCAACAGCGTTTAAGGTCACCGTCATTGCCCCTAAACCCACAGAGTGAGGCATAGAACACAGGATCAAATGCACAAACCCGTGCACACACACACGCATGCACTTATTTTCCTAACTACATGAGAAAAATCATTTGGTGCTTATCTAAAATGACTCTCCGGCTGGGTGCAGTGGCTCATGCCTGCGATCCCAGCACTTTGGGAGGCCGAGGCAGGCGGATCACCTGAGGTCAGGAGTTCGAGACCAGCCTGGTCAACATGGTGAAAACCCCGTCTCTACTAATAATACAAAAATTAGCTGGGCATCGTGTTGGGCACCTGTAATCCCAGCTACTTGGGAGGCTGAGGCAGGAGGATCACTTGAACCCAGGAGGTGCAGGTTACAGTGAGCTGAGATGCTGAGATCTTTTAAGATATCTTTTTGGCTGGGTGCGGTGGCTCACGGCTGTAATCTCAGCACTGTGGGAGGCCGAGGCAGGCGGATCACCTGAGGTCAGGAGTTCGAGACCAGCCTGGTCAACATGGTGAAAACCCCGTCTCTACTAATAATACAAAAATTAGCTGGGCATCGTGTTGGGCACCTGTAATCCCAGCTACTTGGGAGGCTGAGGCAGGAGGATCACTTGAACCCAGGAGGTGCAGGTTACAGTGAGCTGAGATGCTGAGATCTTTTAAGATATCTTTTTGGCTGGGTGCGGTGGCTCACGGCTGTAATCTCAGCACTGTGGGAGGCCGAGGCAGGCGGATCACCTGAGGTCAGGAGTTCGAGACCAGCCTGGTCAACATGGTGAAAACCCCGTCTCTACTAATAATACAAAAATTAGCTGGGCATCGTGTTGGGCGCCTGTAATCCCAGCTACTTGGGAGGCTGAGGCAGGAGGATCACTTGAACCCAGGAGGTGCAGGTTACAGTGAGCTGAGATGCTCAGATCTTTTAAGATATCTTTTTGGCTGGGTGCGGTGGCTCACGGCTGTAATCTCAGCACTTTGGGAGGCTGAGGCAGGTGGATCACCTGAGATCAGGAGTTCAAGACCAGCCTGGTCAACACGGTGAAACCCCCATCTCTACTAATAATACAAAAATTAGCCAGGCGTGGTGGCGGGTGCCTGTAATCCCAGCTACTAGGGAGGCTGAGGCAGGAGAATCGCTTGAACCCGGGAGGCGGAGGTTGCAGTGAGCTGAGATCGTGCCACTGCAATCCAGCCTGGGAGACACAGCGAGATGCTATCTCAAAAAAAAAAAAGGAAAAGAAAAACAAAGGAAGGTGTGGTTATGAGAGAGCAGCCTAAACATTTGGGGGAACATCCTAAATCCCAGCAGCAGGGGAAGAAAGGCCAGGTGAGAGGGTTTTTTTCTGCACAGAAGTAACTGATGTCTGACTCCATTTCTATGAAACGTGCCCAACAGGCAAATCCACAGAGACAGGAAGTGAATTTGTGACTCTCAGAGGTTGGAGGGGGGGATGTGGAGTTACTGCTTGATGGGAATGGGGGTTTCCTTTTAAAGGGAATGAAGATTTTCTCAAACTACATAGAGGTGGTTGTAGAGCACGATGAATGTACCAAATGCCCCGTTCGTATAATTTAAAATAACTAACTTGATGTAATTTTTTGTTTTTTTGTTTTTTTTTTTTTTGAGACAGAATCTTGCTCTGTCACCCAGGCTGGAGTGCAATGGTGCGATCTTGGCTCACTACAAGCTCTGCCTCCCGGATTCAAGCGATTCTCCTGCCTCAGCCCCCCGAGTAGCTGGGATTACAGGCACCTGCCCCCACACCAGTATTTTTAGCAGAGATGGGGTTTCTCCATGTTGGCCAGGCTGGTCTCGAACTCCTGACCTCAAGTGATCCGCCCGCCTCGGCCTCCCAAAGTGCTGGGATTACAGGCATGAGCCACTGTGCTGGGCTATGTGATGTGTGTAAGTTTCTATTTGATAATTGTGACTATTTCATACAAATGCGGGAGTATGGGGTATGCAACAAGCTGTTTAAAAAACAGAGGTATGTGATGTGAATTTTACCTCTATTTTTAAAAAAGCTTGTCGCGTGTCTCATACTCACAAGTTTGTGTAAAATAGTCACAATTATCAAATAAAAACTTGTACAGGGGTATTCATAGCAGTGGTATTCACAGTAGCCAAAAAGTAGAAACAGCCTTACTGCCCATCTATGAATAAATGGGTAAACACAATGTGGCTTATCCATGCAATGCAATATTATAATGGAATATTATGCAGCCTGGAAAAGGAACAAGGCTCTGACAAGAGGCTGCAACATGAATGCATCTTTGGAAACAGCCCTACTGCCCATCTATAAAGGAATGGATAAACACAGCATAGCTCATCCATGCAATGCAATATTATAATGGAATATTACGCAGCCTGGAAAAAGAAGTCTCTAACAAAAGGCTGCAACATGAATGAATTTTTGGAACAACCCTATTGCCCATCTATGAAGGAATGATAAACAGAGCATGGTTCATCCATGTAATGGAATATTATGCAGCCTTGAGAAGGAACAAAGCTCTGACAAAAGCTGCAACAGGAATGAATTTTTGGAACAGCCCTACTGCCCATCTATGAAAGAATGGATAAACACAGCATGGTTCATCCATGTGATGCAATATTATAATGGAATATTATGCAGCCTGGAAAAGGAACAAGGCTCTGACAAAAGGCTGCAACATAAATGCATTTTTAGAAACAGCACTACTGTTCATCTATGAAGGAATGATAAACACAATATGGTTCATCCATGCAATATTATAGTGGAATATTATGCAGGCTGGAAAAGGAACAAGGCTCTGACAAAAGCAGCAACATGAATGAATTTTGGAAACAGCCCTACTGCTCATCTATGAAGGAATGGATAAACACAGCGTGGTTCATCGATACAATGGAATATTATGCCACCTGGAAAAGGAATGAGGCTCTGACAAAGGCTGCAACATGAATGAATTTTTGGAAACAGCCCAATACCCATCTGTGAATGAATGGATAAATACCACGTGGTTCATCCATGCAATGCAATATTATAATGGAATATTATGCAGCCTGGAAAAGGAACAAGGCTCTGACAAAGGCTGCAATGTGAATGAATTTTTGGAAACAGCCCTGCTGCTCATCTATGAAGGAATGATAAACACTGCATTGTTTATCCATGCAATGGGATATTATGCAGTCTGGAAAAGGAACAAGGCTCTGACAAAGGCTATGACATGAATGAATTTTGGAAACAGCCCTACTTACCATCTATGAAAGAATGATAAACACAATGTGGTTCACCCATGCAATATTATAGTGGAATATTATGCAGCCTGGAACAGGAACAAGGCTCTGACAAAGGCTGCAATGTGAATGAATTTTTGGAAATAGCCCTAATGCTCATCGATGAAGGAGTGATAAACACAGCATCCTTTATCCATGCAATGGAATATTATTCAGTCTAGAAAAGGAATAAGGCTCTGACAAAAGACTGCACTATGTATGAATTTTGGAAACAGTCCTACTGCCCATCTATAAAGGAATGGATAAACACAGCATAGTTCATCTATACAATGCAACATTACAATGGAATATTATACAGCCTGGAACAGGAACAAGGCTCTGACAAAGGCTGCAATGTGAATGAATTTTGGAAACAGCTCTACTGCCCATCTGTGAAGGAATGATAAACACAATGTGGTTCATCCATGCAATATTATAATGGAATATTATGCAGCTTGGAACAGGAACAAGGCTCTGACAAAAGACTATCATGAATGAATTTTTGGAAACAGTCCTACTGCTCATCTATGAATGAATGATAAACACAATGTGGTTCATCCATGCAATGCAATATTATAATGGAATATTATGCAGCCTGGAACAGGAACAAGGCTCTGACAAAGGCTGCAATGTGAATGAATTTTTGGAAATAGCCCTACTGCTCATCCTTGAAGGAATGATAAACACAGCATCGTTTATCCATGCAATGGAATATTATGCAGGCTGGAAAAGGAATAAGGCTCTGACAAAGGCTGCAACATGAATGAATTTTGGAAACAGCCCTACTGCCCATCTATGAATGAATGGATAAACACCACATGATTCATCATGCAATGCAATATTGTAATGGAATATTATGCAGCCTGGAAAAGGAACAAAGCTCTGACAAAGGCTGCAACGTGAATGAATTTTTGGAAACAGCCCTACTGCTCATCTATGAAGGAATGATAAACACAGCATTGTTTATCCATGCAATGGAATATTATGCAGTCTGGAAAAGGAACAAGGCTCTGACAAAGGCTATGACATGAATGAATTTTGGAAACAGCCCTACTTACCATCTATGAAAGAATGATAAACACAATGTGGTTCATCCATGCAATATTATAATGGAATATTATGCAGCTTGGAACAGGAACAAGGCTCTGACAAAAGACTGTATCGTGAATGAATTTTTGGAAACAGTCCTACTGCTCATCTATGAAAGAATGATAAACACAATGTGGCTCATCCATGCAATGCAATATTATAGTGGAATATTATGCAGCCTGGAACAGGAACAAGGCTCTGACAAAGGCTGCAACATGAAAGAATTTTTGGAAATACCCGTACTGCTCATCTGTGAAGGAATGATAAACACAGCATGGTTCATCCATGCAATGGAATATTATGCAGCCTTGAAAAGAAACAAGGCTCTGACAAAAGCTGCAACAGGAATGAATTTTTGGAAACAGCCCTGCTGCTCATCTATGAAGGAATGGATAAACACAGCAGCAGTATTATAATGGAATACTATGCAGCCTGGAAAAGGAACAAGGCTCTGACAAAGACCACAACGTGAATGAACCCTGAGGACATCATGCTCAGAGAGAAAAGCCAGGCACAAACACAAAAGGACACACAGTGTGTGATTCCCTTTCAATGAAATGTGCTGAACAGGCAAACCCCTAGAGAAAGATAGTGGAATTTTGGGTGCTAGGGCCTGGGGAGGAGAAATGGGAGTGACTGCTCAACATGTACAGGGTGCGCTTTTGGGAGTGATGAAAATGTTCTGGACCTAGAGATTGGTGATGGTTGTACAACATTGTGAATGGACTAAATGTCACTGACTCATTCAGTTTAAAACGGTTATAAAGCTGAATTTTATATATATGTATTTTGTCATCATAAAAAGAATGTACATTCTGAACTTTCTTTTTTAACAGGTGAGAGGTTGGGTAAAGAATCTTCCAGAATGGACGGACACGGTGACTCACCCCTGAAATCCCAGCACTTTGGGAGGCCGAGACGGGCAGATCACCTGACGTCAGGAGCTCGAGACCAGCCTGGCCAACATGGCGAAACCCCGTCTCTGCTAAATATACAAAAAAATTAGCCGGGTGTGGTGGTGCACGCCTTAATCCCAGCTACTCGGGAGGCTGAGGCAGCAGAATCGCTTGAACCTGGGAGGCAGAGGTTACAGTGAGCTGAGATTGTGCCACTGCACTCCAGCCTGGAGGACAGAGCAAAAACTCTTGCCTCAAAAAAAAAAAAAGAATCTTCCAGAACGCTTGCCTTCTCCACACGCTATATCACTCTTGCTGGTTGACTTAGAATCCAACTTTTTTTTTTCTTTTTTTTCCCAAATGCAATCCAAAAATACAAGCTGAAACTGGCCACAATTGCCCCTTATAAAGTGCGGTTGGCATAACAGAGTTGAACTTCCATTTTTATTTACTTATTTTCATCATACCCAGAACGATTTATGCGGTTTCACATTTAGACATCCAAAGGGCGCTAGCATTAAAGTGCTTTGTGCTGAATGTTGTTGTAATTCGGAGGGGTTGGGGGCGTTGACTGGCGTAATTGACCCTCTAACCCGTAATTGACCCTCTAACTTCAAACACATTTTATTTATAATTTTTATTTATTTATTTATTTATAAAATAAAATTTTATTTATAAAATGTGTTTCATTCACATTGCTGTCTTTGTCGGAAACTTGTTCCTTTTCCAGGCTGCATAATATTCCATTAAGAGTCTGCGGTTTCTGTGAAGGTATAGCCCAAAAAGGTGTAACAAAACAAAATGAAGTTCAGAGCCGTAATCACAGCCCAGAATGCTGGTGTTCACTTTGGCCCCATTAAGACTCTAAGATGTTTTGGTGGGGAGCCCTGATATTTATTTCTGTGCCGCTGGAGACCTTGTAGAGAAATCTCAGCTTACCAAAGGCCAGAAGAGAAAGGGCGGAAACGATTTGACATTCTCTGGCTGGGATGCCTGGAGAATTACCCAGTGATCCACAATCACGTGGGTGAAGAAGGAGTTTGGGAAACTTTTGCTCTTTTTGTTTGTCGTTTGTTTGTTTTTGAGACAGACTTTTACCCTGTCACCCAGGCTGGAGTGCAATGGTGCGATCTCGGCTCACTGCAACCTCCGCCTCCCGGGTTCAAGCGATTCTCCTGCCTCAGCCTCTGGAGTAGCTGGGATTACGGGCGCCCGCCACCACACCCGACTAATTTTTTTGTTGTTGAGATGGAGTCTTGCTCTGTCTCCCAGGCTGGAGCGCAGTGGCGTGATCTCAGCTCACTGCAACCTCCGCCTCTGGGGTTAAAGCAATTCTCCTGCCTCAGCCTCCGGAGTAGCTGGGACTGCAGGCATACGCTACTGCGCCCAGCTAATTTTTATATTTTTAGTAGAGATGGGGTTTCTCCATGTTGGCCAGGCTAGTCTCGAACTCCTGACCTCAGGTGATCTGCCCGCCTCGGCCTCCCCAAAGTGCTGGGGTTACAGGCGTGAGCCACCGCACCCGGCCCAGCTAATTTTCTTTTTTTTTTTTTTAATTTGAGACTGAGTCTTTCTCTGTGGCCCAGGCTGGAGTGCAGTGGGCCATCTTGGCTCACTACAACCTCCACCTCCAGGGTTCAAGCAAATTCTCCTGCCTCAGCCTCCCGAGTAGCTGGGATTACAGGCGCCCACCACCACGCCAGACAAATTTTTTTTTTTTTTTTTGAGATGGAGTCTTGGTCTGTCTCCCAGGCTGGAGTGCAGTGGCCTGATCTCGGCTTACTGCAACCTCCACCTCCAGGGTTCAAGCAATTCTCCTGCCTCAGCCTCCCGAGTAGCTGGGATTACAGGCGCCTGCCACCACGCCTGGCTAATGTTTGTATTTTTAGTAGAGACGGGGTTTCACCATGTTGGCCAGGCTGGTCTCGAACTCCTGACCTCAAGTGATCCCCCCACCCCCTACCGCCTTGTCTCAGCCCCCCAAAGCGCTGGGATTACAGGCGTGAGCCACCGCACCTGGCCCGGCTAATTTTTTTTTTTTCTTTGAGATAGAGTCTTTCTCCGTTGCCCAGGCTGGAGTGCAGTGGCAGGATCTCAGTGCACTGCAACGTCCGCCTCCAGGGTTCAAGCAATTCTCCTGCCTCAGCCTCCCGAGTAGCTGGGATTACAGGCGCCTGCCACCACGCCTGGCTAATGTTTGTATTTTTAGTAGAGACAGGGTTTCACCATGTTGGCCAGGCTGGTCTCGAACTCCCGACCTCAGGTGATCCACCCGCCTCGGCCTCCCAAAGTGCTAGGATGACAGGCGTGAGCCACCACGCCTGGCCAAGTCTGGGAAAGCTTTGACAAAAATGTCACTTTTCCTGGGAGCTGGTGGCACCAAATGACTGTTGACAAATTCTTTCAGGGTGAAATTGAGCCGGTTGTCACCTTCGGTCACCAGCAAATAAGCCAGTGTGACAGTTGTCACGTCTTCCATAGGCCTTAGCTCAAAGCAAATGTGGCTTGCTGTTTTCGTGGCCTGGTACAACCCTGACCATCTCCCCGTAAAATCCGCCCTCCTCTTTGGGGCCGGAGGAAGACCCTGTCCCTTTTCAAACCTCATAGCAGGTTGGGCGTGGCTGCTCACGCCTATGATCAAAGCACTTTAGGCAGGAAGATTGCTTGAGACTTGAAGTTCAAGCTCAGCCTAAGTAACACAGTGAGGCCCCGTCTCTACAAAAAATGAAAAAATAGCTGGGCATGGTGGTAAGTGCCTGTGGTTCCCGCTACTCGGGAGGCTGAGGGAGGAGGATCGCTGGAGCCCAGGAGGTTGAGGCTGCAGTGAGCTGTGACAATGCTGCTGTACTCCAGCCTGGACAACAGAGCAAGACCTTGTTTTTCTTCCTCAAAACACACACACACACACACACACACATACACACACACACACACACAACTTCTTACGAATTATGGTTCACATATGATGGTTTGTTTTTTTTTTTTTGAGACAGAGTCTTGCTCTGTTCCCCAGGCTGGAGTGCAGTGGGGTGATCTCAGCTCACTGCAACCTCTGCTTCCCCAATTCAAATGATTCTCCTGCCTCAGCCTCCCAAGTAGCTAGGATTAAAGGCACCTGACACCACGCCCGGCTAATTTTGTATTTTTAGAAGAGACGGGGTTTCGCCATGTTGGCCAGGCTGGTCTCGAACTCCCGACCTCAAAGGATCCACCCATCTCAGCCTCCCAAAGTGCTGGGATTACAGGTGTGAGCCACCCCACCCGGCCTTTCTTTTGTAAGTATTTTAACCCTGGTTGGACTCAGGGGCGACTGCTCCATGGAGTCAAGGACGATCAGTACTTTCCTTTGGATTTTTTTACATTTTAATTTTAATTTGTATAGATTTAAGGGTTCCAGTTGCAGTTTTGCTCCACGGATATTGTGCGTGGTGGTGAAGTCTCTGCCTTCAGCATCACCAAAGGTTTTGTTCAGTCCTCAAATCATTGATTCCAGGTACTGTTTAAAACCATTTTTTCAGGATAAATGTTAACTTGTTAAGTAAAGTAAGGCTAAGCAGGAAAAAAAAGAAAAACACCTTTGGACTCAAAAGAGGCATGATGTATTTTACGTCATGTTCTGCCTGATGGAGGGAAACTAATATTTCTATGCTTATGCTTTGGAGGACCAGGTGAAGCCCCAGAGCGGACGCCCATCAGTGTGTTAGAGGCTGTTTACTGAGGTCCTACCATGTGCAAAGTTCTGAGTGGCAGGTTGTGAGGAAGAATGAATGACTTCATCTCTGAAAACTCATGTCCCTACTAGGCTAATCCAACACGGGACAGATACAGAAAGGAGATACCAGCCGGGCACGGTGGCTCACACCTGTAATCCCAGCACTTTGGGAGGCTGAGATGGGAGGATCATGAAGTCAGGAGTTCGAGAGCAGCCTGGCCAACATGGAGAAACCCCATCTCTACTAAAAATACAAAATTAGCCAGGCATGGTGGCGGGTGCCTGTAATACGAGCTACTCTGGAGGCTGAGGCAGGAAAATCGCTTGAACCCAGGAGGTGGAGGTTGCAGTGAGCTGAGATCATGCCACTGCACTCCAGCCTGGGCAACAAGAGCAAAACACCATCCCCCAAACGAAAAAAGAAATAAAACAAACAAACAAACAAACAAACAAAAACACAGGAGGGAGAGCTCAGCCTTATTTCTGCAAGGGTGACCAATGTGAGTCACGAGGGATCAGGTAAATGGGGTTTTGCAGACTGCATAGGAGTTTGCCAGGGAGACTTAGGAGAGTTTGTGGAGAGGGATCAATACTTGCAAACGCTTAGAGGTGTGGTTGTGGGCACCTTTAATGGGAATAGCAGAAAGGGGGTTGTATGAAGACAGAATCAAAGGGAATGTTATTATTTCTTCCAACAAAGCAGGTACCCCCCAAATCAGGGCATTTTTCCTTATAGTTGTTCTTATTTTAATTTGTCCTCCCAGGCTCTGCCGTTAGGACTCTCGGCTCTTGAGTCTTAATTTTTGTCTTCATTTTTATCTTAATAGTTATATATATATTTAAGATGTTAGTTAGGTATTCTTAATACCCCAATACAATTTTATAGTTAATTTTTTTTCAGGGGGGTTAGGTAGAGGTCCCTTTTAACACTCTAATGCAATCTGTCCAACCGTCACCAATATATAAACAGAGACATTAAGAATAACGGAAACCCATCGCTTCTCCCACCCCATCCAGCCCTCTGCGACGCTACCCACCACCCAAGGTGACTCTGTGTGCACTTTGATATCCTTCATTTTCTGAATTTCCTTTGTTACATCACTTTATTGCATTTCTCTATTTTAATTGTCTCTAACTTTATGAAAAGTGTATATCATGCTCTATGTAATTTTTTGAGACCAGCATTTCCCACTCAAAACGTCATTTCAAAGATTCATCCATACTGAGTTTCTGCTGTCTCTTCATTTTGGTGACACCGTAATATCCCAGCGGGTGAAATATTCCACGACTTATGGATGCATCCTTCTGCCTATGGGCATTAGGTTATTTCCTCGTGGAAACAGGAAAATGGAAATAGGAATATTTCTATGGGGTATTTTGGGGCAGGGCTACTGTAAACATTTTTAGACATATTACGTGATGGGCAAATCAGGACTGCCGTGAGACACCCTTTTCACACCAATATTGAAAGACAAGACTAGCTGGATGTCCTAGGCTGACTCAGAATTCCTAAGCCTCGCTGGGGACGGTGACCGCACCCACCTTTAAACACGGGGCTTGTAACTCAGCTCACACCCGGCCAATCAGGTAGTAAAGAGGGAGCTCACTAAAATACAAATTAGGCTAAAAGCGGGAGGTAAAGAAATAGTCAAATCATCTATCACTTGAGAGCACAGTGGGAGGGACAATGATTGGGATATAAACCCAGGCATTTGAGCCGGTTTGGGTCCCCTCCTGTTGGAATGGGAGCTCTGTTTTCACGCTATTAAATCTTGCAACTGTACACTCTTCTGATGCATGTTTGTTCCCGCTCGAGCTGAGCTTTCGCTCGCCGTCCACCACTGCTGAACGCCGCCGTTGCAGACCCACCTTTGAGTTCCACCCCTCCGGATCAGGCAGGGTATGTGCTGTGCTTCTGATCCAGCGAGACGCCCGCTGCGGCTCCCAATCATTGTTCCTGAGTGGCTAAGTGTCCGGGTTCATCCTCATGGAGCTGAACACTAGTCTCTGGGTTCCACGGTTCTCTTCCGTGACCCATGGCTTCTAACAGAGCTACAACACTCACTGCATGGCCCAAGGTTGCATTCCTTGGAATCCGTGAGGCCAAGAACCCCAGCGCAGAGAACAAAAGGCCTGCCGCCATCTTGGGAATGGCCGGCTGCCATCTTGGGAGTGGCCGTCTGCCATCTTGGGAGTGGCCCGCCACCATCTTGGGAGTGGCCCGCCGCCATCTTGGGAGTGGCCTACCCCCATCTTGGGAGCTGTAAGAACAAAGACCTGCCTGTAACCATATGATTGGCAAAAATGTTAAAAATGAAGAATTCTGACAGTCGCAGATGTTGCCATAGGTGGCAAAGATTGGCTTTCCTCAACATCGTAGGGCAAAATGTCCGTCTCGACCACCATTTTGGAAAGGGTTTGGCCTCATCTTATAAAGCTGAGAAACACGGGTTCCCCAGCCCAGCAATTGTACTCTGGGTGTGTCCCCAAGATGAACTCCAGCCTTTGGGACTTGTCAGAGGCACTGGAACCAGAACAACTTCGGCTTGAATAGGGGCTGGGTAAAATGAGGCTGAGACGTACTGGGCTTCATCCCCAGATGGATAAGGCATCCTAAGCTGCAGGATGAGACAGGAGGTTAGCACAAGATACAGGCCATAAAGACCTTGCTGATGAAACAGCTTGCAGTAAAGAAGCTGAATGAAACCCACTGAAACCAAGATGGCAATGAGAGTGACCTCTGGTCATCTTCACTGCTACACTCCCACCAGCGCTAAGACAGTTTACAAATGCCATGGCAACGTCGGGAAATTACCCTATATGGTCTAAAAAGGGGAGGCATGAATTATCCACCCCTTGTTTAGCATAAATTCCTTCCTGGGGGTTCCAGGTGTCCTCCCTCTCTAGGGGTCTGGAATGGCATCCCTGGGCTTGTGGCCGCATCACTCCAGTCTCTACCTCCACTCACAGGTTCTTGGGTTAGAATATGAATATATCTTTTTTTGGGATACATAGTTCAATCCACTTCTTAAGTATCAAGTTCTCTCTGGAGGCTCTAGGGAGGATCCTTTCTGCCTCTCCCAGCTCCTGGGGGCTCCAGGCATCCCTGGGCTTGTGGTCGCATCACTCCAGTCTCTGCCTCCATCTCCACGTGGCCTTCTCCTGTGTGTCTGTGTCTCCTCTTCTGTCTCTTAAAAAGACACTTGTCATTGCATTTAGGGTCTACCCTACTCTACTCCAGGATGATATCATCCCAAGGCCCTTCACTTTATCACATCTGCAGAGACCCTATTTCCAAATAAGTTCTTACTCCAGGTTCTGGGCTTTCAGATGTGGACAGATCTTTCTGGGGGCCACTGTTCAATCCAGTACAATTGTATCCAGTTCCCTCTGGAGGCTCTAGGGGAGGATCCTTCCTGCCTCTCCCAGCTCCTGGGGTCTCCAGCATCCCTGGGCTTATGGCCCCATCACTCCAGTCTCTGCCTCCATCTCCACGTGGCCTTCTCCTCTGTGTCTGTGTCTCCTCTTCTGTCACTTACAAGGGCACCTGTCATTGGATTTAGGGCCACCATACTCCAGGATGATCTCATCTCAAGATCCTTTTCCTAAGCACATCGGCAAAAACCCCTATTTCCAAATAAGGTCTCATTACCAGGTTCTGGGCTTTAGGATGTAGACGTATCTTTTTGAGGGATCACTGCTCAATCCATTCCAGTTGTATCCAGTTCTTTCTGGAGGCTCTAAGGGAGGATCCTTCCTTCCTCTCCCAGCTCCTGGGGGCTCCAGGTGTCCCCGGGCTTGTGGCCACATCACTCCAGTCTCTGCCTCCATCTCCATCTCCTCCATCTCCAGGTGGCCTTCTCCTCTGTGTCTGTGTCTCCTCTTCTGTCTCTTACAAGGACAGCTGTCATTGGATTTAGAGTCCACCTTAATCCAATATGACCTCACCATAACTTGACTAAAACTGCGAAGACTGTATTTCCAAAGAAGGTGATGTTCACAGATTCTGAGTGGATGTGAATTTTGGAGAGGACGCAATTTCCGTCCCCTGCAGAGTGTCTTGTGCTGTCTCCAATGTCCTCATCTGCTCTCATCTCCCAGAGACCCTGTGGGCATTGACCAAGGTGGTCCTACTGTGTTGCCACCTCCAGGGTCTTACCTTTCGCCAGGTGTGCCCACCTGGTGGCCGAATGGTGCAAATTGAAATAGTCTTTGCTCTCCGTTCCCTCATCTCTCTCTGTGTGTGTCCCTCTCTCTCTCTCTCTCTGTTTCTCCAGCATGCTGGTCCTGTCCACACTACCCCATCCAGCCCGGTGGACCCCATTCTCATCCACTCAGCAAGGGAGGAAAGTGCTCACGTGAAAACAGGTGAGGATGTGAAGAGGGGCTTCGGAGCATGCAGCCAGGGCAAGAGGGTGGGCAGCACTGGGATGGAGCCCACGGCATTCTGTGGTCATCCCTGCACCTGCCTGGGGGCTTTGTCTGCATTCGCTCCTCTTCACCATCCACAACTTCTCACTCTTCCTCCATGTGGTACACATTTTCCTGCCCAGGAGCTGCTCCCTGAGCTCGGGATGCTCTCCCTCTAGATCCCTACATGGCTGTTACCTTCTTGTCCACACTTAGCAAGACCCACAATTGTTTGGTTCAGTCTTTGGGGGCAGCTGTCTCCTGAGCAAGACCAGCTCTCTCAAGCCTAGAATGTGAGTCAAGGAAGCAGCCAGGAGCTGAACCAGCAGCACTAAAGCTACATCCGCCTCTTCCCAGGAAACGATGGTTTAGAATCATCCTTGTGCACCTGCCAGGATCATTAGACTCAAAACATAGACAAAGAAAAATCATAAGTGGGCCAGACGCGGTGGCTCACGCCTGTAATCCCAGCGCTTTGGGAGGCCGAGGAGGGTGGATCACCTGAGGTCAGGAGTTCGAGACCAGCCTGACCAACATGGAGAAACCCCGTCTCTACCAAAAATACAAAACTAGCCGGGTGTGGTGGTGCATGCCTGTAATCCCAGCTACTTGGGAGGCTGAGGCCGGAGAATCACTTGAACCTGGGAGGAGGAGGTTGAGGTGAGCCGAGATCGCGCCACTGCACTCCAGCGTGGGTGACAGAGCGAGACTCCGTTTCAAAAAAAAAAAGCAGAACTGTATTTGCAAACTATGCCTCTGAAATGAGTTAATTTTAATCTATAAGACACTTAGGGCCGGGTGCGGTGGCTCACGCCTGTAATCCCAGCGCTTTGGGGGGCTGAGGCGGGCGGATCACGAGGTCAGGAGTTCGAGACCATCCTGGCTAATGCGGTGAAACCCCGTCTCTACTAAAAATATTTTAAAAATTAGCCAGGCGTGGTGGCGGGCGCCTGTAGTCCCAGCTACTGGGAAGGCTGATGCAGGAGAATGGCGTGAACCCGGGAGGCGGAGCTTGCAGTGAGCCGAGATATTGAAGTAAGACGTGTCCGCTGGGAATAGGCCATCAATGCACGCACTTTGAGAACCCGAAACCCAGGAAGGTTTTCTCTGTGCCTCATTCTGTCTTTCTGAAACAACTCTGCCCAGATGGGAAGGCATCGGGGTCGGGGTAAAGTCACACACACACAAGCAGGGCTGGGTTTGGGGTGTGGGAGCCATGGATGGTGATAGGGTTTGGCTGTGTCCCCACCCAACTCTCCTCTTGTATTGTAGCTCCCACCGTTCCCATGTGTTGTGGGAGGGACCCAGGGAAGGGAATTGAATCATGGGGAAGGGGAAAGGGGAAGAAGGGGGTCTTTCTCGTGCTATTCTCGTGGTAGTGAATAAGACTCACAAGATCTGATGGTTTTATAAAGGGAGGTTCCCTGCACACATGTCAGATGTGCCTTTCGGCTTCCGCCGTGACTGAAGGGCCTCTGCAGCCCCATGGAACTGTGAGTCCATGAAATCTCTTCCTTTTGGAAATCACCCAGTCTCAAGTAACGTCTTTATCTGCAGCATGAACACAGACTAACACAGCTGGGTTTTAAAAGTCCTCTCCCCTGTAATCCCAGCACTTTGGGAGGCCGAGGCGGGCGGATCACCTGAGGTCAGGAGTTCGAGACCAGCCTGACCATCATAGAGAAACCCTGCCATCTCTACTAAAAATACAAAATTAGCCAGACATGGTGGTGGGCACCTGTAATCCCAGCTACTCAGGAGGCTGAGGCAGGAGAATCACTTGAACCTGGGAGGCAGAGGTTGCGGCCAGCCGAGATCGCACCACCGTACTCCAGCCTGGGTGACAAGAGTGAAAGTCCATCTCAAAAACAAATAAATAAACATAAAAGTCCTCTCTCAACAGACTCAATTTCAAGTTCAGATGAGGAACGGGGAAGCTGACGCTTGGAGATGCTGATTTTCCCCAAAGGATCCCAAAGCTCACAGACACCTTGGGATAGGATTTGGTTCCCATCCTCCAAGCGTTGTTCTCTGCAAGACAGACTTAGTGAGCTACCCTCAGTTCTTTTGTTTTGTTTTGTTTTGTTGAGACAGAGTCTCGCTCTGTCACCCAGGCTGGAGTGCAGTGGCGCAATCTCGGCTCACTGCAAGCTCCGCCTCCCGGGTTCACGCCATTCTCCTGCCTCAGCCTCCCGAGTAGCTGGGACTACAGGTGCCCGCCACCACGCCTGGCTAATTTTTTGTATTTTTAGTAGAGATGGGGTTTCACTGTGTTAGCCAGGATGGTCTCGATCTCCTGACCTCCTGATCCACCCGCCTGGGCCTCCAAAACTGCTGGGATTACAGGCGTGAGCCACCGCGCCCGGCCCTAAGTGTCTTACGTATTAAAATTAACTCATTTCAGAGGCATAGTTTGCAAATACAGTTTCTCTTTTTTTTTTGAGACGGAGTCTCGCTCTGTCGCCCAGGCTGGAGTGCAGTGGCGCAATCTCAGCTCACTGCAAGCTCCGACTCCCAGGTTCACGCCACTCTCCTGCCTCAGGCTCCTGAGTAGCTGGGACCACAGGCGCCCGCCACCACGCCCGGCTAATTTTTTTTTTTATATTTTTAGTAGAGACGGGGTTTTGCCACGTTAGCCAGGATGGTCTCGATCTCCTGACCTTGTGATCCGCCCGCCTCGGCCTCCCAAAGTGCTGGGATGACAAGCGTGAGCCACCGCGCCCGGCCCCGTCAGATCTTGTATTTGAATGTGCACCTCATCCTCTCACTGTGAAGAGGTATTTTCAGTTACACATAGTGAAGTGGACAGGAGCTGCGATGTAGCTGCTTTCTGCCCTTTTACTCTT
This sequence comes from Homo sapiens, assembly GCF_000001405.40. Taxonomy (NCBI): domain Eukaryota; kingdom Metazoa; phylum Chordata; class Mammalia; order Primates; family Hominidae; genus Homo; species Homo sapiens. The sequence continues at coordinate 1,065,497 of NC_000023.11, forward strand.
TGATGATCTTTGAGGGAAAAGAGTTAGGGACAAAATTTAAACACACACACACACACACACACACACACACACACGTATGAAAACCACGATTCTTCTTTTCTTGTAATCCCAGCTCTAAGCAGATTTAATGGCCCTGTTATTGCTGAGCGAAATTAACTCCTTATGAAACAACTTACAAAGCGCCTTTGTAGATTCCATTTCTGAATAATCAGAAAAGGGTTTGGGTCGTGTCTGGGCATCTGTTCCTCGTTAGTTACCACGTTGCCTCTCTGAGTACAGGGTTCTGTTTTCATTAAACACCTACTCCAGTGGGGCCACGTTGGGTTTTGTTTTTTGTTTTTTGTTTTTTTCTTTTCTTTTCTTTTTTTTGAGACGGAGTTTTGCTCTTGTTGCCCAGGCTGGAGTGCAATGGCGCGATCTCAGCTCACTGCAACCTCTGCCTCCTGGGCTCAAGCAATTCTCCTGCCTCAGCCTCTGGAGTAGCTGGGACTACAAGCACCCACCACCATGCTGAGCTAATTTTTGTATGTTTAGTAGAGACGGGGTTTCACCATCTTGGCCAGGCTGGTTTCGAACCCCTGACCTCAAGTGATCCACCCGCCTCGGCCTCCCAAAGTGCTAGGATTACAGGTGTGAGCCACCACGCCCAGCCTTTTTTCTTTCTTTCTTTTTTCTTTTCTTTTTTTTTTTCATTCAAACAGGGTGGGGAGCTAGGGGAGAGATAGCATTAGGAGATAGCACCAAATGTAGGTGACGGGTTGATGGGTGCAGCAAACCACCATGGCACATGTATACCTACGTAACAAACCTGCACGTTCTGCACATGTACCCCAGAACTTAAAGTATAATAAATAAAATAAAGTAAAATAAATGTATAATATATAACATGTGGCTGAGTGCAGTGGCTCATGTCTGTAATCCCAGCACTTTGGGAGGCCTAGGAGGGCAGATCACGAGGTCAGGAGTTCGAGACCAGCCTGGCCAACATAGTGAAATTCCATCTCTACTAAAAATAAAAAAAATAAGAAAATAAAAAATTAGCCGGGCGTGGTGGCGGGCACCTGTGATCCCAGCTACTCGGGAAGCTGAGGCAGGAGAATCGCTTGAACCCAGGAGGCTGAGGTTGCGGTGAGCCGAGATCGCGCCACTGCACTCCAGCCTGGGCAACAGAGTGAATTAAAAAAAAAAGACAGAGATGAGACCGTATGTCCACAGTTAGCCTGACAGGCAGGATACTTACCATCCGAGTGGTAACTGAGATGAAACGGGGGGTGGCGGGGGTAACTGAAGTGCAACCAGGAGGTCGTCGAGCTGAGAAATGGGAAGAAAAATGAGAAGAAATATATGAAGGGAAGCTGCGGTTTAGGAGCAAATATCTGGCCCTCACGTCAGATGTATATGCGACTCGCGGCAAGTTTATATATATCTAGAAAAGGACTACAGGTGCATATCCTCACACACAGCTAATTTTTATATTTTTGTAGAGAGGGAGTCTTGTTATATTGCCTATGCTGATCTGAAACTCCTGGGCTCAAGCTATCTTCCCACCTCAGCCTCCTAAGCAGCTGGGACTACAGGCACACACCACCACACCCAGATAATTTTTATTTTTTTGTAGAGATGGGGTGTTGCCGTATTATCTATGCTGGTCTGAAACTCCAGGGCTCAAGCTATCTTCCCACCTTAGCCTCCTAAGCAGCTGGGACTACAGGTGCACAACACCACACCCAGATAATTTTTATTTTTTTGTAGAGACAGGGTGTTGCTGTATTATCTATGCTGGTCTGAAACTCCAGGGCTCAAGCTATCTTCCCACCTCGGCCTCCCAAGTAGCTGGGACTACAGGCACACACCACCACACCCAGATAATTTTTACTTTTTTGTAGAGATGGGGTGTTGCCATATTATCTTTGCTGGTCTGAAACTCCTGGGCTCAAGCTATCTTCCCACCTTAGCCTCCTAAGCAGCTGGGACTACAAGTCTCTACTACCACACCCAGATAATTTTCTTTTTTTTTTTTTGAGACGGAGTCTCACTCTGTCGCCCAGGCTGGAGTGCAGTGGCACGATCTCAACTCACTGCAAGCTACACCTCCCGGGTTCATGCTATTCTCCTGCCTCAGCCCTCAGCCTCCTGAATAGCTGGGACTACAGGCACCCGCCATCACGCCCGGCTAATTTTTGTATTTTTAGTAGAGACGGGGTTTCACCATGTTAGCCAGGATGGTCTCGATCTCCTGACCTCATGATCCACCCGCCTCGGCCTCCCAAAGTGCTGGGATTACAGGTGTGAACCACCACACCCAGCTACTTTTTATATTGTGTTAGAGACAGGTTCTTGCTATATTAACTATGCTGCTCTGAAACTCCTGGGCTCAAGCAATCTTCCCACCTTGGCCTCCCAAACGGTTATGATAACAGATGTGAACCACCACACTCAACCTAGGCTAGCACTTTTTTTTTTTTGAGAGGGAGTCTCACTCTGTCGCCCAGGCTGGAGTACAGTGGAGGGATCTCAGTTCACTGCAACTTCTGCCTCCCGGATTCACGCCATTCTCCTGCCTCAGCCTTCCGAGTAGCTGGGATCACAGGTGTGCACCACCATGCCTGGCTAATTTATGAATTTTTAGTAGAAACAGGGCCAGGCTGGTCTCTAACTCCTGACCTCAGGTGATCCACCCGCCTCGGCCTCCCAAAGTGCTGGGATTACAGGCGTGAGCCACCACATCCAGCTGATTTTTGTATTTCTGGTAGAGACGGGGTTTCACCATGTTAGCCAGGCTGGTCTTGAACTCCTGACCTCAGATGATCCACCCGCCTCAGCCTCCCAAAGTACTGGGATTACAGCTGTGCACCACCACACCCAGCTAATTTTTGTATTTTTAGTAGAGATAGGGTTTCAGCATGTTGGTCAGGCTGGTCTCGAACTCCCGACCTCAGGAGATCCACCCGCCTCGGCCTCCCAAAGTGCTGGGATTACAGGTGTGAGCCACTGTGCCCAGCCTTGTTTTTGAGACAGGGTTTTGCTTTTATTGCCCAGGCTGGAGTGCAATGGTGCGATCTCAGCTCACTGCAACCTTCACCTCCCAGGTTCAAGCGATTCTCCTGCCTCAGCTTCCCAACTAGCTGGGATTACAGGCGTGCGCCACCACGCCCAGCTAATTTTTGTATTTTTAGGAGAGACAGGGTTTCACCCTGTTGGTCAGGCTGGTGTCGAACTCCTGACTTCAGGTGATCTGCCCGCCTCTGCCTCCCAAAGTGCTGGGATTACAGGCATGAGCCAACACGCCCGGCCAGCGTGTGTGTTTCACGAAGCTCCCTGTGATGACAAGGAGCTGTGGATGATGAAGAAACTTGTATTTCTCAGCAGCAGAATTTTCAGGCCTTCATCTCCACGTTCTGTGGATTCGAAATGATGCCTCATCCGGGCCATTAATTTCAGCCCTTCTATAGCGCTCCTTACACACGATAATCATGTCCATTTGGGCACTGACTTCTCTAGATGGCATCTCACCAGAGACTAAGTACTGGGTGCTGACAATTGATAGGAAATTCAGTCTGCGGCAGTTAATATATGGAAACGCGATTTGTACTTAATCATCCCACTGGGAGTCCTAAGGGCAAGTAAGTGGATGCAGGCATTTTAAAATGCACGGGTGGGTTACGGCAACCTCACTTGCCACAGGCTCTCTTCCCCATAGACAGCTGAAGAGCTGAATAAATAAGGTACGTTTCCCTGGCGTTTGACCCAACGCCTGTGTCTTCTTCCCCCCGACCGCACCTGCCAGGCGACTAACACCTTTCAGGGAGGCTCACATAACTAGGCAGGTCCACGGCTGGGATTTGCAGACTCTCATGCTGACGAGCATAGACCCTGACACTCATTTATTTACCGACACAGAGATCTCCTTTTTCGTTAGAATAGAAATTTGTAGGCGACCGGCTCCTTCACTGTTTAATATTAAAGGATCAGAGACAATGCCTGGGTGGGGCGAAGGGAGGGGGATGTGACAATTTGCAGGGTGACTTACCCGGCTTCCTGTGACACCAGCTAATTGGAAGGGGCAGTAATGATGTTCTGTTTTGGTCCCTGGGACCCCAGGATGGGGCTGAGAGGGTATTTTTAGAAGTTGGCCGTGCTTACATTTTTGAGGAACCTATGACTTTTTTTGGTTGACTTTATTCCTTTTTATTTAAATTTAAAAACACTTCAAAGTACAAAAATACAAGTGCTTCAAAACAGACAGATGGGCCGTGCACAGTGGCTGACGCCTGTCATCCCAGCACTTTGGGAGGTCGAGGCGGGCGGATCACTTGGGGTCAGGAGTTCAAGACCAGCCTGGCCAACATGGTGAAACCCCGTCTCTACTAAAAATACAAAATTAGCTGGACGTGCTGGTGCGCACCTGTAATCCCAGGTACTTGGGAGGCGGAGGCAGGAGAATCTCTTGAACCCGGGAGGCAGAGGTTGCAGTGAGCTGAGATCGTGCCACTGCACTCCAGCCTGGGCGACAGAGTGAGACTCCATCTCAAAAAAACAAACAAACAAAATATAGATGGGTTTGTCCCAAATATAAACTTTCTTATTTCTTATATTTCTCCAAAAATCCCTCTTCATCCCTGTTTATGATTTTAATTCTACCATTTCTCTATAGATGTATACTGCTTTTATAATCATAATTTAAAATTTTATCCTGCGGGCTGTGAATGGTAGCTCATGCCTATAATGCCAGGACTTTGGGAGGGCGAGGTGGGCGGATTGCTGGAGCCCGGGAGAAATTTGAGACCAGCCTGGGCAACATGGCGAAACCTCCTCTCTACAAAAACACAAAAACAAAAATTAGCTGGGTGTGGTGGCAGGCACCAAGCGGCACAGCTACTAGGGAGGCTGACAGGGAAAAGTATCTCTTGATCCCAGGAGGTTGAGGTTGTAGTGAACTGTGATTGTGCCACTGCACTCCAGCCTGGTGGACAGAGTGAGATCCTATCTCAAAAAGAAGGAAGGGAGGGAGGGAGGGAGGGAGGGAGGGAAGAAAGAGAGAAAGAAAGAGAAAGAAAGAAAGAAAGAGAGAGGAAGGGAGGGAGGAAGAGAGGGAAAGAGAAAGGAAGGAAGGAAAGAAGGAAGGAAGGGAGGGAAAGAAAGAGAGAGACAAAGAGAAAGAAAAAGAAAGAAAGAGAGAGAGAGAGGAGGGAGAAGGAGGGAGAGAGAGAGAAAAGGAAGGAAGGACGAAGGAAGGGAGGGAGGGAGGGAAAGAAAGAGAGAGAAAGAAAGAAAAAGAAAGAGAGAGATGGAGGAAGGAAGGAAAGAAAAGAAAAGAAAGAAAGAAAGAAAGAAAGAAAGAAAGAAAGAAAGAAAGAAAGAGAGAGAGAGAGGGAGGGAAAGAGAGACAGGAAGAAAGAGAGAAAGAGACAGAAAAAAAAGAGAGAAAGAAACAGAAAGAGGAAAAGAAAAAAAGAAAATTTTATCTTGCAAGATTGCCTGTTGTATTTTTGTTTCGATAGCTCACTTGTTACCCGCTGATGTTATATTGTGTCTCTTTCTCCAAAGTATACATCGCTCTTTTTTCTTTTGTTTTGTTTTGAGACGGAGTTTCGCTCTTGTTGCCCAGGCTGGAGTGCAACGGTGCCATCTCGGCTCACTGCAACATCCACCTCTCGGGTTCAAGCGACTCTCCTGTCTCAGCCTCCAGAGTATCTGGAACTACTGGCGTCCACCACCACGCCCGGCTAATTTTTGTATTATTAGTAGAGATGGGGTTTCACCATGTTGGCCAGGCTGGTCTCGAACTCCTGACTTCACGTGATCCACCCGCCTTGGCCTCCCAAAGTGCTGGGATGACAGGCGTGAGCCACTGTGCCTGACCAATTTTCGTATTTTTAGTAGACACGGGGTTTCACCCTGTTGGCCAGGCTGGTCTCAAGATCCTGACCGCGTGATCCTCCCACCTTTGTCTCCCAAAGTGCTGGGATTACAGGCGTGAGCCACTACGCCTGGCTTTTTTTTAATTTTTATTATTTATTTATATTTATTTATTTATTTGTGAGAAGGTCTCACTGTGTCGTCCCGGCTGGAGTGCAAGGGTGTGATCCTGGCTCACTGCAGCCTCGACCTCCTGGGTTCAAGAGATCTTCCCACCTCAGCCTCCTGAATAACTGGGATTACAGGTGTGCACCACCACACCCAGCTAATTGTTAATTTTTCTGTAGCCAGACTGTTGCCATGTTGCCTGGGCTGGTCTCAAACTCCTGGCCACAAGTGATCCTCCCACCTCAGCCTCTCAAAGTACTGGGATTACAGGTGTCAGCCTCCATATGTGACCTGAAATGCCATTTTTGAGTTACAAGACAGAGAGACAGTGGAGAGATTTACTTTTTTCCTTCTTTTTTAGACAGAGTCTCCCTCTGTCCCCCAGGCTGGAGTGCAGTGGTGCGATCTCAGCTCACTGCAAGCTCTGCCTCCCGGGTTCAAGCAATTCTCCTGCCTCAGCCTCCCGAGTAGCTGGGATTACAGGCGTGCACCACCACGCCTGGCTATTTTTTGTATTTTTAGTAGAGACGGGGTTTTACCATGTTGGCCAGGCTGGTCTCGAACTCCTGACCTCAGGGGATCCGCCCACCTCGGCGTCCCAAAGTGCTGGGATGACAGACATGAGCCTCCACATCTGACCGAAAATGCCATTTTTGAGTTACAAGACAGACAGTGGAGAGATTTACTTTTTTCCTTTTTTTCGTTTTTTTGAGATGGAGTCTTGCTGTGTCCCCAGGCTGGAGTGCAGTGGTGTGATCTCTGCTCACTGCAACCTCCGCCTCCCAGGTTCAAGCAATTCTCCTGCCTCATCCTCCCGAGTAGCTGGGATTACAGGTGTGCACCACCACGCCTGGCTATTTTTTGTGTTTTTAGTAGAGACGGGGTTTCTCCATGTTGGCCAGGCTAGTCTCGAACTCCTGACCTCAGGTGATCCACCCACCTCGGCCTCCCAAAGTGCTGGGATTACAGGTGTGAGCCACCGCGCCCGGCCGGGATGTCTTTTTTCTTATTCTGTTTTCTATTTTCCAAGTGCACCAGGTTGATGATACCTATTTTCCTTTTCAAAAGAGGTGGGGTTATTGATTTTAAAAAGAAAGACCTGGGAAAAAACCGACTTGGATGTTTTTCTGTTTGCAGGATGAGGTTATAAGGCGGGAATTGACTCTGGAGGCAGGGCTTGGACCCTGGACCAAACTGGGAACCAACTGAAATACAGCTGGGGTGTAAGCCCCCCTCCATCGCACACACCCAGCAGGGTGCAGGTCCAGGTATCGTTGCCATGGCAACACGCCGGAAGTACCGCCCCCTTTCCATGGCAACGACCCGGAAGTTGCCACTCTTTCCCTAGAAATTGCTGTAGAGGGCCGGGTGCGGAGGCTCACGCCTGTAATCCCAGCACTTTGGGAAGCCGAGGCAGGTGGATCACGAGGTCAGGAGTTCAAGACCAGCCTGGCCAAAATGGTGAAACGCGGTCTGTACTAAAAATACAAAAAAAAAAAAAAAAAAAAAAAAGAAATTGCTGTTGCATAACCCGCCCCTTCATTTGCATGTAATTAGCAGCGGGTATAAATAAGACTGCGGGACCGACTCTGCAAGCTCTGCAAGAAACAGCACCTTGCTGGGCTCAAGTGACCCTCCCACCTCAGCCTCTAGAGTAGCTGGGACTACAGGCAGGTGCCACCAGGTCTAGCTATTTTTTTTTTTTTTTGTATTTGCAGAGACAGGGTTTTGCCTTGCGGTGACCCGAGATCGAGCCACTGCACTCCAGCCTGGGCAACAAGAGTGAAACTGTGTCTAAAAAATAAAATAACATAGCATAACATAACGTAACGTAACATAACATAACATAACATAACATAACATAACATAACAAACACAATAAAAATAAAATAAAATAAAAAATAAAATATAAAATAAAATAAAAAATAAAAATTTAAAAATAAAATAAAATATAAAATAAAATAAAATAAAAAATAAATATATAAAAATAAAATGAAATATGAAATAAAAAATAAAATAAATAAAATATAAAATAAATAAATAAATAAAATATAAAATATAAAATAAAATAAAATGTAAAAGTAAAATAAAAAATAAAATAAAATAAAATAAAAATATAAAAATAAAATAAAATATGAAATAAAAAAATGAATAAAATATAAAATAAAATAAAATATAAAAATAAAATAAAATATAAAATAAAAAATAAATAAAATATAAAATAAAATATAAAAATAAAATAAAATAATAAAATAAATAAAATATAAAATAAAATATAAAATAAATAAATAAATAAAATATAAAATATAAAATAAAATAAAATGTAAAAGTAAAATAAAAAATAAAATAAAATAAAATAAAAATATAAAAATAAAGTAAAATATGAAATAAAAAAAAATATAAAATAAAAAATAAATAAAATATAAAATAAAATATAAAAATAAAATAATAAAATAAATAAAATATAAAAAAATAAAATATAAAATAAAAAATAAATAAAATATAAAAATAAAATAAAATGATAAAATATAAAATAAAATATAAAATAAATAAATAAATAAAATATAAAATATAAAATAAAATAAAATGTAAAAGTAAAATAAAATATAAAGTAAAATAAAATAAAAAATAAAAATATAAAAAAATAAAATATGAAATAAAAAATAAATAAAATATAAAATAAAATAAAATATAAAAATAAAATAAAATATAAAAATAAAATAAAATATAAAATAAAAAATAAAATATAAAAATAAAATAATAAAATAAATAAAAATATAAAATAAAATAAAATCTGCCATCTCACACTCCCGACTCACCCTGAATTCTTTCCTGGACAAAGCCAAGAACCCTCCCAGCCTAAGCATTAATTTGAGGACCCACCTGCCCGACATCAGAGGCATACCTTGGTTGCAAAGGGTCCTAGAAAGAATACATTAAAGAAGGAGAGAAACTGGATATTTCACTCTGGGTCAACTCTTCGTTGCTGCTTGGAAGAGACCACATCACATGCCATGAATCCCAGGTGTCATCTGCAGAGACTGTAAAAATATGTCTGAGGGATCCCAAAAAAGTTAAACACAGAATTTCCACAGGACCCAGAAATTTCACTTCTAGGTGTATAACCGAGAGAATTCAAAACAAGTGTCCAAATAGATTTTGTCCTCGAATGTTCAAAGCCACATTTTTCTTACTGGGAGGCGTTATGTGTCCAATTGACTGGGCTCTGAGGTGCCCAGATATTTGGCTAAACATGATTCTGGGTGTGTCTTTGAAGGTGATTCTAGGTGCTGTGATTTGGTCTTCCTAGGCTTTCGGACTGGAACTCACAGTACCAGCTTTCTTGGGTATGAGGCCTTCAGATTCACAGGGGAACTCACACCGTCAGCTCTCCTGGGTCTCAGGCCTTCAGACTAAGATGGGAACGCACACCCTCGACTCTCCTGGGTCTCAGGACTTCGGACTCAGACTGGAACTCACACTCTCAGCTCTCCTGAGTCTCAGGACTTCAGACTCACACTAGAACTCACACCCTCGGCTCTCCTGGGTCTCAGGCCTTCAGACTCACACTAGAACTCACACCCTCGGCTCTCCTGGGTCTCAGGCCTTCCGGAACTCAGACCCTCAGCCCTTCCGGGTCTCAGGACTTCAGACTCACACTAGAACTCACACCCTCGGCTCTCCTGGGTCTCTGGACTTCAGACTCAGACTGAAACTCACACACTCGGCTCTTCTGGGTCTCGGCCCTTCAGGAACTCAGACCCTCAGCCCTTCCAGGTCTCAGGACTTCAGACTCACACTAGAACTCACACCCTCAGCTCTCCTGGGTCTCAGGCCTTCAGACTCAGACAGGAACTCACACCCTCAGCTCTCCTGGGTCTCAGGTCTTCACACTCACACTGGACTCACACCCTCGGCTCTTCTGGGTCTCGGCCCTTCAGGAACTCAGACCCTCGGCTCTCCTGGGTCTCAGGACTTCAGACTCACACTGGAATTCACACTTTTAGCTCTCCTGGGTCTCAGGCCTTCAGACTCAGACAGGAACTCACGCCATCAGCTCTCCTGGGTCTCAGGCCTTCAGACTGGAACTCACACCCTTGGCTCTCCTGAGACTCAGGCCTTCAGACTCAGACTGGAATCCACACCATTTGCTGTCCTGGGTCTCCAGCTTGCTGACCTTGTATCCTAAAGTTTCTAACACTTCATATTCACTTGAGTCAATTCCTTATTAGATAGATAGATAGATAGATACATACATACATACATACAGAATCTCTTGTTGGTCATGTTCCTCTGGAGACCCTGATTAATGCATTCACAACAGCCAAAAGGTGGACCCAACCCCACACGCATCAGTGGTCATACGAATAAACACAATGTGGTAGATTCACACAGTGGAATATTACGCAGCCATGAAAAGGAACGAGGCTCTGATACAGGCTGCCGCGTGCATGAACGTTGAGGACACCATGCTCACTGAGAGGTGCCAGACACAAAAGACCACACAGTGTTTCCTTCTGTGAAATTTCCAGAACAGGGAAATCCACAGAGAGGGAGAAAGTGGATTTGGGGTTGCTAGGGGCTGGGGAGGAAGAAAGGGGAGTGACTGCTTCATATTAGTTACAGGGTGTACTTTGGAGGACTATGGTGGTCTGGACCTAGACAGAGGTGATGGTTTCATAACCATCACCCATGTACTAAACGCCTCTGAATTATACACTGAAAGAAAAAAAAAAAAAAGGCCAGGCACGGTGGCCCACATCTGTAATCTCAACACTTTGGGAGGCCAAGGCGGGCAGATCACAAGGTCAAGAGATTGAGACCATCCTGGCCAACACGGTGAAACTCTGTCTCTACTAAAAATACAAAAATTAGCCAGGTGTGGAGGCTCACGCCTATCATCCCAGCACTTTGGGAGGCCGAGGTGGGTGGATCACCTGAGGTCAGGAGTTCGAGACCATCCCGGCCAACATGGTGAAAGCCCGTCTCTACTAAAAACACAAAAATTAGCCGGGCATGGTGGCTCACGCCTGTCATCCCAGCTACTCGGGAGGCTGAGGCAGGAGAATCGCTTGAACCTGGGAGGTGGAGGCTGCAGTAAGCCAAGATCGCACCACTGCACTCCAGCCTGGGTGACAGAGCGAGACTCCATCTCAAAAAAAAAAAAATTGAATTGTTTGCTATGAAAATTTCACCTCAATGAAAAATAAAAATTAAAAGAGTATACTGATGGGGAAATAAGAGATTTAAAATTAAACACACCTGCTCCACTTCCCTCAACCCCAAGAACCGAGGCTGCCCGTCTCCTTTCCTTCGTGTTCTCCCTGCAGAGATGAGGCCGTAACAGAGAAGGCAGTTGTCACTGAGAAGGATCTCGTGGGCTGGAGGCGTTCAGCAGCGACGTTTTCCTGCTGTGATATCCCCATACCCCCTTCTTATTCTTGTGAGCCGAGCCATATCTTACGCTGGGCTTGATTCAAGACAAGTTCAGCTTGACAATTACAAAGGCAATGTTGGATGTTGTATTCGTGACAATGAGTGTTTCATAGGGTGAGACCGTCAGGCGCCTGGCGGTGACAGAATCACAGCGGATCACGACCTCAGCTGACATTGTAGGATTTCCGCCTGCTCACCGAGTTATAAAGAGGAGTTTTGGGTGGAAGAAATCACCCTTTTTTCTTTTCTTCCTTCAGTCGGGCGTTTCTGGCAGCCAGGGACCTCTTGTGAATGAAAGAAACGCTTTCCAACAATTGCGCTGTGTGTCTGTGACAAAAAAGACTCTGGGAGAAAAAGCTTTGCAGTTGACGTGGGCGCGGAGCACGAGGGCAGGCTTTGAAAGACTTCCCCAGCACGTCGGCTTTGGGGAAGTTCCACGTCGGCTCACACATGGCATTTTGGAGACTACAGATCAATGACAGGGGACTGTGAAGGTCTTCCCTGCCAGAGTACACTCTCTGTACAGGAAAGAGATCTCAAACCCCACGCCTGCAGGGATGATGGCTGGGGAGGAGGAGGAGGTGTGCAAAGGAGAGTTGTAAGGTTGCAGACGTGCAGCGACATCTGGGTCCAGGAAGATTCCACACATCAGGGGACAGTCCTTTTGATCTGCAAGATAAAGTCAGTTCTACAAAGCTCAGGAACAGCGGAGGTCTTCACGGAAGCTTTCACTGTCCTATCTTTTGTCTGCCTTTGAGCTAGAATGAGGCGTGAACACTGCAAGCTTATTTCTCGGCCGGTCGCGGTGGCTCATGCCAGTCATCTCAGCACTTTGGGAGGCCGAGGCGGGCGGATCACTTGAGGTCAGGAGTTCAAGACCAACCTGGCCAACATGGTGAAACCCCGTCGCTACTAAAAATCCAAAATAAAAAAAATTAGCTGGACATGCTGGTGTGTGCCTGTAATCCCAGCTACTTGGGAGGCTGAGGCAGGAGAATTGCTTGAACTTGGGAGGCGGAGGTTGCAGTGAGCCAAGATTGCAACACTGCACTCTAGCCTGGGCGACAGAGCGAGACTCTGTCTCAAAAAAAAAAACCCAAAGACAAAAAGCAAATGCAAGGATATTTCTCATAATCCAACCAAATTGTCCATATGTGTGTGTGTGTGTGTGTATATATATATATATATATATATACATATTTATTTATTTTTTTTCTGAGACAGGGTCTTGCTCTGTTTCCCGGCTAGAATGCAATGGCACAATCATGGCTCACTGCAGCCTCAAACTCCTGGGTTCTGAGATCCTCCTGCCTCAGCCTCCTGAGTAGCTACAATCACAGGCGTGCACATGCCCGGCTAAGTTTTTCTAATTTTTTTTGTGGAGATGGGGTCTTGCTATGTTGCCCTGCCTGGTCTCAAACTCCTGGGGTCAAGCGATGCTCCTGCCTCAGCCTCTCAAAGTGCAGGAATTACAGGCATGAGCCACCGCAACCGGCCCTCTTAAATTTTTAATTCTGAGAAGCAAAGTCTAAGGTTTTGGAATTCTCAGCGTGCTGAGATGGCTCAATGTTACTTATTGGCCTGAGAGTGTCCCAGAAGGAATAAACAAAAATCTGAATAATTCTGATTCTTCTGGAAGCTGCATTCCATTTTCTTTTTTCTTTCTTTTTTTTTTTTTGTGACACAGTCTCACTCTGTCTATCAGCCAGGCTGGAGTGCAGTGGCGCGATCTTGGCTCACTGCAGCCTCCTCCTCCCGGGTTCAAGCGATTCTCCAGCCTCAGCCTCTCCCAAGTAGCTGGGACTACAGGCACCTGCCACCACGCCCAGCTAATTTCTGTATTTTTGCTTTTTTATTTTATTTTATATTTGAGATGGAGTCTCACTCTGTCACTCAGGCTGGAGTGCAACGGCGCGATCTCGGCTCACTGCAGCGTCCACCTCCCGGGTTCAAGTGATTCTCCTGCCTTAGCCTCCCAAGTAGCTGGGATTACAGGCGCCCACCACCACACCCGGCTAATTTTTGAATTTTTAGTACAGCAGGGGTTTCGCCATGTTGACCAGGCTGGTATCGAACTCCTGACCTCATGATCCTCCCGCCTTGGCCTCCCAACATGCTGGGATTACAGGCGTGAGGCACTGCGTCCGGCTAATTTCTGAATTTTTTTTTTAGTAGAGACTGGGTTTCACCGTGTTGGCCAGGCTGGTCTCGAACTCCTGGCCTCAAGCGATCCACACCCCACACCCCGGCCTCCCAAAGTGCTGGGATTACAGGCACGAGCCACCGCTCCCAGCCTCATTTTCTTACTCTACTAGATTTTACTCACAGGCGGGGCATGGGGGGAGTATGAATTATGTTAAGTAGATACCTTGTGTAAAGGTTCAGCTGAGAAAAGTGAGAAGTGGGCACTGGTTTGGTTTAAGGAAACAGGTCTGGTTGGTGCAAGGCTGTTAGTGGTGGCTTTTGCGTTCACTCTGACAGCGGTTCTATGGTCCAACGTGGACGGCATTGTTTCCAGCTTGGAGTACGCGTGATGCTCTGTCAGGATTCACTGGCTCTCTGCCTTTGATGTCTTTTTATTTTTATTTATTTATTTTTTTTATTTTTGAGATGGAGTCTCGCTCTGTCACCAGGCTGGCATGCAGTGGCGCGATCTCGGCTCCCTGCAACCTCCGCCTCCTGGGTTCAGGAAATTCTCCTGCCTCAGCCTCCCGAGGAGCTGGGATTACAGGCATGCACCACCACGCCCAGCTAATTTTTTGCACTTTTAGTAGAGACGGGGTTTCACCATGTTGGCCAGGCTGGTCTCAATCTCTTGACCTCATGATCCACCCACGTCAGCCTCCCAAAGTGCTGGGATTACAGGCGTGAGCCACTGTGCCCAGCTGTGTCTTTTTTTTTTTTTTTTTTTAGACAGCCTTGCTCTGTCACCAGGCTGGAGTGCAATGGCGCGATCTTGGCTCCCTGCAACCTCCGCCTCCTTGGGATCAAGCAATTCTCCTGCCTCAGCCTCCTGAGTAGCTGGGATTACAAGCATGCACCACCACGCCCAGCTAATTTTTTGTATTTTTAGTAGAGACGGGGTTTCACCATGTTGGCCAGGCTGGTCTTGATCTCTTGACCTCATGATCCACCCACCTTGGCCTCCCAAAGTGCTGGGATGACAAGCATGAGTCTTGCTCTGTCGCCAGGCTGGAGTGCAGTGGCGCGATCTCGGCTCCCTGCAACCTCCATCTTCTGGGTTCAAGCGATTCTCATGCCTCAACCTCCTGAGGAGCTGGGATTACAAGGCGCACGCCACCACGGCCAGCTAATTGTTTGTATTTTTAGTAGGGATGGGGTTTCACCATGTTGGCCAGGCTGGTCTCGATCTCTTGACCTCATGATCCACCCACCTCAGCCTCCCAAAGTGCTGGGATTACAGGCTTTACCATCCACATGGAAGGGACTGGATGGACCATCAGCCCAAATGCCTGGCCCAGAGATCTCATCCAAGTCCCAAAAGAGCCAGAACTGAAGAGCTTTCAGTTGTGAAGGACAGAAAGGTAGTTCTATGGGGAGGAAGAAATGACAGATGTGTTCCCTTATCAATACCCACTACACAGCAAACATGTATCCAGTGCCTGCCCAGGACCTCTTGGCAGAGAATAAAAAATAATTGGGTGTGGCCAGGCACGGTGGCTCATGCCTGTAATCCCAGCACTTTGGGAGGCTGAGGCAGGCAGATCATGAGGTCAGGAGATGGAGACCATCCCGGCTAACACGGTGAAACCCCATCTCTACTAAAAATAAAAAAAATCAGCCGGGCATGGTCGTGGGCGCCTTAGTCCCAGCTACTCGGGAGGCTGAGGCAGGAGAATGGCGTGAACCCGGGAGGCAGAGCTTGCAGTGAGCCGAGATCGCGCCACTGCACTCCAGCCTGGGTGACAGAGCAAGACTCCATCTCAAAAAAAAATAAATAAATAAAAATAAGTGGGTGTATTCCTTTGACCTCTTCTTTCCCCAAGTCTCAAACTTGGAATCCGCAATTTAAATCCTCAGTAAAACAACTCACTGCAAAAGCTGGGTGCAGTGGCTACCGCCTGTAATCCCAGCACTTTGGGAGGCTGAAGCAGGTGGATCATGAGGTCAGGAGTTCCACACCAGCCTGGGCAACATGGTGAAACCCCGTCTCTACTAAAAACACAAAAATTGGTCAGGTGTGGTGGCTCACACCTGTAATCCCAGAACTATGGGAGGCCGAGGTAGGTGGATAACCTAAGGTCAGGAGTTTGAGACCAGCCTGGGCAACATGGTGAAAACCCATCTCTACTAAAAATACAAAAAATTAGCCAGGTGTGGTGGTGCATGTCTGTAGTTCCAGCTACTCGGGAGGCTGAGGCAAGAGAATCACTTGAAACTGGGAGGCGGAGGTTGCAGTGAGCTGAGATCCCACCACTGCACTCCAGCCTGGGCAACAAGAGTGATACTCTATCTCAAAAAAAAAAAAAAAAAAAAAAAGCTGACTTAAATCTACAGTGGGATAGTATTCACTGTTACAAAGAAGGAAATTCTCGGCCAGGCATGGCGGCTCATGCCTGTAATCCCAGCACTTTGGGAGGCCAAAGCAGGCGGATCACCTGAGGTCAGGAGTTCAAGACCAGCCTGGCCAACATGGTGAAACCCCGTCTTTACTAAAAATACAAAAATCAGCCAGGTATGATGGCAGGTGCCTGTAGTCCCAGCTACTCAGGAGGCTGAGGCAGGAGAATCGCTTGAACCCGGGAGGCAGAGGTTGCAGTGAGCTGAGATCGTGCCATTGCACTCCAGCCTGAGTGACAGAGCGAGACTCTGTCTCAAAAGAAAAGACAAAAAACAAAATCAAACAAACAACAGCAAAAACAAACAACAAACAATCTGACGTCAACCTACAGTGGGATGGTATTCACCGTTAAAAAGACGGAAATGCTAACATGTATTAGTCAAGTTTCTCTAAAGAGACAGGACTAATAAAATAGATGAATATATGCAGGGCAGTTTGTGAGGCCTCTGAGCCCAAGCCAAGCCATCGCATCCCCTGTGACTTGCACGTATATGCCCAGGTGGCCTGAAGTAACTGAAGAATCACAAAAGAAGTGAAAACGTCCTGCCCTGCCTTAACTGATGACATTCCACCACAAAAGAAGTGAAAATGGCCGGTCCTTAAGTGATGACATTACCTTGTGAAAATCCTTTTCCTGGCCCATCCTGGCTCAGAAAGTTCCCCCACTGAGCACCTTGCAACCTCCACTCCTGCCCGCCAGAGAACAAACCCCCTTTGACTGTAATTTTCCTTTATCTACCCAAATCCTATAAAAGAGCCCCACCCTTATCTCCCTCCCCTGACTCTGTTTTCGGACTCAGCCCGCCTGCACGCAGGTGATTAAAAGTTTTATTGCTCACACAAAGCCTGTTTGGTGGTCTCCACACGGACGTACATGAAAGAGTTTATCGGAAGAATTAGCTCACACGATCACAAGGTAAAGCCCTACAATAGCCCGTCTACAAGCTGAGGAGGCAGGAAGCCAGTCTGAGTCCCAAAACCTCAAAAGTAGGGAAGCTGACATGGCAGCCTTCAGTCTGTGGCCGAAAGCTCAAGAGTCCCTGGTAAAACCACTGGTGTCAGTCCAAGAGTCCAAAAGGCGAAGAGCTTGAAGTCTGAGTTTCAATGGCAGGAAGTGTCCAGCACAGGAGAAAGATGGAGGCTGGAAGATACAGCCAGTCTAGTCCTTGCACGCTCCTTTGCCTGCTTTATTCTAGCTGCGGTGGCAGCAGATGAGAGGGTGCCCACCCAGCTTGAGGGTGGCTGTGCCTCTCCCAGTCCACTGACTCAAATGTTATTCTCCTTTGGCAACACCCTCACAGATACACCCAGGAACAATACTTTGCATCCTTCCGTTCAATCAAGTTGACGCTCAGTATTAACCATCGCATAACACCTGCTCCAACACGGATGGACCTTTGAGAACATGACGCTGAGAGAAAGAAGCCAGATGCAAAAAGACAAATACTCTAGGATTCCACTTATATGAGGTCCCTAGAGTCGTCAAATTTGTAGACACGGAAAATAGAGTCGTGGGTGCCGGGGGCTTGGGGAGGGAGAAAAGGGGACAGAGTTTCAGTTTTGCAAGACGGGAAACGTCAAAAAGATTTTTTGCATAAAAAGGGAAAAGACTTACCGGGTACGGTGGCTTATACCTGTAATTCCAGGACTTTGGGAGGCCGAGGTGGGCGGGGGCGGATCATCTGAGGTCGGGAGTTCAAGACCAGCCTGAGCAATATGAAGAAACCCTGTCTCTACCGAAAATACAAAAATTAGCCGGGCATGGTGGCAGGTGCCTGTAGTCCCAGCTACTCGGGAGGCTGAGGCGGGAGAATCGCTTGAACCTGGGAGGCAGAGGTTGCAGTGAGCTGAGATCGCGCCATTGCACTCCAGCCTGGGCAACAGGAGCGAGATTCCATCTCAAAAAAAAAAAAAAAAAAGGAAAATACATAAAACGGCTAAATTGCCCTCTTACAAAGGCTCAAGATGGTAAATTTTATGTCTCATGTGGGGTTTTTTTAACCTCAATCAAAAATTATGGAAACAAGATAAATACCAAAATTATATTTATAGGGTTTATACGGTTGTGACCCAAACAGTGGAATTTGTAGGGTTGTGACCCAGAGGGCTAAGATTCGTAGGGTTACGACCCAGAGGGCTAGAATTGATAGGGTTGTGTCCCAGGGGGCTAAGATTCGTAGGGTTATGACCCAGAGGGCTAGAATTCATAGGGTTGTGACCCAGGGGGCTAAGATTTGTAGGGTTATGACCCAGAGGGCTAGAATTCATAGGGTTGTGACCGAGGGGGCTAAGATTCGTAGGGTTATGACCCAGAGGGCTAGAATTCATAGGGTTGTGACCCAGGGGGCTAAGATTTGTAGGGTATGACCCAGAGGGCTAGAATTCATAGGGTTGTAACCCACGGGGCTAAGATTCGTAGGGTTATGACCCAGAGGGCTAGAATTCATAGGGTTGTGTCCCAGGGGGCTAAGATTCGTAGGGTTATGACCCAGAGGGCTAGAATTCATAGGGTTGTGTCCCAGGGGGCTAAGATTCGTAGGGTTATGACCCAGAGGGCTAGAATTCATAGGGTTGTGACTGAGGGGTCTAAGATTTGTAGGGTATGACCCAGAGGGCTAGAATTCATAGGGTTGTGACCCAGGGGTCTAAGATTTGTAGGGTATGACCCAGAGGGCTAGAATTCATAGGGTTGTGACCCAGGGGGCTAAGATTCGTAGGGTTATGACCCAGAGGGCTAGAATTCATAGGGTTGTGACCCAGGGGGCTAAGATTCGTAGGGTATGACCCAGAGGGCTAGAATTCATAGGGTTGTGACCCAGGGGGCTAAGATTCGTAGGGTATGACCCAGAGGGCTAGAATTCATAGGGTTGTGACCCAGGGGTCTAAGATTCGTAGGGTATGACCCAGAGGGCTAGAATTCATAGGGTTGTGACCCAGGGGGCTAAGATTCGTAGGGTATGACCCAGAGGGCTAGAATTCATAGGGTTGTGACCGAGGGGGCTAAGATTTGTAGGGTTACAACCCAGAGGGCTAGAATTCATAGGGTTGTGACCGAGGGGGCTAAGATTCGTAGGGTATGACCCAGAGGGCTAGAATTCATAGGGTTGTGACCCAGGGGGCTAAGATTCGTAGGGTATGACCCAGAGGGCTAGAATTCATAGGGTTGTGACCCAGGGGGCTAAGATTCATAGGGTTATGACCCAGAGGGCTGGATTTGTAGGGTTGTGACTCATAGGGGTGGATTTGTCCAATGAAAGTCAAAGACTGTGGGAAAACTGATTCCTCTGTTTACACCTGGGTAATGATTGAACCAGCCCACTCCACGCTAGGCTGCGTTCTGCCATGTTCATTTCTCTTTATGCATGAGGTTACTCATGTTGAGCATCGGGCAATCTTCACGCAGAGATTGCTTTTCGCTCCTTCCTCTCTCTTTGGCAATTCTCTTTCCATCGTGCAGTGAAACACTGGGGAACTTTATTTGCCATGTTTTTATGAGTGGTACTCAGGTTTTATGAGAGTCCCACAACCTTCCTGACATATGTCTTTCTGCTTTCAGACACCCATTTTTGGCATCCTTTTTTTTTTTAATGTTAATTCACTTGGTATTCAAAAGTATGTCTCAAACTCAGGGTTGTTTCGATTTAATTTGAATTTTGCCTCCAGGTGCCATGGGAGACCCCCGGGCTGCTCCTGGGGTGCTGTGAACGTGTGACGTGGGGAGGGAAACGAACTCCGTGTGCCAAGCCCTCCGGGTACGTAAAGCTTAGAGGAGCTAAGACCTGGTGATGGGCTTCATGGTGCCTTTGGAGGAAGCCCTTTGGGGAATGTGATATGTCCCTTTGAGCCAAAGAGAGTCTAAGGATTTGTGTTCTGCTCCAAGGAGTAGGTAGAGTTTGGGGGAGGGATTTGCTGAAAAGGGGAGCCATAGGGCTGGGACCTATAGCTGTAGGAATTATAGGCTGAGATCCACAGCTCTCTGGCATATAGATGGCTCGATCTGTGGGGCTAAGAGTTGTAGGGTTATGACCCATAGAGCTGGATTAGTAGGGTCGTGACCCATGGTACTGGGACTCATAGGGTTATAACCCAAAGGGATGGATTCGTAGGGTTGTGACTCAGAAGGCTGAATTTGTCGAGTTGTGACCCAGAGGGCTAGAATTTGTAGGGTTGTGGCCCAAAGGGCTGAGATTTGTAGGATTATGAGCTACAGGGCTAGATTCCTAGGGTTCTGACCCATGGGGCTGGGATTGATAGGGTTGACACCCAAAGGGCTGAATTCGTAGGGTCATGACTCATTGTGCTGGATTTGCTGGGTTTTGACTCAGAGGGCTAAGAGTTGTAGGATTATGCCCTAGAAAGCTAGATTGATTGGGTTGTGACCCATGGGGCTGGGATTCATAGGGTTGTGACCCAAATGGCTGCACTTGTAGATTTGTGACCCAGAAGGCTACAATTCATAGGGTTGTGACACAGAGGGCTAAGAGTTGTAGGGTTATGACGCATAGAGTTAGATTTGTATGGCTTTAGCCCATGGGGCTGGGATTCATAGGGGTGTCACCCAAAGGGCTGAATTCGTAGGATTGTGACTCATAGGGCTGGATTTGCTGAGTTTTGACTCAGAGGGCTAAGAGTTGCAGGATTATGCCCTAGAAAGCTAGATTGATTGGGTTGTGACCCATGGGGCTGGGATATATAGGGTTGTGACCCAAATGGCTGCACTTGTAGATTTGTGACCCAGAAGGCTACAATTCATAGGGTTGTGACACAGAGGGCTAAGAGTTGTAGGGTTATGATGCATAGAGTTAGATTTGTATGGCTTTGGTCCATGGGGCTGGGATTCATAGGGTTGTCACCCAAAGGGCTGAATTCATAGGGTTGTGACTCATAGGGCTGGATTTGCTGAGTTTTGACTCAGAGGGCTAAGAGTTGCAGGATTATGCCCTAGAAAGCTAGATTGATTGGGTTGTGACCCATGGGGCTGGGATATATAGGGTTGTGACCCAAATGGCTGGACTTGTAGATTTGTGACCCAGAAGGCTACAATTCATAGGGTTGTGACACAGAGGGCTAAGAGTTGTAGGGTTATGACGCATAGAGTTAGATTTGTATGGCTTTGGCCCATGGGGCTGGGATTCATAGGGTTGTCACCCAAAGGGCTGAATTCGTAGGGTTGTGACTCATAGGGCTGGATTTGCTGAGTTGTGACTCAGAGGACTTAGAGGTGTAGGGTCATGCCCCGTTGAGCTAGATTCATAGGGTTGTGATCCAAGGGACTGAATTCATAGGGTTGTGACTCATAGTGCTGGATTTGCTGAGTTGTGATTCAGAGGGCTAAGAGTTGTAGGATTATGACCCATAGGGCTGGATTCGTATGGTTGTGACCCATGGGGCTGGGATTCATAGGGCTGGCATCTATAGAGTTGTATTCATAGGGTTGGAATTCAGTGAATGGAGCTGATTAGGGCTCGGTCATATTTGCTTGATTTTATAAGGCTAGAACTCATAAGTCTGGGGTCTGTAGAGTTGGGAATTTTAGGGCTGGACTCTACAGGGTTGGAATCCGTACTGCTAGGACATGTATTGGTGTGTCTCATATAAATGGATTTCATGAGGTTGATATCATACATTGAACCCCTTAGGGTTGATATCCCTGAGTCTGAAAAGTATAGGGTTGTGACTCATGGGGATTACAGGCGTAGAATGGGTTTTAAACTGGACCACGAGTCATTTGAGTGATGCAGAGAAGAGCTCATAGCTGCAGCGGCTGGTGAGGGGGTGGGTTGGTGGGCATTAGTGTTCTGCTGGTGTCTTCTTCTTTCACATTCTCAATGTCAGAGGAGGGTATCAGGTGAGGTTGGAGGAGATGTTGGAGGCTGGCAGGGGAAACAAAAAATGTCTGATACTCCTGGAGGAGAGGAGAATGAATAGAAGAAAATATATGTATCATGGTTCTGGCCAGCAAGAAGCAGACCGTAAGGTTGGCTGCCATTGATTTGAAGTGAGACTCCTGGTTGGGTGCCATTGAAGTGAAGCTATTGGGGGTGCCCACAGGATATTCATGAGTTACATTGAGCCCTAGAGGTGTAGGCTAGGAGTGGGTTGAGATTTGGGTCATTCCAGAAATGTGCTTCATTTCTGGAGCAAGTAAAACAAAGCAAGCGTGGGCGCGCGTTGAGAATCTGTGCGAGAAAATGATGGTGGCTATTGTCCACATGATGGGGACAAGGTTGGGAGAGGTCATTAGGGAATGTGGCAGAAGACCTGGTCAAGGTATCAGTTTTTTGGGGTTTTTTGTTGTTGTTGTTGTTGTGTTGGTTTATTGTTTGTGTGTTTGTTTTTGAGATGGAGTCTCGCTCTGTCACTGGGCTAAAGTGCAATGGCGTGATCTCTGCTCACCGCAACCTCCTCCTCCCGGGTTCAAGTGATTCTCCTGCCTCAGCCTCCTGAGTAGCTGGGATTACAGGCGTCCACCACCACGCCTGGCTAATTTTTGTATTTCTAGTACAGACAGGGTTTCACTATGTTGGCCAGGCTGGTCTCGAACGCCTCACCTCATGATCCATCTGCCTCAGATTCCCAAAGTGCTGGGATTACACGCGTGAGCCACCGGGCCCAGCCAAAAAATGTACACAAATTTTTTTTTTTTTTTGAGACAGAGTCTCTCTCTGTCGCCCAGGCTGGAGTGCAGTGGCCCAAACTCGGCTCACTGCAAGCTCCACCTCCTGGGTTCACGCCATTCTCCTGCCTCAGCCTCCCAAGTAACTGGGACTACAGGCACCCGCTACCACGCCCGGCTAATTTTTTTGTATTTTTAGTAGAGATGGGGTTGCACTATGTTGGCCAGGCTGGTCTCGAACTCCTCACCTCATGATCCGTCTGCCTCAGACTCCCAAAGTGCTGGGATTACAGGCATGAGCCACTGCACCTGGCCAAAGAATGTGCACACTTTCTTTCTTTTTTTTTTTTTTTGAGACAGAGTCTCGTTCTGTTGCCCAGGCTGGAGTGCAGTGGCACGATCTCGGCTCACTGCAAGCTCCGCCTTCCGGGTTCACGCCATTCTCCTGCCTCAGCCTCCCGAGTAGCTGGGACTACAGGCGCCCGCCACCACGCCCGGCTAATTTTTTGTATTTTTAGTAGAGACGGGGTTTCACCGTGTTAGCCAGGATGGTCTCGATCTCCTGACCGTGTGATCCACCTGCCTCACCCTCCCAAAGTGCTGGGATTCCAGGCATGAGCCACCGCACCTGGCCAAAGAATGTACACACTTTTTAGGGTTGAGGAATTCCATAGGTTTTTAGGGTTGAGCAAATGCATACCTTTCATCAGATCCTCAAACAGCCTTGTCAAACCTGACTCCTCTTCCTATAACTTGTGGTGGACGAATATTACAAAAGAAAAGAAAACTTTGGTCTTGGCCAGGCGCGGTGGCTCACACCTGTAATCCCAGCACTTTGGGTAGCCGAGGGGGGCGGATCATGAAGTCAGGAGTTCGAGACCAGCCTGACCAACATGGTGAAACCCCATCTCTACTAAAAATACAAAAAAATCAGCCAGGTGTGGTGGTGGGCGCCTGTAATCCCAGCTACTCGGGAGGTCGAGGCACGAGAATCACTGGAACCCGGGAGGCGGAGGTTTCAGTGAGCCGAGATTGTGCCATTGCCCTCCAGCTTAGGCAATGAGAGCAAAACTCTGCCTCAATTAAAAAAAAAATTAGTCTTATAGAGCACCAAAGACCAACCCTAAACAATGAGATGCAATGTGGCAAAGTCAACCTTTGGAGAGCAAAGGATGCTATGAGCAGAATAGTATTACTGTAAATAAATAGCCACAGAGAAGCTGGTGGAGGCTCATCCAAGTCATCTTCATTCATTGCCTGAAATGTGGGTGTTTGTCTGTTTGCCAGATAACTCCGGCCAGAAATAATTTTGCATAAATAGCATTGATCTTCCAGGACCTCCCTTTGGGCTGAGTTTAGTGCAAAAGTCGCTGATGTTTTCACTTCCTTTGGTGGGGACTTATTCAAGCTCA
Organism: Homo sapiens; assembly: GCF_000001405.40. Classification (NCBI taxonomy): domain Eukaryota; kingdom Metazoa; phylum Chordata; class Mammalia; order Primates; family Hominidae; genus Homo; species Homo sapiens. The sequence goes on from NC_000023.11 coordinate 1,089,570, forward strand.
GTGAATCTCCTTAAATAATAACCTGTAGCCGGTTCCTAGAAGCCTCCTTTCCTCCTTTTCGTCCTTTCCTGGAGAGACTGGATCCTCAGCCATTACATGAAGATACCATCACTGAAGGCATCTCGTTGGTGCCCTGTTGGGTGGATTTTTCTTGATACGGAAGTCCAGGCCATGTCTCTCTCAGGAATTCTGCCTCTGTGAGTGAGTGCTCATTCCAATGGGTAGCTGGGATCCCACAACTTTGCACTTTGCCTTATGTGTTGATACTGTTGACTGAGTTCAAACCTGCATGCTGGAAAGAATGAGGTTTAAACCGGGCCATTTTGTCTATGCTAGTGATATAAAAATGACATGCTCTGGAAAATAGTTTGGCAGTTTCTTTTAAAAGTAGACATTGAGCAATCACCTGACTGTTGCACTCCTGGGTAGTTAGCCCAGAGAAATGAAGACTTTTGCTCACACAAAAACCTTTACGTCATGTTTGTAACAGATTGGTTTGTAATACTCAAAAACTGGAAACAATTTAGATGTCCTTCATCAGCTGAGTAGGTAAACAAACTGTGATACATCTCTACCAGAGAATACTATCTGATAACAAAAAAGAACAGATTATTAACATATGCAACAACCTGGGTGAATCTCCAGGGAATTATGTCAAGTGAAAAAGTAGCATTCTATGTAATTCTATGTATGTAGCATTCTTGACCTGGTAAAATTATAGAAATGGAAAACAGATTAGTTGTTGCCAGGGATTAAGGAGGGAGTGGGGGCAGAAGGGAAGTGGGTATGGCTACAAATAGGCAACAGCAAGGATTCTTGTAGTGATAGAAATGTTTTGTATCTTGGCTATATCAATGTCAATATATGGGTTTGATATTGTACTATCAAGATGTTACCACTGCAAGATGTTACCACTGAGGGAAACTCAGTAAAGAGTATATGAGAAAACATAAAAATAATAATAAAGGCAGACATTGCTACCTAGGGAGAAGGTTGAAACTCACAGAAGGGGATGGGGACATCTCTGGGGACCATTATCTCTGCAGTAAGAGAGAAAAATAGGTTGGGCATGGATCATGGTGGATCAGGTGGATCACCTGAGGTCAGGAGTTCGAGACCAGCCTGGCCAACATGGTGAAACCCGTCACTACTATAAATACAAAAATTAGCCTTGTGTGGTGGCAGGCACCTGTAATCCCAGCTACTCGAGAGGCTGAGGCAGAAGAATCACTTGAACCTGGGAGGTGGAGGTTGCAGCAAGTTGAGATCACACCACAGCACTGCAGCCTGGGCCACAGAGTGAGACCCTGTCTCAAAACAAAAACAAACAAACAAAAAAAGACAGAGAGAAATAGAGAAATTGCAGCCATAACCAACTGAGTTCTGTCTTGGCACAGTGGGTTAAATATCCCATCAAAATCCATATGTTGGAACCCGCATCTGCAATGGGGTGTTATTTGGACACGGAAACTTTGGAAGATAATTAAAATTAGATTAAATCTTGAGGATATATCCCTCATGATGGGATTAGCGTTCTTATTTTATTTATTTATGAGACAGAGTCTCACATTGTCACCCAGGCTGGGGTGCAGTGGCGGGATCTCAGCTCATTGCAACCTCCACCTCCTGGGTTCACACCATTTTCCAGACTCAGCCTCCTGAGTAGTGGGGATTACAGGCACCCACCACCGCGCCCGGCTAATTTTTTGTATTTTTAGTAAAGACAGGGTTTCACCACATTGGTCAGGCTGGTCTCCAACTGCTGACCTCGGGGATCCGCCCACCTCGGCCTCCCGAAGTGCTGGGATTACAGGCATGAGCCACCGTGCTCAGCTGGGATTAGCGTTCTTACGGGAAGTAGAAGAGACACCAGAGCTCTCTCTCTCTCTCTCTCTATCTGCCATACGAGGACACAGGGAGAAGATACTGTCTATCCACCAAGAAGAGAATCCTCACCAGTAACTGAATCTGGTGGCATGCAAACTGCAGGACTTCCAGTGTCCAAAACTATGAGAAATAAATGTGTAGTGTTTGTGCCCCATAGTGGATGTTTTTTTGTTTGTATGTTTGTTTTTGTTTTTGAGACAGAGTTTCACTCTGTCGCCCAGGCTGGCATGCAGTGGCGCGATCTCGCTTCATGGCAACCTCCGCCTCCTGGGTTCAAGTGATTCTCCTGCCTCAGCCCCACGAGTAGCTGGGATGACAGGCATGCGCCACCATGCCCAGCTAATTTTGTATTTTTAGTAGAGATGGGGTTTCTCCATATTGGTCAGGCTGGTCTCGAACTCCTGACCTCAGGCGATCCACCCGCCTCGCCTCGGCTTCCCGAAGTGCTGGGATTACAGGTGTGAGCTACTGGACCTGGCCTAGTGGATGGTATTGTGTGATGGCAGCCCCAGCCGACTAATACACTCAGTTTGCAGCAGCAGAGTCAACCAGCCTTCTACCCAGGTTGGTGCTTAGCATGAAAGTTGGACCAGCACCCTTCCTTCTCCAAGTCATCATTCTTCACCAATTTCCCATCTCTGGGGAAGTCTAGATAATAGTTTGTAGATGCTGCTCACATTCTACGCAATACCAAGGAAGCATATGATTCAAGTAAGTAATTCAGCTTTATCATTTCCTTCGGCACCTGTTCGTAGATTCAGATCCATTCGTTCATTTCTTCACAGTCATCCGTCAGGCCAATGGGTATTTGCCACCTAAAAAGTAGATCATCGCCTGTCATCCCAGCACTTTGGGAGGCGGAGGAGGGTGGATCACCAGGTCAGGAGATCGAGACCATCCTGGCCAAGATGGTGAAACCCTGTCTCTACTAAAAATACAAAAATTAGCCGGGTGTGGTGGCTCACACCTGTCATCCCAGCACTTTGGGAGGCTGAGGCAGGTGGATCACTTGAGGTCAGGAGTTTGAGACCAGCCTGGGCAACATGGTGAAACCCCGTCTCTACTAAAAATGCAAAAATTAGCCGGGCATGGTGGCTCATGCCTGTCATCCCAGCACTTTGGGAGGCTGAGGCAGGTGGATCACCTGAGGTCAGGAGTTTGAGACCAGCCTGGCCAAGATGGTGAAACCCCGTCTCTACTAAAAATACAAAAATTAGCCAGGCGCGGTGGCTCACGTCTGTAATCCCAGCACTTTGGGAGGCCGAGGTGGGCAGATCACGAGGTCAGGAGTTCAAGACCAGCCTGGCCAACATGGCGCAACCCCATCTCTACTAAAAATACAAAAATTAGCCAGGCACGGTGGCTCACGTCTGTAATCCCAGCACTTTGGGAGGCTGAGGCAGGTGGATCACCTGAGGTCAGGAGTTTGAGACCAGCCTGGGCAACATGGTGAAATCCCATCTCTACTAAAAATGCAAAAATTAGCCGGGCATGGTGACGGGTGCCTGTAATCCCAGCTACTCGGGAGGCTGAGGCAGGAGAATCGCTTGAACCCAGGAGGTGGAGGTTGCAGCGAGTCGAGATGGCACCATTGCACTCCAGCCTGGGAACAGAGTGAGACTCCGTCTTAAAAAAAAAAAAAAAAAAAAAGTAGATTATTTCCAGAATGACAACATCCTTCCTCACCGTTCGAAATAAACAGTTGCTGTAACATTTCCGTTCTCCTCTCGGTGAGTTCTTTTCTTCATTTCGGTTTTCTGAGAAAGCAGTGGGCTCAACACAGATAATCACACAGTGATTCTGAGCAGGAGACATCCGTTCGACACAGCGAGGTGGGGGGAGTGGAGCGGGAGGGTTTGTCTCTCAGGGACTGTGTGATGAAGACAGCTTTTCCCCAGCCAGGCTGGGTTAACGAGGCAGGAAGCGTTCGGTGACATCATGACACTGCTGTGCTGCCAGATAGAAAAGGAGAGATTTTCTGTCTCTGAAAACTCAAGACAAAATAAATTGACCTCTGAGCGGAAATCTTTGCCACGGCTTCTCAGCCCACATTTTCAACCAGGAGAATTGTTTCTTAATTAAAAGAAAAAAAAAAAATACTCCAGCAAAGGAAAATAAGGGCTTCCATCTCAAGCCACAAATACTGCAGTAAGGGAAGATAAGGGCTTCCATCTCAATCCACCAACCTGTGTGCGGTTGGTCCCCACTGACTGGGGGGACCCCGTCTTGGTCCTCACTGCCTGGGGACCAGTGACCCCGTCTTCAGGCACCGATGTTGTCTTTGATCTGGGACTCTGCACCTTCACCCTGACACGACCCAGGGGTGCAAGGCAGACAGCAGCCGGCTGGCGGGTTGACGTGTAGGGTGGCGGGGAGCAGGGAGAGGTGGGCTCCGCAGAGAGCTGCTACCTGAACCCGTTCCCTGACATCATTTTGTTACACCCCTCCGAGACGCGGAGGGGGGTGCCTGGGCCTCCCTGTCAGGGCTCCATACCAGACCCTGTGTCTGCAAATGGCAGCTTGTCAGCCTCATCAGGCAAGAGCGAGTCTAGCAGACGTTGCTTTTTTTTTTTTTTTTTTTCCAATCCTGCCCCAGAGTCAATTAAAATACAGTAAGGCTGACATTTGCAGAATACAGAATGATCAAAGCCAAAAATGCCCATACAGCTTCTGACATAAAAACAGTGTGTTTGGCGGAAGACAGACACAGTGTAACAGGTCAGGTAATTATGAGAAAATCTATGATATATCTGTTGCAGTTGGTTAGTTTGTACACACGATCACAGCCATCAAACAAAAGAGCGGGCTCTCTTCTCCTGACGGCTGCGAGAGCCGCTGACACCGTCTCGTGACGCTGATACAGATGGCTTCTGCAGACAGACTGAATTAATTTGACAGTAAATAGGGGGTAGCGGTTACTGCCTTCTTTAAATATCTATTTTTTAATTGCACCTGAGCAGGTTTTATTTTTGCCCTTCTGGGGATTTGCTGGCGAAGCATTTGGTGGTCTTATTAGCCATGCACTCTCCTCCCATTTCACGTTACAGCCCTGGGCACAGGTGTGTCCATGCACACACACACATACTGTCACACACACACACACACGCATGCATGCATACAGCAAAGTTGTTTTTTGTTGTTTGTTTGTTTTTCTGCTGTGTGTAAATACAGCACGTGTACAAACACACTTTCTGCTGTTTTATCGTTTGCATGCTAATTGCTTGAAAGTAATGCATTTTCTCCCCTCTCTTCCCAGCTCCCTCCTCCCAGAATCCATCCCCAACACCCAAAGCTGAACAGATGTGTTCATTATGGTGATTAAGGAATTCTCCCATCTTTTTGCCTCGATGTGTTTATTAAATTAATGAGGGATGAGACAGATGAATCTGTGCGCTCAGGGTACAACCAGGCAAAAGCCACGGGTGTATTTCACGGGGCTGGGTACTCTCTGCCATGCTCACATCGTAATTGGCTTAATGGGTTTTCCGTGATGCGGAATGTCTCTTTCCTCCTCTCTCAGGCAAACTAATTACAGCTTTTTACATTAAATTCTAATAGATTTCAATTTATCTCTTCTAAATTATCACAATAATTACAGTAATAAATTAAGCACGTTGACACCATTCATGAACACACTTTGGGTCTGGCGTTACAGCAGCGTGGTGTTGCAGAGGCTGACTAAATAGACGTGCTGGCTGAGGATGATGGGGGCGGCGCTGGGAGAGAGTGTGTGTCTGTGTGTGTGCGAGCAGATTTGTGATGTTTTTCTGAAAGTCTGCAGAGAGTTCTCCCAAAAGAGAGTTGCATTAAAGGGTACGAATATTTAGAGAGAATCACTGTGTCTTCTCTCAAGTTCCCTGGTTGGTTGGTTGTTTTTGTTTTTCTGAGACGGAGTTTCACTCTTGTTGCCCAGGCTGGAGTGCGGTGGTGCCATCTCGGCTCACTGCAACCTCCGCCTCCTGGGTTCAAGCGATGCTCCTACCTCAGCCTCCCGAGTAGCTCGGATTACAGACATGCGCCACCACGCTCGGTTATTTATTTATTTATTATTTATTGATTTTTTGTATTTTTAGTAGAGACAGGATTTCACCACGTTGTCCAGGTTGCTCTCGAACTCCTGACCTCAGGTGATCTGCTCATCTTGGCCTCTCAAAGTGCTGGGATGACAGGTGTGAGCCACCGTGCCTGGCTTTTTTTTTTTTTTCTTTCCTATTTCCCCATTGGGTCCGATTCCCCTGCCTCAGCCTCCCGAGCAGCTGGGACTACAGGCACCCGCCACCACGCCCGGCTAATTTTTGTATTTTTAGTAGAGACGGGGTTTCACCATGTTGGCCAGGCTGGTCGCGAACTCCTGACCTCAGGTGATCCGCCCGCCTCGGCCTCCCAAAGAGTGTGTTCATGTCTCACCAGCACAAATATGTAATCAACCGTGTCCCCTTTGCAGAGTAAGGTGGCCATGAGGTTTCAGGTATATTATCGGATCCTTCTATTCCATTTTAATGACCTCCCATTATTTCTGCAGAGAAGGTGAAAGTTCCCCTTCAACATCCTTCATCACAGCCATCGCCCCCCAACTCCACTCGCCACTGCCACCCAGACGTCAAATCCTAGAGAGACTTCAGATGGCCGGGGGAGGCCTTCCTGGCTTTCTTTGTCACTCCACGCCGAATCCGAGTGTCACACGTGGCCCACCTGTGAAGTTCCTGGCCGGTGCTGATATAAATGGTAACAGGGCCGATGGCCTGCGATTGTCAGAGATTGATTTAGACAGGTGACTTCTTCTGCTTTGTAAGGTAATGAGACCGAACTTTCAGACTAACTTTCCAAACTCTGGGGGTGACGGCTTCAGTGCAGTCAGTTGACGTAAAAGTTTATCGGCAGGCAGCGGTGGCTCACGCCTGGAATCCCACAACTTTAGTAGAGACAGGGTTTCACCGTGTTGGCCAGGCTGGTCTCAAACGCCTGACCTAACGTGATCCACCTGTCTTGGCCTCCCAGAGTGCTGGAATTACGACCGTGAGCCACCACGCCTGGCCCAACAAAACTTATTTAATTTTTATTTTATTTGTTTATTTTTTGAGACAGAGTCCCACTCTGTCGCCTAGGCTGGAGTACAGTGGCGCAATCTCGGCTCACTGCAACCTCCGCTCCTGGGTTCAAGCGATTCTCCTGCCTCAGCCTCCCGAGTAGCTGGGACTACACGTGCCTGCCACCACACCTAGCTCATTTTTGTATTTTAGTAGAGACAGGGTTTCACCATGTTGGCCAGGCTGGTCTCAAACGCCTGACCTAACGTGATCCACCTGCCTTGGCCTCCCAGAGTGCTGGGATTACAAACGTGAGCCACCACGCCTGGCCCAACAAAACTTATTTTAAATTAAGTTTCCAGTTAAACTTATTGGAACACAGGCATGTGGTAAAATCTAAAATTTAATTTAAAATTCAAAAGCATTCCAATTAAAGTGAAATTAAATGCAACTAAATTGAAAATAAAATTAAAATGTATAATGTAGGGCACAGTGGCTCATGCCTGTAATCCCAGCACTTTGGGAGGCCGAGGCGGGTGGATCATCTGAGGTCAGGAGTTAAAGACCAGCCTGGCCAACATGGTGAAACCCCGTCTCTAATAAAAATACAAAACTTAGCTATGCATGGTGGCAGTCACCTGTAGTTTCAGCTACTTGGGAGGCTGAGGTGGGAGAATCACTTGAACCCAGGAGGGGGAAACGTGGGTGTGATGGCTGGAGCCCCAGCAGCTGTTTCTGACTCTGAGGTGTTGCTGGAATAGACATAGGGGAAGCTTGACATTCTGCACCCATTTCTGCTTCTTGCTGGGAGAAAGGTGGGTGTGAGGGCAGGAGCCCCAGCATCCACGTTGGACTCTGAGGCAGTGCTGGAATTGACATAGGGGAAGCTTGCCATTCTTCACCCATTTCTGCTTCTTGCTGGGGGAAAGGTAGGTGTGAGGGCTGGAGTCTCAGCAGCCACCTTGGACTCTGAGGTGATGCTGGAATGAATATATGGGGAAGTTTGCCATTCTTCACCCATTTCTGCTTCTCTTTGGGGGAAAGGTGGGTGTGAGGGCTGGAGCCATAGCAGCTGTTTTGGACTCTGAGGTGATGCTGGAATGAACACATCAGAGAGCTTGCCATTCTTCAGCCATTCCTGCTTCTTGCTGGAGGAAAGGTGGGTGAGAGGGCTGGAGTCTCAGCAGCCACCTTGGACTGTGAGGTGATGCTGGAATGGACATAGGGGAAGCTTGACATTCTTCAGCCATTTCTGCTTCTTGCTGGTGGAAAAGTGGGTGTGAGGGCTGGAGCCCCAGCAGCTGTTTTGGACTCTGAGGTGACACTGGAAGTGAAAATCTCATATGCAGAATCCTGGGTCCTGGGAGGAGCACACAGTCCTGGGGTGGCTTCTGCAAGTCCTCCTTTTTCTTCTACTTCTTCTTCTTCTTTTTTTAATTGAGATGGAGTCTCACTCTGTCACCCAGGCTGGAGTTCAGTGACGCGATCTCGGCTCACTATAGCCTCCACCTCCCAGGTTCAAGCGATTCTCCTGCCTCAGCCTCCCGAGTAGCTGGGACTACAAGCACGTGCCACCACGCCTGGCTAATTTCTGTATTTTTTTTTTTTTTGAGACAGAGTCTGGCTCTGTTACCCAGGCTGGAGTGCAGTGGCATGATCTCGGCTAATTTAAAAATTAGCCAGGTATGGTGACACATGGTTGTAGTCCCAGCTACTCGGGAGGCCGAGGTAGGGGGATCACTTGAGCCCAGGAGGTTGAGGCTGCAGTGAGCTATGATATCTCAACCCTTTGGGAAGTGGAGGTGAGAGGATTACTTGAGGCCAGGAGTTCAAGACCTGCCTGGCCAACATAGCAAGACCCCATCTCTACAAAAAAAATTAGCCGAGCATCATGACCTGTTCCTGTAATCCCAGCTACTTGGGCAGACAAGGTGGGTGATTCACTTGAGCCCAGGAGTTCAAGACCAGCCTGGGTAACATAACAAGACCCCATCTCTACAAAAAATTAGCCAAGCATGATGGCGTGAGGCCAGGAGTTCAAGACCAGCCTGGGCAAGATAGTAAGACCCTGTCTCTGCAAAAAATTCAAAAATTAGTCAGGTATGGTGACGCATAGTTGCAGTCCCAGCTACTCGGGAGGCTGAAGTAGGGGGATCACTTCAGCCCAGGAGGTTGAGGCTGCAGTGAACTATGATATCTCAACCCTTTGGGAAGTGGAGGTGAGAAGATTCCTTGAGGCCAGGAGTTCAAGACCTGCCTGGCCAACATAGCAAGACCCCATCTCTAAAAAAAAAAATAGCCGAGCATGATGACCTGTTCCTGTAATCCCTCTGGGCTACTTGGGCAGCCAAGGTGGGTGAATCGCTTGAGCCCAGGAGTTCAAGACCAGCCTATGCAACATAGCAAGACCCTGTCTCTGAAAAAAACTTAAAAATTAGCCAGGTATGGTGATGCATGGTTATAGTCCCAGCTACTCAGGAGGTTGAGGTGGGGGATCGCTTGAGCCCAGGAGGTGAAGGCTGCAGTGAACTATGATGGTGCCATTGCACTCCAGTCCGGGTGACAGAGCAAGACCCTGTCTAAAAAAAAAAAAAATTAGAAAGGATCTTTAAAAAGGCAGAACAGAAAGACAGAGAGGAGTGACGCTTTAACATTCATGCAAGATGGTTAGAAATCCAAAGGGGAGTGAAAAATCAGGATCGAGACAGGTGGCTCACACCCATGGAATCTGCAGCCACCCCCAAAAAAACCCACATGGGCTGTGCCCTTTGGAAGCTCCAGGAGCAAGCAGCCCCCACGCCGGCTTCCTCATCCATCTGTGGCATTGGTTGTTGGGCATTTGAAATTGCAAGGTGTCTGCCTGCATTCCATAACGTGCCACAGAAACAAAAGGAGCAATCTCTCTCCCCTGATGGAAGCCAACAGCTGCTAAGAGGCCCGGAATGAGTGTGAGGAGATGATGAGCCTAGAGACCTGCTCCAGGATCAGGCAGCCGCCGAGTGGGAATGAGCCGGTCAGCAGGCATCTGCCATCATTGCTCCCCAAAGCAGGGGTTCCCCAGGTGCCCTCAGCCCCGCCCAGCCTCAAGGGTGGCTCTGAGACCACTGTGTGCTGGAATCAGCTGGACAGAAGGTGGCTGGCTGGAGAGGGTCATGGCTGGATGGGCACCTGGTAGCCTGTGGCCCTGGCCTGGGTTCAGGGAGGGTGTGGGCAGAGGGCAGGAGGAAGGTGGGGAGGAAGACACAGCAGGAGAAGGAGTAGGTGAAGGGAGCCAGGCTGGGGGAAGAAGAGGAGGAGGAGGAGATGGAGGAGGAGGAGATGGAGATGGAGAAGTTAGAGGAGGAGGAGATGGAGAAGTTAAAGGAGGAGGAGATGGAGAAGGAGGAGATGGAAGAGGAGGACGAGATGGAGGAGGAGGAGATTGAGGAGGAGGAGATGGAGAGGAGGAGAAAATGGAGGAGGAGGAGGAGAAGATGGAGGAGAAGGAGGAGATGGCAAAGGAGGAGATGGTGGAGATGGAGGAGGAGATAGAGGAGAAGGAGGAGATGGTAGAGATAGAGGAGGAGGAGAAGATGGAGGAGGAGCAGATGGAGGAAATGGAGAGGGAGGAGGAGATGGAGATGGAGGAGGAGGAGCTGGAGGAAGAGCAGACAGAGGAGATGGAGATGGACAAGGAGGAGAGGGAGGAGGAGGAGATGGAGGAGGTGGAGTAGATGGAAGAGGAGGAGGAAGAGATGCAGGAGATAGAGGAGGAGGAGGAGGAGCTGGAGGAAGAGCAGATGGAGAAAGAGGAGACAGAGGAGATAGAGATGGAAGAGATGGTGGCGGAGGAGGAGGAGATGGAAGAGGAGGAGGAAGAGATGCAGGAGATAGAGGAAGAGCAGGAGGAGATGGAGGAGGAGGAGACAAAGGAGGTAGAGATGGAGGAGATAGAGGAGGAGGAGATGGAGGAAGAGCAGAAGGAGGAAGAGGAGACAGAGGGGATAGAGATGGAGGAGATGGAGGAGGAGATGGAAGAGGAGGAGGAAGAGATGCAGGAGATAGAGGAGGAGGAGGAGGAGATGGAGGAAGAGGAGATGGAGGAGAGTGGGGAGATTTTCCTGCTCGAAACAGTGCTCAGCTTTGGGTATGGTGATCAGCACCACGTGTTACTTTGTTTGACAAACATGCTTCAAAAAAAAAAAAAGACACAGGAACGTGATTTCCACACAATATTTTAAAATACCACTGTCAGGAATTAATCACATGCAAACAGATATTGTTTTCTGGACTTAAACAACTTTGAAAATGTCACATAATGTTGCTTTTCTGTATGGTTTTTTATTCCTTTTAAGTTTTATTCCAATGAGGTTTTAAGAGAGGTAAGTTGCATAAATATCATATCAAGGTATTATAAGTAACTACATTTAAAATGACAAATCTGTGATCAGAAATGTGAAGTTTGATCCAGATGAACAGGGACTCTCAAAGGGCACGAAACAACCACTCGTGAGGATCTGATTCAAATGCAAAATTGACCCCTGCAATTGAAACCACAGTTATAATAAAAAGATATCCTAAACCAATTGAAACCAAAATTTCCAAAAATATACTTTTTAAAAAGATCAGAAATGAAAAAGTGTGAGTAAAATAAAGCAACTCAGCTAATCTCCTTTGAAAGTGAATTTGGTATGAGATTTGAAGTATGATTTGTGGTCTGTGATGCTCAACTGGTGTGGATGGAGCTGATCTATGGTCTGTGATCCTCACCTGGTGTGGATGGAGCTGATCTATGGTCTGTGATGCTCCCCTGGTGTGGATGGAGCTGATCTATGGTCTGTGATGCTCCCCTGGTGTGGATGCAGCTCATCCATGGTCTGTGAGGCTCACCTGGGGTGGATGGAGCTAATCTATGGTCTGTGATAGTCACCTAGTGTGAATGGGGAAGGGCCATGGTCTGTGATGCTCCCCTGCTGTGCATGGAGCTGATCTATGGTCTGTGATGCTCACCTGGTGTGGATGGAGCTGATCTATGGTCTGTGATGCTCACCTGGTGTGGATGCAGCTCATCCATGGTCTGTGAGGCTCACCTGGGGTGGATGGAGCTAATCTATGGTCTGTGATAGTCACCTAGTGTGAATGGGGAAGGGCCATGGTCTGTGATGCTCCCCTGCTGTGCATGGAGCTGATCTATGGTCTGTGATGCTCACCTGGTGTGGATGGAGCTGATCTATGGTCTGCGATACTCCCCTGGTGTGGATGGAGCTGATCTATGGTCTGTGATGCTCCCCGGGTGTGGATGGGGCTGATCTATGGTCTGTGATGCTCACTTGGTGTGGATGGAGCTGATCTATGGTCTGCGATACTCACTTGCTGTGGATGGAGCTGATCTATGGTCTGTGATACTCATCTGGTGTGGATGCAGCTCATCCATGGTCTGTGAGGCTCACCTGGTGTGGGTGGAGCTAATCTATGGTCTGTGATACTCACCTAGTGTGAATGGGGAAGGGCCATGGTCTGTGATGCTCCCCTGCTGTGCATGGAGCTAATCCATGGTCTGTGATGCTCACCTGGTGTGGATGGGGCTGATCTATGGTCTGCGATACTCCCCTGGTGTGGATGGAGCTGATCTATGGTCTGTGATGCTCCCCGGGTGTGGATGGGGCTGATCTATGGTCTGTGATGCTCACCTGGTGAGGATGCAGGTCATCCATGGTCTGTGATGCTCACCTGGTGTGGGTGGAGCTAATCTATGGTCTGTGATACTCACCTAGTGTGAATGGGGAAGGGCCATGGTCTGTGATGCTCCCCTGCTGTGCATGGAGCTAATCCATGGTCTGTGATGCTCACCTGGTGTGGGTGGAGCTGACCTATGCTCTGTGATGCTCACCTGGTGTGGATGGGGCTGATCTATGGTCTGTGATACTCATCTGGTGTGGGTGGAGCTGATCTATGGTCTGTGATACTCACCTGGTGAGGATGCAGGTCATCCATGGTCTGTGATGCTCACCTGGTGTGGGTGGAGCTAATCTATGGTCTGTGATACTCACCTAGTGTGAATGGGGAAGGGCCATGGTCTGTAATGCTCACCTGGTATAGATGGAGCTGATCTGTAGTCTGTGATGCTCAACTGGTGTGGATGGAGCTGATCTATGGTCTGTGATACTCATCTGGTGTGAATGGGGAAGGGCCATGGTCTTTGATGCTCCCCTGGTGTGGATGGAGCTAATCTATGGTCTGTGATACTCACCTGGTGTGGATGGAGCTGATCTGTAGTCTGTGATGCTCAACTGGTGTGGATGGAGCTGATCCATGGTCTGTGATGCTCAACTGGTGTGGATGGAGCTGATCTATGGTCTGTGATGCTCACCTGGTGTGAATGGGGGAGGGCCATGGTCTGTGATGCTCACTTGGTGTGGATGTAGCTGATCTTTGGTCTGTGATGCTCCCCTGGTGTGGATGGAGCTGACACATGGTCTGTGATGCTCCCCTGCTGTGTATGTAGCTCACCCACGGTCTGTGATGCTCATGTGGGTCAGGTGTGGGTATCATATGGCCTATAGTCTGAAGCTCACCTGGACCAGCTCTCGCTGCTGCTGAAACAGGGACTCACAGGCATGTCTCCCACGGAACTGTGCCTGGGTTATTTAAGGACTGTGACCACTGACCCATGGAGCTGAGAGCACTTAACTGGTGTGGAGAAAGTGGGTTTTATACATGCATGCTGTGAAAATATTTTTATATCAGAATTAGGAACTAAATGTTATAATTAAACACATCTCTCCAATTAAGTTCTTGAGCCAGCTAATTGCATGAGTCCACATAAACTTGCTTTAAAAAATAACAGTAGCCCATTTCACCTTATAGAAACTAAATTACCTCTTTAGCCACTAAGCATATACACAGATTATACCCATTAGCTTTTTATTTTTCTATCTTTACATAATGGAAATGCCTGAAAAATTGAGGGTGAAAAAAACCTCAAGGCTTGAGGTCTGGCTTGAAATTAAGTGTGTTCTGCTCATTGTCACCAATTTTGTCTTAAATTACAAGGTGCGATTTCACATAAACATGAGTGTTAGTGTCAAATTCCCCTTGTGGTCTCATCGGTATCTGCTATGTCTGCACAGCCCACAAACACAGGGCCAGGCTGGGCTCAGCATGAAATCGTGACTCTCCTATTTCTTCCTGTGTGTGAACCTGGCAAACTTTAAAAAATAGAATAAATAAAATCGCTCTGTGCCTAAGCTTCCTCATTAGAAAAGTAAAAAGAAAGGTAAAATATTCCTCCAAACATACTTTTAAGAATTAGGACAGGCGTGGTGGCTCACGCCTGTCATCCCAGCACTTTGGGAGGCCGATGCCGGGGGATCACTTGAGGTCAGCAGTTCGAGACCAGCCTGGCCAACATGGTAAAACCCTGTCTCTACTAAAAATACAAAATTAGCCAGATGTGGTGGCGGGCGCCTGTAATTCCAGCTACTCAGGAAGCTGAGGCAGGAGAATTGCTTGAACCTGGGAGGCGGAGGTTGCAGTGAGTTGAGACGGTGCCACTGCACTCCAGCCTGGAGGACACAGCGAGACTCCACGTTAAAAAATAATAAAGATAAAATAAAAAGTATGTAGCTCAACGTGTTCTTCTAGTGGGAGTGTTAAATACACAATAGCCAAGACATGGAATCAACCTATGTGTCCATCAGTATATAAGTGAATAAAGAAAACGTGGTCGTAAGACAAGGCCTGGTGGCTCACACGTGTAATCCCAGCACTTTGGGAGGCCAAGGAGGGTGGATCAGTTGAGGTCAGGAGTTTGAGACCAGCCTGGCCAACATGGTGAAACCCTGTCTCTACTAAAAATACAAAAATCAGCCCAGCGTGCTGGCGGGTGCCTGTAATCCCAGTTCCTCTAGAGGCTGAGGCAGGAGAATTACTTGAACCCAGGAGGCAGAGGTTGCAGTGAGCTGAGACCGTGCCACTGCACTCCAGCCTGGATGAGAGAGCGAGACTCTGTCTCCAAAAAACAACAACAAAAAAAGATATCTGTATACATAGATAGGTAGATACAGGTATAGATAGAGGTATATAGAGTATACTTTGATATAGATACACATAGACAAACATATGTATAGGAACAGATAGGTACAGATATTGATATACATAGGTATAGCTAAGCATAGACCTACAGATGTATCTGTAGGTATGGATGCAGATATAAATATAGAATATACTTAGATAGACACAGACATAGACATAGCTATACACAGATATAAATACAGATATCCGTGTACCTATAGCTATAATACACATAGTACAGATATTCATAGGCATATATAGGAATAGATACAGACATGAATATAAATAAGTAAAGTTAGGTGTAGCTATATGTAGACATAGGTATAGATATAGAGAAAACACTGAAGTATACTTACATATAGATATATGTAGACACAGATATAATAGGTCTGGATATATACACAATACTTTTATATACATAGAAATAAATAGGTATAAATATATAGATAAACACACAGATATATGTATGCCACGCATATACACATACATAAATTGGACAGCGTAAAATGGGGCTGGAAATTCTTCTCCTGCACATAGAGATTTAAAGAATGCTTTCAGAGACCAGGCGCGGTGGCTCACGCCTGTCATCCCAGCACTTTGGGAGGCCAAGGTGGGAGGCTCACTTGAGGTCAGGAGTTCAAGACCAGCCTGGCCAACATGGCGAAACCCCGTCTCTACTAAAAATACAAAAATTATCCGGGCGTGGTGGTGCGTGCCTGTAATCCCAGATACTCAGGAGGCTGAGGCAGGAGAATCGCTTGAACCCGGGAGGCGGAGGTTGCGGTGAGCCAAGATCGCGCCATCGCACTCCAGCCTGGGCGACAGAGGGAGACTCTGTCTCAAATAAAATAAAATAAAATAAAAACATTAAAAAATGAAAGCATGCTTTCAGGAAACATGTTGATGATTTTAAAATATGACATGTTGGGACCAAATTCTTAGAAAGCTGCAGAAGTTCACTGTGCCCCTCACTTTTTTGTGAGACTCCCCTGCATTCTCGACCCACGTTGTCTGGTAAAACTCCAAAAGTCACTCCGGGGGGTGATTGGCCCACATCGATTTATCTGGGCCAACGTGAAGGGCTCTCTGAACAATGGGCCTTGACGAGAGACCCCAGAACCTGCTCACAAAAACACTCAAACAGAACCTCGGTTCTCTCTCTCTCATGTAGAAGCACTGTGTCTCGTCCGTTTGAATTTTCCTAAAATTTCACTGGTAAATATCCACAAGGAAAAGAACACAGAACTGGCTCGGCTGCTCTGCCCCAGAGGTTGGAATAAGAAAGCTCATCTCAGTAACGTGGCCGGGACGTTCCAAGCTCTCGGGCTCAGGAAACGGGTGGTGAATTGGCAGGTGCTCAAGGGTGTCACAGATTTCGTTTTCAAAGACCAATAGTTGATTGTAGAAGGGCACCTGCCCATCTGTGAGGTTAGGCCTGGGAAACAAACCTTGTCTGCTGTTTGGGTTACGGTCACTAACTCTTCAAATCCCACGTTGAGAGAAAGAGAGAGAGAGAGAGAAAGAGGAGAGAGAAGGAGAGAGAGAAAGAGGGAAGGAGAGAGAGAAAGAGGGAAGGAGAGAGAGAGAGACAGAAGAGAGAGGAGAGAGAGACAGAGGAGAGATAGAAGGAGAGAGAGAGACAGAGGAGACAGAAGGAGAGAGAGAGACAGGGAGAGAGAAGGAGCGAGAGAGAGACAGGGAGAGAGAGGAGAGAGAGACAGAGGAGAGATAGAAGGAGAGAGAGAGACAGAGGAGACAGAAGGAGAGAGAGAGACAGGGAGAGAGAAGGAGCGAGAGAGAGACAGAGGAGACAGAAGGAGAGAGAGACAGAGGAGAGAGATGGAAGAGAGAAGGAGAGAGAGGAGAGAGAGAGAACAAGAAGGAGAGAGATAGAGACAAAGACAGAAAGAGAGAGACAGAAGAGAGAGAAGGAGACAGAGAGAGGAGAGAGAAGGAGAGAGAGGAGAGAGAGAGAACAAGAAGGAGAGAGAGACAAAGAAAGAGAGAAAGAGAGAGACAGAAGAGAGAGAAGGAGAGAGAACAAGAAGGAGAGAGATAGAGACAAAGAAAGAGAGAGAGAGAGACAGAAGAGAGAGAAGGAGAGAGAGAGAAGGAGAGAGAGAGACAGAGGAGAAAGAAGGAGAGAGATAGAGACAAAGAAAGAGAGAAAGAGAGACAGAGGAGAAAGAAGGAGAGAGATGGAGACAAAGAAAGAGAGAGACAGAGAAAGAGAGACAAAGAGAGAAACAGACAAAGACAGATAAAGAGAGAGAAAGAGACAGATAGAGACAGAAAGAGACACACAGAGAGAGATAAGGAGGGGGAGAGAGACAGAGAGAGGGAGGGAGAAAGAGAAAGAGGGAGAGAGAGAGGGAGACAGAGGAGAGAAAGAGAGAAAGAGAGACAGAGAGGGAGGGAGGGAGGGAGAGAGAGAGGGAGAGAGAGGGATGTCAGCCACGCTCGCAGCTAGCTCTGAGTGTGGTTGTGTGTGCCTCTGTGTGTGTTCCAGCTGTTCACTCCTCCACCTCTGACTGCAAATGTGTGTGTGTGTGTGTGCCTGTGTGTGTTTCCAGTATCACCGACGGAACCTCATCCACGTGTAGGGAGCTGTGCGTTTGGTTGTGTAGGTTTTTGTGTCAGTGACGTCTCGGATTATTGGTTTGCATAATAATTAGATTAGGGACATCTGGAAGTTGGTGGCAGACAGCTGTTGATGGATCCGGTTAGGCAACACCTGTGAGGTCAGGACCTGCCTGGGAGCTCCCATTCATTTCTTCACTCATTCATTCATTCAGATGCCAACACAGCCCGACTCCACTCCAAGAGCTACCGTCAGCTGCAAAGAACCATTCCCTTCCCAGACGGACCTGTAGGACCGAAACAAATAGCCACCTTCCAGCCAGGCGCGGTGGCTCGCACCTGTCCTCCCAGCACTTCGGGAGACCGAGGCGGGTGGATCCCTTGAGGTCAGGAGTTCAAGACCAGCCTGGCCAACATGGTGAAACCCCGTCTCTACTAAAAATAGAAAAACTAGCCGGGCATGTGGCACGTGTCTGTAATCCCAGCACTTTGAGAGGCTGAGGGGGGTGGATCTCCTGAGGGCAGGTGTTCGAGACCAGCCTGGCCAACATGGTGAAATCCAGGGTCTCCACAATATCTCCAGCACTAATCCTAGGAGCACTTTAGTGAGGGCCAGAATCTTGCAGCCTCCATCTACATTACTCCTAAACCATCATCTAATCTTGTGGCTAATGTTAGTCCTACAGAGGCAATCTACTCCCCAGGCAAGAAGGAGCTCTGCTTAGAGAAAGGGCTGTTATCATTTTTTTGTTTGTTTGTTTGAGACAGGGTCTCGCTGTGTTGCCCAGGCTGGTGTGTAGTGGTGCGATCTTGGCTCACTGCAACCTCCACCTCCCGGGTTCAAGTGATTCTCCTACCTCAGCCTCCTGAGTAGCTGAAACTACAGGTGTCCACCACCACACCCTACTAATTTTTGTATTTTTAGTAGAGACGGGGTTTCACCGTATTGGCCAAGCTGGTCTCGAACTCCTGACCTCAGGTGATCCACCTGCCTCAGCTTCTCAAAGTGCTGGGATTACGGGTGTGAGCCACCACGCCTGGCCAGTCAAATGCTGTGATTCTATGAGAAGGACATTTTTTTTTTTGAGATGGAATTTGGCTCCTGTTGCCCAGGCTGGAGTACAGTGATACAATCTCAGCTCACTGCAACCTCCACCTCCCGGGTTCAAGCGATTCTCCTGCCTCAGCCTCCCAAGTACCTGGGATTACAGGCACCTGCCACCATGCCCAGCTAATTTTTGTATTTTTAGTAGAGACGGGGTTTCACCATGTTGGCCAGGCTGGTCTCGAACTCCTGACCTCAGGTGATCCGCCCACCTCAGCCTCCCAAAGTGTTGGCATGACAGGCGTGAGCCACTGAGCCTGGCCAGTGAAATGCTATGATTCTATGAGGACATTTTTTTAAGTTGAATGACCTTTGAGAAGCTGTTTTCTTAGGACCTCTTTCCAGAAAAAGTAACATCAGGACAAAGCGGTGGGCGGCTGGTTTGGGGCCCAGGGAGGGGGAAGGGCTACGGCTCAGCAGCATTCCAAGTGACTTGTTTTGAAAGAAATCCCTCCGTTTGAGAGTGTGTGCAGCACAAAACCACCGTCTTCCCTCTTGAAGAAACGCCAGGCAAATAGCAGCTTCGGGCTTGTGCAAATTAAGGCATCAGTAACTTTTGCTTATACAATTTGTTGAATAAATAGGGTTGAATCTATTGAATAAATGAGTCAACATAAGCTTTGAAAACAATGTCTGAAGGCATCCTGTTAAGGTCTATTTGCATAAGTGGTTAAGCTGTGAAAGGCAGTGGCGGCAGCCTCAAGTCCTAGGGAAAAAAACAAAAAAACAAAAAAAACACAAACCATAAGCAATCAGGCAGCCCAGCTGTTTTCAAATCGTGCCCCCAAAGAGGCTCCAGAAAAACCTGTCGTTTGATTCATTCCGTGAAGACACCAGCTTCCGAGGAGCCCTTGCATGCTTCGTAGGTACATTACGGACTGAGGGTCTAAGCAAGAGCACCCAGGCTTACAGAGTGTGGCTGAGCTTTTTGTTTTACAGCCCAGAAAAGATGACACTGGCCCAAATGTTTGAAATAAAACAGGGCCGGGTGCGGTGGCTCATGCCTGTCATCCCAGCACTTTGGGAGGCTGAGGCGAGGGGATCACCTGATGTCAGGAGTTTGAGAGCAGCCTGACCAACATGGTGAAACCCCATCTGTACTAATAATACAAAAATTAGCCGGGTGTGGTGGTTGATGCCTGTACTCCCAGCTACTCAGGAGGCTGAGGGAGGAGAATGGCTTGAACCTGGGAGGCGGAGGTTGCAGTGAGCCAAGACCGCGCTGCTGCACTCCAGCTGGGGCAAGAAAGAAAGAAGGAAGGAAGGAAGGAAGGAAGGAAGGAGGGAGGGAGGGAGGGAGGGAGGGAGGGAGGGAGGAGGAAGGAAAGAAATGGACGGAAAGAAAGGGAAGGAAGGGAAGGGAAAGAAGGGAAGGGAAGGAAGGGAAGGGAAGGAAGGAAATGAAAGGAAAGGAAAGGAAGGAAGAAACAGGAGCACCAAATATTCCCTTCTAAAGTCTCTTTGTTTCCCATGTATGCATTTATTTTTTGAGATGGGGTCTTGCTATGTTGCCCAGGCTGGAGTGCAGTGGAGTCCCATCATAGCTCACTGCAGCCTCAACCCCCTGGGCTCAAAAGGATCCTCCTGCCTCAGCCTCCGGAGCAGCTGGGACTACAGGTGCATGCATCACCACACCCAGCTAATTTTTTATTTTTTGTAGAGACGGGATCTTGCTATGTGGTCCAGGCTGGTCTCCAACTGCTGAACTGAAATGATCCTCCCGTTTCAGCCTCTCCTGAGTCACTGGGACTGCAGGCACACACCACCACATACAGCTAAGTTTCTGGTTTTGTTTTTGAG
Organism: Homo sapiens; assembly: GCF_000001405.40. Lineage (NCBI taxonomy): Eukaryota > Metazoa > Chordata > Mammalia > Primates > Hominidae > Homo > Homo sapiens. Next base: position 1,110,021 of record NC_000023.11, read on the forward strand.
ACTGAGTCACACTCTGTCACCCAGGCTAAAGTGGAGTGCCGTGATCCCCACTCACTGCAACTGTTGACCTGCCCCAGGAGGCAGGACCGAGGGGGGTGATGGTGGCATAGGAGGACACTGGGAGACCTGGAGAGCTTTCTGTGGATCCAGACAAACAATGTCAATTTGGGTGTGTGTGTGCATGCATGCTAGTTTGTGTGTGTGTGTGTGCATGCATGCATGCTTGCTGGTGTGTGTGTGCGTGTGTGTATACATTGTGTCTGTGTGTATACGTACATGCTAGTGTATGTGGATGTGTATGCATGCATCTCTGTGTGTATGTATGCGTCTGTCTGTGCATGCAAGCTAGTGTGTGTTCATGCATGCTAGTGTAATTGCACACGTGTGTGCATGCTAGTGTGTGTGTATGCATCTGTGTGCATATATGTATGCGTCTCTGTGTGTGCATGCATGCTATTGTGTGTGCATATGCACGTGTGTTTGTGTATATGCATGCTAGTGTGTGTTTATGTATGCATATGTGGGCATGTACGTATGTATGTATCATGTGTACATGTGTGCTAGTGCACGTGCATGCGTGTGTGCGCATGTATGTACGCATCTGTGTGTGCATGTGTATGTATGTGTGCATGCATGCTAGTGTATGTATGTGTGTGTATGTAGTCGTCTCTGTGTGTATGCATGCCAGCGTATGTGAACACACGTATATGTATGCTAGTGTGTGCATGCCTGCTAGTGTATGTGCACACGTGTGTGTGCGTCCATGAAAGTGTGTGTACATGCTAGTGTGTGTGCATATGCGTGTGTGTTTGTGTGCATGCATGCTAGCGTGTGCATGTGTGTATGTAGGCGTCTGTGTGCATGCATGCTAGCGTATGTGAACACATATATGTATGCTAGTGTGTGTATGCATGCTAGTGTATGTGAACACACGTGTGTGTGCGTGCATGCTGGTGTGTGTGTGCATGCTAGTGTGTGGGCATACATGAGTATGTTTGAATGCATGCGTGCTAGTGTGTGCGTGTGTATATGCATGCTAGTGTATTTGCGTGCAACGTGTGCGTTTGTGTGCATGCATGCTAGTGTGTGTGTGTGTGCGTGTGTGTCATTTTTCCGCCATAATAGAGAGTAGAGAGAAGAGGTGAGATTAGAAAACTTCAATTAAGCCTTTCAAAAGACCATCTGCCAAACGGTGACTGGGGTTCCGTGTAAACAAAGTGTCTGTGCTGGTTACAAACACATGATCTTACCTATTGTATTGTGTTACAAATGAAAATGAGATTAAGCCACCTACACGGTACCTCTCTTGCATCTTCAATTTGTCATGGAGGCTGAGCATCGCTGGTGTATATTCATCCCGCCTGATGAGCCCTCATTATCTCTGTAGCAGCGGTATACACGGTGCACAGCATAATCAAAGCCTGCGGGTACGTATTAATTATCCTTTTGAATAGTGATGAAATTTTAAAAAGATCTCCTTTAGCTCATATCATCAGCAGATGAAACAAAGGCGCACACAGCTTGTGCGCAGAGGTTCACATGTGTTTTTACATCTGTTCAGGATATTGCAATTTGAAGCTCAACAAGCAGACACTGCGATTAAAGAAGAGGATGAAGGGAGAGAGAGAGGGAGAGAGGGAAGAAGAAGAAGAAAAAAAAAAAGTCCTGCAATGACAAATAACCAATAGACCCCGCCCCCAGCTCATTGAGGAGAGACGAAAATGAGTAACTCCTTCTCCAAGAATGCACCATTGCTTTATTTTTGTCTCTCTAAGGAGGATGATTTAAAAGCAAGAATCCATGCATGCAACGTGAGGTGTGTGGTGATGGCAAGTGCACCTGTTACCTCCGAACACCACAGCTCTCGTGCACAAACCTGCAGCTTGCCCTTCTCCCGGCAGCTTCTCTCCTGGGGTCCTGTTGGGGTGGGGGGGGGTTCCCGGAAGCTCAGAGAGAAGGAAGAAGAGAGCTGCCCTTTTCAGAGAGGCTCAGGCGGCGGTCTTTGTTTTGTTGCTTGAATTAGAATGCGGCTATGGGGTGGTCTGTAGGGGGAGCAGAAAGAGAAAGACCCCGTGTGCGCCAAGAGCGGTGGGGGGGGGGGGTCCTTGGACATTGACAAGCTGTTTCTAGGAACTCCGTCCCCTGGGGTGAGAGAAGGCCCTGATACACAACCCCTTGCATTGAACACGGGACTTCTGAGTTCTGGGTAGAAAAGCTCCTTCCTGTTTGCAGGTATGACCTTAGATTTAAAAAAATAAAAATACCGCATGCAAATGTAAATGTGCTTTTACTTCTGTGTTTAACGGGATACAGAGGTTGTGATCAAACATGCACACTTAAAAGATGCCTTTGAATTATCTTTCAGAAATCAAAAATGTAATCCAAAAGCCATTTGAACTATGCAAGAGCTGTACCGTTGAAAGGGTATGTGAAATGTTATTTGACTCAACGGGCCTCACATCCACAGGCGGTCTGTAACATGACCTCCATGTTTCGTAAAAATTCAGTGTTATTTACAAGTGTATGCACCTATGAGGCTGGGTCATTGACAATGAATGAGCGTCTCCATCTCTAGGGTAGCCATGAATCAAAAATACAGGATCCAGGGTTGAATCGGCTGCCTTGAATGAAATAAAAATAACATTCATTGGATGATAAAAGCAAATCCTATGGATTTTGCAAAAGTGGGCGCTCACATCGGCAGAAGCATCCGATTCGGAAAAATAAGGCGACCCCTCCTACAAGCACCTCCTCCGAACTGGCCGTCTAGAGGCATTTTTTTATCCAGTTTGCTGAAAATCCAATGGGTGTGCCTTCATGAGGAAGTCTGCTGGGAAATATGGCTCCATGCCCCATGAACTTTTTTGTTTGTTTGTTTGTTTGTGTTTTTTTGAGACAGACTCTCAGTCTGTCACCCAGGCTGGAGTGCAATGGTGTGATCTCCGCTCACTGCAAGCTCTGCCTCCCAGGTTCAAGCTATTCTCCCGCCTCAGCCTCCTGAGTAGCTGGGATTACAGGTGCCCACCACCAAGCCTGGCTATATTTTTGTACTTTTAGTAGAGACGGGGTTTCACCATGTTGATCAGGCAGGTCTCGAACTCCTGACCTCAGGTGATCCACCCACCTCGGCCTCCCAAAGTGCTGTGATTACAGGCGGGAGCCACTGTGCCTGGCCCCCGTTAACTTCTCCAGCTTGCCTTTTTACCTGCAACCCATATGTCTAGTAGTATATCATTTGTCTTTCACCTTTTCTTCCAATCAGAAGACACCATGATGCTATTTTCTAACCAGCATTGGCCACTGGTCAGGTGCAGTAGCTCACTCCTGTAATCCCAACACTTTGGGAGAGGAAGGCGGCTGGATTGCTTGAGCCCAGGAGATGTAGACCACCCTGACCAACACAGCGAAACCTCATCTCTGTTAAAAACAAACAAAAACACGGGGCTGGGAGAGGTGGCTCATGCCTGTAAATTTCACCACTTTGGGAGGCCAAGGCAGGTGGATCACTTGAGGTCAGGAGTTTGAGACCAGCCTGGCCAACATGGTGAAACGCCGTCTCTACTAAAAATACTAAAACTAGTCAGGCGTGTTGGCAGGTGCCTGTACTCTCAGCTACTCGGGAGGCTGAGGCACGAGAACTGCTTGAACTGGGAGACAGAGGTTGCAGTGAGCTGAGATCACGCCACTGCACTCCAGCCTCGGTGACAGTGCAAGACTCCATCTCAAAAAGAAAACACAAAAAATTAGCTCTGTGTGGTGGTGCAAGGCCGTAGTCCCAGCTACATGGGAGGCTAAGGTGGGAGGATCACCTGAGCCCAGGGAGGTCAAGGCTGCAGTGAGCTGTATGAGCCCCAACGCACTCCAGCCTGAGTGACAGAGTGAGACCCTATCTCAAAAAACAAAAGAACTGGCCACTGTTTCCAGGTAGATGGATTTCTGCAAGGAACAGCACTGTGTGTTTAATGAAATTAGAAGGACCAGCCGGGCGCAGTGGCTCACGCCTGTCATCCCAGCACTTTGGGAGGCCGAGGCGGGCGGATCACGAGGTCAGGAGATCGAGACCATCCTGGCTAACACGGTGAAACCCCGTCTCTACTAAAAATACAAAAAATGAGCCGGGAGTGGTGGCGGGCGCCTGTGGTCCCAGCTACTCGGGAGGCTGAGGCAGGAGAATGGCTTGAACCTGGGAGGCGGAGGTTGCAGTGAGCCGAGATCGCGCCACCGCACTCCAGCCTGTGTGACGGAGCGAGACTCTGTCTCAGAAAAACAAAAAAGAAAAAAATAAAAAGAAGGACCGTTCAGCCCAGAGAAAGTCTCAACATACTCTTCACCCTGTTCGTATTATAAATTAAATTGCATCCCCCCAAAAAAGATTTGTAGAAGTCCTGACCTCCCCGCCCCCCACCCCACAACTACATCAGAATGTAACTTTCTCTGGAAATACGGTGTCTGCAGCTATCACGAGTTACGATGAGGCAGCAGTGGACTGGGATGGGCTCTGATCTAATGACTGCTGCCTTTGTAGAATTTTTTTAAAAAATGTGGATACGTAGAGGCACAGACACACAGAAAAGCCACGTGGAGACGGAGGCAGAGACTGGAGTGATGGGGCCACAAGCCCAGGGATGCCTGGAGCCCCCAGGAGCTGAGAGAGGAAGGAAGGACCCTCCCCTAGAACCCTGGAAGGAACTGAATATAATTATACTGAATGGAACAGTGGCCCCCAGAAAGATCTGTCCACATCCTAAAGCCCAGGACCTGGAATGAGACCGGATTTGGAAATAGGTTCTCTGCAGATGTAATTAGGTGAAGGACCTTGAGGTGAGATCATCCTGGAGTAGGGTGTCCCCTAAATCTAATGACAGGTGCCCTTGTAAGAGACAGAAGAGGAGACACAGAGGAGAAGGCCACATGGAGACGGAGGCAGAGACTGGAGTGATGCGGCCACAAGCCCAGGGATGCCTGGAGCCCCCAGGAGCTGGGAGAGGCAGGAAGGACCCTCCCCTAGAGCCTTCAGAAGGAACACCTTGATCAGAGGCTTCTGGTCTTCAGAGCAAGGAGAGGGTAAAATTCTCGTGTTTTAAGACACGCAGTTATGGCAGTTTGTTCTGGTAACTGCCGGGAATTAATACAGCACCTGAACAGACTCCAAGGGTGACATGAGGAGTGTGACCCAAGTGTAGCTGGTTTAGCCCCTGGGAATTTGCAGCGTGGTGAGAATAAGGAATAGAAAACATCACCAGAAGATGGGCGTGGTGGCTCACACCTGTAATCCCAGGACTTTGGGAGGCCGAGGCAGCCGGATCACCTGAGGTCAGGAGTTTGAGACCAGCCTGGCCAACATGGTGAAACCCCGTCTCTACTAAAAATACAAAAATCAGCCGGGCGTGGTGGCTCACTCCTGTAATCCCAGCACTTTGGGAGGCTGAGGCAGGCAGATCACCCGAGGTCAGGAGTTCGAGACCAGCCTGGTCATCATGTTCAAACCCCGTCTCTACTAAAAATACAAAAATCAGCCGGGCGTGGTGGCTCACTCCTGTAATCCCAGCACTTTGGGAGGCTGAGGCGGCCGGATCACCCGAGGTCAGGAGTTCGAGACCAGCCTAGTCAACATGTTCAAACCCCATTTCTACTAAAAATACAAAAGTTAGCCGGGCACGGTGGTGGGCGCCTGTAATCCCAGGACTTTAGGAGGCCAAGGCAGGCAGATCACCTGAGGTCAGGAGTTTGAGACCAGCCTGGTCAACATGTTCAAACCCCATTTCTACTAAATTGTAAAGTTCTCCTGTGGGGTCCTGGCCCCTCCCCAGAGGCATCCCTCCTGACAGAGACGCAACGGAAGAGACATACTACCTTTCATCAGCCAAGAATCTAAAGTAGGAAGAGGGAGCGTGAGCTTGGAGATTTGGAGAGTCTCTTGTAAAACTCAAATATCTGAAATTTCAGCGGAAGACGCATCGGTCGGCGTTCTTGTCGTTTAAAATCCGGGGCATAAATTTGCTTTGCTTGGAGACTCGCTGGTTCTAACCCGCCACTTGGCAGACAAGCAAGATAAGAAGAGAGGAACCTGGGGTTTTGGTAAGGAGGAAAAGATTCATAATTAGAGTAGAGGATTTCCAGAGCTTTCCTGATTATAAGGAGTGGGTCAGAGGTGCGTGAGTTCTAACCAGCTTATTAAATATTTTACAACCCCGTCAGTGGCACAAAAATTAGAGAATAACATGAGGCCATGTCGCATTTGTCTCTTGAATTTACACACTTTTTTCTTTCTTTTTGAGATGGACTCTCTCTCTGTCACCCAGGCTGGAGTGTAAGGGCACAATCTCAGCTCACTGTAAGCGCCGCCTCCCAGGTTCACGCCATTCTCCTGCCTCAGCTTCCCGAGTAGCTGGGATTACAGGCGTCCACCACCACGCCCTGCTAGTTTTTTTGTATTTTTTTAGTAGAGATGGGGTTTCACTGTGTTAGCCAGGATGGTATCCATCTCCTCACCTCATGATCCGCCCGCCTCGGCCTCCCAATACACACTTTTCTTTTTTTTGAGATGGAGTCTCACTCTGTCACCCAGGCTGGAGTGCAATGGCTCGATCTCAGCTCACTGCAACCTCCGCCTCCCGGGTTCAAGCGATTCTCCTGCCTCAGCCTCCCGAGTAGCTGGGATTACAGGCGCACACCACCATGCCCGGCTAATTTTTGTATTTTTAGTAGAGATGGGGTTTCACTATGTTGGCCAGGATGGTCTCAAACTCCTGACCTCAAGTGATCCACCCACCTCGGCTTCCCAAATTGCTGGGATGACAGGTGCGACGGACGGTGTGCCTGGCCTGAATTTACACACATTTTTTTTATACGTTCCTCAGTCAATATATTTCTCTTTGCTATTTCATCTTACCCATACACACAGCTTCGTTTCATTTCCTAAGCATGGTACATGCCATTTTTTTTCCTTCCAATTATCGAGACTGTCCCATTCACAGGCAGAACTCTCTGAACAACTTGGAGTTTATTCGTGCTGATGATTCCTGGTTTCCCCAGGTGACTCTTGGGCTCACCAGAGCTTGCACCGGGTCTGCGTTTGCTGACAGACGCGTTCCCACGTCTCGCAGTCAGTGAATAAATGAACGGATGTGCCACCACGATGGATGGGCAGGCTCTCGAAAGACGGGCATACAACTCTCTTTGGCCACATCATTTGTCTGAAACACTCCAAGGCGTTCTGTGGGTAAACAGTCAGGAAGGACTTGGGGTGAAGCAATAGAAAAAAATATGATACTGGGGCCGGGCGTGGTGGCTCACACCTGTCATCCCAGCACTTTGGGAGGCCGAGGCAGGTGGATCACCTGAGGTCAGGAGTTCGAGACCAGCCTGGCCAACATGGAGAAACCCTGTCTCTACTGAAAATAAGAAAAATTAGCCAGGCAAGGTGGCACACGCCTGTCATCTCAGCACTTTGGGAGGCTGACGTGGGCAGTTCACCCGAGGTCAGGAGTTCGAGACCAGCCTGGCCAACATGGCAAAACTCTGTCTCTACTAAAAATACAAAAAATTAGCCAGGCAAGGTGGCTCACGCCTGTCATCCCAGCACTTTGGGAGGCCGAGGCGGGCGGATCCCTTGAGGTTAGGAGTTCAAGACCAGCCTGGCCACCATAGTGAAACCCCGTCTCTACTAAAAATACAAAAATTAGCCAGGTGTGGTGGTGGGCGCCTGTAATCCCAGCTACTTGGGAGGCTGAGGCAGGAGAATCACTTGAACCCGGGAGCCGGAGGTTGCAGTGAGCCGAGATCGCACCACTGCACTCCAGCCTGGGTGACAGAGCGAGACTCCATCTGAAAAAATAAAAGAAAAGCAAAAGCACTGAAACGCACTGTGATTAAGGGACAAATTTTATCTTCCTATCCCGCCTTGATTCGTGTTTAAATTTTGTCTTTTGCTTCCAGGCTGAGATTTCATGCCTGGGTTCAGCCTAAAGCGAATTTTAGCAGGTGAGTTATAAACCCCTAAAAATAGGTTTCTGTAGTCGAAATGCTGACACAGTGGATCTAGTTGGGAAGGAAGGTGGCAGAGTTCTAATTAAAAGGACACTCAGTGCTTTGTCTTTGACTAATGTAAATAGCAATCAGGTTAACTTACAGTTTCCCTGCCTTAGAGAGGCTTTCAGAACATAGAAAACTTGTTTTTCTCTCCAAATAATAATAATAGATTACTCAATTCGCATGATAGATGAAGAAAAGTGAGGTTGTGTATGGCCTTAGAAATAACAGTAATGGGCTGGGCGCGGTGACTCACGCCTGTCATCCCAGCACTTTGGGAGGCCGAGGCAGGTGAATCATTTGAGGTCGGGAGTTCGAGACCAGCCTGGCCAACATGGTAAAACCCTGTCTGTCTCTATTAAAAATATAAAAATCAGCCAGGCGTGGTGGTGGGTGTCTGTGATCCCAGCTACTCAGGAGGCTGAGGCAGGAGAATTGCTTGAACCCGGGAGGCAGAGGTTGCAGTGAGCCAAGATCACGCCACTGCACTCCAGCCTGGGCGACAGAGCGTGACTCCAAAAAAGAAAGAAAGAAAGAGAGAGAGAGAGAGAGAGAAGGAAGGAAGGAAGGAAGAAGAAAGAAAGAGAGAAGGAAGGAAGGAAGGAAAGAGAAAAAGAAAGAAGAAAGAAAGAGAGGGAGAGAGAGAAGGAAGGAAGGAAGAAGAAAGAAAGAGAGAAGGAAGGAAGGAAAGAGAAGAAAGAAGAAAGAAAGAGAGGGAGAGAGAGAGAAGGAAGGAAGAGAAAGAAAGGAAAGAAAGAAAGAGAGAGAGAGGGAAGGAATGAAGAAAGAAGAAGAAAGAAGGAAAGAAAAGAAAGAAAGAAAGAAAGAAAAGAATGAAAGAAAGAAAGAAAAGAAATAAAGAAAGAAAGAAAGAAGGAAAGAAAGAGAAAGAGAGAAAGAAAAGAAAAAAGAAAAGAAAGAGGTTTAAACTGTACGGTCTGATGTCAACTATACCTGTTAATACTTAAATTGGATACTAGGTAATAAAAATAAACATTTTCCCTCCTCTCTCTCTCTCTCCTCTTTTTAAGCATCTTGGTGATTTTTTTTTTTCTTTTCTGGGTCCAATCTTGCATTTATTTCTTCCGCGTGCGAGAAGGAGAGCATCTGGTATGATTTTTCATTTTCATTTTTGCCTAATAACATTTTCTTCTCAGATTTCGTCGGAGGCCTTGATAAAAGTCCTCCTGCTTTATAACTTAGCTTTTATTACTTCCCTCAGCATTGTTCCCATGTGGGCTCTGGGACTTTCCTTCCTTTCTTTTCTTTCTTTCCTTTCTTTCTTCTTTATTCTTTCTTTTCTCTTTCTTTTTTCTTTGTTTTTTTTCTTTCTTTTCTCTCTTCTTTCTTCTTTGTTTCTTTTTCCTTTCATCTTTCTTTTGTCTTTCTCTTTTTCTTCTCTTTTTCTTCTTTCCTTCTTTCTCTTTCTTTTTTCTTTCTTTCTTCTTCCTTCCTTCCTTCTTTCCTTCCTTCCTTTCTTTTTTTTTCTTCTTTGGTCCTGATTCTCTTATCACCCCTTATTTCCTGAATGCTAAGACGTTTTCCTAACCTGGTTTAAAAAAATAAATAAATACTGTTTTGTTTATTTCTTCCCGTAGGGTAAATTTATCCACAGAGACTTCTTGGCAGATAGTTTTCTTCGGAAGATGAGGGCTGGGTGATCAGTAAGAAGAGGTGTTGAAAGATGAAGGAGAGAGAGGTACATGGAAATGATTTGTCTTTACCTTCAAGGAAAAGGAACAAGAAAGATAAAAATTATAAATCAATAGGGCTGCTTTTGGAGATGCAAAAGTTTTGTTCATAATAAGAGTTATAATATGACCACCTACATTAAGTTTCGAAACAATAAATTCATTTTTTTTTTTTCACACAGAGTCTCACTCTGTCACCCAGGCTGGCGTGCAGTGGTGCGATCTCGGCTCACTACAACCTCCACATCCCAGGTTCAAGCGATTCTCCTGCCTCAGCCTCCCGAGTAGCTGGGACTACAGGTGCCCACCACCACACCCAGCTAATTATTGTATTTTTAGTAGAGACGGGGTTTCACCATGTTGGCCAGGCTGGTCTCGAACTCCTGACCTCAGGTGATCCACCCACCTCAGCCTCAAAGTGTCTCTCTTATCTACACTCTTATACCAGGGACATTGACCGGGTTTTGGTGTGTTTTGACATTTTACAGTTTCTGTACATGTCCTCTCAGAACTGCAGGAAATTCATGAGCTGGTGGCGTTTGATCCTTGCATATGGGAGAAGAGTCTTATTCTTTTAATTTCAGTATAAGAAGTGTGGTCCTCTAGGTCTCAAAGCCTCACTGAGAGACAGTGGGAGCATTTGGACTTGCAGGAACTGCCGGCCTCGGCAGTAGCATGCTCTGGACAGCCAGAAACTGGATCTGTGTTCCAGGGATGCCCTCTACTGGAAAAATCTATAGCTTCTCTTTCTTGCTTTCAGAATCTCTGTATCTTTTTTTTTTTTTTTTTTGAGACGGAGTCTCGCTCTGTTGCCCAGGCTGGAGGACAGTGGTGCAATCTCAGCTCACAGCAACCTCCATCTCCCAGGTTCAAGCAACTCTCCTGCCTCAGCTTTCTGAATAGCTGGGATTACAGGCACCTGCCACCACACCTGACTCATTTTTGTATTTTTAGCAGAGACGGGGTTTCACCATTTTGGTCAGGCTGGTCTCGAACTCCTGGCCTCATGATCTACCTACCTCAGCCTCCCGAAGTGTTGAGATTACAGGCATGAGCCACGGTGGCCAGCCAACCTGCTTTTCTTACTCAACATTATGTCTTAAAAATATTCCTGGGTCAGTTAATACAAATGTACCCCCACTTATTTTAACTGCTACGGAGTCATCCAGGGAAGGCTTCTAGATTTTATTTAGCTGTTTAAAAAATTCATTTGACTCATTTCCAGGTTTTTGCTTTTATTTTTGTTGGCGGGACAGAGTCTCACTCTGTTGCCCAGGCCGGAGTGCAGTGGTGTGGTCTCGACTCACTGCAACCTCTGCCTCCCGGATTCAAGCAATTCTCCTGCCTCAGCCTTCTGAGTAGCTGGGATTACAGGCTCCAGCAACCACACCTGACTAATTTTTGTATTTTTAGCAGAGACGGGGTTTTACCATGTTGGCCAGGCTGGTCTCAAACTCCTGAACTCAAGTGATCCGCCCGCCTCGGCCTCCCAAAGTCCTGGGATGACAGGTGTGTGCCACCACATCCGGCTAATTTTTGTATTTTTAGCAGGGACGGGGTTTCACCATGTTGGCCAGGCTGGTCTCAAACTCCTGACCGCAGGTGATCTGCCCGCCTCGGCCTCCCAAAGTGCTGGGATGACAGGTGCCAGCCAGTGCGCCCAGCGAGAGTCTCCGTATCTTACAGACTTTGGAAAACAGGATTTTAAAGAATTCAGTCGAGTTCCGTTCGGAGCTGAGTCATGCTGAAATTCCAGCTGCATTCAGGACCTGCTGCGAATAAAACAGGTGAAGTGTCGGGCAAGTTGGTTGCAGGTCTATAAAGGGCTTGGGATAAAGGACCCCAGAAGAAGGAAGGTCTGCCTGCAGGGAGAACATGTTGCTCAGAGATCGCTCAAGCGTGGTCCATATCCCCCACGTTCCCAAGACACCAAACTCCTCACCCCATCTTCCCAATTCTCATCAACAAAGCAATGGATACTATTTTAGTTTCCTATAGCTTAAACAACACTCATGAGCTGGGCACGGTGGCTCACGCCTGTCATCCCAGCACTTTGGGAGGCCGAGGTGGGTGGATCACTTGAGGTCAGGAGTTCCAGACCATCCTGGCCAACATAGCGAAACCCCGTCTCTACTAAAAATACAAAGATTAGCCGGGCGTGGTGGCCGGCACCTGTAGTCCCAGCTACTCGGGAGGCTGAGGCAGAAGAATCGCTTGAACCCGGGAGGCGGAGGTTGCGGTGAGCCGAGATCGCACCGCTGCAGTCCAGCCTGGGAGACAGAGTGAGACTCTGTCTCAAAAAAAAAAATGAGGGGTTTGGGAAGAGGTTGTACATGGCCCTGTTTATTTTCTATCTATCATCTATGTATCTATGTATCTATCTATGTATCTATCTATGTATGTATCTATCTATCTATCATCTATCTATCTATCATCTATCATCTATCTATCTAATCTATCTATCATCTATCTATCTATATCTATATCTAGCTATCCACCTGTCATCTCTGTCTTGTCTATCATCTATCTATCTACACCTGTCTATCTATCTATATGTATATATCCATCTATCTATCAGTCATCTCCCTATCTGTCTCTATCTATATATCTATCTTTCTATCTACCTATCTCTTTCTCTATATCTATTTATCCATCTATCTATCAATCATGTTTGTCTCTGTCTCTGTCTATCTTGGGTCTATCTATATCTATCTATCTATATGTATCTATCTATCCATTTATCTATCGATCATCTCCCTGTCTTTGTCTATGTATCTATATGTTTATCTATCTATGTCTATATCTATCTATCCATCTATCTATTGATCATGTCTCTGTCTCTGTCTATCATCTATCTATATCTATCTATATCTATCTATCTATCTATATGTATCTATCTATCCATCTATCGATCATCTCCCTGTCTCTATCTATCTATCTGTCTATCTCTATCTGTCTCTATATCTATCTATCCATCTATGTATCGATCACATCTCTCTCTGTCTCTGTCTATCATCTGTCTCTCTACCTGCCCGCCTGTCTACCTATCTATCCACTTCCCAAAGGTTTAAATAAATTTGACCAGGCCAGGCGTGGTAGCTCACACCTGTAATCCCAGCACTTTGGGAGGCCGAGACGGGTGGATCACCTGAGGTTGGGAGTTCGAGACCAGCCTGACCAATATGGAGAAACCCCATCTCTACTAAAAATACAAAATTAGCCGGGCGTGGTGGTGCATGTCTGTAGTCCCAGCTACTTGGGAGGCTGAGGCAGGGGAGATCACTTGATCCCGGGAGGCGGAGGTTGCGGTGAGCCGAGATCATGCCATTGCACTCCAGCCTGGGTGACAAGAGTGGAACTCTGTCTCAATAGATAAATAAATAAATAAATAACTTTGACCGACTCTGCATCGAGCCCAGCTTCCTCTTGGTTCATCCCTCCCATCATAGCCACAGTGAGGCTCCGGCAGCCTTCTGGATTTCCTTTGCTTCCCTGTCTTCCTCCAATCTACTGTCCAACTGTTCCGTCAACTTCCCAAGAGGCTGCAACCTCGAGGACCTGAGGCGTTTCACGTGTGCACACATGTGTACACGTCTCTGTACCAGTCAAGATGCTTACGCTTGATGGGAGCAGCTCTGCGCCCGGCACAGTAGCAGACACAAACAAAAGGGGACCCACGCTGTCCTCCAGAACCAAGCAGGGTCTTTTCGAGGATGGGCCAGGCACCCCAAAATCACCCTGGAATTTAAAGACTATAAACAAGCAAGTGAGGAGGCCGGGCGCGGTGGCTCACGTCTGTCATCCCAGCACTTTGGGAGTCCGATGCAGGCAGATCACCTGAGGTCAGGCGTTCGAGACCAGCCTGGCCAACGTAGTGAAACCCCGTCTGTACTAAAAAAAACAAAAATTAGCCAGGTGGGGTGGCGGGTTCTTGTAACACTAGCTACTTGGGAGGCTGAGACGGCAGAATGGCTTGAACACGAGAGGCGGGGGTTGCGGTGAGCTGAGATCACGCCACTGCTCTCCAGCCTAACCAACAGAGCAAGACTCCGTCTCAAAAAAAAAAAAAAAAGGGAAGTGAGGATGATTTTGGGGACAGCAGGGCTGTGACGCTCTCCTCCGCCCAGGAGGCCACCCAGACTCTATAGGGAAAGAGAAACAGCTGAGTTGCTGGATTCCAACCTGGGTGGGAAACAGCTGAGTTGCTGGAAGTTGCACCAGAATGCCAGCCGTGAAATCCAGCAGCACTGATTACAACCTGGGTGGGAAACTCCATTCTCAGCCACTTGGGGTTAGCCCTGAACGGCAGGAGCCCGTGGAAAGAAAAGTCTCTGCTCTGATTTCGATCATTTTTATGACCTTTAGTCGATTTAATGTTCTAGGTTGGAGGTTGGGGGGGAGTGGGTTACGGTGTTATTTCCTTTCCTTTTGTTCATGTGTAATTAGAAATCCGGAGTGAGCAGAAGGACAGAGGAAAGAAATCTAATACAGTCAGAGGAAGGTGAGGTGCTTTTTTTGTTGTTGTTGTTTTTGTTTTGTTTTCTGGGATGCATCAATTTAAGTGATATCAGCACTTAACAAATAGCCAAGGGGACCCCATCTTCGCTGCAAACGCAGGGGGGCCTTCCAGCCTCCACACACATGGTCAGCACACGCCAGACACAGTTTGAAACAGAGCTTTACACTTTGGGACCTCCTCTTTCTCTCCGATGTATGACCTCCATCTATTTAAAATGTTAACCAATAGAGAACACACACACACACACACACACACGTGTGCCGATCTCAAATTACATATCACATGTGAGTCTTCGCATTTTAAAAGGTGATAAAAATGTCAGTAATATCCTACATGCCAGCCACTCCAAAGATCCCCCACCCTCTAACGTCTACAAGGCTTGGGTTGTCTTAACATAATTCCACGCGGAAACCAGGCTGCTGTGGAAAACACCAGTTCTCGAGATGGCAGCACACACAGAGGCTTTTGTTGAAAAGAGCATGAAAGAGAGGCTTGTCCAAGGTCTCCAGAGACCGGCTTACCGACCGTGATGAACACACACACCCGAAACTGCTGTTTTGACTTTGCGTTCATCATGAGTTCGTTGTGGTTACATTTATTTAAACCTTTGGGAAGTGGATAGATAGGGAGATAGGCAGGTAGGTAGATAGACAGATGATAGGCAGAGACAGAGAGAGACATGATCGATGGATAGATATATGGACATATAGATACATAGATACAGAGATAGATACATAGATGATAGACAGAGACAGACAGGGAGATGATGATAGGTAGATAGATAATGCATAGATAGATAGATAGATGATACATAGATACATAGATGATAGATAGAGATATAATCAATAGATGATAGATTGATAGATAGATACATAGATAATTAGATAGATAGATAGATAAGTAGATATAGATAGATGATAGAGACAGAGAGAGATAATCAATAGATAGATGATAGACAGAGACAGAGAGGAAGATGATAGATAGATAGACAGATAATACATAGATAGATAGATGATAGAGATATAATCAATAGATGATAGATAGATAGATAGATAAGTAGATATAGATAGATGATAGAGACAGAGAGAGATAATCAATAGATAGATGATAGACAGAGACAGAGAGGAAGATGTTAGACAGATAGATAGACAGATTATAGCTATAGATAGACGATAGATAGATGATAGATAGATAGATACATAGAGATACATAGATGATAGATAGATGGTAGACAGATAGATATCTAGATAGACAGATATAGATAGATGATAGAGAGAGAGGTGATCAATAGATAGATGGATAGATAGAGATGGATAGATACATAGATAATAGATAGATAGATGATAGACAGATACACAAACAGAGATAGATAGATACATAAACGATAGATAGATGGTAGATATAGATTGATAAATAAATGAAAAATGATTAGATACATAGATAGATGTGGATAGCCAGATGGAGAGATGACAGATAGATGATAGGTGGATAGATATATGATAGATACAGGTGATAGAGACAGAAGCATAGATATATATGTACGTATATATACACATTATAATATGTACATATTGTATATACTATAAATTGTATACACTATAAATTGTATACATTATAAATCTTCATATATGTGCATATATGTTGAGTATATATGTATACATATATACTAACCATATACTAAACAAACTGAATATATAAACTTTAGTATATGTGCATATGTGTTTAGTATATATGTATATATATGCTAATTATATATGAAACATACTGAATACATTTTTAGTATATGTACCCATATACATATATACTAAAGTATACATATATGCTACAGTTTATCATGTATATATAATATATATGTTTAGTATCTATGTATACAGAGATACTGACATTGTGTACATACACATATATACATGGATATAAAGTACCATATATGTACGTATACACTCTACATTTTATAATGTATTTATACTAAAATTAATAATGTATATGTACATATACATATAATGTATATATAAATAAGATACAGGTATAATGCCTATGATCTAACAATTAAAATACATTAAAATTAATTTCATAACAGTTTTTAACTTACAGAAACATTGCCAGATAATACAGAGAGACTTCATATACCCCACAACCTGCCTGGCCTATTCTTAGCATCTTATATCTGTAGGGTACAATCGTCACAACTGATGAACCAATATTGACGCATTATTAATGTGCTGTTATGGTTAAAAGGATAGTTCAGGCTGAGATCTAGAGTGGTGGTCTCCAGCATAGGCTACAGGCATAGAACTTCACAGAGCTAAAAGTAGAGGGTGGTACTGGGGAGGGCGTGAGAAGCACACGGTTCCATTCGTCTATCTGTAAGGAAAGCTACCAGGCAACAGGCACACATGCACACACACACACACACACACATATTATAGATGCCTCTGTTTACATCATCAGGCTCTGCTATCAAAAGGCCACCTTCTTGATGACAGTGGGAACAGGTGCAGGTGCAGGTACAGATACAAATACAGGTACAGGAGCAGGTATAGAGTACAGGTGCAGGTGCAGGCACAGGTACAAACACAGGTACAGGTGTAAGTTCAGGTACAGACGCAGGTATAGAGTACAGGTGCAGGGCAGGTACAGGTGAGGGTTCAGGTCAATTGCAGGTACATGTGAGGGTGCAGGTGCGTCAGGCTCTGCTGCCTTCTAGATGGGAGTGGGAACAGGTACAGGTGCACGTGCAGGTGAAAGTGCAGGTACTGGTACAGATTGAGGTGCAGGTGCAGATATAGGTGAGGTGCAGGTAAAGGTACAGGTGCAGGTACAGGTACATGTTACTTTAGGCAGCAAAAGGGACTTTCTACATGTGATTAAAGATCTTGGGTTTGGGAGAATATTCAGGTGCAGGTACAGTTTTGGGTGCAGGTACAGGTTCAGGGTCAAATACAGGTGCAGGTATACAGGTGCATTTGCAGGTACAGGTGCAGGTTCACGTGTAGGCTCAGGCACAGATACAGGTACAGATACCAGTGCAGACACAGGTACAGGTACAGGTACAGGTACAGGTATAGATGTAGGTGCTGGTAAAGATAAAGGTGGAGGTGTCGATACAGGTATAGGCATACGTAAAAGTACAGCCACAGGCAGGCGGAGGTGCAGATGTCACTGCAGGGACAGGGAGAGGCGGAGGTGCAGATGTCACTGCAGGGACAGGGACAGGGGGAGGTACAGATGTCACTGCAGGTACAGGGACAGGTGGAGGTGCAGATGTCACTGCAAGGACAGGGACGGGGAGGTGCAGATGTCACTGCAGGGACAGGGACAGGTGGAGGTGCAGATGTCACTGCAGGGACAGGGACAGGTGGAGGTGCAGATGTCACTGCAGGGACAGGGACAGGTGTGGGTGCAGATGTCACTGCAGGGACAGGGACAGGTGTGGGTGCAGATGTCACTGCAGGGACAGGGACAGGTGTGGGTGCAGATGTCACTGCAGGGACAGGGACAGGTGTGGGTGCAGATGTCACTGCAGGGACAGGGACAGGTGTGGGTGCAGATGTCACTGCAGGGACAGGGACAGGGGGAGGTGCAGATGTCACTGCAGGTACAGGGACAGATGGAGGTGCAGATGTCACTGCAGGGACAGGGACAGGGGGAGGTGCAGATGTCACTGCAGGTACAGGGACAGGGGGAGGTGCAGATGTCACTGCAGGGACAGGGACAGGTGGAGGTGCAGATGTCACTGCAGGGACAGGGACAGGTGTGGGTGCAGATGTCACTGCAGGGACAGGGACAGGGGGAGGTGCAGATGTCACTGCAGGGACAGGGACAGGGGGAGGTGCAGATGTCACTGCAGGTACAGGGACAGGGGGAGGTGCAGATGTCACTGCAGGGACAGGGACAGGTGTGGGTGCAGATGTCACTGCAGGTACAGGGACAGATGGAGGTGCAGATGTCACTGCAGGGACAGGGACAGGTGGGGGTGCAGATGTCACTGCAGGGACAGGGACAGGGGGAGGTGCAGATGTCACTGCAGGGACAGGGACAGGTGTGGGTGCAGATGTCACTGCAGGTACAGGGACAGATGGAGGTGCAGATGTCACTGCAGGGACAGGGACAGGGGGAGGTGCAGATGTCACTGCAGGTACAGGGACAGGGGGAGGTGCAGATGTCACTGCAGGGACAGGGACAGGTGTGGGTGCAGATGTCACTGCAGGTACAGGGACAGATGGAGGTGCAGATGTCACTGCAGGGACAGGGACAGGTGGGGGTGCAGATGTCACTGCAGGGACAGGGACAGGGGGAGGTGCAGATGTCACTGCAGGGACAGGGACAGGTGGAGGTGCAGATGTCACTGCAGGGACAGGGACAGGTGTGGGTGCAGATGTCACTGCAGGGACAGGGACAGGTGGAGGTGCAGATGTCACTGCAGGGACAGGGACAGGGGGAGGTGCAGATGTAACTGCAGGGACAGGGACAGGTGTGGGTGCAGATGTCACTGCAGGGACAGGGACGGGGAGGTGCAGATGTCACTGCAGGGACAGGGACAGGGGGAGGTGCAGATGTCACTGCAGGGACAGGGACAGGTGGAGGTGCAGATGTCACTGCAGGGACAGGGACAGGGGGAGGTGCAGATGTCACTGCAGGGACAGGGACAGGTGTGGGTGCAGATGTCACTGCAGGGACAGGGACAGGTGTGGGTAAGCATATACCTCCTCCACGTTTGCACACTCAGGTCCATGCCTTCGCCTTCTCCACAGGTTGTCTGTAAGAACCATTTCATTGGAAAGAAAATGACACGAGAGGAGGATTCAGCCAGAGGTGGGAAGACAGCTGCAAATGCCTTCCCCAACTCCCGGGGAAGGGTGGAAATGGGGTACACACCACACAGTCGCTAACACAAACACACACATCACACCACACACGAATACACACCAATACACACCATACACACATGCAGTGCACACATATATATACACACCACACACGTATACCACACACTCACTAATGCAAAGTGACACGTAACTTATACAGATACTGCACATACACCACGCACTCACTGACACAAACACACAAGCACACACATCACACCACACATGTATACACACTATACACACATACATTGCACACACATGTATACACACCGATGCACAACATACATGCAATGCACACATATGTATATACACCATGCACTCGCACACACCACACAAATATTCCACACACTCGTTAATGCAGTCACACATGAATACACACCATTACACAGCATGCACACACACTGCACACATGTGTATATACACCACACACTCACATACACCACACACATACCACTCACTAACACAAACACACAAACACACATATCACACCACACACGAATACACACCAGTACACACCATACAGACATACACTGCACACACATGTATACACAGCACACACTACACACATATATACCACACACTCACTAATGCAAAGTCACACATAACACATACATAACTACACACATACCACACACTAACACACACACATCACACCACACACGAATACACACCAGTACACACCAGACTTACACTGCACACACAAGTATACACACCACAGTCACACACACCACACATATACCACACACTAATGCGAAGTCACACATAACTCACACATAACTACACACATACCACACACTAACACAAACACAGAAACACACGTATCACACCGCACACGAATACACACCAGACACACTAATGCAAAGTCACAGATAATGCATACATGACTACACACATACCACACACTCACACAAACACACATATCATACCACACACAAATACACACCACTACACACCATACACACATACACTGCACAGACATGTATACACACCACACTCACACACAGCACACACTTATTCCACACGCTCACTAATGCAAATTATGCATAACTCACACAGGTACTAGACACACCACAGACACTACACCCATAGATACACACACACCACACACTGACACAAACACACACATATAATGCATACCACACAAATATCCATCTTTCTGGACCCCCTGGTATAGGATATGGGGAACCCGTCAGTCTGGTAAACACAGGGACCCAGGCTGAGCAGTAGGGACCCCCCAGCGGATCATCCTTCAGCCCCTGGTATGACACCCGGCAGAGACCAGGTCCCCCATAAATGCTTGTCGTCATCTACAAATTAGACTTTTTATATAACTCAAAAATTTAAGGTGCAAAATGCATATCAGACATTCCAAGAAACGTGATTTTCTGCTTTCAGGAGGCTTGGTAGGAAGTCTCGCATCTTAATTACAAAATTACGACAAAATGGGATTTTTCTTTTTTCTTTTTATTTTTTTGAGACGAGTCTCGCTCTGTCTCCGAGGTTGGAGGGCAGTGGCACCATCTCGGCTCACTGCAACCTCCGCCTCCCGGGTTCAAGCGATTCTCCTGCCCCAGCCTCCCGAGTAGCTGAGACTACAGGCACCCGCCACCACGCCCAGCTAAATTTTTTTGTATTTTTTAGTAGAGACGGGGATTCACCGTGTTAGCCAGGTTGGTTTCAAACTCCTGACCTCAAATGACCCGCCTGCCTCGGACTCCCAAAGTGCTGGGATTACAGGCGTGAGCCACTATGTCCGGCCCACAAAATGGGGTCTTTACGTGAAGACACAGCCTGGGACAAAATAACTGAGTGATGGTGTAGGTGACCCTTGATGAGAACACCCAGTTTTGGTTCGTTGGCCTCCAAAGTCCACGAACGGTTGTCTTGGGTGAGTTCCTAACCGTTGCCTCATTTCAGCTCCATTTTCTCATGTGAGCATATGGAATGCTAATAGCATGTACCTGGCAGAGGTATAGGACTCAACCAATGTGATGTTGAAGTTGTACTTGCGGGGCCTCAGCCTGAGATACTTGGACGAGGTTGTACCCAGGATTGTGCATGTCGGGGGTCCCTCAGCCGGGCGCGGTGGCTCACGCCTGTCATCCCAGCACTTTGGGAGGCCGAGGCGGGTGGATCACGAAGTCAGGAGTTCAAGACCAGCCCTGGCCAAGACAGTGAAACCCAATCTCTACTAAAAACATAAAAATTGGCCAGGTGTGGTGGCAGCTGCCTGTAATCCCAGCTACTCGGGAGGCTGAGGCGGGAGAATCGCTTGAATCCAAGAGGCGGAGGTTGCAGTGAGCTGAGATCATGCCACTGCACTCAAGCCTAGACGGCAGAGCAAGACCCTGTCTCAAAAAACAAACAAATAAAAAAAAAAACAGTGGTCTCTCATGGGATGGACTTCAGAGGCATGGTCCTGAGATGTCAGGACAAATTTGTGCCTGGAATTCCATGTTTGAGGTTCTCCAGGGATAGTCCCTTGGTGGAGAGAGACTTCTACACTTCTACCAAAAGATTCTGTATTTAGAGTCTCTCAATACTATGTGTCCCATGGTCTGCCGTGGAGACACACCTCTACATCTTTCCAGTGTGTGACTCTGATTTAAAAAATCATAAGAGGCCAGGCACGGTGGCTCACGTCTGTAATCCCAGCACTCTGGGAGGCCGAGGCGGGCGGATCACCAGGCCAGGAGATCGACACCATCCTGGCTAACACGGTGAAACCCCGTCTCTACTAAAAATACAAAATATTAGCCAAACGTGGTGGCACGCACCTGTCATCCCAGCACTTTGGGAGGCCGAGGCGGGCGGATCACCTGAGGTCAGGAGTTCGAGACCAGCTTGGCCAACACAGTGAAACCCCATCTCTACTAAAAATACACAAATTAGCCGGGCGTGGTGGTGGGCGACTGTAATCCCAGCTACTCGGGAGGCTGAGGGAGGAGAATCGCTTGAACCCGGGAGGCAGAGGTTGCAGTGAGCCGAGATCGCACCACTGCATTCCAACCTGGATGAGAGAGCGAGACTCTGTCTCAAAAAACAAAAGTATTTCACCCTCCTTCTTTCATACAACAGGAGAAATACTTTTTCCTCCTGCCTCTGCCTTTTTGGGGGGGACAATTTCAATGAGATTCAGTGAAAGTCGTTGGTGAATGGCTTTAACTTACTGTAATTTATTTCATGCAGTTCCATTAACTTGGGTCTGTTGAAGCTTGTGTACGTGAAAATGAAACCGGTCGTGAGCTTTGAAAATCCACAGAGTTTTACATGAAAGTGGTCTTTTACCTGAAAGCACACTCATCGACTCCGTGCAGTCTTGGAATCTGGGATTCCCTTTGAAGGTAATACCCACAATTATTTGTGTTTCATAAATATGGAATTACGCGTTCATACTCCTGGTTATTAACTGGGATATGGCTTTTAAATCTAACTGTTAGTCATTGAAATCCTTTGCTGAATAAATTGAATCAGTTTCTAGAAGGTGGATACGGTTGTTTCATGTCTTTTCAGGGTAGAACCATATGCAGTTGAGTATCCCCGTCTGTGGAGAGTTGGAAAAGGCTGGGGAAAGTCTGAAGCCTTTGCTGGACCTTGATTTTGTCCTTCTGTCTTCTCCTTTGTGCACTTACGCTGGGAAATAACATCTTTGCTAATAACGTCAGAAGAGAGTGCAGAAGCCGGGCGCGGTGGCTCACGCCTGTCATCCCAGCACTTTGGGAGGCCGGGGTGGACCGATCTCGAGGTCAGGAGTTCGAGACCAGCCTGGCCAACATGGTGAAACCCCGTCTCTACTAAAAACCCAAAAACTAGCCGGGCGTGGTGGCGCATGCCTGTAGTCCCAGCTACTCGGGAGACTGAGGCAGGAGAATTGCTTGAACCTGGGAGGTGGAGGTTGCAGTGAGCCAAGATCGCACCACTGCACTCCAGCCTGGGAGACGAGAGACTCTGTCTCAAAGAAAAAAAAAAAAATTATTCCTAAATTTGCAGTGTCATTCCTAAATGGGACACCATGGTAAGGAATGCAGGCAACCTCTTGAAATTAGGAAAAAATCCGGGAAAATGAATTCTCCCCTAGAGCTTGTAAGGGATACTTTGATTTTAGCCCTGTTAAGATTCATTTTGGACTCTGACTCTGCCAGAACTGTAAGATAACAACACCTGTGTCATTTGAAGCCACGAGTTTGTGGTCCTTCGTTACAACATCTACAGGAGGACCCCTTTGTTTTTTTGTTTGTTTTTGTTTTTGTTTTTTTGAGACAGTCTCGCTCTGTCACCCAGGCTGGAGTGCAGTGGCATCATCTCGGCTCACTCCGCCTCCCAGGTTCAAGCAATTCTCCTGTCTCAGCCTCCAGAGTAGCTGGGACTACGGGCGCGTGCCAGCACGCCCGGCTAATTTTTGAATTTTTAGTAGAGACGGGGTTTCACCGTGTTGGCCAGGCCGGTCTCGAACTCCTGACCTCGTGATCCACCTGCCTCGGCCTCCTGAAGTGCTGGGATTACAAGCGTGAGCCACTATGCCCAGACTGTTTTTTTAATTAAGCTTTTTTTCCTCATGATCCAGTTTTCTCTTCTGAGTAGGTAAGAAAACCCCCAAACTCTAGGCTGATCCTCTGAACTTCTCCATCTCAAACCTGAGCCGTGTGCCAGAGGACGATGCCTCCGGGGTAGCATTTGGCTTCAGGGGACTTCCTCACCACCCCTCCCCACTCTGGTGAGGCTGGGAATGTAATTCCACCTGTGTGGGTACTTGACCCGGGCACGGTGGCTCACGCCTGTCATCCCAGCACTTTGGGAGGCCGAGGTAGATGGATCTCCTGAGGCCGGGAGTTTGAGACCAGCCTGGCCAACATGGAGAAACCCCGTCTCTACTGAAAACACAAAAATTAGCCGGACCTGTTGGCTCATGCCTGTCATCCCAGCTACTCGGGAGGCTGAGGCAGGTGAATCGCTTGAACCCGGGAGGCGGAGGTGGCAGTGAGCCGAGATCACACCATATTGCACTCCAGCCTGGGCGACAAGAGTGAAACTCCATCTCAAAAAAAGAAAAAAGGAACAAATTCACAGCATTTTCACGCAACGTCCATTCTACCTGGAAGCACTCAAGGACATCATAGATTCTTGGAACATGCGATTCCTTTTGAAGGCAACCCCAGCTGTGACCTGCATGGTATGCACGTAGGCTAGTGTGCACACACCGACAAGCTAATAGTCTCAGCCCCGCTGGCCGAGACAAGGGGGACTTCCCAGACCCACGGGCGTAACTCCCACCATGACTGTGAGATGTGACTGACCCTGAATGCTGCTGCTGGTGGCTACTCCCTCCAGCCCTGTTGATCATCCAACTTCTCTATGCCAAGATGTGTCTGTATCCGTCTACTCTCACGGTGCTAGTGAAGACATACCCGAGACTGGGTCATTTATTTTTATGATTTTTTATTTATTTTATCTATTTTGAGACGGAGTCTCGCACTGTCGCCCAGGCTGGAGTGCAGTGGCACGATCTCGGCTCACTGCAAGCTCCACCTCCCGGGTTCACGCCATTCTCCTGCCTCAGCCTCCCGAGTAGCTGGGACTACAGGCACGTGCCACCACGCCCTGGTGACAGAGCAAGACTCTGTCAAAAATAAAAAAAATAAACAAAACACCAATATCACTTTCTTTTTTTCTTTTTTTTTTTTTGAGACAGGGTTTTGCTTTCCTTACCCAGGCTGGAGTGCAATAGTGTGATCTCGGCTCACTGCAACCTCCGCCTGCCAGATTCAAGCGATTCTCCTGCCTCAGCCTCCCAAGTAGCTGGCATTACAGGCATGCACCACCATGCCTGGCTAATTTTTGTATTTTTAGTAGAGATGGGGTTTCACTGTGTTGGCCAGGCTGGTCTCGAACTCCTGACCACAGGTGATCCACCCGACTTGGCCTCCCAAAGTGCTGGGATTATAGGCGTGTGCCACCGCGCCCGGCCTAATATCACTTTCAGTCAACATTATCCCCTGACTTGACGATGTCCAGGGCTGGCACAAGCTTCTAACTTTTCTGTGTACCTTTGGTAACAGTTACCGTGAAACTCTGACTCTCCCATGTAGGAAGCCGATATCCATGCTACCGCTGAACCCTCTCCATCCCACCTGTGGTCAACCCTCTCTCCATCTTATAGCCAGTTTCCATCATCCCCATTTACAAAGCTACCCTGGGTTTCCCTCTGTTTTCCCTCGCCGTGAAATA
This sequence comes from Homo sapiens, assembly GCF_000001405.40. NCBI lineage: Eukaryota > Metazoa > Chordata > Mammalia > Primates > Hominidae > Homo > Homo sapiens. The sequence continues at coordinate 1,135,352 of NC_000023.11, forward strand.
TCAAGTTAGGAAAACCTCGCTGGAAAATCTCAGGGAACAATGTAGGAAGTCAGATTTCACGTCTGAAATCGGGGAAAAATGGAGACAGCTACGGTGCTTTTCCATGAGTGATAATTTCCTTTTCTACCCCTCCCTTGTTCCCTGGCAGTTGGGTTTACGATCGGCGGCAGACGGATGGCTTTTTATGAGTTTCGTATTTTTCATAAGGCCACACTTCATTATTCGTATGTTGGGATGTCTTCTGCTTGCGTTCTAAATCATGCTGCGAAATAAACTTAAACGAGAGAGAACATGATAAGCACCGTATTGTTTGTTTTTTATTTTGTTTTGTTCTGTTTTTGTTTTTGCTTTTGTTTTCTGCTCCCTGTTTGCAAATAAAGAGAATTGCCAAACTTGATTAAAAGTTGGTAGTTAAGGCTGGGCACGGTGGCTCACATCTATATAATCCCAGCACTTTGGGAGGCCGAGGCGGGCGGATCACCTGAGGTCAGGAGTTCGAGACCAGCCTGGCCAACATAGTGAAACCCCGTCTCTACTAAAAATACAAAATTAGCCAGGCGTGGTGGTGGGCACCTGTAATCCCAGTTACTCGGGAGGCTGAGGCGGGAGAATCACTTGAACCCGGGAGACGGAAGTTGCAGTGAGCCGAGATCGCACCACTGCACTCCAGCCTGGGCAATGAGAGCAAAAACTCTTGTCTCAAAAAAAAAAAAAAAAAAAAAAAAAGAAAGAAAGAAAGGAAAAAAGAAAAGAAAAGAAAAAAAGAAAAGATCAGATCAGCCCACAGTTTTATTTTTTACTTTAAACGGATGGTAGGAAAAGTTTGTTGTTTTTGTTTGTTTGTTGTTTTGGTTTGTTTGTTGTTTTTGTTTGTTTTTTGTTTGATGTTTGTGGCTTAAATAAAAGCCATTGACTCCCACAGTCTTAGAGGCTGGAAGTCTGAGATCCAGGTGTGGGGCAGGGCTGGTTCCTCCTGAGGCCTCTCTCCTGGGGTTGGAGACGCCGTCTTCTCCCTGTGTCCTCACAGGGTCGTCCCTCTCTGTGTGTCTGTGTCCTCATCTCCTCTTCTTATGGGATGTCTTAGTCCATCTCAGGCTGCTGTCACAGAATACCATAGACCGGGTGGCTTATAAACAACAGACATTGATTCTCCCACAGCCCTGGAGGCTGGAAGTCTGAGATCCAGGTGTGGGCAGGGCTGGTTCCTCCTGAGGACTCTCTCCTGGGCTTGGAGATGCCGTCTTCTCCCTGTGTCCTCACAGGGTCATCCCTCTGTGTGTGTCTGTGTCCTCATCTCCTTTTCTTATGAGGTGTCTTAGTCCATTTCAGGCTGCTGTCACAGAATACCATAGACTGGGTGGCTTGTAAACAACACACACTGATTCTCCCACAGCCCTGGAGGCTGGAGGTCTGAGATCCAGGTGTGGGCAGGGCTGGCTCCTCCTGAGGCCTCTCTCCTGGGCTTGGAGACGCCGTCTTCTCCCTGTGCCCTCACAGGGTCGTCCCTCTGTGTGTGTCTGTGTCCTCATCTCCCTTTTCTTTTTTTTGAGACAGAGTGTCACTCTGTCGCCCAGGCTGGAGTGCAGTGGTGTGATCTCGGCTTACTGCAACCTCCGCCTCCCGGGTTCACGCCATTGTCCTGCCTCAGCCTCCCGAGTAGCTGGGACCACAGGCGCCCGCCACCACGCCCGGCTAATTTTTTTTGTATTTTTAGTAGAGACGGGGTTTCATTGTGTTAGCCAGGATGGTCTCGATCTCCTGACCTCGTGATCCACCCGCCTCGGCCTCCCAAAGTGCTGGGATGACAGGCGTGAGCCACCGCGCCTGGCCCCTCATCTCCCTTTTTTATAAGGATACACTAATGAGATCATTTTACCTGAATCACCTCTTTAAAGACCCTGCCTCCGAGTACATTCACATTCCGAAGTCCTGAGGATTAGGGCTTCAACATAAGAATTTTGAAAGCATGCAGTTCAGCCTCTACCAACCTGGAATATGCTGCTACTTCATATTTTATTTTATTTTATTTTATTTATTTTGAGACGGAATTTCGTTCTTGTCGCCTAGGCTGGAGTGCAGTGTTGCGACCTCAGCCCACTGCCGCCTTCACCTCCCACATTCAAGCGATTCTCCTGCCTCAGCCTCCCGAGTAGATGGGATTACAGGCATGCGCCACCACGCCTGGCTAATTTCTGTATTTTCAGTGGACATGGGGTTTCACCATGTTGGCCAGGCTGATCTTGAACTGCTGACCTCGTGATCCACCCACCTTGGCGTCCCAGAGTGCTGGGATGGCAGGCGTGAGTCACTGCGCCTGGCCAAGCCTTTCGTTCTGTCCAATCAGTCCTTCCACTGATTGGATACGGCCCACCCACGTTGGGAAAGGCAATCTACTTTGCTCCGTGCATGGATTCAAATGCTCCTCTCATCCAGAGACCCTCCCACACACCTTGAATCGTGTCTGACCACACATCTGGGCACCCCGTGGCCCAGTCAACTGGACACATAAGTACCCAACACATTCTCTCCCTTGCTTTTGCCTCTAGACTAGATCATTCCCATCTGCAGAGAGACACACAGCCATTTTTTTCAGGTAAAACAATTTTTTCGAGTACATTCCCCCAAGCCTTCACCCCATCTCTTTGCTCCTTTTCCTAGCATAGCAGGACGTGGGTTTAGATGGCGCTTGAGTTTCTCCAGCATCGTCTTCATGCTCCCCTTTTCTCTCACTTCCTTCACTGCACACACCTGGGTCTCACCAAGATCCCTACTAACCCCCAGTGATAAGTGCACCACTGGGTCACCTTTCCTGCACCGACTAGCATGGTGGACTCAGCTATCACCCCTTTCTCCTTGACTCACTCGGCTTCTAGAGTTCCACACCCTCTCTGTCTTCCTCCTACCCCTCTGGCAACTTCTCTCCAGTTGCGTTAGTCTATTCTCACACCGCTAATAAAGACATATCTGAAGCCGGGTGCGGTGGCTCACGTCTGTCATCCCAGCACTTTGGGAGGCCGAGGCGGGCGGATCACGAGGTCGGGAGATCGAGACCATCCTGGCTAACACGGTGAAACCTCGTCTCTACTAAAAATACAAAAAATTATTTTTGGGAGGCCCACCTCGGCCTCCCAAAGTGCTGGGATGACAGGCGTGAGCCACCGCGCCTGGCCCCATATCACCAGATAGAATGTTCTAGAACGTTTTTCCGGAAAGATGTAGTCAGCCACAAACTCACTTCTTCTCCCTGAGCCACCCCCCTCCTTTTAAGAGGCAAACTGTCCACTGCCTCGCTGGCTTTGACCCCGAATACTTTTTCTCATTTCCATCAACATACCGGTTTTCTCACACACTATGTAATTTTCTTGTTTATTTCAGAGTTCCTTCTCTCTCTGATGAAGGGGTACGTTTCACCAGGACGGGGGTCTTGGTTTTGTCCTCTCCAAACAGTGCCTGACGTATGACATGTGCATTTACGGGATGAAGGAGGGAAACTTCAAACCCTCCCGGGTACCACCTTTGAAGCTGTCGGAAAGCGCTTTGGTGACCCCCATCTCTTTGGCACAGAGCATTTCGCCCCTTGTCAGCCTCATGCTATCAACATTCCTTGCCCGACTGTCTTTCGTTTCTGCGTAGGTGATATATGAGCCCGTGCTGTTCCCTGCCTCTTTCAACCTATTAAATTGCTTTCACTTCTAATGAGAGACAGAGGTTTTCCTGCTTCACAGAGCCTCGTAAGCATCTGCTTGCAGACCTGAGACCTGATGAGGTGCTAATAAAATCCAGCAGAGGATGTGGCACCCACCAGCATTTCTGCGTCACATTTGTGTAATGTATGGCTCTAATCTGACCAGGTTTTCATGAGGAGCTTTGGAGGAATGTGTCTCAGCACCCTGAACACTCTGCAGTTACCTCCGCTCCGGGGACCAAGGCCTGTGTCTCATTCCCGAGCATCATCCGTGTAGGAATGGCCTGCCCGCCTAGCTCAGAAAAGGAAGCCTGCCCTGGCTGCTTGTTTTTGAAAGTGTGATCGTCTCCCTGCTGCTTGGTTTGCCTTCTTTTTCTTTTTTGGTTTTTTGAGACAGAGATTCGCTCTTGTTACCAAGGCTGGAGTGCACTGGTGCGATCTCGGCTCACAGCAACCTCCGCCTCCCGGGTTCAAGCGATTCTCCTGCCTCAGCCTCCCGAGTAGCTGGGACTACAGGCACCCACCACCATGCCCGGCTAATTTTGTAATTTTTGTACAGACGGAGTCTCACCATGTTGACCAGGCTGCTCTCGAACTCCTGACCTCAGGTGATCCACCCGCCTCGGCCTCCCAAAGTGCTGGGATTACAGGCGTCAGCCACTGTACCGGCCTTTTGTTGTTGCTGTTTTGTTTTTTTGTTTGTCTGTTTGTTTTTATTTTTGGCTGTGTTTGAGACAGAGTCTTGCTCTATCACCCAGACTGGAGTGCAGCAGCGCGATCTCGGCTCACTGCAACCTCTACCTCCCGGGCTTAAGCGAGCCTCCTGCCTCAGCCTCCCGAGTAGCTGGGATGACAGGCATGCACCACCACACCCGGGTAATTTTGTATTTTTAGTAGAGATGGGGTTTCACCATGTTGGCCAGGCTGGTCTCGAACTCCCGACCTCAGGTGATCCACCCTCCTCAACCTCACAAAGTGGAGGGATTACAGGCATGAGCCACCATGCCGGGCTGTGTTTCTTAATTAATGTCTGTACGTTGTTTTTTTAACATAGCGGTATTGCACACATACCAGACTACAGTCTAAGCAAGGTGTATACGCAGTAGGAAAGTAAAACTGTGTATGACTCGCTTTATTGGGACATGAGCTTTATAGGGATGGTCTCTGCACATCAATTTGCACTTTCTCCAAGGCACGCCTGGATGGGGTGATATCCACGTCTGCGTCCTTAAAATGAGGGACGGTCATCTACTTTCGACGATTTCCTTTGCTGAGCTTTGCCGAGCACCGTGACAAATCAGCTGAGCTCGCAGACACACCATGGGTAAGTAGGAGATGATTGTCATCCAAGGGCTAAGTTAATCCCCTCTTTCATATTTACCTTACACTTACCAGCTCCCACTTTAAGGTCCATTAAAATAAAGCTCTCTGAGTCCCCAGAGAAACGGCTCTCACCAGTGAGCCCGAGGGGAAAACGTGTCAGTCAAGCTATTATTGGTGCTAATTAGCTGCTGTGCCGGCTGAGAGAAAGCACGGCTGCAGACACGTGTCAGTCAGAGAGGCATCTTTCTCCCCGCCTTGGCACGCATCTCTGCCTTTTTGCCATCTTCTGCCTTTGGTCATCTTCTGCCTTTGGTCATCTTCTGCCTTTTTGCCATCACGGAAACTGTCTCCAAACTAAGCAAACAGGTCTCAGGGATCAACAGGAATGATATCCACCCTCCTGAGGGTTCCTTTGCTCCTGGATCTTGAATACTCCCAGAGACCCCCAACTGTAGGCCAAAAGCCGATGCCAGGTCTGCAGAGGAGGCCCCTGTGAAAATGGCCAGCTGATAACTATTATTACGTTGCTTTTTTTCATTTGGAAAGTCTGTGGGAGTGTCCCCGAGTTTAAGTCAGGAAGGAACATTTAAAAACAGAATCTTCCGGCCGGGCACGGTGGCTCACGCCTGTCATCCCAGCACTTTGGGAGGCCGAGGCGGGTGGATCACCTGAGGTCAGGAGATCGAGACCAGCCTGGCCAACATGTGTGAAACCCCGTCTCTACTAAAAATACAAAAAATTAGCCAGGCGTGGTGGCGGGCGCCTGTAGTCCCAGCTACTCGGGAAGCTGAGGCAGGAGAATCGCTTGAACCCGGGACGTGGAGGTTGCAGAGAGCTGAGATCGCACCACTGCACTCCAGCCTGGGCAAGACTCCGTCTGAAAAATAAATAAATAAAAATAAAAAATTGAAAGTAGACTCTTTCGGCCAGGCACAGTGGCTCACACCTGTAATCCCAACACTTTGGGAGGCCGACGCAGGCAGATCACCTGAGGTCAGGAGTTCGAGACCAGCCTGGCCAATATGGTGAAATCCAGTCTCTACTAAAAATACAAAAATTAGCTGGGCGTGGTGGCAGGCACCTGTACTCGGGAGGCTGAGGCAGGAGAATTACTTGAACCTCAGAGGTGGAGTTTGCAAGGAGCTGAGATCGTGCCGCTGCACTCCTGCCTGGGCAACAGAGCAAGACTCCATCTTAAAAATAAATAAATAAAAATAAAAAGTAAAAAAATAAAAATAGAGTCTTCCGGCCGGTCATGGTGGCTCACGCCTGTAATCCCAGCAGTTTGGGAGGCTGAGGCGGGTGTATCACCTGAGCTCACAAGTTCCAGACCAGGCTGTCCAACATGGTGAAACCCCGTCTCTACTAAAAATACAAAAAAATTAGCCAGGCGTGGTGGCGGGCACCTGTAATCCCAGCTACTCAGGAGGCTGAGGCAGGAGAGTTGCTTGAACCCGGAAGGTGGAGGTTGCAGTGAGCCAAGATCGTGCCATTGTACTCCAGCCTGGGTGGCAGAGAGAGACTCTGTCTCAAACACACACACACACACACACACACACACACACACAAATCACCATAGACTCACCAAGTAAAGTGTGTGATTCAGAGTTTCTGACTCCTAAATTGCTCAAATCAAGCATATAGGGCTTGGTTGGTGGATAATTGTTGAGTGTGTGTGTTTGTGTGTGTATGTAAGAGACCGGGTCTCACTGTCTCACCCAGGCTGGAGTCCAGTGGCACAATCATGACTCACTGCAGCCTCCACCCCCTAGACTCAATTGATTCTCCCACCTCCGCCTCCCGAGTAGCTGAGACTATTTACCATGTTCCAGCACCCCTGGGCCACAGAGCGAGACTCCGTCTCAAACACACACACACACACACACACACACACACACACACACACACACACACACAAATCACCATAGACTCACCAAGTAAAGTGTGTGATTCAGAGTTTCTGACTCCTAAATTGCTCAAATCAAGCATATAGGGCTTGGTTGGTGGATAATTGTTGAGTGTGTGTGTTTGTGTGTGTATGTAAGAGACCGGGACTCACTGTCTCACCCAGGCTGGAGTCCAGTGGCACAATCATGACTCACTGCAGCCTCCACCCCCTAGACTCAATTGATTCTCCCACCTCCGCCTCCCAAGTAGCTGAGACTATTTACCATGTTCCAGCACCCCTGGGCCACAGAGCGAGACTCCGTCTCAAACACACACACACACACACACACACACACACACACACACACAAAATGACCATAGACTCACCAAGTAAAGTGTGTGATTCAGAGTTTGTGATTCCTAAATAGCTCAAATCAGGTATATAGGGCTTGGTTGGTGGATAATTGTTGAGCGTGTGTGTTTGTGTGTGTATGTAAGAGACGAGATCTCACTGTCTCACCCACAGGCTGGAGTCCAGTGGCACAATCATGACTCACTGCAGCCTCCACGCCCTAGACTCAATTGATTCTCCCACCTCCGCCTCCCGAGTAGCTGAGACTATTTACCATGTTCCAGCACCCCTGGGCCACAGAGCGAGACTCCGTCTCAAACACACACACACACACACACACACACACACACACACACACACAATGACCATAGACTCACCAAGTAAAGTCCCGAGGAGCTGAGACTATTTACCATGTTCCAGCACCCCTGGGCCACAGAGCGAGACTCCGTCTCAAACACACACACACACACACACACAAAATGACCATAGACTCACCAAGTAAAGTCCCGAGTAGCTGAGAGTATTTACCATGTTCCAGCACCCCTGGGCCACAGAGCGAGACTCCGTCTCACACACACACACACACACACACACACACACACATACACACACAATGACCATAGACTCACCAAGTAAAGTCCCGAGGAGCTGAGACTATTTACCATGTTCCAGCACCCCTGGGCCACAGAGCGAGACTCCGTCTCAAACACACACACACACACACACACAAAATGACCACAGACTCACCAAGTAAAGTCCCGAGTAGCTGAGAGTATTTACCATGTTCCAGCACCCCTGGGCCACAGAGCGAGACTCCGTCTCAAACACACACACACACACACACACACAAAATGACCATAGACTCACCAAGTAAAGTCCCGAGGAGCTGAGACTATTTACCATGTTCCAGCACCCCTGGGCCACAGAGCGAGACTCCGTCTCACACACACACACACACACACACACACACACACACACACACACAAAATGACCACAGACTCACCAAGTAAAGTCCCGAGGAGCTGAGAGTATTTACCATGTTCCAGCACCCCTGGGCCACAGAGCGAGACTCCGTCTCACACACACACACACACACACACACACACACACACACACACAAAATGACCACAGACTCACCAAGTAAAGTCCCGAGTAGCTGAGAGTATTTACCATGTTCCAGCACCCCTGGGCCACAGAGCGAGACTCCGTCTCAAACACACACACACACACACACACACACACACACACACACACACACACAAAATGACCATAGACTCACCAAGTAAAGTCCCGAGGAGCTGAGACTATTTACCATGTTCCAGCACCCCTGGGCCACAGAGCGAGACTCCGTCTCACACACACACACACACACACACACACACACACACAAAATGACCACAGACTCACCAAGTAAAGTCCCGAGGAGCTGAGACTATTTACCATGTTCCAGCACCCCTGGGCCACAGAGCGAGACTCCGTCTCAAACACACACACACACACACACACACACACACACACAAAATGACCACAGACTCACCAAGTAAAGTCCCGAGGAGCTGAGACTATTTACCATGTTCCAGCACCCCTGGGCCACAGAGCGAGACTCCTACTCAAAAAAAAAAAACAAAAAAAAAAACAAACAAAAAAAAAACAGAAAACCGCATCGTCTCCAAGGCACTGGGGAGACTCCAGCTACAAAGACAAACAGGTGCGCAGGGGATTTTTCATTAAAGCGACAGGAATTTTCTCCATTTTTAAGTATCGTAAACATATACAACACACAGGAAATGAGTCCTCGGAGGCTGTTTGGGCCCAGAGCAGCAGAGATAATTAGGTTAGTGAAGTAATTGAAATACAATATCACAGGATAGCTTGGCCGTCCTTCCCGTCTTTATTAGGGTGGATTATACCTGCTTGAGAGATTATTTATAGCCTCGTGGTATCCTGGTAATAAAAGATTGGTAATGGAAAAGTGTATCTAAACAGGACACGGATGACATCAGCATTGCAAATTTTTCTGAGCAAATGAGAAGGGAAGAGATAGTATAAAATTATTAATAAATTACGTTAGGCACCGTGGCTCACGCCTGTCATCCCAGCACTTTGGGAAGCCGAGGTAGGTGGATGACCTGAGGTCAGGAGTTCGAGACCAGCCTGGCCAACACAGAGAAACCCCGTCTCTACTAAAAATACAAAAATTAGCCAGGCGTGGTGGTGCATGCCTGTCATCCCAGCACTTTGGGAGTCTGATGCAGGCGGATCACCTGAGGTTGGGAGTTCGACACCAGCCTGGCCAACATGGTGAAACCCCATCTCTACCAAGATACAAAAATGAGCTGGGCGTGGTGGTGGGCACCTGTAATCCCAGCTACTCAGGAGGGAGGCCGAGGCAGGAGAATGGCGTGAACCCGGGAGGCGGAGGTTGCAGTCAGCTGAGATTGCACCACTGCACTCCAGCCTGGGAGACAGAGGGAGACTCCATGTCAAAAAAAAAAAAAAAATTATCCAAGAGAAGAGATACATGGAGCAGAGTATAGGAGAGGCAGGCACAAGCTTCTTGTTGTCTCTTCCCAGTGGAAGGGTAGACCCAGCTTCTCCCAGCCATGATGTGTGACAGCAAACGCAAGATATTGCCGAGTAGATAAGTTCATCCACGTCTGGAATTCCAGGGTCTTTACTGGGGGGATGGTCTACACAGGAGGAACCTCCTGCTTGGCTGACTTCAGGATCCAGCCCTTCCAGAGGTGAAGGTGAATCCATGTTCCCCCAAACCCCGCCGCAGATCACATGGCAGCTTAAGTAACCTGGTGTGGCCCAGACCACGCAGCACGGCCCAAGACACCCGGGCAAACGCGGACGTTTTTCCTGGGGTCCTTGGAATGTTCTGCCTGATAAGAGTGTCCTTCTGGCAGGGTTTGGTGGCTCAGGCCTGTCATCCCAGCACTTTGGGAGGCCGAGGCGGGTGGATCACCTCAGGTCGGGAGTTCGAGACCAGCCTGACCAACATGGTGAAACCCCATCTCTACTAAAAATGCAAAATTAGCCAGGCGTGGTGGCGCGCACCTGTAATCCCAGCTACTCTGGAGGCTGAGACAGGAGGATCGCTTGAACCCGGGAGGCGGAGGTTGCGGTGAGCTGAGATCACGCCACTGCACTCCAGCCTGGGCAACAAGAGCAAAACATCTTAAAAAAAAAAAAGAGTTTCCTTCTGGCAGGGTTTGGTGGCTCATGCCCGTAATCCCAGCACTTTGGGAGAGGGAAGCAGGAGGATGACTGGAGTTCAGGAGTCTGAGACCAGACTGAGCCCGTTTTATGTTTTGTTGTTGTTGAGACAACGTCTCACTCTGTCCCCCAGGCTGGAGAGCACTGGTGAAATCACAGCTCATTGCAGCCTTGAACTCCTGGGCTCAAGCAGTCCTCCCACCTAAGCCTCCAAATAGCTGGGACCGCATACCTGAGTCACCACACGTGGCTAACTGCAGGATGTGAACATCTTTGGGGACATTATTCTGTCCCCCACATGGGGATTAGGACGTGGACATCTTTGGGGACATTATTCTGTCTATCACATGGGGATTAGGACGTGGACATCTTTGGGGACATTATTCTGTCTCCCACATGGGGATTAGGACGTGGACATCTTTGGGGACATTATTCTGTCTATCACATGGGGATTAGGACGTGGACATCTTTGGGGATATTATTCTGTCTATCACATGGGGATTAGGACGTGGACATCTTTGGGGACATTATTCTGTCTCCCACATGGGGATTAGGACGTGGACATCTTTGGGGACATTATTCTGTCTATCACATGGGGATTAGGACGTGGACATCTTTGGGGCCATTATTCTGTCTATCACATGGGGATTAGGACGTGGACATCTTTGGGGACATTATTCTGTCTATCACATGGGGATTAGGACGTGGACATCTTTGGGGACATTATTCTGTCTATCACATGGGGATTACGACGTGGACATCTTTGGGGACATTATTCTGTCTATCACATGGGGATTACGACGTGGACATCTTTGGGGACATTATTCTGTCTATCACATGGGGATTAGGACGTGGACATCTTTGGGGACATTATTCTGTCTATCACATGGGGATTACGACGTGGACATCTTTGGGGACATTATTCTGTCTCCCACATGGGGATTAGGACGTGGACATCTTTGGGGCCATTATTCTGTCTATCACATGGGGATTAGGACGTGGACATCTTTGGGGCCATTATTCTGTCTATCACATGGGGATTAGGACGTGGACATCTTTGGGGACATTATTCTGTCTATCACATGGGGATTAGGACGTGGACATCTTTGGGGACATTATTCTGTCTATCACATGGGGATTAGGACGTGGACATCTTTGGGGACATTATTCTGTCTCCCACATGGGGATTAGGACATGGACATCTTGGGGACATTATTCTGTCTATCACATGGGGATTAGGACGTGGACATCTTTGGGGCCATTATTCTGTCTCCCACATGGGGATTAGGACGTGGACATCTTTGGGGACATTATTCTGTCTATCACATGGGGATTAGGACGTGGACATCTTTGGGGACATTATTCTGTCTATCACATGGGGATTAGGACGTGGACATCTTTGGGGCCATTATTCTGTCTCCCACATGGGGATTAGGACGTGGACATCTTTGGGGCCATTATTCTGTCTATCACATGGGGATTAGGACGTGGACATCTTTGGGGCCATTATTCTGTCTCCCACATGGGGATCAGGACGTGGACATCTTTGGGGCCATTATTCTGTCTATCACATGGGGATCAGGACGTGGACATCTTTGGGAGTGACATTATTTATCCCTCCACCATTCACTCTGTCCCAGGATCCATTCCATCCTCCCCTGACTTCCCTTTCTTGTGAGCGTGGCTGAGGCAAAATCTGCCCGTCTCCCAAGACTGCAGGCTGCACCTGCCCCGACTCCGCATTTCTCTTCCTCTTACGTACGCCCCTTCAATGCCATTCCTCTGTCTCACTTCACGTCTGTTCAGTGCTTTCAGGAGAGAATTCACCGGGGGGATCACCTCTGAACAACGCCATTCACCAGCTCTCTGGGGCCTGCGAGTCTCTGCCTTCATCCTCACGGTCTACGAGGCAACGTGATCCTGCTTTTTTATTATTCCTGGGTGGACGCTAACCGCCTCCTGGTTTCCTGGGGCCCAGCAACGTCCACACTGGCCCTCCTGGCTTCTTTGTCTAGATTCCCTTCTTGAACTTCAATGTGAAGCGTTTGCGTACCTGCCACCACACTTCCTCCCACGTTCCAAAGCCCGGTCAGCTTTCTCACAGCGGAACTCAAACACCAGGGGCTTATCTTCACCAGTGCTGCAAAAACAGCCTTTCCCAACGGGCCTTCTCTTTCATGTCGAGCCCGTTCCTCCTCTTCCCTCCCTCCTGTGGGCAGCGGCGGCTGCGTTTCTGAGCAACTGGCTTCATGGGGGCGGAAAGACACAGAAGATGCTTCTGCAGGGGGACGGTTTCTGAAGCCCACATGACCAGTGGGGCAGCCGGGGCGGGGCAGAACGTGCTTTTAGTTTATTTTTATTATTTTATTTCATTTATTGTATTTATTTATTTTACACATTTATTTATTTTTCTGAGATGGAGCTTAGCTCTGTTGTCCAGGCTGGAGTGCAGTGGTGCCGGGCAGAATGTGCTTTTAGTTTATTTTTATTATTTTATTGTATTTTATTTATTTATTTAATTAATTTATTTATTTTATATATTTATTTATTTATCTGAGATGGAGTTTCACTCTGTTGTCCAGGCTGGAGTATAGTGGTGTGAAGCAGAACGTGCTTTTATTTTATTTTTATTATTTTATTTTATTTATTTACTTATTTTTTTTTATATATATATATATTTTTTTGAGACGGAGTTTCACTCTGTTGTCCAGGCTGCAGTGCAGTGGTGCCGGGCAGAAAGTGCTTTTAGTTTATTATTTTATTGCAGCTTATTTATTTATTTAATTATTTATTATTTACTTATTTACTGAGACGGAGTTTCACTCCTGTCGCCCAGGCTGGAGTGCAGTGGCGCGATCTCGACTCACTGCAAGCTCCGCCTCCCGGGTTCAAGCGATTCTCCTGCCTCAGCCTCCCGAGTAGCTGCGATTACAGGCACCTGCCACCACCATGCCCGGCTAATTTTTGTATTTTTAGTAGAGACGGGGTTTTGCCATGTTGGCCAGGCTGGTCTTGAACTCCTGACCTCAGGTGATCCGCCCGCCTCGGCCTCCCAAAGTGCTGGGATTATGGGTGTGAGCCACTGCGCACGGCCATATTTTATCTATTTATTTACTTGCTCACTTATTTTGATATGTAGTCTCACTCTGTCCCGCAGGCTGGAGTGCAGTGGCGCAATCTTGACTCTCTGCAATCTCCACCTCCCGGGTTCAAGTGATTGTTCTGCCTCAGCCTCCTGAGTAGCTGGGGTCACAGGCACCTGCCACCATGACCAGCTAATTTTTGTATTTTTAGTAGAGACAAGGTTTTGCCATGTTGGCCAGGCTGGTCTTGAACTCCCGACCTCAAGTGATCCACCCACCTTGGCCTCCCAATGTGCTGGGATGACAGCTGTGAGCCACCATGCCCAGCCCAGAACATTCTTTTAAATGACAGTGGTGAAGAGCCAAAAAATAATAATAATAATTCTTTTTGTAGTAGTAGATTCAGTTCTAAAGCAAACTTCTTTAAAGACTGGGTGCAAAGCTACCTTTACACACAGAGAGAAACTTCACCCGGAGACAGGATTGCTAGTTGCTGAGATGTACTCAGATCAAACTAAGCTGGAGAGGGGCTCTTGGCCTCAGCACTGCTGACATTTGCGGCTGGAAGATTCTTTGCTGTGGGGCCATCCTGGGCACTGGAGGGTGTTGAGCAGTGTCCCTGGGCTGCACCCACCAGGTTCCAAAACCACCCACTCCCCAGTGAGGGCAACAAAAAATGAAAAATGACCGTAAATACTGCCCGATGGCACCTTAGAGCAGAATTATCTGCAGTTGGGAGTCAGTATCAATATAGATAGAGAGATAGTAGATAACAAACAGATAGATAAATAGATACATAGAAAAATGGATGCATAGGCCGGGCACGGTGGCTCACGCCTGTCATCCCAGCACTTTGGGAGGCCGAGGCGGGCGGATCACCTGAGGTCAGGAGTTCGATACCAGCCTGACCAACATGGTGAAACCCCATCTCTACTAAAAATACAAAAATTAGCTGGGTGTGGTGGCGGGTTCCTGTAGTCCCAGCTACTTGGGATGCTGAGGCAGGAAAATCACTTGAACTCAGGAAGCAGAGGTTTTAGTGAGCCAAGATCATGCCACTGCACTCCAGCCTGGGTGGCAGGAGCAAGACTCTGTCTCAAAAAAAAAAAAAAGAAAAAAGAAAAGAAAGTAAAGAAAAATGGATGCATAGGTAGAAAAATACAAAAAATAGATGATAGATAGATAGCTAGATAGATGATGGAGATGATAGATAGATAGATAGATAGATAGATAATATAGAAAAATAGAGAAATGGATAATAGATGGATACGGAATAGATGGATAGAGATAGATACATAGATAGATGACAGATACATAAATAGATGATAGGTGATGGATAGATCGATAGAGATAGATGATACAAAGATAGAAAAATAGATGGATAGAGATAGATAGAAAAAAATAGATACATGATAGATAGATAAATAAATGACAGAAAAATAAACAGGGACTGGGCGTGGTGGCTCACACCTGCAATCCCAGAACTTTGGGAGGCTGAGGCGGGCGGATCACCCGAGGTCAGGAGTTTGAGACCAGCCTGGCCAACATGGTGAAACCCCATCTCTACTAAAAATACAAAAATCAGCCGGGCGTGGTGGTGCACACCTACAATCCCAGCTACTCGGGCATGGTGGTGCACACCTACAGTCCCAGCTACTTGGGAGACAGAGGCAGGAGAATCACTTTAACCTGGAAGAAGGAGGTTGCAGTGAGCTGAGATCGTGCCATTGCGCTCCAGCCTGGAAGATGAGAGTGAAACTCCATCAAAGAAAGGAAGAAAGAAAGAGAAAGAAAGGAAAAGAAAGAAAGAGAGAGAAAGGAAAGGAAGGAAGGATGGAAGGAAGGGCAAGAAAGAGAGAGAGAAATAAAGAAAGAAAGAAAAGAGAGAAAGGAAAGGAAGGAAGGATGGAAGGAAGGGAAAGAAAGAGAGAGAGAAAGAAAGAAAGAAGAAGGAGAAAGAAAGAAGAGAGAGGAAAGGAAGGAAGGATGGAAGGAAGGGAAAGAAAGAGAAAGAAAGAAAGAAAGAGAAAAAGAAAGAGAAAGAAAGAGAAAAAGAAGAAAGAAAGAAAAAAGAAAGAAAGAGAGAAAGAAAGAAAGAAAGAAAGAAAAGAAAAGAAAAAGAAAAATAGGGAGACAGATGCAGAGACGGAGTGTCTTGTGTCTGAGCCTCAGCACTGCTGACATTTAGGGCTGGATGACTGACTCTGTGATGGGGCCGTCCTGTGCCCTGTAGGATGCTGAGGAGCATCTCTGGGCTCGCCCACCGGGCCCCAGGAGCACCCCCTATCCCAGTTCTGACAACTAAAGGTAATTTCCAGACAGTGCTCAGTGTCCTCTGCGGGTGCAGAATCGCCCCTGGCTGAGGACCTCTCACCACTGATGTCTCCCTGACTCTGAGAGTTTTACCCATGGGTGATGATACTTTGGAACTCAGAATATCCTGTAGCCATTTATGTCCCAGGGAGAGAGAGGAAGAGAGAGGAGAAAGCGGAAGAGAGACGAGAGAGAGAGAGAAGAGAGAGAAAAGATAGAAAGAGAAAGAGAGGAGAGAGAGAGAGGACAGAGAAAGAGGAGAGAGAGAGAGGAGAGAGAAACAGAGAGGAGAGAGGACAGAGAGAAGAGAGAGGAGAGAGAAAAAGAGAGGACACAGAAAGAGGAGAGAGAAAGAGAGAGGAGAGAGAGAAAAGAGGGAAAGAGGAGAGAGAGAAAAGAGGGAAAGAGGAGGGAGAGAGAGGACAGAGAAAGAGGAGAGACACAGGAGAGAGAAAGAAAGAGAAGAGAGAGAGGAGAGAGGGAAAGAGAGAAAGAGAGAGAGAGGAGAGAGAGAGAGAGAGACCAAGACCCACCTCTTTCTCCGTTTCTGAAGTCAGGATTTTGCACCCGGAAAAGAGCACATTGAGGCCGGCCTTCCAGTTGCGGTGGGGCTGAGCCCGTGTCTGCAACCCAGATGCCATTTGGGAAATCATGGTTTTCTCCTGCACAGGGTCCATAGGCCCGGGGGGCAAATTTCCCACTTAACAGACGGTCCTTCTAGCAGGGTTGGTACAGAAGCTTCCCTTTCACTAACATCTTCCAACCTTCCTTCTAAAAAAAAAAAAAAAAAAGTAGGGGGAGAGGGGGAGGTAACCACAGAACAGTTCTTTTATTTATTTTCCCCAAAACAATCAACTATTTAGCCAGCGCGTCCCTGGCTTCTCACCTTGGTGGTCAGGTCATTAATTATGAGCCCAGGTCGCCGCTAAAGACCTTTCCTGGCTGGTCCTGCCTCGGTGCACACAGCAGCAATAGCTGGGGCTTGTCAGGGCCTCCGCAGACCCCCAGGAGCTGGGGTGAGGGAAAGTGAGTCCTAAAAGGGCCACTGTGCCTGGAAGGACGAAGGAGGGAGCTGGGAGGAGGGAGGGAGGGAGACCGTGGTCTCTCTCCAGCCTCTGGAGGCCGTGCCAACTGGGGCTGACGGAGAGGGTGCATTTCACCCTGGCAATGCCTCCACTTTTCCCGGATTCAGAACTTGCAGCCTTGGAGTCTGGGGCAGGAGAGCCTGCCTTCTGGGAACCCCTCTGTCTCGAGATGATGAGGGTCACAGCTTCCCCATCACAGCTGGCCAATCGAGGCACGACCAAAATCGATTCACAGGAGTCTGTGCCTCGACCTCCAAAGCCACATTGGCTTTTTTTGCTCTGCGTGTCTTCAATCTCTCCAGCTGGCTGAGAGTGTATTTTTTTTTACAAGAGACATTTAGGATGAGAAATGAAGGTTTACATGAATTAAACAGGCTGGGCACAGTGGCTCACGCCTGTCATCCCAGCACTTTGGGAGGCCGAGGAGGGTGGATCGCCTGAGGTCGGGAGTTCGAGACCAGCCTGGCCAACATAGGAAAACCCCGTCTCTACTAAAAATACAAGATTAGCCGGGCGCGGTGGCTCACGCCTGTCATCCCAGCACTTTGGGGGGCCGAGGAGGGTGGATCACTTGAGGTCGGGAGTTCGAGACCAGCCTGGCCAACATAGGGAAACCCCATCTCTACTAAAAATACAAGATTAGCCGGGCGCGGTGGCTCACGCCTGTCATCCCAGCACTTTGGGGGGCCGAGGAGGGTGGATCACTTGAGGTCAGGAGTTCGAGACCAGCCTGGCTAACACAGGGAAACCCCGTCTCTACTAAAAATACAAAAATTAGCTGGGTGTGGTGGCGTGTGCCTGTAATTCCAGCTACTCAGGAGACTGAGGCAGGAGAATTGCTTAAACCGGGACGCAGGAGGCGGAGGTTGCAGTGAGCCAAGATCGCACCACTGCACTCCAGCCTTGGCTACAGAACAACGCTCCACTTAAAAAAAAAAAAAGTTAAGATTCTATGACACTGGGTGCAGGAGCTCACGCCTGTAGCCTGTAATGCCAGCACTTTGGGAGGCTGAGGCAGGCGGATCGCCTGAGGTCGGGAGTTCGAGACCAGCCTGGCCAACATGGCGAAACCCCATCTCTACTAAAAATACAAAAATTAGTCGGGCGTGGTGGTGGGCGCCTGTAATCCCAGCTACTTGGGAGGCTGAGGCAGGAGAATCGCTGAAACTTGATCTAAAATAATAATAATAATAATAATAATAAATCCATAAATGTATACTGAGAAGTAGAGTATTTAATTCATTTATTTATTTTTATTTCATTATTTTATTTTATTGTTTAGACAGAGTCTCC
This sequence comes from Homo sapiens, assembly GCF_000001405.40. Classification (NCBI taxonomy): domain Eukaryota; kingdom Metazoa; phylum Chordata; class Mammalia; order Primates; family Hominidae; genus Homo; species Homo sapiens. The sequence goes on from NC_000023.11 coordinate 1,153,595, forward strand.
CTCTGTTGCCCAGGCTGGAGTGCAATGGCGTGATCTCAGCTCACTGCAACCTCCGCCTCCCGGGTTCAAGCGATTCTCCTGCCTCAGTCTCCTGAGTAGCTGGGATTACAGGCGCCCGCCACCACGCCCGGCTAATTTTTGTATTTTAGTAGAGACGGGGTTTCACCATGTTGGCCAGGCTGGTCTTGAACTCCTGACCTCATGATCCGCCCGCCTCGGCCTCCCAAAGTGCTGGGATGACAGGCGTGAGCCACCGCGGCTGGCCAGTGTGAATGTCATTAATGCCACAAAACTATAAACTTCAAAGTGGTTAAGACGGTAAAGTTTACATGATGTATTTTTGACCATCATTTTTAAAAAGAAGTTTATATGCAAAAGTTCATCTGATTCTTTCATTGTTCACTAACGTTCACTGTAATATTCCTTGCTACAAAGCAAGCCCGCTCTGAATCACAGTTGCCCTCAGGATGTAATAAAACCTTACTTAAGAATAATATAAACCACCTTCTTTCCTGCGGGAATTTGGCCGTACATGGAATGAGGCTGGAGTCTCCGAGTCAGGAATTCCTCATGTTGAAAGCTTTGATGTCTGGAACCACCCTGGAGGAATGTAGCTAATTCTGTTTTTGAGTTTTCACGGATCCCTAATATGGACAGAGACATCGTGACAACTTTGGTTCTGGGGTCGTGCTGACCCAAGACTGCACCTAGATTTCCTGCTGTGGGCGCATGGCTGCTCTGCTCTCCTCTCCCCTCCCCTCCCCTCCTCCCCTACCTCCTCTCCTCCCCTCGCTGTTTCCCCATCACACCACTTCAGTTGCTTAGATGCTCTCCTCTCCCCTCCTCTCCTCTCCTCCCCTCTCCTCTCCTCCCCTCTTCTCTCCTCTCCTCTCCTCCCCTCCCCTCCCCTCCCTGCTTCCCCATCACACCAGTTGAGTTGCTTAGATGCTCTCCTCTCCTCTCCTCCCCTCCTCTCCCCTTTCTTTTCTTCTGTTTTTTTCTTTTCTTTTCTGAAACAGAGTCTCACTCCGTCGCCCAGGCTGCAGTGCAGTAGTGGGATCTCAGCTCACTGCCACCTCTGCCTCCTGGGTTCAGGCGATTCTCTTGCCTCAGCCTCCTGAGTAAGTGGGATTACAGGCATCGGCCACCACGCCCGGCTGATGTTTTTAGGAAACCTTCAGAAACCAATGGGCTGGAAGAGAAAAGCTTTGAGAAATGTCGAGATGTTAAAAATACAATCACAGGCCGGGCGTGGCGGCTCACGCCTGCAATCCCAGCACTTTGGTAGGCCGAGGCGGGCGGATCACGAGGTCAGGAGATCGAGACCAGCCTGGCCAATATAGTCAAACCCCGTCTCTACTAAAAATACAAAAAATTAGGTGGCCGTGGGGGCAGGTGCCTGTAATCCCAGCTACTCAAGAGACTGAGGCAGGAGAATCTCTTGACCCCGGGAGGCGGAGGTTGCAGTGAGCCGAGATCACAGCAATGCACTCCAGCCTGGGTGACGGAGCGAAACTCTGTCTCAGAAAAAAAAAAAAAAAAAAAAATGCAATCACATGACTTTTACCAAAGCCATCGACAAGGGTCCCCAAGAAGACTAGGAACAAATCTTCAGCATTTTAACTGGAAAGAGTCAGGGCATTAAGAAATTATATAACCATAAATCCCACCTGTAGAATTTGAGCATTAATGAGTTTTACCTGTATTAGGTAAATTACAGCAGACTCTGAATTGCAGAAACTTTATGCAATATTTGGTTAACCTGTATATGATTGTGTTCTCTGTGTGTGTGTGTGTCTGTTTAAAAAAGGAAACTTTGAATTATTTAAGTCTGAAGAAAAGGGGACATTTCATTGCACATGATTTTTAATAATATTTTTATGGGGCTTAATTCTACTGCAAAGTTTCCGTCTCCTGGAAAATTCTGAACAGGCGCTATTTGCTTGGATTATCCAAAGCCCTAAACTGCAAACGCAGAGGTAAAGACCTCTGTCCTTTTATTGCATTTGGCCTCTCCTGGTTTTCTGTTGAGTGGATATAATGATGGTGATCAATTCTCAATTGTGGTTTTGCTCAGCACTAAAAGAAACTTTGTTTTTTTTGAGACGGAGTCTCGCTCTGTCGCCCAGGCTGGAGTGCCGTCATGCGACCTTGGCTCACTGCAAGCTCCATCTCCCGGGTTCAAGTGATTCTCCTGCCTCATCCTCCCGAGTAGCTGGGACGACAGGCGCCCGCCACCACACCTGGCTAATTTTTTGTATTTTTAGTAGAGATGGGGTTTTACCATGTTGGCCAGGCTGGTCTCGATCTCCTGACCTCGTGATCCGCCCGCCTCGGCCTCCCAAAGTGCTGGGATGACAGGTGTGAGCCTCCACGTCCAGCCCATTTTTTTTTTGTATTTTTAGTAGAGACGGGGTTTCACCATGTTGGCCAGGCTGGTCTCGATCTCCTGACCTCGTGATCCTCCCGCCTCGGCCTCCCAAAGTGCTGGGATGACAGATGTGAGCCTCCACGTCCAGCCCATTTTTTTTTTGTATCTTTAGTAGAGACGGGGTTTCACCATGTTGGCCAGGCTGGTCTCCATCTCCTCACCTCGTGATCCTCCCGCCTCGGCCTCCCAAAGTGCTGGGATGACAGATGTGAGCCTCCACGTCCAGCCCATTTTTTTTTTGTATTTTTAGTAGAGACGGGGTTTCACCATGTTGGCCAGGCTGGTCTCGATCTCCTCACCTCGTGATCCTCCCGCCTCGGCCTCCCAAAGTGCTGGGATGACAGGCATGAGCCACCGCAACCGGCCTGAAAAAAAGTCCTAAGGGTCAGACAGTGTGCAGGACAAACCCTCAGTGAAGGTTCTTACCTCCGAAACACTCCTCTTGCCCCAGTAAAAGGATGCCCATTTCAATCTCCGAAACCAAACAACTATGCAGCATCCATGCCTGTGGCCGATAGGACCCACGTACAAAATTAAACCTCTCTTAATTGGGCCGGGCGCGGTGGTTCACGCCTGTCATCCCAGCACTTTGAGAGGCCGAGGCAGGCGGATCACCTGAGGTCAGCAGTTCGAGACCAGCCTGGCCAACATGGTGAAACCTGGTCTCTACTAAAAATACAAAAGTCAGCCAGCTGTGGTCGTGGGCGCCAGTAATCCCAGCTACTCAGGAGGCTGAGGTAGGAGAATCACTTGAGCCCAGGAGGCGGAGGTTGCAGCGAGCCAGGATGGCGCCACTGCACTCCAGCCTGGCTACAGAGTGAGACTCCGTCTGAAAGATAATAATAATTTTTAAAAAAATTAGCCGGGTGTGGTGGCGGGCACCTGTCATGCCAGCTACTTGGGAGGCTGAGGCAGGAGAATCGCTCGAACGCGGGAGTCGGAGGTTGCAGTGAGCCGAGATCACACCACTGCACTCCAGCCTGGGTGACAGAGCAAGACTCCATCTCAAAAAAAAAAAAAAAAAAAGTCACATCAGAATCGGAATTGCAGTTTTAAGAAGATGGAACTTCATTTGGAATCATTTCCTTATCACTAAGCTCTTCCAACAGTCCCTACACCATTGAGACTGGGGCCATGGAGGTGTGTTCCTGTCAGGGCAGCTAGAGAAGCTCTGCGGTTCTGAGTTTTCACACTTGTATTACCAAAAGGCAACGCTCGGCCTGGTGCGATGGCTCATGCCTGTCATCCCAGCACTTTGGGAGGCCCAGGTGGGTGGATCACCTGAGGTCAGGAGTTCGAGACCAGCCTGGTCAACATGGTGAAACCCGGTCTCTACTAAAAATACAAACATTAGCCAGGCGTGGTGGATCACGCCTGTCATCCCAGCACTTTGGGAGGCTGAGGCAGGCGGATCACCTGAGGTCAGGAGTTTGACACCATCCTGACCAACATGGTGAAACCCTGTCTCTACTAAAAATACAAAAATTAGTCAGGCGTGGTGGCGTGCGCCTGTAATCCCAACTACTCGGGAGACTGAGGCAGGAGAATCACTCGAACCCGGGAGGCGGAGGTTGCAGTCAGCTGAGATCGCACCACTGCACTCCAGCCTGGGTGACAAGAGCAAAACTCCATCTCAAAAAGAGAGAAAAATCAAAAGCAACACTGGAAGTTGTAGGTATTGGCTGCCACCAAGTGGCGATTTGAGGAGCAACGCCTTCACCGTCTACCCGGTTTGTGAAACAAAACAAGTTACCAGTAAAACTGAAGGCTTTTCTGAGAGGTCGCAGACCAGTTTTACAGACAAGCATAGACTCCCTGGTGGCCAGGTGCGGTGGCTCACGCCTGTCATCCCAGCACTTTGGGGGGCCGAGGTGGGTGGATCATGAGGTCACGAGTTCGAGACCAGCCTGACCAACATGGTGAAACCCCATCTCTACTAAAAATACAAAAATTAGCCGGGCGCGGTGGCTCACGCCTGTAATCGCAGCACTTTGGGAGGCCGAGGTGGGTAGATCATGACGTCAAGAGATCGAGACCAGCCTGGCCAACATGATGAAACCCCGTCTCTACTAAAAATACAAAAAAAAATTAGCCTGGCGTGGTGGCAGCTGCCTGCAATCCCAGCTACTCAGGAGGCTGAGGCAGGAGAATTGCTTGAATCCAGGAGGTAGACGTTGCTGTGAGCACAGATCGCACCGCTGCACTCCAGCCTGGGCAACAAGAGTGCCACTCTGTCTCAAAAACAAAACAAAACAAAACAAAACAAAACAAAAAAACAGGGCCAGGTGAGGTGGCTCATGCCTGAGCACTTTGGGAGGCCGAGGCAGGCAGATCACCTGAGGTCAGGAGTTTGAGACCAGCCTGGCCAATACGGTGAAACCCTGACTCTACTAAAAATACAAAAATTAGCTGGGTGTGGTGGCAGCTGCCTGTAATCGCAGCTACTCGGAAGGCTGAGGCAGGAGAATTGCTTGAACCCGAGAGGTAGAGGTTACAGTGAGTGGAGATCGCACCACTGCACTCCAGCCTGGGCAACAAGAGTGAAACTCTGTCTAAGAAAAAAAATAAATAAAATAAAGGCCGGGCACGGCGGCTCACGCCTGTCATCCCAGCACTTTGGGAGGTTGAGGCGGGTGGATCATCTGAGGTCGGGAGTTCGAGACCAGCCTGGCCAACGTGGTGAAACCCCATCCCTACTAAAAATACAAACATTAGCCGGGTGTGGTGGTGGGTGCCTGTAATCCCAGCTACTCCGGAGGCTGAGGCAGGAGAATCGGTTGAACCCGGGAGGTAGAGGTTGCGGTGAGCCCAGGTTGCACCAGATCCCGTAACAACCCTAACAAGACAAGTGGAAACAGGCTTTGCGGTCTTCAGGGTCAAAGGCTGTGCAGACGAGGACGCTGTCTCTGCAGTTAACAATGTAACATTGACCCCACCTTTCTCAGAGTAGCAGACCAGTCTCTGTCCATTCGGATGTCAGGGAGGCTGCTGGCTAATCAGGGAGGTAACAGAGTTGAGTGTGGTGGGTAGTGAATGAGTAAAGGAGGGCGGTCTAGTATTAGTCCCTTTTCAGGCTGCTGATAAAATCATACCAACACCAGGTAATTTATAAAGAAAAGAGGATTTTTTTATTGTTTTTATTTTTATTATTTTTTTTAAGGCAGAGTCTCACTCTGTCGCCAAGCCTGGAGTGCAGTGGCGCAATCTCGGCTCACCGCAACCTCCGCCTCCCGGGTTAAAGCGATCCTCCTGCCTCAGCCTCCTGAGTAGCTGGGACTACAGGTACCCACCACCACGCCCGGCTAATTTTTGTATTTTTAGTAGAGACGGGGTTTTACCACGTTGATCAGGCTGGTCTCGAACTCCTGACCTCAGGTGATCCACCTGCCTCGGCCTCCCAAAGTGCTGGGATGACAGGCGTGAGCCACCGCGCCCAGCCAGGAAGGGGTTTAATGGACTGACAGTTCCACATAGGGGACGACAAAAGTCACATCTTCTATGGCAGCAGACAAGAAAAGAGAGAGAGAGAGACAGAGACAGAAACAGAGAGAAAGAGAGAGACAGAGACAGAGAGACAGAGACAGAGAGAGACAGAAAGAGAGAGAGAGACAGACAGAGGGAGAGAGACACAGAGAGAAAGAGAGACAGAGAGACAGAGAGAGAGAGACAGAGACACAGAGAGACACAGAGACAGAGAGAGACACACAGAAAGAGAGACAGAAAGAGAGAGAGAAAGAGAGACAGGGACAGAGAGACAGAGAGAGAAAGAGACAGAGACAGAGAGAAAGAGGCAGAGAGAGACAGAAACAGAGAGAGAGAGACAGGGACAGAGAGACAGAGAGAGAGAGAGACAGAGAGAAAGAGACAGAGAGAGACAGAAAGAGAGAGACAGACAGAGGGAGAGAGACAGAGAGAGAGAGAAAGAGAGACAGAGACACAGAGAGAGACAGAGACAGAGAGACACAGAGAGACAGACAGAGAGACAAAGAGAGACAGAGAGACACAGAGAGACAGAGAGACAGAGACAGAGACAGAAAGACAGAGAGAGAGACAGAGAGAAAGAGAGAGAGACACAGAGAGAAAGAGAGAGACAGAGAGAAAGAGATAGAGACAGAAAGAGAGTGACAGAGACAGAAAGAGAGAAAGAGAGAGACAGAGAGACAGGGAGAGAGAGACAGAGAGAGACAGACAGAGAGAAAGAGACAGAGAGAAAGAGACAGAGAGACAGACAAAGAGAGACAGACAGAGAGACACAGGGAGAGACAGAGACAGAGAGAGAGAGACAGAGAGACAGGGAGAGACAGAGACAGAGAGACAGAGACAGAGAGAGACAGAGACAGAGAGAAACAGAGAGACAGACAGAGAGACAAAGAGAGACAGAGAGACAGAGACAGAGAGACACAGAGAGACAGACAGAGAGACAAAGAGAGACAGAGAGACAGAGACAGAGAGACACAGAGAGACAGACAGAGAGACAGAGAGAGACAGAGACAGAAAGAGAGAGAGACAGAGAGAGAGACACAGAAAGAGAGAGACAGAGACAGAGAGAAAGAGATAGAGACAGAAAGAGAGTGACAGAGACAGAAAGAGAGAAAGAGAGAGACAGAGAGACAGGGAGAGAGAGACAGAGAGAGACAGACAGAGAGAAAGAGACAGAGAGAAAGAGACAGAGAGACAGACAGAGAGACAGACAGACAGAGAGACACAGGGAGAGACAGAGACAGAGAGAAAGAGAGAGACAGAGAGACAGGGAGAGAGAGACAGAGACAGGGAGAGACAGAGACAGAGAGAGAGAGACAGAGAGACAGAGACAGAGAGAAACAGAGAGAGAGAGACAGAGAGAGACAGAGACAGAGAGAGAGAAACACACAGACAGAGAGACAGACAGAGAGAGAACAAGAGACAGAAAGAGAGAGAACCGAGGGAAAAGGGAAACCGCTGATAAAGCATCAGACCTTGTGAGACGTATTCACGACCCTGAGAACAGTACGGGGGAAACTGCCTCCACGATTCAATTCTCTCCCACTAGGTCCCTCCCACGATACAGAGGGATTATGGGAGCTAGGGTCCAAGATGAGATTTGGGTGAGGACACAGCCAAACCACATCAGTAGGTGTCAAAACTGGACCCAATTCTCTTATGATAATGTAGTCAATAAAATAAAATAAAATAAAATAGGGCCAGGTGCAATGGCTCACACCTGTAATCCCAGCGCTTTGGGAGGTTGAGGCAGGTGGATCACGAGGTCAGGAGTTCAAGACCAGCCTGGCCAATGTGGTGAAACCCCATCTCAACTAAAAATACAAAAATCAGCTGGGCGTGGTGGCAGGTGCCTGTAATCCCAGCTACTTGGGAGGCTGAGGCAGGAGAATTGCTTGAACCTGGGAGGTAGAGGTTGCAGTGAGCGGAGATTGCACCATTGCATTCTAGCCTGGGTAACGAAAGTGAAATTCTATCTAAAAAACAAATATATATATACATATATATATATACACGTGTGTGTGTGTGTGTATATACATATACCATATATACACATATATACATATATACATATACATATATACACATATATACACATATACATATACATATACATATATACACATACATACACATATATACATATATACATATACACATATATACACATGTACACATATATACATATATACACATATATACACACATATATACATATATACACATATACACATAGATACACATATACAGATATATACACATATATACATATATACACATATACATATACATATATACACATACATACACATATATACATATATACATATACACATATATACACATATACACATATATACATATATACACACATATATACATATATACACATATACACATATACACATAGATACACATATATACATATATACACATATATATAATTTAAAAAATAATATAGACAGGCCTCATTGATATTTGGGCACCCATACTGCCTTTTGCACATATGTCAAAAAAAAACCCATCCTTAATAAATTGCATTATGCCCACAGCTGGTGCACGTGCGTGTGGAATGTAGCATGCTAAGTCATCTGCATGGAGGATGCATTGTGCGGTCATGGGGGTGTAGAGTGAATGTGGGGAGTGGGAAGATTTCAGGCAGCTGCTGTGAATACCAACTGATCTCTTACCGGCCCCTCTTTCTAAAAAGGGGGTCAGGACAAGACTCTACCTCGAAAGGTAGAGCAGGGCCTGTCTGTGCCCATCACCAACAGGTGTTCCGAGATTTCAGGTCAATGCCAGGCACGGTGGCTCCCTCCTGTAATCTCAGCGCTTTGGGAGGCTGTGATGGGGGTATTGCTCGAGGCCAGAAGTTTGAGACCAGCCTGGGAAACATAGCAAGGCCTCACCTCCGAAAAAGAAATGTAAAATTAGGTGGCTGGGGTGGTGCCCATCTGCAGTCCCAGCTACTCTGGAGGCTGAGGCGGGGGGTATTACTTCAGCCCAGGAGGTTGAGGCTGCAGTGAGCTGAGATCACACCACTGCACTCCAGCCTGGGCCACATAGCAAGACAAGAAAAAGAAAGGAAGAAAGAAAAGAAAGAAGGAAAGAGGAAAGGAGGAGAGGAAGAGAGAAAGAGAGAGAGAAAGGAAGGAGAGAGAGAGAGAGAAAGAAAGAAACAAAGAATTAAAGAAAGAAAGAGAATGAAAGAGAGAAAGAAAAAAGAGAGAAAGAGAGAAAGGAAGAAAAAGAAAGAGAGAAAAAGAAAGAGAAAGAAAGAAAAGAGAAAGAAAGAAAAAAGAAAGAAAGAAAGAAAAGAAAGAAAGAAAGAAGGAAGGAAAAGAAAAGGAAGGAAGGAAGGAAGGGCTGGGCGTGGTGGCTTACACCTGTAATGCCAGCATTTCGGGAGGCCGAGGTGGGTGGATCACAAGGTCAGGAGTTCGAGACCAGCCTGACCAACATGGTGAAACTCCATCTCTACTAAAAATACAAACATTAGCCGGACGTGGTGGCAGGTGCCTGTAATTCCAGCTGCTCGGGAGGCTGAGGCAGGAGAATCACTTGAACCCAGGAGGCGGAGGTTGCAGTGAGCTGAGATTGTGCCATTGCACTCCAGCCTGGGAGACACAGGGAGACTCCGTCTCGAAATAAATAAATAAATAAAAATAAAATAAAAGATCAAATAAAATAAATAAAAACTGACCCCATTGACACACAGGTACCATCACTGCAGACCCAGCCACGATGCAAAGGATATTTCCCAGTGTTTCCTTTTTGGGACATAAGTATGTAACTGTAGAAATTCATAGTAGGGCCGGGCGCCATGACTCACGCCTCTAATCCCACCACCTTGGGAGGCCAGAGGAGGGAGGATCCCTTGAGCCCAGGAGCTTGAGACCAGCCTCGTCAACACAGCAAGATCCTGTGTCTACAAAAAATGAAAACATTATTCAGATGTGGTGGCGTGCACCTGTAGTCCCAGCTACTTTGAAGGCTGACGCAAAAGAACGTTTCGAACCCACGAGGCGGAGTTTGCAGTGAGCCCAGATGGTGCCCCTGCACTCCAGCCTGGGCAACAGAGTAAGACAAGAAAAAGAAAGGAAGAAAGAAGGAAAGAAAGAAGAAGGAAGGAAAGAAGGAAGGAAGGAGGGAAGGGAGGGAGGGAGGGAGGGAGGGACGGAGGGACGGAGGGAGGGAAAGAAGAAAGGAAAGAGAGAGAGAAAGGAAGGAAGGAGATAGAGAGAAGGAAGGAAGAGAGGGAGGAAGGGAGGGAGAGAGGGAAAGAAGAAAGGAAAGAAAGAGAGAGAGAGAGAAAGGAAGGAAGGAGATAAAGAAAGAGAGAAGGGAGGGAGGGAGGGAAGCGAGAGAGGAGAAGAGGAGTGGAGAGGATGAGAGGAGAGGAGAGGAGAACAGAACAGAACAGAACAGAACAGAACAGAACAGAACAGAACAGAACAGAGAAAAGAGGCCAGGTGCAGTGGCTCACGCCTGTAATCCCAGCACTTTGAGAGGCTGAGGCGGTTGGATCACCTGAGGTTGGGAGTTCGAGACCAGCCTGGCCAACATGGGGAAACCCCATCTCTCCTAAAAATACAAAACTTAGCCGGGTTTGGTGGCAGTCGCCCGGAATGTCAGGTACTCGGGAGGCTGAGGTTGCAGCGAGCTGAGATCGCGCCACTGCACTCCAGCCTGGGCGACAGAGCGAGACTCCATCTCAAAAATAAAATAAAATAACTATCATTCAAATTCAGGGTCCTTGAGCCGTATTCCTAGTTCTATTGACTCACCTCACTTTAAAACTATCGTTCAACAATGAGAACACATGGACACAGGGTGGGGAACATCACACACCGGGGCCTGTTGTGGGGTGGGGAGAGAGGGGAGGGATAGCATTGGGAGATATACCTAATGTTAAATGATGGTTCATGGGTGCAGCACACCAGCATGGCACATGGATACATATGTAACTAACCTGCACGTTGTGCACATGTACCCTAGAACTTAAAGTATAATAATAATAATACAATTTTTAAAATACAATGAAAAAAATACAAATAAAAAATAAAATAAAAAATAGTAAAAATAAAAAATACAAATAAAAATAATGCAATTTAAAAAAAAAACTATCGTTCAAGTATCTGCCCCCGGTTTTCTTCATCTCTGAATGGCTGTTTTTGCAGAACTGGCAGAAACTCAGAACGAACGCCATTCATTCTTAGGACGCAGAGTTAAATTCTGCAACAGCCACAGCATCCTAACGCCTGGTTGCCTGCACCCGCCAGCCTGTTGCAAATGCTCACAGAAAGTCTGAAAACAGGAAATTCTAAAAGAAGGGGTTGCTTTTGTTTGACAACCAGACGGGCCAGTGATTTACAGCCGGACCCGGCCCCTTGCTCCTGGTCAGCCCTCTCGGAGCAGGCAGGTGACGGCACAAATGTCTCGCACAAATGTTGCCCAGGCTCTGAGAATCTGAGAACGCCTTTTGCTTTTTGCAGTTCAAGGGACTTCCACCCCGGGCGGGAGATGCCAGTTCCAGACAAATGCATTTAGGTGGTTTATTATCCCAATTAATTTAATTAGGATTTAATTTAATTTAAATTTAATTGAGATGATTAAATTTATAATAAGGATAATTAAATTAATTAATTTAATTAATGAAGTAATTAAATTAAATTAATTAATTTAATTAATGAAGTAATTAAATTTATTGATTAATTTAATTAATGAAGTAATTAAATTAATTAATTAATTTATTTATTTATTTATATTAAATTAATTATAAATAAATATAAATATTTAAATAATTAAATAATTAAATATTAATTTAATAAACAAATAAATATAAATATTAATTATACAAATATAAATATTATATATTTTATATATAATTAATTTTATATTAAATTTATATATAATTTTATATAAAATTAATTATATAAACATTTATAGCTATTAATAATTATAAATATTAATTAAATAAATATTAATTAATTAATTAATTGTATATTAATAAGTTAGTTGATAAATTTAATTATTGACAAGTATTAATAAATAAATAATTGATAAATTTAATTATTTATAAATTTAATTATTTATTAATTACTTATAATTAATTATATAATAAAAGAATTTATTAATCAAATTACTTTCTTAACTGATTTAATTGTTTTATTAATTAAATTAATTTTATTAATTGATTTAATTAATAAAGTGCATGAAGTGTTTAATAAATTACTTAAATTTATTAATTAATTTAGGATGATTCCTACATCTCATACACGTGTCTTTAAGAAACGCCACACACTCCGAATTTAGTAATTCCTAAATGTCTGGCAGGCCTTCTCAGAGGAAGTGCTGTTTTTCTTTAACAATGGGAACCCTATTTTATCTGTCAGTGAGCAGTCCACACGTTGTAATTTTTTTCTTTCATACGCTGTGAAATATGAGGCATTTTTGCTTCCCCCAACCCCCTTTCTTCGGAAGACAGGGCTTCCTGCTGTCTGGTTTTGCTCTTGTAGCTGAACGTCGCTTGGGGCCAGCGAGATTTAAGCGGTGGTTTTGTGCAAAGCGTTGGAGCCTGGCTCATGAAGGCTGCTTGCAGAATTATGGATAATCCCGTTACCTGGGACTTCCCACTCTTGCAGCTTGCCAGAGTCAGAGAGGTGTTTGTTCTCTGACAACAAAGCCTTCTTTAAAATAAAATAGGATCCACAATTGCGCTGCTGGGCAAAACTTCGTGAGAAATAAAAACTGATAAAACTATGTATATAAATGTTCTGAGAATGAAGCTCTGGTTTTTTTTTTTGTTTTTTTTTTTTTGAGACGGGCGTTTGCTCTTGTCACCCAGGCTGGAGTGCAATGGCGCGATCTGGGCTCACTGCAACCTCCGCCTCCCGGGTTCAAGCGATTCTCCTGCCTCAGCCTCCCAAGTAGCTGGGATGACAGGCGCCCGCCACGACGCGTGACTAATTTTTGTATTATTAGTAGAGACGGGGTTTCACCGTATTGGTCAGGCTGGTCTCGAACTCCTGACCTCAGGTGATCCACCCTCCTCGGCCTCCCAAAGTGCTGAGATTACAGGCATCAGCCACCGTGCCCGGAGTATTTTTTTGTTTGTTTGTTTGTTTTTCTTTTTTTGAAACAGAGTTTTATTCTTGTTGCCCAAGCTGGAGTGCAATGGTGCCACCTGAACTCACTGCAAGCTCCGCCTCCCGGGTTCAAGCGTTTCTCCTGCCTCAGCCTCCCGAGCAGCTGGAATTACAAGTGTGCGCCATCACACCAAGCTAATTTTTGTATTTTTAGTAGAGATGGGGTTTCTCCATGTTGGCCAGGATGGTCTCGAACTCCTGACCTCAGATGATCCGCCTGCCTCAGCCTCCCAAAGTGCTGGGATTACAGGCCTGGCTCTTGATATATATAAATAAATAAATATATACATTATATATAATGTATATATTATATACATTATCTATTATCTATTATCTATTATATATAACATTATATATTATATATTATATATTAAATAAAAATATATATAATATATTATATTATATAGTATTATTAATATATTATAATTAATATATATTAAGATATTTATATATTATATAATTAATATATATTAATTATAATACATATTATATATAATATATACTTATAATATATTTATATATATTTTATATTATATATATTTATATTATATATTATATATATTATATATATAATATATATATTATATATAAAGTACATATTATATATTTTATATATATTAAATATATATAGTTAATGTATACACATTTTTAAATCTTGCCCACATTCCTATCTAAGGGGTCTGGGGAGTTGTGCCCTACAAACCATCCATTCTCATCCGATGGGTTTTATTTAACCTTATATACCATGACTTACTTTCCAACCTGACTCCAGCATCACATTATGAGACAAGAAAAAAAATCAAAATACTTATCCCCAAAATATATTTCATTGCCATATCTCGAAATGGCCCTGGAAGGCCGTTCTTTGTGGGGGGAAATTCACATCTGCAGAGAATCTGTATTCACATAGCTAGATCTTTTTCTTCCAGGCCCTCCCAATCCTAAAGAGATTATCTAGGAGTCTAGTAAGCTTGTCAAGGTCTGAACAGGAAACATTTGTCTTCTGCTGTCTCTAAGGGCAGCCACTATGAGACCTCAAAAGAACCTTGGTCTCCACAATCTCTTATCTTAACCCAAACATTTCCTTTCTATGGATCCCAGGTCTTAAACAAACTCAACCAGTTGTCAACCAATGTTTCAATTCACGGATAGCCTGGAAGGCCCCAGTTTGAATTGTCTCACCTTTGTGGACCGAACCAATACCTTTCTTTTCTTTCTTTTTCTTTCTTTCTTTCTTTTCTTTCTTTCTTTTTCTTTTTTTCTCTCTTCTTCCTTCCTTTCTTTTCATTTTCTCTCTTTCCCTCCCTCCCTCCTTCTCTCTTTCTTTCTTCTTTCTTTCTTCCTTTTTCTTTTCTTTGTTTCTTTCTTCCTTTCTTTCTTTTCTTTCTTTTCTCTTTCCCTTCCTTCCTTCCTTTCTTTCCTTTCTTTCTTTTCTCTTTCCCTCCCTCCCTCCATCTCTCTCTTTTTTCTTTCTTTTCTCTCTTTCCCTTTCTTCCTTCCTTTCTTTCTTTCCTTTCTTTCCTTTCTTTCTTTTCTCTCTTTCCTTTCCTTCCTTCCTTTCTTTCTTTCCTTTCTTTCTTTCCTCTTTCCCTCCCTCAGTCTCTCTCTTTCCTTCCTTCCTTCTTTTTCTCTCTTTTCCTTCCTTCCTTCCTTTCTTCCTTCCTCTCTTTCCTTTCTTTCTTTTCTTTCTTTCCCTCCCTCCATCTCTCTCTCTCTTTCTTTCTTTCTTTCCTTTTGAGACAGAGTCTCGCTCTGTCACCCAGGCTGGAGTGCAGCGGCATGATTCAGTCCACTGCAATCTCCACCTCCTTCCTGGGTTCAAGCGATTCTGCTGCCTCAGCCTCCCGAGTAGCGCTGGGATTACAGGCACCCACCACCACGCCCGGCTACTTTTTGTATTTTTAGTAGAGATGGGGTTTCGCCATGTTGGCCAGGCTGGTCTCGAACTCCTGACCTCAGGTGATCCACCCACCTCGGCCTCCCAAAGTGCTGGGATTACAGGCGTGAGCCACCACGCCCGGCCTCAATAGAAACTTAAAAACAAACTTTACAATAAATCGTATAAAGGGAGAGAAAGTGCAATACACGTGCATAACGATTAAGAGACTCAATATTTTAAGGCGGCTGATGGAGTCTTCAGATTCACTTGTAGGTCTCATGTAATTCAAATCAACATTTCAATAGTTTTTTCTGTGGAACTGGAGGAACTGTTTGTAAAATGTAAATGGGAATGGTACTAGAAAGAGAAGGGAATGGGGAGGGGAGGAGGGAGAGGAAGAGTAGGGGGAGGGAAAAACAAAGAGGAGAAAGAGGAAGAGGAGGAGGGGAGAAGGAGGAAGGAGAGATGGAGGAGGAGGGGAAGGGAAGAGGAGGAGAAAAAGAGAAGGAGGAGGTGGAGGGAGGAGGAGGGGGATCAGGAGAAGAGGATAGGAGGAGAGGAAGGTGGGAGGAGGGAGAGAAGGGAAGAGGAAGTGAGGACGAGGGAGGAGGAGGAGGGGAAGGGAAGAGGAGGAGAAGAGCAGGAGGACAGGGAGGGGGAGGGAGGAGGAGGTGGAGGGGGAGAAGAGGATGGGAGACGAGGAAGGTAGGAGGAGGAGGGGCAGGAGAAGAGAAGTGGAGAAGAAAAGGAGGAGGGAGGAGGAGGAGGGAGGAGGAGGGGGAGGAGAAAGGGAGGAGGAGAAGTGGGGGAGGGGGAAGGGAGGAGGAAGGGGGAAGGGAAATCGTGTTTCCAATGCATTTCTTGCTTCCGCGGAAATTGTCTATCAAATTCATGTCCTGCTTCCGTGATAATTGTCTTTCAGATGCATTTCTTGCTTCTGTGATAATTGTCTGTCAAATGCATTTCTTGCTTCCGTGGAAATTGGCTTTCAAATTTATTTCTTGCTTCCGTGATAATTGTCTTTCAAATGCATTTCTTGCTTTCTTGGAAATTATCTTTCAAATTCATTTCTTGCTTCCGTGATAATTGTCTTTCAAATGCATTTCTTGCTTTCTTGGAAATTATCTTTCAAATTCATTTCTTGCTTCCGTGATAATTGTCTTTCAAATGCATTTCTTGCTTTCGTGGAAATTGTCTTTCAAATGCATTTCTTGCTTTCCTGGTGAACGGCAGCATAAAAGAATTCGCTAGGTGCTTCTGCTCTAATTTTGGTTGTTTAACTTTTTTTTTTTTCAGTGTATGTGCAGCTTTTATTTTTTTTAATTTTATTATTATACTTTAAGTTTTAGGGTACATGTGCACAACGTGCAGGTTTGTTACATATGTATACATGTGCCATGCTGGTGTGCTGCACCTATTAACTCGTCCTTTAGCATTAGGTATATCTCCTAATGCTATCCTTCCCCCCTCCCCCTGGTTGTTTAACATTTTTATTTGATCCTTTTATTATTTAATATTTGCTGAACTGTCTTCCTTCCTTTGGGAAATCTTTTTTTTCTTTTTTTTTTTTTTGACGGAGTTTCGCTCTTGTTGCCCAGGCTGGAGTGCAATGGCGCAATCTGGGCTCACTGCAACCTCCGCCTCCCGGATTCAAGCAATTCTCCTGCCTCAGCCTCCCGAGTAGCTGGGATTACAGGCGCTCACCACCACGTCTGGCTAATTTTGTATTTTTAGTAGAGACAGGGTTTCTCTATGTTGGTCAGGCTGGTCTCAAACTCCCAGCCTCAGGTGATCCACCTGCCCCTTCCTCTCAAAGTGCTGGGATGACAGGTGTGAGCCACCGCGCCCGGCCTTGGCATTATTTTACAGTACAGGGTCCCACGTGCCTCAAGACAGATGTGCTTGTTCAGAAGCCAACCCAGGTCTAGAGTTTTCCTCTCCCCTGCTGTGTGCCCAGCATGCTAAGAATGTAGCAGGATGAGCCTGTACAGACAAAACTCCTCAGACACCAGATTAAAGAAGGAACAGGTTTTCATTCGGCCGGGAGCGTCGGCAGACTCACGTCTTAAGAGCCGAGCTCCCCGAGAAAGAAATTCTTGGCCTTTTCAAAGGCTTACAGCTTTAAGGGGTCCACGTGAAAGAGTCGTGATATATGGAGCAAGCGTGGGGAATGTGACTGGGGGCTGCACGCGTCAGCCAACAGCACAAAAAGTTCTACAATGTTTTTTTCATACAGTGTCTGGAATTTACAGATAACACAAGTAGTTTAGGTCAGGGGTTGATGTTATTATTTTTACTTTTTTTAACTCCTAGGGCTGGGCGGTGGTGCCAAGGGTGTCTGGCTACTTATCTTACTGAGGTGTAGGGAAAAGAAAGACAAATCAGACTGTGACCGTGTCTATGGAGAAAGGAGAGACATAAGAGAGTCCATTTAGAAAAAGACCTGTACTTTCAACTATTGCTTTGCTGAGATGTTGTTAATGTGTAGGTTTGCCCCAGCCACTTTGACCCAACCTGGAGCTCACAAAAACATGTGTTGTAGGAAATCAAGGTTTATGAAATCGAGGTTATGAAATCAAGGGCTGTGCAGGACGTGCCTTGTTAACAAAATGTTCACGAGCGGTATACTTGGTAAAACTCATCGCCATTCTCTAGTCTCAATAAACCAGAGGCACGATGCACTGCGGAAAGCCGCAGGGACCTCTGCCCTTGAAAGCCGGGTATTGTCCAATTGTCCAAGCGGGGTATTGTTTCTCCCCATGTGATAGTCTGAAATATGGCCTCGTGGGATGAGAAAGACCCGACCGTCCCCCAGCCCGACACCCGTAAAGGGTCTGTGCTGAGGTGGATTGGTAAAAGAGGAAAGCCTCTTGCAGTTGAGATAGAGGAAAGCCACTGTCTCCTGCCTGCCCCTGGGAACTGAACGTCTCGGTATAAAACCCGATTGTACATTTGTTCAATTCTGAGATCGGAGAAAAACCACCCTATGGTGGGAGGTGAGACATGTTTGCAGTAATGCTGCTTTGTTATTCTTTACTCCACTGAGATATTTGGGTGGAGAGAAACATAAATCTGGCCTATGTGCACGTCCAGTCATAGTACCTTCCCTTGAACCTAATTACGACATAGATTCTTTTGCTCACATGTTTGTTGCTGACCTTCTCCTTATTATCACCCAGCTCTCCTACTACATTCCTTTTTGCTGAAATAATGAAAATAATAATCAATAAAAAGTGAGGGAACTCAGAGGCCGGTGCCGGTGCAGGTCCTTGGTATGCTGAGCGCTGGTCCCCTGGGCCCACTGTTGTTTCTCTATACTTTGTCTCTGTGTTTTATTTCTCTTTCTCAGTCTCTCGTCCCACCCGACTGGAAATACCCACAGGTGTGGAGGGGCAGGCCACCCCTTCACTGAGGGAAGAGAGAGACCCTCTCATATTGTTTTATGTTGTTTTATACTCATTACCTGTTTTAAGAAAACAGCAAGGAAGTGAGATCAAAGACAGGCAGCCCGGCGCCAGGCCCGAAACCAGGCCTGGGGCTGCCGGCCCTAAACCCAGTAGTTAAAACTCAACTCATAACTTAGAAACCGATGTTATTCATAGATTCCAGACGTCGTATAGAAGAACACTGCGAAACTCCCTGCCCCGTTCTGTTTCTCTCTGACCACAGGTGCACGCAGCCCCTGTCACGTACCCCTTGCCCGCTCAAATCAATCACGACCCTTTCATGTAAAATCTTTAGTGTTGTGAGCCCTTAAAAGGGACAGAAATTGTGCATTTGGAGAGCTGGGATTTTAAGGCAGTAGCTTCCCGATGCTCCCAGCTGAATAAAGCCCTTCCTTCTACAGCTTGGTGTCTGAGAGGTTTTGTCTGAGGCTCGTCCTGCTACATTACTTTTGTGGGTTTTTTTTTTGTTTTTTTTTCCAACTTCTTGCTTTTTCTCTCCTCCTGTCTTGTGAACTAGGCAAGGTGAGGGGACGATGGCAGCAGGAGGAGTACTGGTCTCCTTCCTTAAGAATATCCCTGGAAACTCTCTTTCCCATCTTGCACGATGGCAGGTGAAAAAGTTGAGAAGGCAGATACTAAAGAGAAGAAACCTGAAGCCAAGAAGGCTGATGCTGGTGGCGAGGTGAAAAACCGTCACCTCAAGGCTAAAAGGCCCAAGAAGAGGAAGCCCCATTGCAGCCACAACCGTGTCCTTGTCAGAGGAATTGGCAGGCAATCCCTATATCTCCCGTGTATTCCGGGAAGGCCGTGTACAAGAGGAAGTACTCAGCCACTAAATCCAACGTTGAAAAGAAAAAGAAGGAGAAGGTTCTTGCGACCGTTACACAACCAGTTGGCGGTGACAAGGACGGAGGTACCCGCGTGGTTAAACTTCGCAAAATGCCTAGGTATTATCCTGAAATGCCTACCCTTGTTTTTACTTTAACTTGTTACTTTGAATATTGTTCTGCTTGTCTCTTTAATCACCTAGACCTGCTTCTCATGTAAATGAGACTCTCTCTAGGTGGGAAAGCCGGACAAACTCCAATTGACCACTTAATTTTCAAGACTCTAAGGGCTCCTCACCCAACCCCCTTTCCTAAGGAGTTGGCCTGGGTAAACAGATCCTCAGCATTTCAAACGAGCCCAATTAACTAATAAGGTACTGGCACCCACAATGTATGAAGTTCCCCAGGAATTTTCCTCCAAGAGATAACAACATAAAACCTTCAGTTTGTGTCCTGCATAGACCGTATATCTAATTATAATGAAAGATTTAGAACCTTGCACCTGCTACCGTTGCTCTTCTTGTCACCATTTGTCTTTTAAGTTGTTTATCACTCTGTAACCCTTTTGATTTTTTTCATTCTTGCATGTTTTTACTTCTCTAGAATTATTACATTTGAGTCCCCCTCCCCTTCCTAAACCTAGGTATAAAAGTTAATCGAGCCCCTTCCGCGTGGCCGAGAGAATTTTGAGCGTTAGCCGTCTCTTTGGCCGCCGGCTTAATAAAGGACTCTTAATTCGTCTCAAAGTGTGGCGTTCTCACTAACTCGCCTGGGTACGACAATCCTACTGAAGATGTACCAGTTAGCACGTGAGAAAACGGCGAGCCAGCATTATGCCCGGGACCATTCGGATCCTCCTCACTGGAGGCCACATGGGCAAGAGTGATGGTTTTCCTGAAGCAGCTGGCTAGTGGCTTGTTACTTGTGACTGGACCTCTGGTCCTCAATCGAGTCCCTCCACGAAGAACGCACCAGAAATTTGTCATTGCCACCTCAACCAAAATCGGTATCAGCAACGTAAAAATCTCAAAACATCTTAGTGATGCTGACTTGAAGAAGAAGAAGCTGTGGAAGCCCAGACACCAGGAGAGTGATGGTTTTCCTGAAGCAGCTGGCTAGTGGCTTGTTACTTGTGACTGGACCTCTGGTCCTCAATCGAGTCCCTCCACGAAGAACGCACCAGAAATTTGTCATTGCCACCTCAACCAAAATCGGTATCAGCAATGTAAAAATCTCAAAACATCTTAGTGATGCTTACTTGAAGAAGAAGAAGCTGTGGAAGCCCAGACACCAGGAGAGTGATGGTTTTCCTGAAGCAGCTGGCTAGTGGCTTGTTACTCGTAACTGGACCTCTGGTCCTCAATCGAGTCCCTCCACGAAGAACGCACCAGAAATTTGTCATTGCCACCTCAACCAAAATCGGTATCAGCAATGTAAAAATCTCAAAACATCTTAGTGATGCTGACTTGAAGAAGAAGAAGCTGTGGAAGCCCAGACACCAGGAGAGTGATGGTTTTCCTGAAGCAGCTGGCTAGTGGCTTGTTACTCGTAACTGGACCTCTGGTCCTCAATCGAGTCCCTCCACGAAGAACGCACCAGAAATTTGTCATTGCCACCTCAACCAAAATCGGTATCAGCAATGTAAAAATCTCAAAACATCTTAGTGATGCTGACTTGAAGAAGAAGAAGCTGTGGAAGCCCAGACACCAGGAGAGTGATGGTTTTCCTGAAGCAGCTGGCTAGTGGCTTGTTACTCGTAACTGGACCTCTGGTCCTCAATCGAGTCCCTCCACGAAGAACGCACCAGAAATTTGTCATTGCCACCTCAACCAAAATCGGTATCAGCAATGTAAAAATCTCAAAACATCTTAGTGATGCTGACTTGAAGAAGAAGAAGCTGTGGAAGCCCAGACACCAGGAGAGTGATGGTTTTCCTGAAGCAGCTGGCTAGTGGCTTGTTACTCGTGACTGGACCTCTGGTCCTCAATCGAGTCCCTCCACGAAGAACGCACCAGAAATTTGTCATTGCCACCTCAACCAAAATCGGTATCAGCAATGTAAAAATCCCAAAACATCTTACTGATGCTTACTTCAAGAAGCAGCAGCTGCAGAAGCCCAGACACCAGGAAGGTGCCATCGTCGACACAGAAAAAGAGAAATATGAGATTATGTAGCAGCGTGAGATTGATTAGAAAGCTGTGGACGCACAGATTTCACCAAAAATCAAAGCTATTCCTCAGCTCCAGGGCTACCTAGGATCTGTGTTTGTCCTGACGAATGGAATCTATCCTCACAAATTGGTGTTCTAAATGTCTTAAGAACCTCATTAAATAGCTGACTACAAAAAAAAAAGGAATATACCTGGAACAAGCAGCAGGTTCCGTAGCGGGAACTTCCTTGGAATCAAAGCACCTTAATCGGGAAGAGGTTTCCTCATCTCTCCTTCTTCTCACCTGCTTTCCTTTGCCCTGCAAAGGCTGCAGAACACACCGCCTCAAAACATGGGGCTTTGTCACAAAGATTTCTGAAACGAAAGCCAGTGAGAAGAAGGACAGATGAGAAAACCTCTTCCCAATTAAGCCACTTCCTCATCACACCTTGTCTTACCAGGGACCAGGGACTCATGTGCCTGGTTTTATGAAATGAGACCACCACTTCTCCTGTTGTCCTTCCCAGCTTCTCCCCCACTTCCCCTTCTCCCTAGTTTGTAAGACAGGACAAAACGGAGAAAGCAAAAAGTTGGAAACAAACAGAAGTAAGATAAATAGCCAGATGACTTTTTTTATTTATAATATTTTATTACAATATTTTATTGTTATATGATAATATCTATATTACCTATAATATGTAAATATAAATATTATAGATATTATAATATATTATATTATAATAAATATAATATAATAATATATAAAATAATATAATATATAAAATAATGTAATATATTATATTATTATAATATATTATAATATAATGATATATTATATTATTATAATATTATATTATAATATAATGATATATTATATTATTATAATATTATATTATAATATAATGATATATTATATTATTATAATATTATATTATAATATACTGATATATTATATTATAATATAATATTATAATATTATAATATTATAATATAATATTATAATATTATAATATTATTAATAATATAATATCATAATATTATTAATAATATATTATAATGTAATATCATTATAATATATATTATAATCATATTATTATAATATATATTATAATATATTATTATATATTATTATAATAGATATCGTAATATATATTATAATATATCATAATCTATATTATAATATATTATAATAATATTATAATAATATATTGTAATAATATATACTATAATATATTATAATAATATTATAATAATATATTATAATATTATTATAATATAATATCTATATTTTATTATTAAAATAATAAAATATAATAAAATAATAATAAAATATTATAAGAAAATAATAAAATATTATAAGAAAATAACAATAAAATATTATAAAATAATAATAATATATTATTATTATAAAATAATAATAATATATTATTATTATAAAATAATATAATATTAACCCCTGACCAAAACTACTGGTGCTATCTGTAAATTGCAGACATCGTATGAGAAAGCACTGTGAAACTTTCTGTTCTGTTAGCTGATGTATGTAGCCCCCAGTCACGTTCCTCACGCTTACTTGATCTATCATGACCGTTTCACATGGACCCCTTAGAGTTGTAAGCCCTTAAAAGTGCTAGGAATTTCTATTTCGGGGAGCTCGGCTCTTACCACACGAGTCTGCCGACGCTCCCGGCCGAATAAAAAACCTGTTCCTTCTTTAATCCGGTGTCTGAGGAGTTTTGTCTGCGACTGGTCTTCCTACAGTTTCAGGGACTCCTGTGCCTGGTTTTGTGACAGAAAAGGAGGGGTCCCGGTCCAGACCCCAAGAGAGGTTCCTGGATCTCGTGCAAGAAAGAATTCAAGGCCAGTCAAGACAGTGCAAAGCAAAAGCACGTTTATTAACAGAGGACAGGCCGGGGCGCGGTGGCTCACGCCTGTCATCCCAGCACTCTGGGAGGCCGAGGCAGGTGGATCACCCGAGGTCAGGAGTTTGAGACCAGCCTGACCAACACGATGAAACCCCGTCTCTACTAAAAATACAAAATTAGCCAGGCGTGGTGGTGCACGCCGGTAATCCCAGCTACTGGGGAGGTTGAGGCAGGAGAATGGCTTGAACCCGGGAGGCAGAGGTTGCAGGGAGCCAAGATCGCGCCATTGCACTCCAGCCTGGCTGACAGAGTAAGTCACCATCTCAAAATAAATAATAATAATAATCGGCTGGGTGCAGTGGCTCACACCTGTCATCCCAGCACTCTGGGAGGCCGAGGTGGGCAGATCACCTGAGGTCAGGAGTTCGACACCAGCCTGGAAAACATGGTAAAACCCCGTCTCTACTAAAAATACAAAAATTAGCCGGGTGGCGTGGCAGGCTGTAATCCCAGCTACTCAGGAGGCCGAGGCAGGAGAATCACTGGAACCCGGGAGGCAGAGGTTGCAGTGAGCCAAGATTGTGCCACTGCACTCCAGCCTGGGTGACAGAGCGAGACTCTGTCTCAAAAAAAAATTATTATTATTATATTATTATATATATTATTATATATTATTATAATTATATTATATTATTATATATTCTATATAATATAATATATAATAATATTATATATTATTCTATATAATCTATATAATAATATATTATTCTATATAATCTATATGATAATATATTATTCTATAATATATTATAATTATATTATTATATTTTATTATAGGTTATATATATTATAATTATATTATATTATTATAATATGTATTATTATATATTATGTATCATAATTATATTATATTATTATAATATGTATTATTATATATTATATATTATAATTATATTACATTATTATTATATATAATATGTTACATATTATAATTATATTATATTTATATTATATATTATATATTATAATTATATTATATTATTATAATCATATATTACATATTATAATTATATTATATTATTGTACAGAATTATATAGTATAATTATATTATATTATTGCATATAATTATATAGTATAATTATATTATATTATTGCATATAATTATATAGTATAATTATATCATATTATTGCATATAATTATATAGTATAATTATATTATATTATTGTATATAATTATATAGTATAATTATATCATATTATTGTATATAATTATATATTGTATATTATAATTATATTATATTATTGTATATAATATAATTATATTATATTATTGTATAAAATATAATTATATTATATTATTGTATAAAATATAATTATATTATATTATTGTATATGATATAATTATATTATATTATTGTATATAATTATAATTATATTATATTATTGTATATAATTATAATTATATTATATTATATATACTATATATTATATAATTATATTATATTATTAATATATAATTATATATTATAATTATATTATATTATTAATATATAATTATATATTATAATTATATTATATTATTAATATATAATTATATATTATAATTATATTATATTATTAATATATAATTATATATTATAATTATATTATATTATTATATATAATTATATATTATAATTATATTATATTATTTTATATAATTATATTATATTATTATATATAATTATATATTATTATACTATTTTAAAATATTATTTATTATTATTATTATATCACAGAAAAATAGCTGAAGGCCACCGAGGCAGCTCATCCGTCAACACCCTCCACGTTTTATGTTTGAGGAAATCCAGAGACGTGTGTAATTGCCGCAGAATTCCTAAGACGTGTGTGAGCATGAAATGACATATGCACTAATACCTTTGCTGTAGGAAAAACACAATCTTCCTAGCCACGTTTACGACCCTTTCCCTCCAAGGGCTTTCGGATGCAAACGCATACACGCTAACGATGCAGAAATTAAAAGGTTCTCAACGTCCCCTGTGCAACTAAGGGGTTTTTTTGTTTTTTTCTTTTTGAAGCTGGTGTTTCCAGCATTACAGGTCGCGACCACCCAGTTGCAAAAGCCAGGCACGGAGCCAGGGCAAGGAGGAGGCGTAACTTTCTTTCTGCAAAGCGTGCGTGACTTCAGCAGCCCAGGCAAGATCCACAGAGGGTCCAGAAATAAGGCTCGGCCAAGAAGAAAATAGAAAATTGCTTGCTCGCTTGTAAAATTTAACTGTTCTTTGCAATGGCAGGAGCCACGATTTTTTTTTTAATAACATGAATGCGTGAGTATGTGTGTCTAAGTGGACTTTGCCTCTAAGAACTTGGTAAAAAGCGATTTTAACTTCAGCCTTGGAGGGAATCTCTCAACCCACAGAGCTCAGCACGTCTTAAATTCATGGAGTTTTTGGCAAGCGCATGGGGGCACCGTCTCTAGCCTCCAAATACTCATTTTATGCGATTTTTTTTTTCATCTTAAATTCATGGAGTTTTTGGCAAGCGCATGGGGGCACCGTCTCTAGCCTCCAAATACTCATTTTATGCGATTTTTTTTTTCATCTTAAATTCATGGAGTTTTTGGCAAGCGCATGGGGGCACCGTCTCTAGCCCCTAAATACTCATTTTATGAGATTTTTTTTTTCAGTTGAAGAAAATGTCAAAAGGTTGTCACAGCTGTGTGGAGGAAAAGTTAAACATTAAATTTGAACTCAATTGAAGATGGACACAAGCAATGGTCACCAAGTCCCAAAACAGGGTTGAGGCCTTCATCCAGCGGTGTTTCGTAGAAATCTCTATTTCAGTCTATTCTTTTCTTTTTTCTTTTTTTGAGATGGAGTCTCACTCTGTTGCCCAGGCTGGAGTGCAGTGGTGCACTCTCAGCTCACTGCACCCTCCACCTCCCAGGTTCAAGCCATTCTCCTGCCTCAGCCTCCCGAGTAGCTGGGACTACAAGCGCCCACCACCACGCCCGGCTAATTTTTGTATTTTTAGTAGAGACGGGGTTTCACCATGTTGGCCAGGAGGGTCTCGATCTCCTGACCTCGTGATCCGCCCGCCTCGGCCTCCCAAAGTGCTGGGATGACAGGCGTGAGCCACCGTGCCCGGCCACACCTGGATAATTTTGTATTTTTAGTAGACACGAGGTTTCCACATGTTGGTCAGGCTGGTCTCGAACTCCTGACCTCAGGTGATCCGCCCACCTCGGCCTCCCAACGTGCTGGGATGACAGGGGTGAGCCACCGTGCCCGGCCTCCATACTGTTTTTTCTAGAGCTTGTACTAATTTACGTTCCCCCCAGGAATATATAAAGCATTCTCTTTTCACCACACTCATGCCAATATTTTTTTTTAACTTTTTAATAATGGTCATTCTGCCTGGGGCAAGATGATGTCTCAGTGTGATTTTAATCTGCATTTCCCTGATGCAAATTTCATCTCCATTTAAACAACAAAGAAAACAGTGGCCAGGCCGAGGTAGGTGGATCACCTGAGGTCACGAGTTGGAGACCAGCCCGGGCAACATGGTGAAACCCCGTCTCTACTAAAAATACAAAAATTAGCCAGGTGTGGTGGTGCATGCCTGTAATCCCAGCTACTCAGGAGAGTGAGGCAGGAGCATCGCTTGAACCTGGGAGGCAGAGGTTGCAGTGAGCCGAGATTGAGCCACTGCACTCCAGCCTGGCGACAGAGTGAGACTCTGTCTCAAGAAAAAAAATAAAATATGCCAGGCCCAGCGGCTCACACCTGTAATCCCAGCACTTTGGGAGGTCAAGCCAGGTGGATCACCAGAGGTCAGGAGTTTGAGATCAGCCTGTCCAACATGGTGAAACCCCGTCTCTTCTAAAAATACAAAAACTAGCTGGGCGTGGTGGCGGTTGCCTGTAATCTCAGCTACTCAGGAGGCTGAGGTAGGAAAATCGCTTGAACCCAGGAGGCAGAGGTTGCAGTGAGCTGAAATCAAGCCACTGTACTCCAGCCTGGGCAGCAAAGCCAGACTCTGTCTCAAGAAAACAAAAAAAAAAAAAAACAAAAAAAGGCCGGGCGCGGTGGCTCACACCTGTAATCCCAGCACTTTGGGAGGCCAAGGTGGGTGGATCGCGAGGTCAGGAGTTCGAGACCATCCTGGCCAACATGGCGAAACCCCATCTCTACTAACAATACAAAATTATCCAGGTGTGGCCCGGCAGGGTGGCTCACGCCTGTCATCCCAGCACTTTGGGAGGCCGAGGCGGGCGGATCACGAGGTCAGGAGATCGAGACCATCCTGGCTCACACGGTGAAACCCCGTCTCTACTAAAATTACAAAAATAAGTCAGACGTGGTGGCGGTTGCCTGTAATCTCAGCTCCTCAGGAGGCTGAGGCAGGACAATTGCTTGAACCCGGGAGGCAGAGGTTGCAGTGAGCTGAAATCGTCATGTGCTGCTTCCTATCTTCTTTTTTGAGAATCAGCACATGTCCAACTGCTCAGAAGCCTCAGGAAACAGTGTGGCTTCCCTCTTTGCTGGCTGCAGCACACGGTCTCGAAACAGGGGGCCGGGGAGGGCTCAGAGAACAAGGGTCAAAGCTTTCTTAGGAAATGTCAGGCTGCTGGTTTCATTTAACTTGGTTTTTTGTTTGTTTATTCTTGTTGTTGTTTTGAGACGGAGTCTTGCTCTGTGGCCCAGGCTGGAGTGTGCAGCGGTGCGATCTCGGCTCACTGCAACCTCCACCTCCCTGGTTCAAGCGATTCTCCTGCCTCAGCCTCCCGAGTAGCTGGGATGACAGGTGCCACCATCACACCCGGCTAATTTTTGTACTTTTGGTAGAGACGGGGGTTTCACCGTGTTGGTCAGGCTGGTCTCGAACTCCTGACCTCAGATGATCCACCCACCTCGGCCTCCCAAAGTGCTGGAATTACAGGCGTGAGCCACCGCACCCGGCCCATTTAACTTGTTACTTCATGCTTCCAGGATTCTGCCTTTGTAACCTTCCGCAGGGCACCTGTTTCATGTCAAATTCCTGAGTTAGAGATATTTAAGTATAACAATAGTCACAGGCTGGGCATGATGGCTCACGCCTATAATCCCAGCACTTTGGGAGGCCGAG
Source organism: Homo sapiens (assembly GCF_000001405.40). Lineage (NCBI taxonomy): Eukaryota > Metazoa > Chordata > Mammalia > Primates > Hominidae > Homo > Homo sapiens. The sequence goes on from NC_000023.11 coordinate 1,181,948, forward strand.
GCAGGCAGATCATCTGAGGTCAGGAATTTGAGACCAGCCTGGCCAACATGGCGAAACCCCGTTTCTACTAAAAATACATAAATCAGCCTGGCGTAGTGGCCGGTGCCTGTAATCCTAGCTACTGTGGAGGCTGAGGCAGGAGAATGGCTTGAACCTGAGAGACGGAGGTTACAGTGAGCTGAGATTGCGCCACTGCACTCCAGCCTGGGCAACAGAGCACGACTGTCAATAAAATAAAATAAGATAAAAATAAAATAAAATAAAATAAAATAAAATAAAATAAAATAAAATAAAATAAAATAAAATAAATAATAAAATAAAATAAAATAAAAATAAAATAAAATAAAATAAGATAGAATAAAATAAAATAAAATAAATAAAATAAAATAAAATAAAATAAAATATAATGAAATGAAATAAAATAAAATAAAATAAATAAAATAGTCACAGAAGCATCCCACCCTGGGACGCCATCCCCAACCGAGGCCACGGCTCCTACAAGACTCAGCTTCAAGCCTCCACCTCTCCCTGTTGTCATTGACAAATGCCCCACTTCCAGCAGGGTCATAGAAGGGCAAGTGGAGTCCCCTGCCCCTAAAGAGCCCAGCTGACCTTCCCCCACGTAAAAAATGACCTTCCCCCATTTTTTATGGCAGCAGTGCTAGGGCTGCCATAAACAATGACCACAATGGCCAGGCACAGTGGCTCACGCCTGTAATCCCAGTACTTTGGGAGTCCGAGGTAGGTGGATCACCTGAGGTCAGGAATTCGACACCAGCCAGACCAACATGGAGAAACCTCCTCTCTACTAAAAATACAACATTTAGCCGGTCGTGATGGCCGACGCCAGTAATCCCAGCTACTTGGGAGGCTGAGGCAGGAGAATCACTTGAACTTGGGAGGCAGAAGTTGCGGTGAGCTGAGATCCTGCCACTGCACTCCAGCCTGGGTAACAGAGCAAGACTCTGTCTCAAAAAAAAAAAAAAATGACCACAAACCAGGGGCTAAAACAACACACATTTATTGTCTCCCAGTCCTGGAGAGCAGGAGTCTGAGACCAATGCGTGGACAGGGCTGTGTTCCCTCTGAAGATTCTAGGGGAGGGTCCTTCCTGCCTCTCCCAGCTCCTGAGGGCTCCAGGCGTCCCTGGACTTGTGGCTGCATCACTCCAGTCTCTGCCTCCCTCTCCACGTGGCCTTCTCCTCTGTGTCTGTGTCTCCTGTCTCTTAGAAAGACACCTGTCATTGCATTTAGAAGACACCCTACTCCAGGATGGTCTCATGTCAAGATCCTTAACTTTCTTACATATGTGGAGACCCTATTTCCAAATATAAAGTCCCATTCATAGGTCTGGGGGGTAGGACATAAACGTATGTTTTGGGGTCACCATTCAATCCATTACAGTTGTACCCAGTTCCCTCTGGAGGCTCTAGGGGAGGGTGCTTCCTGCCTCTCCCAGCTCCTGGGGGCTCCAGGCATCCCTGGGCTTGTGGCCGCATCACTCCAGTCTCTGCCTCCGTCTCCACGTGGCCTTCTCCTCTGTGTCTGTGTCTCCTCTTCTGTCTCTTACAAGGACGCTTGTCATTAGATTTAGGGTCCACCCAGATAATTCAGAATGATTATCTCAATATCCTACATTTAACTGTATCTCCAAAGACCACTTTTCCAAATAAGGTCCCATTCACAGGTTCTGGGGATTAGGACATGAACACCTCTTTAGGGAGGACCACAGTTCAACTCACTACAGGTGTATCCACTTCCCTCTGGAGGCTCTAGGGGAGGATCCTTCCTGCCTCTCCCAGCTCCTGGGGGCTCCAGGCATCCCTGGGCTTGTGGCCGCATCACTCCAGTCTCTGCCTCCGTCTCCACGTGGCCTTCTCCTCTGTGTCTGTCTCCTCTTCTGTCTCTTACAAGGACGCTTGTCATTAGATTTAGGGTCCACCCAGATAATTCAGAATGATTATCTCGATATCCTACATTTAACTGTATCTCCAAAGACCACTTTTCCAAATAAGGTCCCATTCACAGGTTCTGGGGATTAGGACATGAACACCTCTTTAGGGAGGACCACAGTTCAACTCACTACAGGTGTATCCACTTCCCTCTGGAGGCTCTAGGGGAGGATCCTTCCTGCCTCTCCCAGCTCCTGGGGGCTCCAGGCATCCCTGGGCTTGTGGCCGCCTCACTCCAGTCTCTGCTGCCATCTCCACGTGGCCTTCTCCTCTGTGTCTGTCTCCTCTTCTGTCTCTTAGAAGGACACCTGTCATTGCACTTAGGACCCACCCAACTCCAGGATGATCTCATCTCAAGATCTTTACCTTAAGATAACACCTGCAAAGACCCTATTTCCAAATAAACTCTCATTCTTAAGGACAGCATGAACATGAATTTGGGGAAGGAGACATTGTATAACCCACTGCTTTGACACAGTGAGTTAAAAAATCTATAAATACTCCATGATGTGGATGGTGATTCACAGAACTTTCCACAACTTTTAGGTGTATGCCAGTGATTATATCTCTGCCATAGGGGTGGTTTTTTTTTTTTTTCTGAGACAGTCTGGCTCTGTCACCCAGGCTGGAGTGCAGTGGCACGATCTCGGCTCACTGCAACCTCCACATCCCAGGTTCAAGCGATTCTCCTGCCTCAGCCTCCTGAGTAGCTGGGATTACAGGCACCCGCCACCACACCCGGCTAATTTTTGTATTTTTAGTAGAGACGGGCTTTCACCGTGTTGGCCAGGCTGGTCTTGAGCTCCTGACCTCAAGTGATCCGCCCGCCTCGACCTCCCAAAGTGCTGGGATTACAGGCGTGAGCCACCACACCTGACCACTAAGATATCTTTTTTTTTTTTTTTTGAGATGGAGTCTCACTCTCGCCCAGGCCAGAGTGCAGTGGTGTGATCTCGGCTCACTGCGACCTCTGCCCCAAGTTCAAGCAATTCTCCTGCCTCAGCCTCCCGAGTAGCTGGGACTACAGATGCCCGCCACCATGCACGGCTATTTTTTTGTATTTTTAGTAGAGACGGGGTTTCACCGTGTTGGCCAGACTGGTCTGGAGCTCCTGACCTCCAGTGATCTGCCCGCCTCGACCTCCCAAACTGCTGGGATGACAGGCGTGAGCCACCACACCTGACCACTAAGATATCTTTTTTTTTTTTTTTTTTTTTGAGATGGAGTCTTGCTCTGTCACCCAGGTTGGAGTGCAGCGGCACGATCTTGGCTCATTGCAACCTCTGCATCCCTGGTTCAAGCGATTCTCCTGCCTCAGCCTCCCGAATAGCTGGGATTACAGGCGGGTACCGCCACACCTGGCTAATTTTTGTATTTTTAGTAGAGATGGGGTTTCACCCCGTTAGCCAGGATGGTCTTGAACTCCTGACCTCGTGATCCACCGGCCTCGGCCTCCCAAAGTGCTGGGATGACAGGCGCGAGCCACTGCGCCCAGCCAGTAGTTTCTTTTATGAGATGGAATCTGCTCATTTGAAAATACATTTTTTTTTTGCAAAAATCTTCAGACAATACTGAGTGTATCACAAAAATTAGCCACCACACCCAGCTAATTTTCTTTTATTATTATTTTTTGTAGAGATGGGGTCTTGCCGTGTTGTCCAGGCTGGTCTTGAACTCCTGCGCTCAAGGGATCCTCCCAGCCCAGCCTTCCCAAAGTACTGGGATGACAGGAGTAAGCCACTGCACCTGGCTTCTCGGTTCTTTGTTATCTGCCTTTTTAAGTCACACTCGGGGCCGGGAACACCCAGGTTTTCACCTAGGGCTTTCGGCTGTGAACCTGCCATGTCTGCTACTGATCAGAAGTAATGATTATTTCAGAGGAGAGGGACAGGGGCCTCCCTCTGATTCACAATGTTCCCCAAAGGAGAGATAGCATCTGTGACTCATGACTAATTCTCTAGAACATGCTCTGCGGGGCTGTTTCTGCCGGGGGTTTTTTGGGGGGCAGGATGGAGGGGGGCACGGAGTTTCGCCCTTGTCGCCCAGGCTGGAGTGCAATGGTGTGACCTTGGCTCACTGCAACCTCCGCCTCCCGGGTTCAAGCAATTCTCCTGCCTCAGCCTCCCGAGTAGCTGGGAGACCTCGGCTCACTGCAACCTCCGCCTCCCGGGTTCAAGCAATTCTCCTGCCTCAGCCTCCCGAGTAGCTGGGATAACAGGCACCTGCCACCACCCCCGGTTAATTTTTGTATTTTTAGTAGAGACAGGGTTTCGCCATGTTGGTCAGGCTGGTCTCGAACTCCTGACCTCAAGTGATCCACCCGCCTCGGCCTCCCAAAGTGCTGGGATTACAGACGTCAGCCACTGCGGACAGCCTTAAAACTCAATTTCCAGTACCCCACTGAGGAAAAAAGACAACGTGGTCATCGGCTTGCTGTGGGGTGAACACTGTCATCGTGACCCTAAACCTGAGTCCCTGGGTTCCCATTTAATCACTTTTCTGACTTTTATCTTTAAACATTAGGCGGGTATGGTGGCGGGTGCCTGTCATCCCAGCTACTTGGGAGGCTGAGGCAGGAGAATGGCTCGAACCCGGGAGGCGGAGCTTGCAGTGACCCGAGATCGTGCCACTGCACTCCAGCCTGGGCGACAAGAGCAAAAATGCACCTAAAAAAAAAGACGGATGCCCTGGAGAAACACCTACGTAAGCTCCCGCCATGGGTAGAATAGAGATTTATTTTTATTTTATTTTTGTCGGGGGGAGCAGGGACAGGGTCTTGCTCTGTCGCCAGATTGGAATTCAGTGGCAACATCTCTGCTCACTGCGACCTCTGCCTCCCGAGCTCAAGCGATTCTCCTGCCTCAGCCTCCTGAGTAACTGGGATTACAGGTGCTCGCCACCACCGCCTGGCTGATTTTTATATTTTTGATAGAGACGGGGTTTCACCATGTTGGCCAGGCTGGTCTCGAACTCATGAGCTCAGGAGATCCACCCACAGCGGCCTCCCAACGTGCTGGGATGACAGGCGTGAGCCACTGCGCCTGTATACACTTATTTTTATACATAGTGTATATTATATACACTTACTTTTAAATATACACTTACATGCAAAATATACAAAAAAAAAGTTAGCTGAGTGGGGCGGTGTGTGCCTGTAATCCCAGCTACTCGGGAGGCTGAGGCAGGAGAATTGCTTGAACCCGGGAGGCGGAGTTTGCAGGGAGCCGAGATCGCACCACTGCACTCCGGCCTGGGTGACAGAGCAAGACTCCGTCCCAGAAAAAAAAAAAAAAAAAGTTTTAAACTAATAGCCAATTGGGTAAAGTATGAAATGTGAGGTCCTATTCCAGTCAATGGAAAGTGGATGCAGCAGTAGGTTAGATGTGTCAGGTTGTAAATAACTCTGTCTCCTTTGTTCAGTGCACTCTGGTGGCTGGACAACTGTTGAGTAGCGATCATTTGTTTCTGCGTTAATTCTTTTTTTGTGTGTAATTTTTTTTTTTTTTTTTTTTAGGGGAGTCTCACTCTGTCGCCCAGGCTGGAATGCAGTGGCACAATCTCGGCTTCATTTGCAACAATGTATAAACCTAGAAAACCTGAGACAGGTCGGGGCACAGCTTGGTTTTTTTTGTTTTGAGTTTTTTTTTGTAGGGGTAGAGGTGGTTTGGAGTCTCACTCTGTAGCCCAGGCTGGAGTGCAGTGGCACCATCTCGGCTCTCTGCCACCTCCGCCTCCCAGGTCCTGGTTCAAGCAATTCTCCTGCTCCCGAGTAGCTGGGATTACAGGCACGCGCCACCACGCCCAGCTGATTTTTGTATTTTTAGTAGAGACGGGGTTTCATCACGTTGCCCAGGCTGGTCTTGAACTCCTGAACTCAAGTGATCCGCCCGCCTCGGCCTCCCAAAGTGCTGGGATGACGGGCGTGAGCCACTGTGACCGGCCACAGCTTGGTTTTATACATTTTAGGGAGGCGGAGCTTGCAGTGAGCCAAGATCACGCTACTGCACTCCAGCCTGGGCGACACAGTGAGACTCCGTCTCAAAAAAAAAAAAGAGAGATACAGGAAGGGCTGAGCGGCTCACACCTGTCATCCCAGCACTTTGGGAGTCCGAGGCAGGTGGATCACGAGGTCAGGAGTTCGAGACTACCCTGGCCGACGTGGTGAAACCCCGTTTCTACTAAAAATACAAAAATTAGCCAGGCGTGGTGGCTTACGCCTGTCATCCCAGCACTTTGGGAGTCTGAGGCAGGTGGATCACCTGAGGTCAGGAGTTTGAGACCAGCCTGGCCAACATGGCAAAACCCCGTGTCTACTAAAAATACAAAAATTAGCCAGGTGTGGTGGCGGGCACCTGTTATCCCACCTATTTGGGAGTCTGAGGCAGGAGAATCGCTTGAACCCGGGAGGCGGAGGTTGCGGTGAGCCAAGATCGTGCCCCTGCATTCCAGCCTGGGTGACAGAGTGAGACTCTGTCTCAGAAAAAAAGATAAAAGAAAACAGAAAAAAAAGAACCTTTGTTTCCGCCCAGAAAGGCAGGGACAGCACAAAGCCAGGAGCAGGTTTCCAGGTAACAGGTAGGTGGGAGACAGATGGTTGCACTGTTTTGAGTTTCTGATAACCTTTTTTGAAGGAGGAGATCAGATGTGGGTCTATCTCACTGAGCAGAGGGGTGACTTTGAGTACAATGGGAGGCAGGTTTGCCTGTAGCAGTTCCCAGCTTGAATTTTCCTTTTAGCTTCCTGATTTGGAAGGGGCCCAAGATGTTTTCCTTCCACGCTATACGCTGTGGAATATACTACACAGCCATAAAAATGAAGGAAATAAGGTTCTGTGCAGCAACCTGGATGCCGCTGGAGGGCATTATCCTAAGAGAATTAACAAAGGAACAGAAAACCAAACACTGCAGGTTCTCACTTTGTAAGTAGAAACTGTATATGTATATGTGTATATATATGTATTTGTATATGTATATGTATATGCATTTGTATATGTATTTGCATATGTATATGTATTTGTATATGTATTTGTATATGTATATGTATTTGTATATGTATTTGCATATGTATATGTATATGTATTTGTATATGTATACATATATATGCACTCTGTAACATTGATAACACACACTATAAGATTGCTATCCACTATTAGCATCTATATATACATCTATATATATAGTGTGTATATATATTTACACTATATATATATCTATACATCCATATATAGTGTGTATATATAGTGTGTGTATATATATAGTGTGTGTATATATATAGTGTGTGTATATATATATAGTGTGTATATATATATAGTGTGTATATATATATATATATAGTGTGTGTGTATATATATACTATAAGGTTGCTGGCCAGGCACGGTGGCTCACGCCTGTAATCCCAGCACTTTGGGAGGCCAAGGCAGGCAGATCACGAGGTCAGGAGATCGAGACCATCCTGGCTAACACGGTGAAACCCCATCTCTACTAAAAATACAAAAACTTAGCCGGGCATGGTGGTGAGCGCCTGTAGTCCCAGCTACTCGGGAGGCTGAGGCAGGAGAATGGCGTGAACCCGGGAGACGGAGCTTGCGGTGAGCCAAGATCATGCCACTGCACTCCAGCCTCGGCGACAGAGCAAGACTCCGTCTCAAAAAAAAGAAAAAAAAAAGATGAAATGCTTTACTCTTTGTTTAAAAAAAAAAATCCTCTGAAAATCAGATGAGATGTCTCAAGCCTGTCATCCTAGCACTTTGGGAGGCTGAGGCGGGTGGATCACCAGAGGTCAGGAATTTGAGACCAGCCTCGTCAACGTGGTGAAACCCCGTCTCCACTAAAAATGCAAAAATTAGCCGGGCGTGGTGGCGGGCGCCTGTAGTCTCAGCTACTCAGGAGGGTGAGGCAGGAGAATCACTTCAACCCGGGAGGCAGAGGTTGCAATGAGCCAACACTCTGCCACTGCACTCCAGCCTGGGCAACAGAGCGAGACTCTGTCTCAAAAAACAAACAAAAAAAATTCCTCTGAGAGCTGGTGGTTGTGGCTCACACCTGTAATCGCAGCACTTTGGGAGGCCAAGGCAGGAGGATCACCTGAGGTCAGGAGTTCGAGACCAGCCTGGCCAACATGGCGAAACCCCGTCTCTACTAAAAAAAAAAAATTAGCCGGGTGTGGTGGCGGCCGCCTGTAATCCCAGCTACTCGGGAGGCTGAAGCAGGAGAATCATTTGATGGGAAGTGGAGGTTGCAGTGAGCCGAGATCGTGACACTGCACTCCAGCCTGGGCAACAGAGTGAGACTCCGTCTCAAAAAAAAAAAAAAAATGCTGGGGACAGTGGCTCACGCCTGTAAACCCAGCACTTTGGGAGGTCAAGGCGGGTGGATCACCTGAGGTTAGGAGTTCAAGACCACCCTGGACAACGTGGTGAAACCCCATCTCTACTAAAAATACAAAAATTAGCCGAGCGTGGTGGCGGGCAGCTATAATCCCAGGTACTCAGGAGGCTGAGGCAGGAGAATCGCTTGAACTCGGAAGGCAGAGCTTGCAGCGAGCCAAGATCGCGCCACTGCACTCCAGCCTGGGCAACTGAGTGAGACTCTGTCTCAAAACAGACAAAAAATCCTCCGAGAATCCAATGCTATGGGAATGGTACATGGACGGAACTGGGGACTCACAGAGTGGGAAGATGGTTTTACAGCATTTTGGACGTGCTGCCTTGGGGTTTATGTGACAACGTTCAGGCACGAAAAGGAACTGGGAGTAAATCTCCTGGAGCAATTGGCTCCCATCTGCCATCAAGCCTTTGAACACAGAGACTCATGTGGGGGAAAGTTAGCAGGGCAGTGGCCGCATTAGGCGGTGAGGCTGGGTCTTCAGAGTCTCCTAGTCCTACCATCATTGGCGTGGAGACTTCCCATCCATGGTGGTGTGGAGTCCCCGGGACAGTCCCCTCTGTCTTTAAATGTCAACGTGGATCCTGACGTTGACTTTGACAGTGGTGTGTCCATCACAACGCCACGTAGGAGCGGTCATTCATCACAAAGGTGAAGCCCCCGATTGTGACCACATCACCGCCTTGGAGGGGCTGGTGGGGAAGCTGGAGGGATCCCCCAGAGGCCTCTTTCTCCTCGGTCTGTGGGTCCAGCATCCTGGGAGACTCGGCTTCAGTCTTGGCCAACTGGACTACCAGGGGCTCCTCGGGGCCACTTTCTTGCTCTGCACCTGCCATCTTGTGGAGGTGGGCCACGTTCTGGGTGTCTGTGATCCACTCCTACCAGGAAGAACATTCTAGCTCAAACACAGTGGACACACCACACACAGCGTCCTGAGCATCCGTACAGACGGTACCCACCACAGACATCCCTGGACATCTTTCTCTTTCTTTCTCTCTCTTTCTTTTCTTTTCTCTTTCTTTCTTTCTTTCTTTCTTTCTTTCTTTCTTTCTTTCTTTCTTTCCTTCTTTCTTTCTTTCCTTTCTTTCTCTTTCTTTCTTTCTCTCTTTCTCTCTTTCTTTCTTCCCAAGAAACAACACCATTCCCAATGGAACAGGAAAGCCCTCTCATCTGGGAGGTCTAAGCCCCTACAAAGCTCTTGTTTGGGGCATCCAGGAGCTCTGACACCAATACCCTTGTAAACCAAAAATAAATTTTTTTTTTTTTGAGACGGCATTTCGCTCTTGTTTCCCAGGCTGGAGTGCAACGGCGTGATCTCGGCTGACTGCAGCCTCCGCCTACCCGGTTCAAGCGATTCTCCTGCCTCAGCCTCCTGAGTAGCTGGGATTACAGACGTGCACCACCACACACGGCTAATTTTGTATTTTTAGTAGAGACGGGGTTTCACCATGTTGGTCAGGCTGGACTCGAACTCCCGACCTCAGGTGATCCACCCGACTCGACCTCCCAAAGTGCTGGGACCAAAGGTGCGAGCCACCGTGCCTGGCCCCCAAAAATAAAATTCTAAGCCCTCCAACAGACTGACGGACTCTCCAGTCAGCCAAGGTGATTCCAAAGTTAAGTTAAAACCTAGTTTGAGCCAGCCGGCCGCAGTGGCTTACACCTGTAATCCCAGCACTTTGGGAGGCCAAGGTGGGTGGATCATGAGGTGAGGAGATCGAGACCATCCCGACTAACATGGTGAAACCCCATCTCTACGAAAAATACAAAAAATCAGCCGGGTGTGGTGGCGGGCGCCTGTAGTCCCAGCTACTTGGGAGGCTGAGGCAGGAGAATGGCGTGAACCCGGGAGGTGGAGCTTGCAGTGAGCCGAGATCCCGCCACTGCACTCCAGCCTGGGCGACAGAGCGAGACTCCGTCTCAAAAAAAAAAAAAAAACAAAAAAAACCTAGTTTGAGCCATAATGGGAAGTCAGAGTTGGACATGCTTCTTTATACCCTCTTCCCTTTGAAATTCTGACACAGCTGACCAGCATTAAAATCAACACATAGGACACAAAAACCAGGCGCGGTGGCTCACGCCTGTCATCCCAGCACTTCGGGAGGCCAAGGTGGGTGGACTTGAGTTTGAGACCAGCCTGGACAACATGGTGAAAAAACCCATCTGTACTAAAAATACAAAAAATTAGCCAGGTGTGGTGGCGGGCGCCTGTCATCCCAGCTACTCAGGAGGCTGAGGCAGGAGAATCATTTGACCCTGGGAGGTGGAGGTTGCAGTGAGCCGAGATCAAACCATTTTTCTTTCTTCCTTCCTTTCTTCCTTTCTTTCTTTCCTTCTTTCTCTCTCTTTCTTTCTTCCTTTTCTTTTTTTCTTTCTTTCCTTTTTTCTTTCTCTTTCTTTTTCTCTTTCTTTTTCTTTTCTTTTCTTTTCTTTCTTTCTTTCTTTCTTTCTTTCTTTCTTTCTTTCTTTCTTTCTTTCTTTCTTTCCTTCCTTCCTCTCTCCCCCTTTCCTCCCTCCTTCCTTCCCTTCCTTCCTTCTTTTTTTTTTTCTTGACAGAGTCTCACTCTGTCACCCAGGCTGGAGTGCAGTGGTACAATCTCAGCTCACTGCAACCTCTGCCTCCACAGTTCAAGCGATTCTCCTGCCTCAGCCTCCAGAGTCGCTGGGATTACAGGAGTGAGCCAGCACGCCCGGCTAATCCTTGTATTTTTAGTAGAGATGGGGTTTCACATGTTGGCCAGGCTGGTCTCGAACTCCTGACCTGAAGTGAGCCTCCCACCTCGGCCTCCCAAAGTGCTGGGATGACAGGCGTGAGCCACTGCGCCCGGCTGTTAATGTCATTCTCTAAAAAGGTCGCGCTCAGAGAGATAGGAATGCAGGCAGAGGGGCACCTGCTTGGTGGAGAGGAGAAGAGACACAAGGAGAGGGCGGATACCTGGAAGTTCCCTTGGTGTATCTCAAAGAGCCCGGGGAAGATGGATTTCGGGTCTGGCACGCTGGGAATGAGAAACTTCTTCACTCTGAAATAGAGACGGAGAGCGTGGTCAGGTCGGCCACAGCCCCGCAGGAAGGGTTGGCAAGAAGCACCTACAGGGCATGGACCCCAGGGACAGACCAAGAATGGCAGAGCGGGGCCTTCCACATGGACACATGTGTCTCCTCCCGCTCCCCAGGGACCCTGCCTCTGGGGTCCTCATAAAGTTCCCATCAGGAGGCCGGGAGTGGTGGCTCACGCCTGTAATCCCAGCACTTTGGGAGGCTGAGGCGGATGGATCACCTGAGGTCAGGAGTTTGAGACCAGCCTGGCCAACATGGTGAAATCCCCTCTCTAATAAAAATACAAAAAAAAATTAGCCGGGCGTGGTGGTGGGCACCTGTAGTCCCAGCTACTCGGGAGGCTGAGGCTGGAGAATGGCGTGAACCCGGGAGGTGGAGGTTTCAGTGATCCGAGATTGCGCCACTGCACTCCAGCCTGGGCGACAGAGCGAGACTCCATCTCAAAAAAAAAAAAAAAAAAAAAATACAAAAATTAGCCAGGTGTGGTGGCGGATGCCTGTAATCCCAGCTATTCGGGAGGCTGAGGCAGGAGAATCACTTGAACCTGGGAGGCAGAGGTTGCAGTGAGCTGAGATCACACCACTGCACTCCAGCTGGGGCAACAGAGCGAGACTCCGTCTCAAAAAAATACAAAAATTAGCTGGGCATGGTGGCGTCTGCCTGTAATCCCAGCTACTTGGGATGCTGAGGCAGGAGAATCGCTTGAACCTGGGGGGCAGAGGTTGCAGTGATCTGAGATTGTGCCACTGCTCTCCAGCCAGGGCAACAGACCGAGACTCCATCTCAAAAAAAATACAAAAATTAGCTGGGTGTGGTGGCGTCTGCGTGTAGTCCCAGCTACTTGGGATGTTGAGGCAGGAGAATCACTTGAACCTGGGAGGCGGAGACTGCAGTGATCCAAGATCACACCAGTGCTCTCCAGCCTGGGCAACAGAGCTAGACTCCGTCTCAAAAAAAACAAAATATACAAAAATTAGCCGGGTGTGGTGGCAGATGCCTGTAGTCCCAGCTGCTTGGGAGGCTAAGGCAGGAGAATCGCTTGAGCCTGGGAGGTGGAGTTTGCAGTGAGCCCAGATCACACCATTGCACTCCAGCCTGGGTGACAGAGTGAGACTCAGTCTTAAAAAAATAAAAGTTCCCACCAGGATAAGGTGTGACGGACAGTGAGCCACGTCCTGTGCACACAGCAGATTTGCATTAAATATGTGATTATTTCCACCTTGTCGATAGGATGGGCTGAAATGGGACCCTCATTCCTGAAAGTTTCTATGTTGAAGTTCTAATCACCGACCTCACAACGAGACTATATTTGGAGATGGGGAGTCTCTAAAAAGGTGATGATAGTAAAATGAGGTCACTAGGGAGGGTTCTGTTTCAACAGGGCTGAGGTCTTTATAAGAAGAGAAGGTTGGCCAGGAGTGGTGGCTCACGCCTGTCATCCCAGCACTTTGGGAGGCCGAGGAGGACGGATCTCCTGAGGTCAGGAGTTCGAGACCAGCCTGGCCAACACGGTGAAACCCCGTCTCTACTAAAAATACAAAAATTAGCCAGGTGTGGTGGCGCGCACCTGTAGTCCCAGCTACTCGGGAGGCTGAGGCAGGAGAATTGCTTGAATCTGGGAGGCGGAGGTGGCAGTGAGCCGAGATCATGCCACTGTACTCCAGCCTGGGTGACAGAGTGAGACTCAGTCTCAAAATAAATACATAAATAAATATATAAGAAAATGACTCAACCTCCCACCTACTGGGGAGGCTGAGGCAGGAGAATTGCTTGAACTCGGGAGGCAGAGGTTGCAGTGAGCCGAGATCACGCCACTGCACTCCAGCCTGGGTGACAGAGTGAGATTCCGTCTCAAAATAAATACAGAAATAAATAAATCAATAAATAAGAAAATGACTCAACCTCACATTTTTGAAAAGTTCTCTGTGGTCTGAAAGAATATTGTTTCGTCTAGAACTCTCACTGGATTCAAAGCCAAAAATTCAGTGAGAGATGGAGCAAAGACAATATTAGATCTTGGACCATTCTTCTTGCTGCCCTCACCAAGTTGCACAGCTTACCTGGACTTCTTTAGCTTTCTTTTTGAGAGACAGGATCGTGCTCTGTCACCCAGGGTGGAGTGCAGTGGTGCAATCACAGCTCACTGCAGCCTTAAACTCCCAGGCTCAAGCCGTCCTTCCACCTCAGCCTCCCAAATAGCTGGGACTACAAGTGCACGCTACTACGCCCAGCTAATTTTATTTTTTCCTTTTTTTCAGACAGAGTTTCACCCTTGTCGCCCAGGCTGGAGTATAATGGTGCAATCTCAGCTCATGGCAACCTCTGCCTCCTGGGTTCAAGCGGTTCTCCTGCCTCAGCCTCCGGAGCAGCTGGGACTACAGGTGCTAATTTTTATATTTTTATAAATATATATATATTTTTATATTATATATATATTTATATAATTTTATATATATTTATATATTATATATTAAATTATATATATTATATATTAAATTATATATTTATATATTTTTATATAGATTAAATTAAATATATATTTTATATAGATTAAATTAAATATGTATTTATATATTTTTATATAGATTACATTAAATATATTTATATATATTTTATATATAAATTAAATATATATTATATATATTTTTATATATTTATATATATAATTATATATAAATATAAATATATATAATTATACACCCGGCTAATTTTTATATTTTTAGTAGAGGTGGGGTTTCTTCATGTTGGCCAGGCTGGTCTCGAACTCCTGACCTCAGGTGATCCACCTGCCTCGGCCTCCTAAAGTGCTGGGATTACAGACATGAGCCACCACACCCGGCAGGGCTAATTTTTTTTTTTTTTTTTTGAGACAGAGTCTCGCTCTGTCGCCCAGGCTGGAGTGCAGTGGCGCAATCTCCGCTCACAGCAAGCTCCGACTCCCAGGTTCAAGCAATTCTCCTGCCTCAGCCTCCCGAGTAGCTGGGATTACAGGTGCACGCCACCACACCCGGCTACTTTTTGTATTTTTATTAGAGACGGGGTTTCACCATGTTGGCCAGGATGGTCTCGATCTCTTGACCTTATGATTCACCTGCCTTGGCATCACAAAATACTGGGATTACAGGCGTGAACCACCGTGCCTGACCCTAATTTTTGTATTCTTAGTAGAGATGGGATTTCACCATATTGGCCAGGCTGGTCTCGAACTCGTGACCTCGTGATCTGCCTGCCTTGGTCTCCCCAAGTGCTGGGATGACAGGTGTGAGCCACCATGCCCAGCCCCTCCGAAATTTCTTATAATCCACCATCAGAAGAGTGGGCATTGTATGGAAACTGAGGCCCAGGGAAATGACTCTATCAGGCGATTAATCTTTTTTCGTACTTCACAGACATTGTGCAAGCAGGTCCCTCCACCCACGGGCGGCAGGAGTCATCCTTACCTCCATAATTTCCATAAAGACAGAAGGAGGAGAGACACCATCAGAAGGATGGCCAGGCTGGAAATTAAAATAAATTTGGACAGCTTTGGTTTGGGAGGCGTTGGTGTCTCTGCACAGGCATCTGAAACAAAATGAAAAGGCGGCTGTCAGTTTTCAACATGACGTGCGGCTGTACGTTTTCAACGTGATGTTACATCTCATCCCTAACCAGTCTCCCTCATTTTTTGGTGTTCGTTTTTTTTTCTTGGTTCTCGTTGTTTGTTTTTTGTTTTGTTTTTGTTTTTTGTAAATATTCGTGTCAGCAAATCTTTTACTTTTTTTTTTTTTTTTTGAGACAGAACCTCACTCTGTTGCCCAGGCTGGAGTGCAGTGGCTCCATCTCAGCTCACTGCAACCTCCGTCTCCCGGACTCAAGCGATTCTCCTGTCTCAGCCTCCCGAGCAGCTGGGATGACAGGCATCCGCCACCACACCGGGCTAATTTTTGTATTTTTAGTAGAGATGGACCTATTTTTTTTTTTTAATGAATGTTAGTGTCAGCAAATTTTCATTCCTATGGAAAATATCCTGGAAAGAGACACCGTGTCTCTGGACAACAACACATCCCACAGCCACCCCGAGGAAGTAAGGGCAGGTCCAACATGTAGCCTTTGGAGGCTTCTGGTTGCTGGAGGTGTTTACAGCATATGAGAGCTTGCTTTCGTGTGTTGGTGGCTGTGCTCCTTAAATCATGCCCCCTGAAAACATACGTCAAAGGCCGGGCGCGGTGGCTCACGCCTTTAATCCCAGCACTTTGGGAGGCCGAGGCGGGCGGATCACAAGGTCAGGAGTTCGAGACCAGCCTGGCCAATATGGGGAAACGCCATCCCTACTAAAAATACAAACATTAGGCGGGCTTGGTGGTGCGTGCCTGTAGTCCCAGCTACTTGGGAGGCTGAGGCAGGAGAATCACTTGAACTCGGGAGGCGGAGGTTGCAGTGAGCCAAGACCGTGCCACTGAACTCCAGCCTGGACCACAGACTGAGACTCCCTCTAAAAAAAAATAAAAATAAAAAAATAAAAAATAAAAAGATTTAATCAGGTGTGGTGGCGTGTACACTGTAATCCCAGGCACTCGGGAGGCTGAGGCGGGAGAATCGATTGAACGTGGGAGACAGATGTTGCAGGGAGCCGAGATCGCGCCACTGCACTCCAGCCTGGGCACCATGAGAATGTTTCTCAAAAAAACAAAAGAAAGAAAACTCTCCCAAGTGAAAGCAGCCCGAGAATGAAACAAGGAGAGGAATTACTTTCAGATGGGGCCCTGGAGGATGACAGAAGGCTGAGCTTGCTCAGACACACCCTCCTGGGAAGGCAGGACACCCTCCCTCCCACCTCGAAGGCAGGACACCCTCCCTCCCACCTCCCAGGAAGGCAGGACACCCTCCCTCCCACCTCGAAGGCAGGACACCCTCCCTCCCACCTCCCAGGAAGGCAGGACACCCTCCCTCCCACCTCCCAGGAAGGCAGGACACCCTCCCTCCCACCTCCCAGGAAGGCAGGACACCCTCCCTCCCACCTCGAAGGCAGGACAGCCTCCCTCCCACCTCCCGGGAAGATAGGACACCCTCCCTCCCACCTCGAAGGCAGGACACCCTCCCTCCCACCTCCCAGGAAGGCAGGACACCCTCCCTCCCACCTCGAAGGCAGGACACCCTCCCTCCCACCTCCCGGGAAGGCAGTGGCTATGCCTACTCCAGCCTGGTGACAAGGCTATGGGACACTGCCGCGTAACAAGCATTACCCCGAATCTCGCCTCTCTGCCAGCATGTCACCTCTGACCAGTCGCTTGGGTATGTGTCTGGCCCATATACATCCTCCATAGCCTTCACCCTGACCCAGAAAGAGTAACACTTCTCGGCATCCAAGCCTTCTATGGTGACGTTGCAGGTATTTTCCTGTTTGGACTGGAGAAACATACACACACACACACACACACACACACACACACACACACACACACACAATGATTAGTGATGTAACCTGTCTGTCCAGAGTTTTCCTTCCGGAGGGTTCACAGTCTCGCTGACTTCAAGAATGGAGCCGCGAGGCCGGACACAGTGGCTCACTCCTGTAAACCCAACGCTTTGGGAGGCTGAGGCGGGTGGATCACCTGAGGTCGCAAGTTCGAGACCAGCCTGGCCAACATGGAGAAACCCCGTCTCTACTGATAATACAAAAATTAGCCAGGCGTGGTGGCGGGTGCCTGTAATCCCAGCTACTTGGGAGGCTGAGGCAGGAGAATCGCTTGAACCTGGGAGGCGAAGGTTGTAGCAAGCAGAGATCGCACCACTGCACTCCAGCCTGGGTGACAGAGCGGGACTGTGTCTAAAAAAAGAAAAAGAGATGGGGTCTCACTCTGTTGCCCAAGCTGGTCAACAACTCCTGGGCTCAAGCGATCCTCCTGCCTTGGCCTCCAACAGTACTGGGATTACAGGCATGAGCCACTGTGCCTGGCCTGTATTTACTTTATTATTATTTTAATATATTATTTATTTATTTACTGAGACAGAGTCTTGCTCTGTTGCCCAGGCTGGAGTGCAGTGGTGCGGTCTCGGCTCACTGCAACCTCTGCCTGTCGGGTTCAAGCAATTCTTGTGCCTCAGCCTCCCGAGTAGCTCGGATTACAGGCACCACCATGCTTGGCTAATTTTTGTATTTCTAGTAGAGATGAGGTTTCACCACGTTGGCCAGGCTGGTCTTGAACTCCTGACCTCAGGTGATCCACCCTCCTCGGCCTCCCAAAGTGCTGGGATTAAAGGTGTGAGCCACTGCATCCAGCCTGTATCTACATATCTTTACAGATATAAATGGATATAAAGATACAGATGAATGTTCTATTCTATGTATCAGTTTATACATATATAGTTTATATATGTTTGTAGATATATGTACCAATAAGATATCTCTATATGTATATTTATATATGTGTGTATATATAAGCTGTATATATAAGGTGTGTATATATAATTGTGTATATATAAGTTGTGTGTATAAGGTGTGTGTATATCTGTGTGTATAGAAGCTATGTATATAAGATGTGTATATATGTGTATATATAAGCTATGTATCTATATGTGTGTGTATATATGTGTATATATAAGCTGTGTATGTAAGGTGTGTATATATGTGTATATATAAGCTGTGTATATTAGGTGTGTATATACGTGTGTATATATATGTGTATATAAGCTGTGTATATAAGCTCTGTATATATGTGTGTGTATATATGTGTGTATATAAGGTGTGTATATATGTGTATATGTATTGTATATAAGCTGTGTGTGTATATATATAAAGTTTGTGTATCTATACATGTGTGTATATACATGTGTGTATATATACCTGTATATAAGCTGTGTATATAAGCTGTGTATATGTGTGTATGTGTGTGTATATACGGTGTGTGTATACGTGTGTATAAATATGTGTATATAAGCTGTGTATATAAGGTGCATATATATGTGTATATATACGTGTATATAAGCTGTGCACATATGTGTGTATATATATGTGTGTATATAAGATGTGTATGTACATGTGTATAAATATGTGTATATAAGGTATGTATATATGTGTGTGTATATGTGTATATAAGCTGTGTATATGTGTGTATATGTGTTTATATAAGGTGTGTGTATACGTGTGTATAAATATGTGTATATAAGCTGTGTATATAAGGTGCATATATACATATATATACGTGTATATAAGCTGTGTATATATGTGTGGGTATATATATGTGTATATAAGCTGTGTGTGTGTATATATGTGTGTATATAAGATGTGTATATACGTGTGTATAAATATGCATATATAAGGTATGTATATATGTGTGGGTATATATATGTGTATATAAGCTGTGTGTGTGTGTATATGTGTGTGTATATAAGATGTGTATATACGTGTGTATAAATATGCATAGATAAGGTATGTATATATGTGTGTATATAAGCTGTGTATCTATATGTGTGTATATGCATGTGTATATATGTATATATAAGCTGTGTACACAAGGTACGTACATATATGTGTGTGTATATGTGTGTGTGTACACACACATATAGGTAGATATACAGTCATGCATTGCTTAACGATGGGGACATGTTCTGGGAAATGCATTGTGAGGTGATTTCTTCATTATGAGAATATTCTAGAGTTTACTTACACACACCTAGCTGGTCTAGCCTGCTGCACATCTAGGCTGTATAGTAAATTGCTCTTCAGCTACACACCCATACAGCATGTTACTGTACTGAATACTGCAGACAAACCTAATGCAAGGGTAAGTATTTGTGTATCTAAACATAGAGAAGGTACAGGAAAAATATGGTATAGAAGAAAATAATTGGGACAGCTGCATAGGACAGCTGTGTGATAATCATAGGAGACTACCGTGGTACATGCAGTCTGCTGATGACCAACAGGTCGTTAGGCAGCACATGACTGTGTGTGTGTGCCTGTGTGTGTCTGTGTGTGTCTGTGCATGTCTGTGTGTGCCTGTGTGCCTGTGTTTGTGTGTCTGTGTGTGTGTGTGTGTAGAGAGACAGGTGTGTAGAGATACAGGTAGAGATAGGACTAGAGGTAGACAGATAAAGAAATGATAGATACATAGATAAAACAGAGAGATGACAGAGTTGATAGATGATACATAGACAGATGATAGAGAGATAGATAGATGATACATAGATGATAGAGCGATGAGAGAGAGATAGATGATACATAGATGATAGAGTGATGAGAGAGAGATAGATGATACATAGATGATAGAGCAATGATAGAGAGATAGATGATACATAGACAGATGATAGAGAGATAAATAGATGATACATTAGATAGAGAGACAGACAGACAGATGATACAGAGTAGATAGATAGATGATACTTAGATAGATAGAGACGGATAGATGATAGATGTATAGATACATACATAGATAGATAAATACATAGATAAGATAGTAGATGGTAGAATAGAGATAATGGGTAGGTAGTTAGATAGAGATGATAGATAGTTGAACTACATAGAGATAGGGATGATATATATAGAAGATTGACCATACATAGATAGATAAAAGAGAGTTGGTAGATAAAATAGATATGGATAGAGCCATAGAGAGATAGATAGAACAAAGAGAGTTAATAGATAAAATAGATGATAGATTGAAAGACAGAGATAGAGATAAAATAGAATGAGATAGATTGAAAGACAGGGATAGAGATAAAATAGAATGAGATAGATAGATGATAGATTGAAAGAGAGGGAAATAGAATGATATAGATACATAGATAGAGGTAGAGATAAAATAGAATGATATAGATAGATTGATAGATAGATAGATAAATAGATTGATAGACAGACAGACAGACATATTATTGGTTCTCTTTCTCTGGAGACCCCTCAGAGACACAGAGAGAAACATGAAAAAGCCAAGCTGGACTAGAGCTCTCTCAGGAAGATACAGCAGAGTGGAATTCAGGAAGGTGTAGACAGAGGGGAGCGAGGTCTGATGAAACAGCGAATCCCACAGCCCGCACCTGGGGGACGCTCAGCCACCATCGCCCTGAGTCGCGGCCGCCCGGCTCACCTGCCACTCGGTGTCGAAGGGGCTCCGGTACTGAACCTCATAGAGGAGATCCCCGTAGGACAGGTCAGAACACGTCACCGTCACTGCATCCTGATGCCACGAAAATCTCACGTGCTTCGGGGAACTGGGTTTCACTGAGAAGAAGAAATAACGGAAGCGACGTCCCTCCTCTCTGAGCTGATTGTGACAGGCTGACCTCATCCCCTTTCTCTAGCCTGTACCCCTCCTCCCCTTAATACCTTATGGTGTCTCGGGGTTCACCCGTCCTCATTACTTTTATAGGAGAAGCTTCCACCAGAGCTCCGAGAACCTGTAGGTTTGTGAAGGAAGGAACTCTCTAAAATTCTGCGGAAAATGTCCTGTGTGTCTGTTACGGGCTAAATTAAGTCCCCCACAAAAATATATGTTAAAATCCCAACTCCCCAGAAACTCAGAATGGAACTGTATTTAAAAATAAGATCCTTTAGAAGGCCGAGGCGGGTGGATCACCTGAAGTCAGGAGTTCGAGACCAGCCTGGCCAATATGCTAAAACCCCGTCTCTACTAAAAATACAGGCATGGTGGCCAGCGCTTGTAATCCCAGCTATTAGTGAGGCTGAGGCAGGAGAATCGCTTGAACCGGGGAGGCGGAGGTTGCGGTGAGCCGAGATTGAACCACTGCCCTCCAGCCTGGGTGACAGAGCGAGACTATCTCAAAAAAAAAAAAAAAAAAAAAAAAAAGGATCATTATAGATTCAGTT
This sequence comes from Homo sapiens, assembly GCF_000001405.40. NCBI lineage: Eukaryota > Metazoa > Chordata > Mammalia > Primates > Hominidae > Homo > Homo sapiens. The sequence continues at coordinate 1,203,142 of NC_000023.11, forward strand.
AGTTAGGATCATTATAGATTCAGTTAGTTAGGATGAGGTCATACTGGAGAAGGAAGGGTTCTAAATCCAATGACAGGTGTCCTTCTCGGAGACAGAGGAGGAGATGCAGACACAGAGGAGGAGGCCACGTGGAGACGGAGGCAGAGACTGGAGTGATGGGGCCACAAGCCCAGGGATGCCTGGAGCCCCCAGGAGCTGGGAGAGGTAGGAAGGAGCCTCCCCTAGAACCCTGGAAGGAACTGAATATAATTATACTGAATGGAACAGTGGCCCCCAGAAACATCTGTCCACATCCTAAAGCCCAGGACCTGGAATGAGACCGGATTTGGAAATAGGCTCTCTGCAGATGTAATTAGGTGAAGGACCTTGAGGTGAGATCATCCTGGAGTAGGGTGTCCCCTAAATCTAATGACAGGTGCCCTTGTAAGAGACAGAAGAGGAGACACAGAGGAGAAGGCCACATGGAGACGGAGGCAGAGACTGGAGTGATGCGGCCACAAGCCCAGGGACACCTGGAGCCCCCAGGAGCTGGGAGAGGCAGGAAGGATCCTCCCTTAGAACCTCCAGAGGGAATGCGGCTCTCAGAAATCTCCATCTCAGACTCATGGGCTTCAAAACTGGGAGAGAATAAATTTCTGCTGTTTTAAGCCTCCAGTTTGTGGTGACCTATTATAGCCCAGGAAACGCACCCAGTATCTGTAAGTAATTTCGCGAATAAAGAGTTCATAGTTCTCACCGGATTCTCAAACAGATCCGTTTCCCCTACCTCTAAAAAATAAAAAAGTAAAAAAGAAACCCAGCCTTACAGAATTCTAGGATAAAGAATAAACATTTTGGAAACAGGGTTTCCCTACATTTGTCCCTCATTTCCTCGCCCGAGACTTAACAGCCAGTTCTCAACGCACATAAGAAAACCAGCCTGGGCAACAGAGCAAGACCCTCTCTCTCAAAAAAAAGAGAGAACATCCAGTGAGTGGGATGAGGATGAGAGAGTATTTCCAGCTCACTCTGTGTGTGTGTGTGTGTGTGTGTGTGTGTGTAGGCAGGGCACCAGAGAGCATCTCTAATTAATTCCCTTATTTAATTTAATGAATTTATTTATTTGAGATGGAGTTTCACTCTTGTTGTCCAGGCTGGAGTGCAATGGCGCGATCTCGGCTCACCACAAACTCCGCCTCCCAGATTCAAGAGATTCTCCTGCCTCAGCGTCCCGAGTAGCTGGGATTACAGGCATGCACCACCAAGCCCGGCTAATTATGTATTTTTAATAGAGATGGAGTTTCTCCATGTTGGTCAGGCTGGTCTCGAACTCCCCACGTCACGTGATCCCCCTGCCTTGGCCTCCCAAAGTACTGGGATTACAGGGGAGAGCCACCGCCCTGGGCCTTATTTATTTTTAAATAATAAATTTATAAATCGCCCAGGCTGCAGTGCAGTGGCACCGTCTTGGCTCACTGCAGCCTCCGCCTCCCGGGTTCAAGCAATTTCCCTGCCTCAGCCTCCCGAGTAGCTGGGATTACAAGCGTGTGCCACCACGCCTGGCTAATTTTTTTTAAATTATTTTTAATAGAGACGGGGTTTCACCACGTTGGCAAGGCTGGTCTCGAACTCCAGACCTCAAGTGATCCGCCCGCCTTGGTCTCCCAAAGTACCGGGATTACAGGGGTAAGCCACCACCCTGGGCCTTATTTATTTTTAAATAATGAATTTATAAATCGCCCAGGCTGGAGTGCAGTGGCACCAACGTGGCTCACTGCAGCCTCTGCCTCCCAGGTTCAAGCAATTTCCCTGCCTCAGCCTCCCGAACAGCTAGGATTACAGGCATGCGCCACCAGCCCGGCTAATTTTTTGTTTGTTTGTTTGTTTGTAGAGATGGGGTTTCACCATGTTGGTGAGGCTGGTCTCGAACTCCAGACCTCAAGTGATCCGCCCGCCTTGGCCTCCCATAGTGCTGGGATTACAGGCGTGAGCCACCGCGCCCCGCCTTTAATTCATTCCCTTAAATCACAGTCTCCCGGGGTCATCTGGTCTCCCCACTGGGGGCAGATTCAATCCCCAACCAGTGTGCGTGTAAGAGGGAACTTCCTGGAAGGCCGGTTTCTTCCCACTTGGAGTGAGGAGCTGGGCACCGGGCTCTAGTGGCCAATGGTCCATGAGCTTGATTTTCAGAACTTAACTGAAAGTAACTGAAGGTAAGGAGATGAAGGGGTACTGAAAAGTGTGCTGGGATTGCTTTTCAATCGTTACGGTAATCATTGATCCCGCGACTTGCGAGAGCTTGCTTTTCGGTACTTATGATAATCAGCTGAAGGAAGTACTGAAAAGCATGCTGAGCTTGCTTTTCAATTGTTATGGTAATCATTGATCCCGCGACTTGCGAGAGCTTGCTTTTCAGTACTTATGGTAATAAGCTGAAGGAAATACTGAAAAGCATGTTGAGCTTGCTTTTCAATAGTTACGGTAATCATGGATCCGGTTATTTGCATGAGCTTTTTTATTTATGGCAATAAGCTGAAGGAAGTAGTGAAAAGGATGCTGGGCTGCTTTTCAATAGTTACGGGAATCTGATCCTGCGACTTGCTAGAGCTTGCTTTTCAGTACTTATGGTAATAAGCTGAAGGAAGTACTGAAAAGCATGGTGAGCTTGCTTTTCAATAGCTACGGTAATCACTGATCCAGTGACTTGCATGAGCTTGCTTTATCAGTACTTATGGTAATAAGCTGAAGGAAGTACGAAAAGCATGGTGAGCTTGCTTTTCAATAGTTATGGTAATCATGGATCCGGTAATTTGCATGAGCTTTTCAGTACTTATGGTAATAACCTGAAGGAAGTAGCGAAAAGTAGGCTGGGTTGCTTTTCAGTGGTTACGGTAATCATTGATCCAGCGACTATCATGAGATTGCTTTTCGGTACTTACGGTAATCAGCTGAAGGAAGTAGTGAAAAGCGTGCTGAGCTTGCTTTTCAATTATTACGGTAATCATGGATCCGACGATTTACGTGAGCTTTTCAGTACTTACGGTAATAAGCTGAAGGAAGTACTGAAAACTATGCTGAGCTTCCTTTTCAATAGTTACGGGAATCATTGATCCCGCGACTGGCTGGAGCTTGGTTTTTCGTTACTTACAGTAATAAGCTGCAGGAAGTACTGAAAGGCATGGTGAGCTTGCTTCTCAATAGTTAACGGTAATCATGGATCCGGCGATTTGCATGAGCTTGGTTTTCAGTCCTTGTGGTAATAAGCTGAAGGAAGTACTGAAAAGCATGGTGAGCTGGCTTTACAATACTTACGGTAATAAACCATCCAGCGACTTGCGGTGAAAACGGGGTGCGTCCCATTCCTGATGGAGAAATAGAGAATGTCGTCTCGCTGCTCTGCGTCTAGGAGGCACCCCGAAGTGTGACCTTCCTGGAGAAGGTAGTTGGTGCACTGGTCATAGGCCTCATCACCGTTGAATCTGTGGTTTAAAACGATGACCATTCAGCAACAAAACAAAAAAGCATGTCTTATTTATTTAGAGATGGGGTCTTGCTCTTGTCGCCCAGGTTGGAGTGCAATGGCGCGATCTCAGCTCACTGCAACCTCTGCCTCCCGGGTTCAAGCAATTCTCCTGTCTCAGCCTCCTGAGTAGCTGGGATTACAGGCACCTGCCACCATATACAGCTAATTTTTGTAGTTTTACTGGAGACAGGGTTTCACCATGTTGGGGCCAGGCTGGTCTGGAACTCCTGACCTCAGGTGATCCATACACCTTGGCCTCCCAAACTGCTGGAATGAGAGGTGTGAGCTACCACACCGGCTTTTTTTTTTTTTTTTTTTTTAAGATGGTGTCTCGCTCTGTCCCTGAGGCTGGAGTGCAGTGGCACGATCTCGGCTCATTGCAATCTCTGCCTCCCGGGTTCAAGCGATTCTCCTGCCTCTGCCTCCTGAGTAGCTGGGATTACGGGCACGCACCACCACCCCCAGCTAATTTTTGTGTTTTTAATAGAGATGGGATTTCGCCATGTTGACCAGGCTGGTCTCGATCTCCTGACCTCAGGTGATCCACCCGCCTCGGCCTCCCAGAGTGCTGGGATTACAGGCGTGAGCCACCGCGCCCGGCCGTTTTTTTATTTGTTCGTTTGTTTTTTGAAACAGAGTTTTGTTCTTGTTGCCCAGGCTGGAGTGCAATGGCGTGATCTCGGCCCACTGCAACCTCTGCCTCCCGGATTCAAGCGATTCTCCTGCCTCAGCCTCCCAAGTTGCTGGGATTACAGGCGCACGCCCCCGCGCCCGGCTAATTTTTTTGTATTTTTAGTAGAGACGAGGTTTCACCATGTTGGCCAGGCTGGTCTTGAACTCCTGACCTCAGGTGATCCACCCCCCCCCCCCTCAGCCTCCCAAAGTGCTGGGATAACAGGCATGAGCCAACACCCCCCCCAAGAACTGCCCCTTTTACAGAGGAAGAAACTGAGCTGAATTCTGCAACTACGTGCAAAATCCAGCACTTTTTTTTTTCTTTTTGTGAGGTTTTTGTTTTGTTTTGTTTTGTTTTTGAGACAGTCTCGCTCTGTCGGCCAGGCTGGAGTGCAATCTCGGCTCACCGTGAACTCCGTCTCCCAGGTTGAAGCGATTCTCTTGCCTCAGCCTCCTGAGTAGCTGGGATTACAGGCACCTGCCGCCACGCCCGGCTAGTTTTTGTATTTTTAGTAGAGTTGGGGTTTCACCATGTTGGCCAGGATGGTCTGGAACTCCTGATCTCAGATGATCCACCCACCTCGGTCTCCCAACGGTGAGTCTTATTTTCCAAATAACTTCGTTTTAAAATTTCCCTGTTCTGTACGCTTTGCCGTTTATCTCTTTTGTTATCAAACTGAAGAATCATCCACCCATGATTAAATTTATTGGAAAAACCCTTCCTGCAATGTTCGTACGCATACTTCTGGGTGTCTAACTAAGCCAAAGTAAAAATAAAAATAAAGTCACATCAGGGAGACACAGGGTTGGGGGTAGCCCCGGGTAAGGCTGTGAAATGTTTCAGAGACTGAGTCTTTCCCTCCCCGGCTGCCTAGCAGATAAGACTTAAAGTTCACCCAGAGCTCTGGGTGAACAAAACTCTCTGTTAATCTCCCGTGAAGAATCTAGGTGATTTTCAGTCCGGATGCCGTGGCTCACGCCTGTCATCCCAGCACTTTGGGAGGCTGAGGCAGGTGGATCACATGAGGTCAGGAGTTTGAAACCGGCCTGACCAATATGGTGAATCACCATCTCTACTAAAAATACAAAAATTAGCTAGGCATGGTGGCAGGTGCCTGTAATCCCAGCTACTCGGGAGGCTGAGGCAGGGGAATGGCTTGAACCCGGGAGGCAGAGGTTGCAGTGAGCCGAGATTGCGCCACTGCACTCCAGCGTGGCAACGGAGTGAGACTCCGACTCAAAATAAAAACAAACAAAAAAAAGAATGTAGTTGATTTTGACAGTGAGTCAGCCATCCCTTGGCAAGAAGGTTTGGGGCAATGAGATTGTGGTTGTGGTGAGGGCTGAGGGTTTCACAGAACAAACATTCCGGCTTGCACAGTCTGATGCTTTACACTTTTGTTCTCAAGCATTCCCAATCGCTGACGGCTCAGAAGAGCGATTTTGAGCCCCCTGGGCGTGGGGTTCGCTTTCTGGGGGCCACTTACCTGTAGTGGAAAGTCAGGTTGGTCCTGGAGTATTTGCTGGCATTCCATGTCACCTGCACGGTTTCTAAATTGAAGTAGATGATCTGAATCTGTACTCCTTCTGCTAGACACAGAGAGACGCATGAAGTTCACGGTGAGGCAACTCTATTTTTTTATTTTTTTAAATTTATTTTTCTTTTTGAGACAGAGTCTCACTCTGTTGCCCAGGCTGGAGTACAATGGCACGATCTCGGCTCACTGCAACCTCCGCCTCCCGGGTTCAAGCGATTCCCCTGCCTCAGCCTCCCGAGTAGCCGGGATTACAGGCACCTGTCACCACACCTGGCTAATTTTTTGTATTTTTAGTAGAGACGGGGTTTCACCGTGTTAGCCAGGATGGTCTCGATCTCCTGACCTCATGATCCACCCGCCTCGGCCTCCCAAAGTACTGGGATTACAGGCGTGAGCCACCGCGCCTGACGTATTGTATTGCATTGTATTGCATTGTATTGTAGTGTAGTGTAGTGTAGTGTAGTGTAGTGTAGTGTAGTGTAGTGTATTGTGTGAGACAGACTCTCACTCTGTCACCCAGGCTGGACTGCAGTGGCGCAATCTCGGCTCACTGCAAGCTCCGCCTCCCGGGTTCACGCCATTCTCCTGCCTCAGCCTCCCGAGTAGCTGGGGCTACAGGTGCCCGCCACCATGCCTGGATAATTTTTTGTACTTTTAGTAGAGATGGGGTTTCACTGTGTTAGCCAGGATGGTCTCGATCTCCTGACCTCGTGATCCGCCCGCCTCATCCACCTAAAGTGCTGAGATTGCAGGCGTGAGCCACCGCGCCCGGCTGCTTTTGTTTTTGTTTTTGCAAAAGGTAAGTTCACCCACTAGTGCCATGCACAGATGTATCTGTATAGATCAATCATGTATCCAACAACACATCCCCTGTGGATACCTAAGGTGGCATCGGAAACTGTCCCCATCGATCCACCTTACTGTCTTTCTCAAAACACCACACACACCAACTTCAGAAATGGACTGGCCAGGTGCAGCGGCTCACGTCTGTAATCTTAACACTGGGAGGCCGAGGCGGGTGGATCACCCGAGGTCAGGAGTTCGAGACCAGCCTGGCCAACATGGTGAAACCCCGTCTCTACTAAAAACACAAAAAAATGAGCTGGACATGGTGGTGGGTACCTGTAATCCCAGCTACCTGGGAGGCTGAGGCAGGAGAATGGCTTGAACTCAGGAGGCAGAGGTTGTAGTGAACCGAGATCGTGTCACTGCACTCCAGCCTGGGTGACACAGCAAGACTCCCTATCAAAAAAAAAAAAGAAAAGAAAAGAAAAGAAAAGAAAAGAAAAGAAATGGGCCAACCGTAAAGAAGACTTTCTACGTTTGCTAGGAAGGTTGCATAGACTTCAGTAGGTTTGATGTTTCAAGAGGTCTGGGTTTGTAATTCCGAACAGGGACAATGGAAATATTTTAGAATTGAGCAAACATGTAATGATATTTTGCATAATGAAAGCCAAGTCTCTTTTTTTTATTTTGAGACAGAGTCTCGCTCTGTCGCCCACGCTGGAGTGCAGTGGTGCGATCCCGGCTCACTGCAAGCTTTGCCTCCCGGGTTCATGCCATTCTCCTGCCTCAGCCTCCCAAGTAGCTGGGACTACAGGCACCTGCCACCATGCCCGGCTGATTTTTTGTATTAGTACAGACGGGGTTTCACCGTGTTAGCCAGGATGGTCTCCATCTCCTGACCTTGTGATCCGCCCACCTCGGCCTCCCAAAGTGCTGGGATTACAGGCATGAGCCACAGCGCCCGGCCAAGTCTCTCACTGTCAAAGAAGTCAGTTACAGGTTTGGAAAGATGGGGTACAGTGAACCTTGTCATGTTGGGTTCTAAGTGGAGGTATCTGGAGGATAGATAGATACAGATAGATAGATAAATGGTAATGTTAGATAGATAGAATTATATAGATGATGATAGAAATAGTTAGACAGACAGACACAGATAGATAGGGATGGGTAGGTAGATGGATGAATCAATGGACAGGTGGGTGTATAGGTGGAAGACAAGTGGATGGGTGGGTGGATGGGTGAGTGGATGGATGAATAAATGGATGAACAGATACACAGGTGAATGGGTGGATGGGTGGATGGATGCATGGATAGATGGATACATAGATGTGTACATGGATGGGTGGATGGATGGATGGATGAGTGGATGAAAGTGTGGGTGAATGCATAGGTGGATGGATGGTTTGATGGGTGGGTGGATGGATGTGTTGGTGGATGGATGGATAGATGGATAAGTGGATGAAAGGATGGGTGGGTGGATGAGTGAGTCAGTGGATAAATAAATGGATGAACAGATACATAGGTGAATGGATGGATGGATGGATGGATGGATGGATGCATGGATAGATGGATACGTAGATGTGTACATGGATGGGTGGGTGGGTGGATGGATGGGTGGATGGATGGATGGATGGATGGATGGATGGATAAGTGGATAAAAGTGTGGGTGAATGCATGGATAGATGGATGTATTGGTGGGTGGATGGGTGGATGGGTGGATGGATGGATGGATGGATGGATGGATGGATGGATGGATGGATAAGTGGATAAAAGTGTGGGTGAATGCATGGATAGATGGATGTATTGGTGGATGGATGGGTGGATGGGTGGATGGATGGATGGATGGATGGATAAGTGGATAAAAGTGTGGGTGAATGCATGGATAGATGGATGTATTGGTGGATGGATGGGTGGATGGATGGATGGATGGATAAGTGGATAAAAGTGTGGGTGAATGCATGGATAGATGGATGTATTGGTGGATGGATGGGTGGATGGATGGATGGATGGATAAGTGGATAAAAGTGTGGGTGAATGCATGGATGGATGGATGTATTGGTGGATGGATGGGTGGATGGGTGGATGGATGGATGGATGGATGGATAAGTGGATAAAAGTGTGGGTGAATGCATGGATAGATGGATGTATTGGTGGATGGATGGGTGGATGGATGGATGGATGGATAAGTGGATAAAAGTGTGGGTGAATGCATGGATGGATGGATGTATTGGTAGATGGATGGGTGGATGGGTGGATGGATGGATGGATGTATTGGTGGATGGATGGGTGGATGGGTGGATGGATGGATGGATGGATGATAGATGGGTGGATGGGAGGATGGATAGATAACAGCTGGGTGGATGGTGGATGGATGGATGAGTGAATGAAAGGTTGGGTGGACGGATGGCTGGGTGGGTTGATGGGTGGGTGAATGTATGAGTGGATGAATCGTTTGATAGATGGGTGGATGGATATATTAGTGGATGGATCAATGAATAATAGATGGATGGATAGTGGATGGATGGGTGATTAATGGGAAAAGATAGATGAGATACATTGATGGATAGATTAAAAATGAATATATCTACCAATCAATCAATCAATAGATAGACACACACACGCACACATACAGTTCCTAGTTCTGGCCACCGAAAGCTCATATAAGCAGTGGATATTCCGGGAGCAATAAGTATACTTAATATTCATGTATTTACTTATAAATATGTTTTGTCCCAGCTACTTGAGAAGCTGAGGCAGGAGAATTGCTTGAACCCGGAAAAAAAAAAAAAAAAAAAAGAAAAGAAGAAAGAAACCTCCATGCTCATTGTTTAAGTTTTACAAAATAAAGAGTGCCTGGTTGCAAAGCAAACCACAAACCAAAATACAACAAGAAGAGGGTGTTTAAATAATTACCTGCTCCTCCTTGCCCCAAAGCCATCCAGCCTCCCAGCAGAAAGACGGCAGCTCCCCACAGCAGAACCAGCCGCCCCATGCCTGAAACAGGAGTGGAGAGTGAGGTCCTCAGGGACCTACAACGAACAGATCACTCATGACTCATAAGCAGAGGTCACCATCGATTTTAAAAAGTCAGAAAGGAAACTAGGGAAATGATTACAGGCAGGAAGCACAGTGACAGTTGATTTTCAAAGATACACTTGTCAAGAACACACACACACACACACACACACACACACACAATCAATCCAGGATCAGGACTGCCACGCACACTGCTGAGCTGAGCCCTCCCCTTCCCTCCCCCTCCCCCATCTCCTCCCCCTCCCCTCCATTCCCTTCCCTCCCTCCCCCTCCCCTCCCCTCCCCTCCATTCCCTCCCCACTCCCCTCCCCTCCCCCTTCCCCTCCCCTCTCTTTCCTTCCTTTCCCTTCCCCTCCCCTCCCCTCTCCCCTCCCCTTCCCCCTCTCCCCTCCCCTTCCCCCTCCCCTCCCCTCCCTTCCCTTCCTTTCACTTCCCCTCCCCCTCCCCTCTCCCCTCCCCTCCATCCCCTCCCCTCCCCTCCCTTCCCTTCTGCCTCTCCCCCACCCCCTCCTCCCTCCCCTCCCCCTCCCCCTTCCCTTTCCTCCCCTCCCCTCCTCCTCCCCACCTCCCCTCCCCCTCCCCTCCCCCTTCCCTCCCCTCCCCCTTCCCTCCCCTCCCTTCCCTTCCTTTCCCTTCCCCTCCCTTCCCCTTCCCCCCCACCCCACCCCCTCCCTTCCCATCCCCCTCCCATCCCCTCATCTTTTGTCCCCCTCCCTTCCCCCACCCCCTCCACCTATCCCCTCCCCTCCCCTCCATGGATGGTATATGGATGGATGGATAAGTGGATGAAAGGATGTGTGGATAGGTGGGTGGATGGATGGATAAATGGATGAACAGATACATAGGTGGATGGGTGGATGGATGCATGCATAGATGGATACGTAGATGTGTACATCCCCTCCCCTCCCTTCCCCTCCCCCCTCCCCCCACCCCCTCCTCCCTCCCCTCTCCCTCCCCCTTCCGTCTCCTCCCCTCCCCCTCCCCTCTCCTCCCCTCCCCCTCCCCACCTCCCCTTCCTTTCTCTTGCTTTTCCTTTCTTTTTTTTTGAGCTGGAGTCTCACTCTCTGTCACCCAGGCTGGAGTGCAGTGGCACGATCTTGGCTCACTGCAACCTCCTCCTCCCGGGTTCAAGCGATTCTCCTGCCTCAGCCTCCTGAGTAGCTGGGATTACAGGCGCCCACCACCACGCCTGGCTAATTTTTATATTTTTAGTAGAGATGGGGTTTCACCATGTTGGCCAGGCTGGTCTCAAACTCCTGACTTCAAGTGATCGGCCCGCTTCAGCCTCTCAAAGTGCTGGGATTATAGGCGTGAGCCACCGTGCCCAGCTTTTCTTTCCTATTCTTTGAGACAAGGTGTTCGTCTGGTACCCACGCAGGAGTGTTGTGGTGCAATCAGGACTCACCACAGCCTCAAACAGCTTGGCTCAAGCAATCCTCTTGCCTCAACCTCCCTAGTAGCCGGGATTACAGATGCATGCCACCCACCCTGCTGATTTTTGTATTTTTCATAGAGACGGGGTTTCACCATGTTGACCAGGCTGGTCTCAAACTCCTGGACTCAGGTGATCCACCCGCCTCGACCTCCCAAAGTGCTGGGATTATAGGCGTTAGCCACCGCACCTGGCCTGAGCTTTGCTTGAAAGCATATCACAGAGCAGCCTGGCCAACATGGCGAAACCCTGTCTCTACTAAAAAAAAAAATACAAAAATTAGCCAGGCGTGGTGGCACGCACCTGTAATCCCAGCTACTCAGGAGGCTGAGACGGGGAGAATCGCTTGAACCCAGGAGGCAGAGGTTGCAGCGAGCCAAGGTCACACCATTGCACTCCAGCCTTGTTGACAGAGCGAGACTCTGTCTCAAAAAAAAAAAAAAAATATGACATGCTAACTTTCTAAGCCCGGAATTCTTGCTCTCTGCTAAATGATGAGACTCGTGGATGAGTGTGCAGTTGTGTGGTCAGTGTTCTGTGATATACTCTGCACCCAAGCTGGGCTGGACATCCAGAGACTTCATAGTTCATCTGTCTTCAGACAAACGCAGAGTTCACCTTTGCCGCTGACCAGCTTCCCAGACCAAGGGACTCAAGCTTGTAGGCATTCTCCTCGTAACACCACAAACACTGTGATGGTAGCATATGCTGGGTAGATGGGGCCCCAGTTTAAGACTGTAGAGGACCGGGCACGGTGGCTCACGCCTGTCATCCCAGCACTCTGGGAGGCCGAGGCCGGAGGATCCCCTGAGGTCAGGAGTTCGAGACCAGCCTGGCCAACACGGTGAAACCCCGTCTCTGCTAAAAATACAAAAATTAGCCGGGCGTGGTGGTGGGTGCCTGTTATCCCAACTACTCAGGAAGCTGAGGCAGGAGAATGGCGTGAACCCGGGAGGCGGAGTTGGCAGTGAGCTGAGATCGTGCCACGGCACTCCAGCCTGGGCGACAAGAGCAAGACTCCGTCTCAAAATATATAAATAAATAAATAAGTGAATAAATAAAAGTCTGGAGAGAGCTGGTTGGAACAGACATGTCATCTTAAAAGATCTCGGCTCATGCCTGGAGATTCCTTGCGGTCAAAACACAAGTGTGCCAGGCAGAGCAGGTGATTCCTGTTGGTTGCCACCACTCCTTCGTACAAGCAAAGCAGAAGTGATTGTGGGAACTGTTTAGAGATGCGGTTTGGGGACTTTCAGAGCACAAATGCAGGATCTTTCTCCAGTACGTGACGGAAGAATTTTAGGTGTTCTTTTGCTTGACAGCAGGAAGATTGGATTAACCGTGAGTGACCAGTTTGAGACCACTAACATTTGTTTTATGTTTTTTTGAGGTGGAGAGTCTCCCTCTGTCACCCAGGCTGGAGTGCAATGGTGCAATCTCAGCTCACTGCAACTTCTGCCTCTTGGGTTCAAGCAACAGGCACCTGCCACCACACCTGGCTGATTTTTTGTTTTTCTGTTTTTGAGGGGTTATTTTTTGAGACGGAGTTTCTCTTGCTGCCCAGGCTGGAGTGCAATGGTGCAATCTCAGCTCACTGCAACTTCTGCCTCTCTGGTTCAAGCAGTTCTCCTGCCTCAGCCTGCCGAGTAGCTGGGATTACAGGCACCTGCCACCACACCTGGCTCCTTTTTTGTTTTTCTGTTTTTTTGTTTTTTGTTTTTTTGAGACGGAGTCTTGCTCTGTCGCCCAGGCTGGAGTGCAGTGGTGTGATCTCTGCTCACTGCAAGCTCCACCTTCAGGGTTCACGCCATTCTCCTGCCTCAGCCTCCCGAGTAGCTGGGACTACGGGTGCCCACCACCACGCCCGGCTTATTTTTGTATTTTCAGTAGAGACAGGGTTTCACCATATTAGCCAGGATGGTCTCGATCTCCTGACCTCGTGATCCGCCAGCCTCAGCCTCCCAAAATGCTGGGATGATGGGCATGAGCCACCGCGCCCCGCCCAATGCTTTCATTATTGAGAGCTCTGAGCTCCATGGTTCGTCATGGAAGAGATAAAATAATCCAAATAATGACACAGTGTGAAAGGTTAGATGACAACGTTGACCAGAATACCATGTCTCACGGAACCCTGTAGAGAGTAGGGGACAAGAAGGAAGTGTGAGCCTCAAGAACCATCTCCTGCCGGGCTCATTGGTTCATGCCTGTCATCCCAGCACTTTGTGAGGCCGAGGCGGGAGGATCACCTGAGGTCAGGAGTTCAAGACCAGCCTGGCCAACATGGAGAAACTCCGTCTCTACTAAAAATACAAAAATTAGCCAGGCGTGGTGGCAGGTGCCTGTAATCCCAGCACTTTGGGAGGCTGAGGCGGGAGGATCATCTGACTTCTGGAGTTAGAGACCAACATGGTGAAACCCTGTCTCCACTAAAAATAGAAAAATTAGCCAGGCGTGGTGGCATGCACCTGTTATCCCAGCTGCTCGGGAGGGTGAGGCAGGAGAATCGCTGGAACCCGGGAGGCGGAGGTTGCAGTGAGCCGAGATGGCACCACTGCATTCCAGCCTGGTGACAGGGCAAGACTCTGTCTCAAAAAAAAAAAAAAAAAAAAAAAAGCATCTCTGCCCAGGACCCTCCACAACTTCTGCTTCTACAGATGACAGAAATGGCTTCATTCAATACTCACTCAAGATACATTTGTTGAGGGTCTGTTATCTCCCAGGCACTGGGGAGGTGACAATAATATCACCTAGCTCAGAGAGACAAAGTGATAATATACATAAAACATTGAGCATTGTTCTGAATTCAGCCCCCAATCAACGTCCACTGTTACTACTGGACAGTAGATACTGTCGCATGCAAAGTAGGCAAGTCTGCAGAGAGAGAGAAAGGAGGTTGGCCTACAAACAGACAGGACTCCCTGCCCTCGTGAAGAATGCGTTCTGTAGGACGAGACGAAGCTTAAATAAGTACGTATGCTCTGGACATGGTCATGGTGAGCGCTGGGAAAAGGGGAAGTGGCCGGGCGCGGTGGCTCATGCCTGTAATCCCAATACTTTGGGAGGACGAGGCGGGTGGATCACCTGAGGCCAAGAGTTCAAGACCAGCCTGGACAACATAGTGAAACCCTGTCTCTACTGAAAATACAAAAATTAGCTGGGCATGGTGGCGGGTGCCTGTAATCCCAGCACTTTGGGAGGCTGAGGCGGGAGGATCACCTGAGGTCAGGAGTTCGAAACCAACATGGTGAACCCCCGTCTTCACTAAAAATACAAATATGAGCCGGGCATGGTGGCATGCACTTATAATCCCAGCTCCCCAGGAGGTTGAGGCAGGAGAATCACTTGATCCCAGGAGGCGAAGGTTGCAGTGAGCCAAGATCACACCACTGCATTCCAGCCTGGTGACAGAGCAAGACTCCATCTCAAAAAAAAAAAAAAAAGAAAAAAAAAGGAAGCATCTCTGCCCAGGACCCTCCACGAGTTCTGCTTCTACAGGTGTCAGAACTGGCTTCATTCAACATTCATTCAAGATACATTTGTTGGCCGGATGCGGTGGCTCACGCCTGTAATCCCAGCACTTTGGGAGCCCGAGGTGGGTGGATCACCTGAGGTCAGGAGTTCGAGACCAGCCTGGCCAACATGGTGAAAGCCCGTCTCTACTAAAAATACACACACAAAAAATTTAGCCAGGCGTAGTGGCAGGCACCTATAATCCCAGCTACTTGGGAGGCTGAGGCAGGAGAATCACTTGAATCCAGGAGGCGGAGCTTGCAGTGAGCCGAGATCGAGCCACTGCACTCCAGCTTGGGCAACAGAGTGAGACTCTGTCTCAAAAAGAAAAGAAAAGCAGCCAGTCACGGTGGCTCACGTCTATAATCCCAGCACTTTGGGAGGCTGAGGCGGGTGGATCACAAGGTCAGGAGTTTGAAACCAGCCTGGTCAATGTGGTGAAACCCTGTCTCTACTAAAAATACAAAAATTACCTTGGTGTGGTGGTGCATGCCTGTAATCCCAGCTACTTGGGAGGCTGAGACAAGAGAATTGCTTGAACCCAGTAGGTGGAGGTTGCAGTGAGCCAAGATCGTGCCACTGCACTCCAGTCTAGGTGACAGAATGAGACTCTATCTCACAAAAAAGAAAAAAAAAGAGAGAGAAAAAAGGAAAGGAAAAGGGAATTGGAGGGGGAGGAAGGGCAGAGGCAGAACTGCTGATTTCTGTGGTCAGGAAGGTTTTCGGACTGAGGACCTTCAGGCGTAAAGGAAGAAGCCCCTAAACCCAGCCTTGGCATCTCACTTACCCAGGGGTTCTTGACCTCTACCCTCGTGAGATTTTAGCTGGATAATTCTTGGTTGTGTGGGCTGTGTTATGCTTCATAGGATGCTGAGAAGTGTCCATGACCTCCACCCACTAAATGTCAGCAGCCCCTCCCAGCTCTTGCTGTGACAACCAAAAATTCCACTGAGGTTGCCAAGGGTTCCCTGGGGGGTGAAATCACTCCTCATTGTAAATCGCTGCCATAGATAGATAGATAGATAGATAGATAGATAGATAGATAGATAGACAGATATATAGACAGATACATAGCTACATAGAGCGATAGATAGATAGATAGATAGATAGATAGATAGATAGATAGATGATAGATAGATAGATATATAGACAGATACATAGCTACATAGAGCGATAGATAGATACATACATAGCTACATAGAGCGATAGATAGATAGATAGATAGATAGATAGATAGATAGATAGATGATAGATATATAGATACACAGATACATAGATAAATGAATGGGTAGATATGACAGATAGATTAGATACATAGATAAATAACAGATTGATAAATAGATGATAGATAAATGGATAGATAGATACATAGATACATAGATGAATGGATAGATGTGACAGATTAGATAGATAGATGGATAGATGATAGACGATAGGTAGATACATAGATACAAAGGTAGATAGATGAATGAGTAAATAGATGATAGATAAGTGGGTAGATAGAGATTGATGACGGATGGATAGATGATAGATAAATGGATAGATGAATGGATAGATATGACAGATTAAATAGATGGATAGATGAATAGATAGATTATAGGTAGGTAGATACAAAGGTAGAAGAATGAGAGGCGGGTAAATAGATGATAGATAAGTGGGTAGATAAATGATAGACATAGATAGACAGATAGATAGATATGACAGATGGATAGATAGATGATAGATAAATGGATAGATAGATACATAGATACATAGATGAATGGATAGATATGACAGATAGATTAGATACATAGACGAATAGATAGATGATAGGTAGATACATAGATACAAAGGTGGGTAGATAGATAAGTGGGTAGATAAATGATAGATAGATAGATAGATAGATAGATAGATACATACATACATACATACATACATACATACCTGAATGAGTGAGTACATAGATAGATGATGGATGGATAGATAAATAGATGATAGATAGATAGATAAATGAATGGATAAATAGATGGATACACGGATGAATGGAAAGATAGATGATACATAGATATATAGATAAACGAATGGATAGATGACAGATAGCTAGATAGATAGGCAAATGGATAGATACATGATAGGTAGATACATAGATACAAAGGTAGATAGATCAATGAGTGGGTAGGTAGATGATAGATAAGTGGGTACATAGATAATAGATAAATGAATGGATAGATGGATAGATAGATGGATGAATGGATAGATCATAGATACATAGAAACATAGATGAATGGATAGATGACAGATAGATAGATGAATGGATAGATAGATAAACATAGATAAATGTGGGCCGGATGCGGTGGCTCACACCTGTAATCCCAGCACTTTGGGAGGCCAAGGCAGGCAGATCACGAGGTCAGAAGATTGAGACCATCCTGGCGAACACAGTGAAACCCCGTCTCTACTAAAAATACAAAAAAAAAAAAAAAAAAAACTGAGTGTGGTGGCGGGCACCTGTAGTCCCAGCTACTTGGGATACTGAGGCAGGAGAATGGGTTGAACCTGGGAGGCAGAGGTTGCAGTGAGCCGAGATCACACCACTGCACTACAGGCTAGGTGACAGAGCGAGACTCCGTCTCAAAAAAAAAAAAAGAAGCATAGGTAAATGAATGGATAGATAGATGACAGATAGATACATAGATGAATGGATAGAAAGATGATAGGTAAATACATAGATGCAAAGGTGATAAATGAGTAGGTAGATAGTTGATAGATAGCTATATAAATCCATCCATCCATACATACATAGATACATACATAGATGAATGAGTGGATAGATGATAGATAGATAGATAGATACATAGATAGATAGATACATAGATACATAGATACATAGATAGATAGATTGAATGGGCCAGGCGCGGTGGCTCACACCTGTTATCCCAGCACTTTGGGAGGCCGAGGCTGGCAGATCACAAGGTCAAGGGATCGAGACCATCCTGGCCAACACGGTGAAACCCTGTCTCTACTAAAAATACAAAAATTAGCTTGGTGTGGTGGTGCCTGCCTGTAATCCCAGCTACTCAGGAGGCTGAGGCAGGAGAATCGCTTGAACCCAGGAGGCTGAGGCTGCAGTCAGCTGAGATCACAACACAGCACTCCAGCCTGGCGAAACAGTGAAACTCTGTCTCAAAAAAAAAGATAGGTGGATAGATAGATAGATAGATGAATAGATGGATAAATGGTTAGATAGATGATAGATACATATATAGATAGAAAGGTAGAAGAATAGATGAATAGAAAGATAAATGGGTAGATAGATGATATTAATAGATACATAGAAGAATGGAGGGGTAGATAGATGATGGATGGATAAATAGATGGATACGTATATGGATGCATGGATAGATGAATGGATAGATGATAGATACATACATAGATGATAGAATGGATTGCTAGATAGATGAATAGACAGAAAAGTGATTAGATAGATGATAGATACATAGATAAATAGATTAATGAATGGGTAGATAGGTGATAGATAGGATAAATAGATGAATAGATGGATAAATCGTTAGACGATAGATACATAGATAGGTAGCAGAATGGATGAATAGATGGATAAATGGATAGATGATATTAATTGATATGTAGATAGAAAGAAGTATGGATGAATAGATGAATGGATGGATAGATAAATGATAGATGAATGATTGATAGATAGATAAATAGATAGATAGATAGAGAGAAAGAACACAAGATAAAGAGAATTTCTCACGCTAAGTCAGGGTTTCTCAACTTTGAAGCTGTTTCCGCCCAGGATATTCTCATCTGCGTCGTTCTCTGCTGTGAGGCCGTCCTGTGCATTGGGGGATGTGGGGCAAACGTCTAGACCATACCCAGTAAATGTCAGCAGTATCCCCCACCAAGTCATGACAAGCAAAAACGTCTCCATCCTTTTCCAAATGTCCACTGAAAGTTGAGAGAGAGACCTCCCTTCCTCTCCCGTCCCAACCCTCCATTGTCCCCAGCGCCGCCCCAGGGTCACTGGAGCTTCCAGCTCTTCTCCAAATGCCTTCTGGGAGCTGTGATTTCAGGAATTTTACGCAACAAGAGGAGACAATTGTAGGCTGATAACAAGGGGAGACCTGCGGGCCACAGAGGCCAATCCAAAGTCAAACTAGACAACCAGGGTTCACCTTAGTTCTTCTGAGACTCAGGAATTGTAATCTGGAGAAATGGGTCTTTCATGGAGACAGAAACACATGGTTCCTGAAAATGGATTATTACAGCTACTCAGCTCAATTAAATTTAAAAAAAGGAGTATTTGCTCTTGGGGGAACCCGTAATGCATGATGAGAAACTTGGAATACATCAAGTTCCCTTGCACCTCCTTGTCAATTACTAAGCGCATTTCCCCCGCGCTTCATAGCTCCTTCCACTGAAACACAGAATGAAAGACACGACTCTGGGAAGGGTGATACCGTGGGAAGAACACGCTTGCTGGAGTTGGGCGAACAAGATGAACTGCCAGGTGTGTTTGTTTTTTTGTTTGTTTTTGAGACGGAGTCTCACTCTGTCACCCAAGCTGGAGTGCAGTGCCTCAATCTCGGCTCATGGCAACCTCCACCTCCTGGGTTCAAGCAATTCTCCTGCCTCAGCCTCCTGAGTAGCTGGGAGCACAGGCACCCACCAACATGCCCAGCTAATTTTTGTATTTTTAGTACAGACAGAGTTTCACCATGTTGGCCAGGCTGGTCTCAAACTCCTGACCTCAGGTGATCCACCCACCTCAGCCTCCTAAAGTGCTGGGATTACAGGCATGAGCCACCATGCCTGGCTGCCAGGTGTTATATGTAAAGTTTCAGTGCCACAAAAGGAATAGCACTCAAATATAAAATTTTCTTTTTAATTCTCAGCAAGGCAAGGTACTTCTATAGAAGGGTGTCCCGTACAGATGGAACAATGGCAAGTGCATAGCTGGACAAGGGAGGGGAAGGGGTCCTTATCCCTGACGTACGTGGCCCCTGTGCTGTGTCGTTCCTCTGTTGGCTAGGGTTAGACCGCACAGGCTAAACTAATAACGATTGGCTAATTTAAAGAGAGTGACGGGGTGAGTGCTTTGGGGGGAGTCAGGGAAGAGCAGATAGCATGTAATCGGAATGAGTCAGGGTGGAGCAGGTGATCGAAAAAGTTTGCTTTACAAGGAAGTTAAAAAGTAGAAGGCAAACGATTGAACATACTAACATATTAACTCTTTGAAAAGAAACTTAGAACTCATATCTAATACGGGGAAATTCGTCAGCCACTTCAGTGCTCTGGCTTTTCCCTTTACAAGGGTATACGTTTGGGGGCATTAAGGTCTGAAGGGGCAGGCAAAGCACGTCCTCCTTTCTGGACTCCAGAGTGGAAACTTATTCTACGCACGTTCTGAAGGTCATCCTTGTCTGTCATGCAGATGACACACACCCAACTGCCCCGCTTCCTTTTTCTTCATCATCTTTATCCCAAACCACAAACCAATATTCTGTTGTTTGTGTTTCACAATAGCAGGCATGGACAATGAGTCAGCTGGGAGGAAAACAGGAGGATGGCAGCCATCAAACATCTCTTCCAATGCAGCTCAACATGGAACAGCTGCTCTAAGAAGGCCTTTCTAATTTCTTCCATAGATTGCTTTTTACTAATCCTGAGTGAGGGGATTGTTTTGGTTATCAATTGTCATGTGACACATTAACCTGGAAACATAGAGGCATTGAGGAACTCCAACTTGTTGTTATGTGGTGTGATTCTGAGGGCTGACAGGGCTCAGCTGGGAGGTTCTTCTGCTCCATGTGGTGTTGACTGGGGCTGTAGGAAACTGGAGGATTGATTGGGCAGGTGTGTTCTAGTTGGTTCAATCACATGTCTTGTAGCTGGGCTGAAGTTCAACTAAGGACTTGACTTGGGCTGTGTCTATCTGCTGGCTTAATGGATCCAGAACATTCTAGATGGCTCACTCATATACCTGGAAGCTGGGCTGTGTGTCAGCTGACTTGGGCCGTACCTATCTGCTGGCTTAATGGATCCAGAACATTCTAGATGGTTCCTTCACATACCTGGAAGCTGGGCTGAGTGTCATCTGATAGTGCTTAACTCAGGCCGTATCTATCTACAAACTTAATACGTCCAGAACATTCTCAAGGGCCCATTCATTTGGAAGCCCACCTGGAGGCTGAGTGGAAAGTCAGCTGAGAGCTTGGCTTGGACCCTATCTATCTGCAAACCTCAGAACATTCTCAAGGGCCCATTGATTTGGAAGCTCACCTGGAAGCTAGGCAGGTCAGTTGAGAGCTAGACTTGGGCTGTATCTATCTATGTGCAGACTTACTTGGTGCAGAATCTTCTGGATGGTTGACTTACATATGTGGAAGCTGGGCGGAGACTCAGCCCATTTGTGCTGGAAGGCTGATAGAACCAGAACATTCCGGAAGGTTCGCTCACATGACTTTCATTTCCACCCCATTCTATTGGCCAAAGCAAACCATGGGTTAGCCCAGACTCAATGGAAGACAAAGTGTACTCCAGCTCTCCTGGGGGTTTGGGAAAAGGGCTCTGTGAAGCATTTGCACCCACCTTTCTTTCTCCACAATAGGTACCTCCTTTAAACAAAGTCTACTGGCAGGGCAGGGTGGCTCACGCCTGTAATCCCAGCACTTTGGGAGGCCAAGGTGGGTGGATCACCTGAGGTCAGGAGTTCAAGACCAGCCTGGCCAATATGGTGAAACCCTGTCTCTACTAAAAATACAAAAATTAGCCTGACGTGATTGGGGGCGCCTGTAGTCCCAGCTACTTGGGAGGCTGAGGCAGGAGAATCACTTGAACCCGGGAGGTGGAGGTTGCAGCGAGCCGAAATCGAGCCACTGCACTCCAGCCTGGGCAACAGAGTGAGACTCCATCTCAAAAAAAAAGAAAAGCAGCCTGGCGCAGTGGCTCACACCTGTAATCCCAGCACTTTGGGAGGCCGAAGTGGGCGGATCACAAGGTCAGGAGTTTGAGACCAGCCTGGTCAATGTGGTGAAACCCCGTCTCCACTAAAAATACAAAAATTAGCCCGACGTGATTGGGGGCGCCTGTAGTCCCAGCTACTCGGGAGGCTGAGGCAGGAGAATCACTTGAACCCGGGAGGTGGAGGTTGCAGCGAGCCGAGATTGCACCACTGCACTCCAGCCTGGGTGACAGAGCAAGACTCCGTCTCAAAAAAGTATATAAATAAAATTTTAAAAATTTTTTAAAATATTTTTTAAAAAAATTTTTTTAAATTACATAAAAATTAAAAAAATAAAATACAGGCTAGTGTTACTTCAAAAAAACAAAAACTTCATTCTCGGCTTTAACTCAAGATTCGGTCTCCTCATCGCCAGGGTAAAGCCTCAATCTTAAATGTCAAACACTTTCTGTATTGAATTGAGTCAAAATGTACATTGTGAGGTGATCTCTTATCTCTAGCTGTTTCTGTTTCGAAAAATCTGCCAGACCAGCTGAATCTAATCATGAAAAAGAAATAGGGGCTTGCTGCCGTGAGCAGTGTGGTTTCCTATCAGATTAAGTGCCGAGCCAAAGCCAATTGACTCCACCTTGCTGTGAGGATTCCCCTCCCCGTCCCAACCCTCCATTGTCCCCAATGCCCCAGGGACACTGGAGCTTCCAGCTCTTCTCCAGTTGACTTCTGGGGGCTGTGATTTCAGGAATTTTACACAGGAAGCGGAGACAATTGTAGGCTGATAACGAGGGGAGACCTGCAGGCTGCAGAGGCCAATCCCAAGTCAAAATACATAACCAGGGTTCACCTTGGTCCTTCTGAGACTGAGGAATTGTGATCTGGAGAAATGGGTCTTTCACGGAGACAGAAACGTGTGGTTCCTGAAAATGGATTATTACAGCTACTCAGCTCAATTAAATTTAAAAAAAAGGAGTATTTGCTCTTCAGGGCAACCATAACAGAAGGGTTTCCCCACTCCAGCAGAGGGAACGGTTATATGCATAGTACTGCAGTGTTTTATTTTATTTTATTTTATTTTTTGAGGCAGAGTCTTGCTCTGTCACCCAGGCTAGAGTGCAATGGTGAGATCTCGGCTCACTGCAACCTCCGCCTCCTGGGTTCAAGCGATTCTCCTGCCTCAGCCTCCTGAGTAGCTGGGAGTACAGTTGCCCGCCACCACGTCAGGCTAACTTTTGTATTTTTAGTAGAGACGGGATTTCACCATGTTGGCCAGGCTAGTCTCGAACTCCCGACCTCATGATCCACCCGCCTTGGCCTCCCTAAGTGCTGGGATTACAGGCGTGTGCCGCCGCGCCCTGCCACAGCAGTGTTTTATAGCACAGGATGATGCTAGGAGTCTGTTGTGATTTCATTTGTTTGAGGCAAGATTTTGTTCTGGGCTGGGTACAGCCAAGAACTGTACTACTGCACTCCAGCCTGGGCAACAGAGTGAGAATCCATCTCAACAAAAAATAATAAATAAATAAATTGATATATGAATTGTCAGATAGATGGGTGGGTGGAGGGAGGAAGGGAGGGAGGGAGGAGTAGATGAATGGATAGATTGATGGATGGATGGGTAGATGGATAGGTAGATGAATTAATGGATGGATGAACAGATGGATAGATGAGTGGGTGGATGAATAGATGGGTTGGTAAATGGATGGATGGATGGATGGATGGATGGATGGATGGATGGATGGATAAATGCAAGAGTGGGTGGATGGATAGATGGTTAGATGGGTTGGTGGATGAATAGATGGGTTGGTGGATGGATGAGTGGATACAAGAATGGATTGAGGAATGGATGGATGGGTGGGTGAATGGATGGATGGATAGATAAATGAATGGGTGGTTGGTGGGTGGGTGGATGGATGGATGGATGGATGGATGAGTTGGTGGGTGGGTGGTTGGATGGATGGATGGATGGATAAATGGATGGGTGGGTGCATGGGTGGATGAATGGATAGATGGGTGGATGGATGGATGGATGAGTTGGTGGATAAATAGATGGGTTAGTGGATGGATGGGTGAATGGATAAATGGATGGATTGAGGAATGGGTGGATGGGTGGGTGGATGGATGAATAGATGGGTGAGTGGGTGGATGGATGGATGGATAGATGGATGGATGGGTGGATAGAAGAGTCAGTGGATAAATAGATGGGTTGGTGGATGGATGGATGGATGGATGGATGGATGGATACATGAGAGGATGGATGATCTATCTATTAGACAGATGGGTTGGTGGATGGATGGGGGCATGAATGGATGGATGGATGGATGGATGGATGGATGGATGGATGGATGGATATATGAGAGGATGGGTGAGTGGATGGGTGGGTGGATGGATGGATGGATGGATGGATACATGAGAGGATGGATGATCTATCTATTAGACAGATGGGTTGGTGGATGGATGGGGGCATGAATGGATGGATGGATTGAGGAATGGGTGGATGGATGGATGGATGGATGGATGGATGGATGGATGGATACATGAGAGGATGGGTGAGTGGATGGGTGGGTGGATGGATGGATGGATACATGAGAGGATGGGTGAGTGGATGGATGGGTGGATGGATGGATTGAGGAATGGGTGGATGGGTGGGTGGACAGATGAATAGATAGGTGAGTGGGTGGGTAAATGGATGGATGGATGGATAGATGGATGGATGGGTGGATAGATTAGTTGGTAGATAAATAGATGAGTTGGTGGATGGATGGGGGTATGGATGGATTGGATGGATGGACGGATGGACTGAGGAATGGGTGGATGGATGGATGGATGGATAGATGGATGGATGGATGGATACATGAGAGGATGGGTGAGCGGATGGGTAGGTGGATGGATAGATGGATGGATGGATGGATACATGAGAGGATGGATGGGTGGATGGGTGGATGAGTGGATGGATGGAAGGATGGATGGATGGATGGATGGATGGATGGATGGATGGATGGATACATGAGAGGATGGGTGAGTGGATGGGTAGGCGGATGGATGGATTGAGGAATGGGTGGATGAGTGGGTGAATGTGTAGATGGGATGGGTGAGTCCACAAGTCTTGCTCACCTCCCAGCTGAGAATATGTGTCCTACTTTATTTGGTCTATAGACAATGCTTAATTCTTGGACCCACAGAAGAGTGTCTTGCCAACACTCCCCCATCTCATGCCATCCATAGGTGAGATATCCTCTGGCCACTGAAGGGGCCTCTGACATCTATATTTTTTTTCCAGAAGCTCAGATCCGTTCCCAGACAAAATCATAAAACTCTTAACAAACATTATAATGATGGATGGATGGATGGATGGATGGATGGATGGATGGATGGATGAATGAATGAATGGGTGGATGGATGGATAGATGGGTGAGTGAGTGGGTGGGTTGATGGATGGATGGATATTACTATTATTTTATTTATTTATTTTTTTGAATTGGAGTCTCACTCCATTGCCCAGGCTGGAGTGCAATGGCATGATCTCGGCTCACTGCAACTTCCACCTCCTGGGTTCAAGTGATCCTCCTCCCTCAGCCTCCCAAGTAGCTGGGATTACAGGCATGCACCACCAGGCCCGGCTAATTTTTTTTATTTTTGGTAGGGATGGAGTTTCACCATGTTGGCCAGGCTGGTCTCGAATTCCCGACCTCAGATGATCCACCCAACTCGGCCTCCCGAAGTGTTGGGATTACAGGCATAAGCCACTGCGCCCGGCCCTATTCCTTTATTGTTATAAAATAATAATAATAATGTAATTAAGTAAATGGTCCTTCACCTCTCTGTTCAACCATTTTCCTACCCTTGATTTACCATCAACTGCCTTTTTTTTTTTTTTTTTTGGAAAAGTGTGGAGTTATTCCAAAGAAAACCTCCTATAGGTAATGTGTAAACATCGTGACCAGAAATCCTGGAGATCCACGAAGGCAACTACAAAGACTATGAAGGGAAACTACAGAAGTGGTTTTCTTAAAAAAATATACAGGCTATTTTTAGAGTGTTTTTAGGTTTAGAGCAAAATTTGCAGAAAGTACAGAAAGTTCTTATATATCCTCTCCCCAGCTCACAGCTTCGTCTATGGTGAACACCCTGCCTCAGCTTGGTGTGTTTGTTACAATCCATGAACTAATACTGATATATTATGAACAGAATAGTCAATAACAGTTCACATTAGAGTTCTTTTTTTTGAGACAGAGTCTCACTCTGTCGCCCAGGCTGGAGTGCAGTGGCGCGATCTCAGCTCACTGCAACCTCCGCCTCCTGGGTTCACGCCATTCTCCTGCCTCAGCCTCCCGAGTAGCTGGGACTACAGGCACCCTCCACCACGCCCGGCTAATTTTTGTATTTTTACTAGAGACGGGGTTTCACCATGTTGGTCAGGCTGGTCTCGAACTCCTGACCTCAGGTGATCCGCCCGCCTCAGCCTCCCAGTGCTGGGATGACAGGTGTGAGCCACCACTCCCAGCCCATGTTAGAGTTCTTTGTTGCTGTTGGCCGGGCGCGGTGGCTCACGCCTGTCATCCCAGCACTTAGGGAGGCCGAGACGGGTATATCACCAGGTCAGGAGATTGAGACCATCCTGGCTAACATGGTGAAACCCCATCTCTACTAAAAATACAAAAATAATTAGCCGGGCGTGGTGGCGGGCGCCTGTAGTCTCAGCTACTCGGGAGGCTGAGGCAGGAGAATGGCGTGAACCTGGGAGGTGGAGTTTGCAGTGAGCTGAGATCGCGCCACTGCACTCCAGCCTGGGCGATAGAGCGAGCCTCCATCTCAAAAAAAAAAGAGTTCTTTGTTGCTGTTGTAAGTTCTGTGCGTTTGGACAAACATATAGTGACGTTGGATGGACCATTATACGATCAAATGGAGGAGTTTCACTGCTCTAAAAATCCCCTGAGTTCTACCTGTTCATTCCTCCCTGCCTGACACCTCTGGCCACCCCTGATCATCTTACTGTCTGCATAAGTTTGCTTTCTTTTTCTTTTCTTTTCTTTTCTTTTTTTTTTTTGACACAGAGTCTCACTCTGTCTCCCACGTTGGAGTGCAGTCGCGTGATCTGGGTTCACTGCAAGCTTTGCCTCCCAGGTTCAAGCGATTCTCCTGCCTCAGCCTCCCGAGTAGCTGAGATGACAGGTGCCCGCCACCAAGCCCGGCTGATTTTGTGTTTTCTGTAGAGACGAGGTTTCCCCATGTCGGCCAGGCTGGTCTTGAACTCCCGACTTCAGGTGATCCACCCACCTCGGCCTCCCAAAGTGTTGGGATGACAGGCGTGAGCCACCGTGCCCGGACAGTTTTGCCTTTTCTAGAATGTCTTATAGTTGCAGCCATAGTCTGTAGCCATCTCAGACTGACTTTCTTTTTTCATTCAATGGTTTTTTGTTTGTTTGTCTTTTTGTTTGTAGAGAAGTTCAGGTTTAAAGAAAAACTGAGCAGGGGCCGGGCGTGGCGGCTCACGCCTGTGATCCCAGGACTTTGGGAGGCCGAGGCAGGTGGATCACCTGAGGTCAGGAGTTGGAGACCAGCCTGGCCAAAATCACTAAGCTAAAGAGAAAATTCAAGCTAGGAGGTGCTCAGGGCAAATCTGCCTCCGTTTCTATAAAAAGTCAACCCTGTGGTCATGGAGATAGATGCATATTCTGATTGCCTGCTTTCGAGAGGCTTATCAGAAACTCAGAGGAATACAGCCATCGGTCTCTCACCTACCTCGGACCTGGGAGCCCCCTGCTTGCTTTAAGTCATCCCTGCCTTTCTGCACAGAACCAGTGTACTTCTTACATATATTAATTCACATCTCATGTCTCCTTAAAATGCATAAAACAAAGGCCGGGCGCGGAGGCTCACGCCTGTCATCCCAGCACTTTGGGAGGCCGAGGCGGGTGGGTCACCTAAGGTTAGGAGTTCAAGACCAGCCTGGCCAACATGGTGAAACCCTGTCTCTACTAAAAATACAAAAAAAAAAAAAAAAATTAGCCAAATGTAGTGGCAGGTGCCTGTAATCCCAGCTACTCGGGAGGCTGAGGCAGGAGAATCGCCTGAACCCAGAAGGCGGAGGTCGCAGTGAGCCGAGACCGCGGCACTGCACTCCAGCCTGGGTGACAGAGTGAGACTCCGTCTCAAAAAAAAAAAAAAAATGCATACAATGAACTGGGCGCAGTGGCCCACGCCTGTCATCCCAGCGCTTTGGAAGGTTGAGCCAGGCAGATCACCTGAGGTCAAGAGTTTGAGAACAGCCTGGTCAACAGTGTGAACCTAGTGTCTACTAAAAATACAAAAACTAGCCAAAAGTGGTGGCGGGCGCCTGTAGTCCCAGCTACTCGGGAGGCTGAGGCAGGAGAATCGCTTGAACCCTGGAGGCGGAGGTTGCAGTGAGCGGAGATCACGCCACTGCACTCCAGCCTGGGCGACAGAGAGAGACAACATCTCAAAAAAGAAAAAAGTATAAAACCAAGCTGTAAGGCCGGGCCTGATGGCTCATGCCTGTAATCCCAGCACTTCGGGAGGCCGAGGTGGGTGGATCACCTGAGGTCAGGAGTTCGAGACCAGCCTGGCCAACATAGTGAGACCCTATCTCTACTAATAATACAAAAATTAGCCAGGCGTGGTGGTGCATGCCTGTAATCCCAGCTACTCAAGAGGCTGAGGCAGGAGAATCGCTTGAACCCAGGAGGCAGAGGTTGCAGTGAGCCGAGATCATGTCACTGCACTCTAGCCTGGGCAACAGGGTGAGACTCTGTCTCAGGAAAAAAAAAAAAAAAAAATGGCCAAGTGCAGTGGCTCCAGCCTGTAATCCCAGCACTTTGGGAGCCCAAGGCGGGTGGACTGCGTGATGTCAGGAGTTCAAGACCATCCTGGCTAACACGGTGAATCCCCGTCTCTACGAAAATACAAAAAATTAGCCGGGCATGGTGATGTGCGCCTGTGGTCCCAGCTACTCGGGAGGCTGAGGCAGGAGAATCGCTTGAACCCGGGAGGCGGAGGTTGCAGTGAGCTGAGATCGTGTCACTGCACTCCAGCCTGGGCAACACGGTGAGACTCCGTCTCAAAAAAAAAAAAAAAAAAATCAGCCGGGCGTGGGTGCCTCTCACCTGTAATCCCAGCACTTTGGGAGGCCGAGGCGGGCGGATCACCTGAGGTCAGGAGTTGGAGACCAGCCTGGCCAACATGGCGAAATCCCGTCTCTACTAAAAATACAAAAATTAGCTGGGGTGTTGTGGCAGGTGCCTGTAGTCTCAGCTCCTTGGGAGGCTGAGGCAGGAGAATTGCTTGAACCCGGGAGGTGGAGGTTGCAGTGAGCTGAGATCATGTCACTGTGTTCCAGCCTGGGTAACAGGGTGAGACTCCATCTCAAAAAAAAACAAAACAAACAAACAAAAAAAAAACCAAAAAACCAAAACAAGCTGTACCCGAAGCATGGGCACGTGTCATCAGGACCTCATGAGGCTGTGTCACGGAAACACATCCTCAGCCTTGGCAAAAGAAGCTTTCGAAGTTAAATGAGACCTGTCTCAAATTTTAGGACTTCAAATTTTTATGTATGAATTAGAATGAATAAATACATTTCCTAATGAGATAGAATGAAAGAGAAGGCCTCCTTCTGTGTGGCAGGTCTGCGAAAGTCTCTCTGATCTGAATTGCAAACCGTTTCTTGCAGTTCCTTCTGCTTTGTGATAAAAATCAACGGTTGCAGAGATCAAGGGGCTCAGAACATTGCGTGTGGCTCAGCGCTGGGCTTGCATCTTGAGATGTATGGCTTTATTCGCTCCCTACTACAGACTTGTCAGGGAGACCTGAATCTGTGACTGTATTTTCTTTTTTTCGGGACGGACTCTCGCTCTGTCGCCCAGGCTGGAGTGCAGGGGCGCGATCTCAGCTCACTGCAACCTCCACCTCCCGGGTTCAAGCAACTCTCCTGCCTCAGCCTCCCGAGTAGCTGGGATTACAGGTGCATACCCACACACCCAGCTAATTTTTTATATTTTTAGTAGAGACGGGGTTTCACCATGTTGGCCAGGCTGGTCTCAAACTCCTGACCTCGTGATCCGCCCGCCTCGGCCTCCCAAAGTCCTGGGATTACAGGCGTGAGTCACTGCGCCCGGCCGATCCGTGCCTGCATTACAAACGTGTGATCTAAACACCAGCGAGGTGAAATGTCCAAGATAAGAGGCAACCACTGGCCAGGTGCTTTGTGTGAGCAAAATAAAGCTGTTTGTTCACTCGGGTGCAAGTAGGCTGAGTCCGAAGAGACGGTCAGCGAAGGGAGATGGGGAAGTTGTGGCTTTATAGGAGTTGGGTAGGTAATGGAAAATTACAGCAAAACGTGGTTCTCTATTGTTAGCACGGGAGGGGGTTTGCAAGGGGCATGGTGAATGAGAAGGGAAGGGATAGTATAACATTATTGATAAACTACGCTAGACGCCAAGGCTCATGCGTGTAATCCCAGCACTTTGGGAGGCCGAGGCGGGCTGATCACGAGGCCAGGAGATCGAGACCAGCCTGGCCAACATAGTGAAACCCCGTGTCCGCTAAAAATACAAAAATTAGCCGGGCGTGGTGGTGGGTGCCTGTATTCCCAGCTACTCAGGAGGCTGAGGCAGGAGAATCACTTGAACCCAGGAGGCAGAGGTTGCAGTGAGCCGGGATTGCACCATTGCACTCCATCCTCGGTGAAAGAGCAAAACTCCGTCAGAAAAAAAAAAGAAGGAAGGGAGGGAGGGAGGGAAGGAAGGAAGGAAAGAAGGAAGGAAGGAAGGAAGGAAAAGATGCAACCACCATTGGATAAAGAAAATGCGGTACATTAGAGGCCGGGTGCAGTGGCTCACACCTGTAATCCCAGCATTTTGGGAGGACGAGATGGGTGGATCACCAGGTCAGGAGATCGAGACCATCCTGGGTAACAGGAGACCAGCCTGGCTAACACGGTGAAACCCCGTCTCTACTAAAAATACAAAAAATCAGCCCGGCGTGGTGGCGGACGCCTGTCGTCCCAGCTACTCGGGAGGCTGAGGCAGGAGAATGGTGTGAACCCGGGAGGCGGAGCTTGCGGTGAGCCCAGATCGCGCCACCGCAGTCCAGCCTGGGGGACAGAGCGCCAAAAAAAAAAAAAAAAGGAAAGAAAAAAAGAAAATGTGGTACATTAGGCTGGGAATGGTGGCACGCACCTGTAGTCCCACCTACTCGGGAGGCTGAGACAGGAGAATCTCTTGAACCCGGGAGGTGGAGGTTGCACTGAGCCGAGATCGCACCACTGCACTCCAGCCTGGGCGAAAGAGTGAGATACTGTCAAAAAGAAAAAAAAAAAAAAAAAAACAGAAAAGAAGAAGGTGGTACATTGACACCGAGGACTAAGATCTGATTCTTTATCTTGCCCAAGTTCCTGTGTAATCAGGAGTCACGCCTTACAAATCATAAGTTTTCATTCAGTGGGTTTTATTTATCGCTATATATCATGACTTACTTTACGGTCGGGCTGTGGTATCACATTATGTGACAAAGAAGCAAGGCAAAATATTTTGCCCCCAAACATGTTCCTTTGCTATATTTGGAAATGGCCCCGCAGAGCTGTCCTTTGTGGGGGGAAACTGGCATCTGTAAAGAATCTCTTTTGACGTAGTTAGATCTTTTTCTTCCAGGCCCTCCCAATCCTGAAGACATTAGCGGAGAGTCTAGCAGCTTTTAAAGGTCTGAATAGGGCCGGGCGCGGTGGCTCACGCCTGTCATCCCAGCACTTTGGGAGGTCGAGGCGGGCGGATCATGAGGTCAGGAGATCGAGACCATCCTGGCTAACAGGGTGAAACCTCATCTCTACTAAAAATACAAAAAATTAGCCGGGCGTGGAGGGTGCCTGCAGTCCCAGCTACTCAGGAGGCCGAGGCAGGAGAATGGTGTGAATCCGGGAGGCGGAGGTTACAATGAGCAGAGATCGTGCCACTGCACTCCGGCCTGGGCCACAGAGCGAGACTCCATCTCAAAAAAATTTAAAAAATAAGTAAATAAATATATAAATAATAAAGGTCTGAATAGGAAACATTTGTCATCTATTGTCTCTAAGGGCAGCCACCTTAGGATTTCAAAAGAACCTTGATCTGAATTCACAATCTTTTATCTTTTTTTTTATTTTTTTTCTGGGACAGAGTTTCGTTCTGTCGCCCAGGCTGGAGTGCAGTGGCATGATCTCGGATCACCGCAACCTCCACCTCCCGGGTTCAAGTGATTCTCCTGCCCCAGCCTCCCTAGTAGCTGGAATGATAGGCCCCCGCCACCACACCTGGCTAATTTTTGTATTTTTAGAAGAGATGGGGTTTCACCATGCTGGCCAGGCTGGTGTCGAACTCCTGACCTCAAGTGATCCGTCTGCCTCGGCCTCCCAAAGTGCTGGGATTACAGGTGTGAGCCACCCCGCCCGGCCATATTTTTCCTTTAAGAAAATAGCTTGGGAGTCTCGTTCACTCAGTGCTCAATGGTGCCCAGGCTGGAGTGCAGTGGCATGATCTCGGCTCGCTACAACCTCCACCTCCCAGCCGCCTGCCTTGGCCTCCCAAAGTGCTGAGATTGCAGCCTCTGCCCGGCTGCCACCCCATCTGGGAAGTGAGGAGTGTCTCTGCCTGGCCGCCCATCGTCTGGGATGTGAGGAGCCCCTCTGCCTGGCTGCCCAGTCTGGAAAGTGAGGAGCGTCTCCGCCCGGCTGCCATCCCATCTAGGAAGTGAGGAGCGCCTCTTCCCGGCCGCCATCACATCTAGGAAGTGAGGAGCGTCTCTGCCCGGCCGCCCATCGTCTGAGATGTGGGGAGCGCCTCTGCCCCGCCGCCCCATCTGGGATGAGAGGAGCGCCTCTGCCCGGCCGAGACCCCGTCTGGGATGTGAGGAGCGTCTCTGCCCGGCCGCCCCGTCTGAGAAGTGAGGAGACCCTCTGCCTGGCAACCACCCCATCTGAGAAGTGAGGAGCCTCTCCGCCCGGCAGCCACCCCATCTGGGAAGTGAGGAGCGTCTCCGCCCGGCAGCCACCCCGTCCGGGAGGGAGGTGGGGGGTCAGCCCCCCGCCCGGCCAGCCACCCCGTCCGGGAGGGAGGTGGGGGGGTCAGCCCCCGCCCGGCCAGTCGCCCCGTCCGGGAGGGAGGTGGGGGGGTCAGCCCCCTGCCCGGCCAGCCGCCCCGTCGGGGAGGGAGGTGGGGGGGGGTCAGCCCCCGCCCGGCCAGTCGCCCCGTCCGGGAGGGAGGTGGGGGGGTCAGCCCCCGCCCGGCCAGTCGCCCCGTCCGGGAGGGAGGTGGGGGGGTCAGCCCCCCGCCCGGCCAGCCGCCCCGTCCGGGAGGGAGGTGGGGGGGGGTCAGCCCCCGCCCGGCCAGCCGCCCCGTCGGGGAGGGAGGTGGGGGGGACAGCCCCCTGCCCGGCCAGCCGCCCCGTCGGGGAGGGAGGTGGGGGGGACAGCCCCCTCCCCGGCCAGCCGCCCCGTCCGGGAGGGAGGTGGGGGGGTCAGCCCCCCGCCCGGCCAGCCGCCCCGTCCGGGAGGTGAGGGGCGCCTCTGCCCGGCCGCCCCTACTGGGAAGTGAGGAGCCCCTCTGCCCGGCCAGCCGCCCCGTCCGGGAGGGAGGTGGGGGGGGTCAGTCCCCCGCCCGGCCAGCCGCCCCGTCCGGGAAGTGAGGGGCGCCTCTGCCCGGCCGCCCCTACTGGGAAGTGAGGAGCCCCTCTGCCCGGCCAGCCGCCCTGTCCGGGAGGGAGGTGGGGGGGGTCAGTCCCCCGCCCGGCCAGCCGCCCCGTCCGGGAAGTGAGGGGCGCCTCTGCCCGGCCGCCCCTACTGGGAAGTGAGGCGCCCCTCTGCCCGGCCAGCCGCCCCGTCCGGGAGGTGAGGGGCGCCTCTGCCCGGCCGCCCCTACTGGGAAGTGAGCCCCTCTGCCCTCTGGGCCCGTCTGGGAGGTGTGCCCAACAGCTCATTGAGAACGGGCCATGATGACGATGGCGGTTTTGTGGAATAGAAAGGGGGGAAAGGGGGAAAAGATTGAGAAATCAGATGGTTGTCGTGTCTGTGTAGAAAGAGGTAGACATGGGAGACTTTTCATTTTGTTCTGCACTAAGAAAAATTCTTCTGCCTTGGGATCCTGTTGATCTGTGACCTTACCCCCCAACCCTGTGCTCTCTGAAACATGTGCTGTGTCCACTCAGGGTTGAATGGATTGAGGGTGGTGCAAGATGTGCTTTGTTAAACAGATGCTTGAAGGCAGCATGCTCGTTAAGAGTCATCACCAATCCCTAATCTCAAGTACCCAGGGACACAAACACTGCGGAAGGCCGCAGGGTCCTCTGCCTAGGAAAACCAGAGACCTTTGTTCACTTGTTTATCTGCTGACCTTCCCTCCACTATTGTCCCATGACCCTGCCAAATCCCCCTCTGTGAGAAACACCCAAGAATTATCAATAAAAAAAAAATTAACAAAAAACAAAAAACAAAAAACAAACAAAAAAAAAAAGAAAATAGGTTAAACAATTTGTTAAAAATTTTCCATCTTATTTCATTTCTGTAGCAGTTGATATCTGGCTGTCCTTTTTACAATGCAGAGTAAGAACTTTCCCTACCATGTTTGAGAAATGTCCTGGTTCCGTTGCCAAGAATGTGTTGTCCAAGATGCCTGTTTAGTTTTTAAAGATGGAACTCCACTCTTTGCTTTTTCTTCTTCTTCTTTTTGACGGACTCTCGTTCTGTCGCCCAGGCTGGAGTGTAGTGGCGTGATCTCAGCTCACTGCAACCTCCGCCTCCCGGGTTCACGCCATTCTCCTGCCTCAGCCTCCTGAGTAGCTGGGACTACAGGCGCCCGCCACCACGGCCGGCTAATTTTTGTATTTTTAGTAGAGACGGGGTTTCAGCATGTTGGCCAGGCTGGTCTCGATCTCCTGACCTCGTGATCCACCCGCCTCGGCCTCCCAAAGTGCTGGGATGACAGGCGTGAGCCACCGCGCCCGGCCACCTTTGCTTGGTGTTAAGTACGTACGGAATCTTACGATAGTACATAGTCGTAGCAGTGGTCAGACGTGGAAATGGTGGGGAGACAAAAACATACATGTGAAATAAAACTCAGTATTTTAATAAAGTAGCACAGTTTCTATTGAAAAAATAAAAAACAAAATAAATAAAAATACAAAATAAATAAAATAAAATACAAATAAAATAAAATACAAAATAAATAAAAATACAAAAATTAAATAAATAATACAAAAAAAATAAATACAAAAAATACAAAAATTAATAAATAAATAAAAATAAATAAAAATACAAAAATTAGCCAGGCTTGGTGGTGGGTGGTGGGATTACACACGTGAGCCACCACTCCCGGCCTTATCCCCCGCCTTTCTACACTGAAGCAATGTTCATCTTACCCACACTGATGGATGTTTCACATCTCCCTAAAATGTATGAAACCAAGCTGCGCCCGGACCACCCTCGGCATCTGTCATCAGGACCTTCTGAGGCTGCGTCACAGGGACGAATCTTCACGTCCTCAACCTTGGCAAAATAAACTTTCTAAATTAACTGAGACCTGCGGCCGGGCATGGGGGCTCACGCCTGTAATCCCAGCAATTTGGGAGGCCAAGGTGGGCGGATCACCTGAGGTCAGGAGTTCAAGACCAGCCTGGTCAACATGGTGAAACCCCATCTCTACTAAAAATACAAAAATTAGCCGGGTGTGGTGGCGGGTGCCTGTAATCCCAGCTATCCAGGAGGCTGAGACAGGAGAATCTCTTGAACCCGGAGGCAGAGGTTGCAGTGAGCCAAGATCATACCACTGCACTCCAGCCTGGGTAACAGAGTTAGACTCTGCCTCAAAAGAAAACAATAAAAAAAATTAACCAGGCGTGGTGGCAGGTGCCTGTAATCCCAGCTGCTTGGGAGGCTGAGACAGGAGAATCACTTGAACCCAGGAGATGGAGGTTGCAGTGAGCCGAGATCACACCACTGCACTCCAGCCTGGATGACAAGACTGAAACTCCATCTCAAAAAATAAAATAAAACAGGCCGGGTGCGGTGGCTCATGCCTGTCATCCCAGCATTTAGTGAGGCCGAGGCGGGTGGATCACCTGAGGTTGGGAGTTAGAGACCAGCCTGACCAACCTGGAGAAACCCCGTCTCTACTAAAAATACAAAAATTAGCTGGGCGTAGTGGTGGGCGCCTGTCATCCCAGCTACTCGGGAGGCTGAGGCAGGAGAATCGCTTGAACCAGGGAGGTGGAAGTTGCAGTGAGCCGAGATCACGTCATTGCACTCCAGCCTGGGCGACAGAGCGAGACTCTGTCTCCAAAAAATAAAATAATAAATAAAATAAAGGCCGGGCACGGTGGCTCATGCCTGTAATCCCAGCACTTAGGGAGGCCAAGGTGGGCTGATCCCCTGAGGTCGGGAGTTGGAGACCAGCCGGATCAACCTGGTGAAACCCCGTCTCTACTAAAAATACAAAATGAACTGGGCGTGGTGGTGCACGCCTGTAATCCCAGCTACTCGGGAGGCTGAGACAGGACAATCGCTTGAACCCCGGAGGCAGAGGTTGCAGTGAGCCGAGATCACACCGTTGTACTGCAGCCTGGGCAACAGAGAGCTCTGTCTCAAAACAAAATTAAAATAAATGAATAAATAAATAAATAAAATAAATGTACTGAGACCTGTCATTGCAATGAAAAACCCACTCATCCTCAAACATAAAAAAAAAATATTCGGTCGGGCGCAGTGGCTCACGCCTGTCATCCCAGCACTTTGGGAGGCCGAGGAGGGTGGATCACGAAGTCAGGAGTTCGAGACCAGCCTGGCCAACATAGTGAAACCCCGTCTCTACTAAAAATACAAAAAATTAGCCGGGCGTGGTGGCGGGCACCTGTAGTCCCAGCTACTCGGGAGGCTGAGGCAAGAGAATGGCTAAACCCGGGAGGCGGAGGTTGCAGTGAGCTGAGATCGCACCACTGCACTCCAGCCTGGGCGACAGAGTGAGACTCTGTCTCAAAAAATAAAAATAAACATAAATTAATTAAAAAAAATTAAAAAAACACAAAAGTAAGAGA
Source organism: Homo sapiens (assembly GCF_000001405.40). Lineage (NCBI taxonomy): Eukaryota > Metazoa > Chordata > Mammalia > Primates > Hominidae > Homo > Homo sapiens. The sequence continues at coordinate 1,239,648 of NC_000023.11, forward strand.
CAGGTGAATTAACCAGGAGGCCGGCTCGTCTTGCGGTCTGGGAAGGGCGTAACTTCAGAGGATCCCGGGCTTTGGAAAATTTGCCAAAATGAGACATTTCGGCTCCATTTAGCTGCGGTTTCTCTCCACTCCCACTTCCCCTCTGCCTAAGTTCCCCGTATGCCGGGCGGCCCCGGGGCAGAGGTGGGGTTCTGGGGAGCTGAGACAGGGAAGTTGACCTGCAGTTGATTTGCATGTGGTCTTTGAGGGATCTGCCCGTGGGTTCCAACGTCACGGCCAGGCCTGGCTCACTGCGGTCTGGCCTCCCATGATGATAGCAGTATCTTCTAGGAATATTCCCACCCACCCACGGCGCTGACGCACGGATACGACAGGGAAGCCTCCAGACCCGTCCTCTGGTGCTGGGTGTTGTCAAGAAAAAAAAGAGCCAAACTCTGGCCAGGCGCGGTGAGTCACACCTGTGATCCCAGCACTTTGGGAGGCCGAGGCGGGTGGATCACCTAAGGTCAGGAGTTTGAGACCAGCCTGACCAACATGGCAAAAACCTGTGTCTATTAAAAATACAAAAATTAGGCCGGGCACAGTGGCTCACACCTGTAATCCCAGCACTCTAGGAGGCTGAGGCGGGTGGATCACCTCAGCCTGAGGTCAGGAGTTTGAGACCAGCTGGACAACATGGCAAAAACCTGTCTCTATTAAAAATACAAAAATTAGGCCGGGAGAAGTGGCTCACGCCTGTCATCCCAGCACGTTGGGAGGCCGAGGCGGGTGGATCACCTGAGGTCAGGAGTTCGAGACCAGCCTGACCAACACAGTGAAACCCCATCTCTACTAAAAATACAAAAATCAGCCGGGCGTGCTGGCATGTGCCTGTAATCCCAGCTACTCGGGAGGCTGAGGCAGAAGAATCGCTTGAACCTGGAAGGTGGAGGTTACAGTGAGCCAAGATTACACCACTGCACTCCAGCCTGGTGACAAAGCGAGACTCCATCTCAAAAAAAAAAGAAAAGAAAAAGAAAAGACAAGACAAGACATCCATAAAGATCCCTGAATTGCCTAGGACCACTGAACAGTCGGCCACGGCCCCATCCCAGAGGATCACGGCCCCAGCCTCGCGGAGTTCGCCGGCTGAGTGGGGTCTCTGGAGCATGGTGGAGATTTGGGGTGAGTGAAGGCCTCTGCAGGAGGGGTGATTTGGGGTGAGTGGGGGGTCTCTCTCTGAGGGATGGAGATTTGGGGTGAGCAGGGGTCTCTGTGAGCGATAGAGATTTGGGGTGAGTGGGGTCTCTCTCTGAGGGATGGAGATTTGGGGTGAGTGTGGATCTCTCTGAGGGATGGAGATTTGGGGTAAGTGGGGGGGTCCCTGAGGGATAGAGATTTGGGGTGAATGGGGGTCTCTCTGAGGGATGGAGATTTGGGGTGAGCGGGGGTCTCTGTGAGGGATAGAGATTTGGGGTGAGTGGGGTCTCTCTCTGAGGGATGGAGATTTGGGGTGAGCGGGGGTCTCTGTGAGGGATAGAGATTTGGGGTGAGTGGGGTCTCTCTCTGAGGGATGGAGATTTGGGGTAAGTGGGGGGGTCCCTGAGGGATAGAGATTTGGGGTGAATGGGGGTCTCTCTGAGGGATGGAGATTTGGGGTGAGTGTTGGTCTCTCTCTGAGGGATGGAGATTTGGGGTGAGTGGGGGTCTCTCTCTGAGGGATGGAGATTTGGGGTGAAGACCATCCATGGGGTGACGATCAGAAATGCAGTAACCTCATCACATTTTCTCTCCTGCATTTTTTCCTGGAACTGTGGGCCGGGCGCGGTGTCTCATGCCCGTAATCCCGACAGTTTGGGAGGCCAAGACAGGCGGATCACTTGAGGTCAGGAGTTTGAGACCAGCCTGGCTAACACGGTGAAACCCCGTCTCTACTAAAAATACAAAAATTAGCCAGGCGTGGTGGCGGGCACCTGTCATCCCAGCTACTCGGGAGGCTGAGGCAGGAGAATCGCTTGAACCCAGGAGACAGAGGTTGCAGTGAGCCCAGATCACGCCATTGCACTCCTGCACTCCAGCCTGGGTGACAGAGCAACACTCTGTCTTAGAAAAATATATTTTAAAAATAATAATAAATAAATAAAATTAGCCAAGCGTGGTGACGCATGCCTGTCATCCCAGCTATTAGGGAGGCTGGGGCAGGAGAATCACTTGAACCCGGGAGGCAGAGGTTGCAGTGAGCTGAGATCACGCCACTGCACTCCAGCCTGGGCAACAAGAGCGAAAGTCTGCCTCAAAATAAATAATAAATTATTTAATTAAATTAAATAAATAAATAAATGAATAGGGCTGGGCACGGTGGCTCACACCTGTAATCCCAGCACTTTGGGAGGCCAAGGCAGGTGAATCACTTGAGGTCAGGAGTTTGAGATCAGCCTGACTAAATGGTGAAACCCCGTCACTCCTAAAAATACAAAAATTCGCCAGGCATGGTGGCAGGCGCCTGTAATACCAGCTACTCGGGAGGCTGAAGCAGGAGAATCTCTTGAACCCGGGAGGCGGAGGTTGCAGTGAGCCGAGATCGCACCAGTGCATTCCAGCCTGGGCAACAAGAGCGAAAGTCCGCCTCAAAAAAATAAAAAAAATAAAAATAAGTAAATAAATAAAAAGGGCCAGGCGCGGTGGCTCACGCCTGTAATCCCAGCAGTTTGGGAGGCCAAGGCAGGTGAATCACTTGAGATCAGAGTTCGAGACCAGCCTGACTAACATGGTGAAACCCCCGTCACTCCTAAAAATACAAAAATTAGCCAGGGTTTTTGGCGGTCACCTGTAATCCCAGCTACTCGGGAGGCTGAGGCAGGAGAATCACCTGAACCTAGGACGCAGAGGTTGCAGTGAGCTGAGATCGCACCACTGCACTCCAGCCTGGACAACAAGAGCAAAAGTCCGCCTCAAAACAATACAAAAAATAAAAATAAGTAAAATAAAAAGGGCCAGGCGCGGCGGCTCACGCCTGTAATCCCAGCAGTTTGGGAGGCCGAGGCAGGTGAATCACTTGAGGTCAGAGTTCGAGACCAGCCTGACTAACATGGTGAAACCCTGTCACTCCTAAAAATACAAAAATTAGCCAGGCATGGTGGCAGGCGCCTGTAATACCAGCTACTCGGGAAGCTGAGGCAGGAGAATCGCTTGAACCCGGGAGGCGGAGGTTGCAGTGAGCCGAGATCGCATCAGTGCATTCCAGCCTGGGCAACAAGAGTGAAACTCCATCTGAAAAAAATTTAAAAAAAAACAAAAACACACAGCAACCCTCCTCTTCCCAGCTGAGTCATCCCACCTGTGGCTTCCCACTCAGTGCTTGCTTTCGGGGTGTGAGAATATGCCCTGAGGCCTAGGGCCGAACCCCACAGGAGGAAAGAGCAGGGGGGCTGGCTGGCAAAGGTACTGGGAGGCTCCCCAACCCAGGAAGGTCCCCCCACCCTCCCCGCCCAGGAAGGACCCAGCATGTGGGAGTTACACCCCGGTTTGCGGGTCTCCCAGCCCAGGATGTTTTGTCAAAACTTAGCAAACCAGAGAGCGTCCTGGCCTTCTTGAAGGCATCTGATTTCTCTTTTCTTGTGAAGATTTTTCAAGCCAAGTGCTGGAGGTGGGAAGGGGGTTTCCAAGGCACCAACATACAAGATAACTCCAGGAGATAAGGACGCTGAGAGTTTTCAGGCAGAGCCGGTTCTGCAAACACCAGGAAATAGAAACAACAAGCAACTCACAAGCAGCTCACGCCTGTCATCCCAGCACTTTGGGAGGCTGAGGCGGGTGGATCACCAAAGGTCAGGAGTTTGAGACCAGCCTGGCCAACATGGTGAAACCCCGTCTCTACTAAAAATACAAAAATCAGCCAGATGTGGTGGTGGGCACCTGTAATCTCAGCTACTTGGGAGGCTGAGGCAGGAGAATCGCTTGAACCCGGGAGGCGGAGGTTGCAGTGAGCTGAGATCACGCCGCTGCACTCCAGCCTGGGCAACAAGAGTGAAAACTCCATTAAAAAAAAAAAAAAAAAAGCAAGCTACCTAGATTTTCACAGCTGGTTCAAATACCGCCGGGGGTATCCAGTCAGGAAGGGGTACTGTCTGAGGGGGCCAGGGGATACCTGTGCAAGTTGTCAGTTCAGAATGAATTTCTGAAACCCTCACGTGGTAACAAGCTCCCAGCCTCTTTCTAATGGGCTTTGGCTAAAGGTCCAGCACGTAAAACACAAAGGCTCTCCTGGGCTTGGCTCAACAGGGAGGTAGTTCCCAGAAAGAGACCTTCCTAGCTGGGCGCGGTAGCTCACGCCTGTAATCCCAGCACTTTGGGAGGCTGAGGCAGGCGGATCACGTGGTCAGGAGTTCGAGACCAGCCTGGCCAACTTGGTGAAACCCCGTCTCTACCGAAAACACAAAAAATTAGCCAGGCGTGGTGGCGGGTGCCTGTAATCCCAGCTACCCAGGAGGCTGATGCAGGAGAATGGCGTGAACCCGGGAGGCGGAGGTTGCAGTGAGCCGAGATTGTGCCATTGCAGTACAGCCTGAGTGAGAGAGCAAGGCTCCAAAGAAAAGAAGGAGGAAGAGAAAGAAAGACAGAAAGAGAGAAAGAAAGAAAGAGAAAGAGAGAAAGAAATGAAGGAAAGAAGGAGAAAGAAACAGAGAAAAAAGAATGAAAGAAAGAAAAGAAAGGAAGGAAGCAGGGAGGGAGGGAAAGAGAGGAAGGAAGGAATGTGAAGGGAAGGAAGAAGGAAGGAAAGAAAGAGAAAGAAAGAAAAGGGAGGAAGGAAGGAAAGGGAAGGGAAGGAAGGAGAAGGAAGGAAAGAAAGAAAGAGAAAGAGAAAGGAAAGAAGAAGAAAGGAAGGAAGGAGAAAGAAAAAGAAAGAGAAAGGAAGGAAGGAGGGAGGGAAAGAGAGGGAGGGGAGGGGAGGGGAGGGGAGGGGAGGGGAGGGGAGGGAAGGGGAGGGAAGGGAAGGGAAGGGAAGGGAAGGGAAGGGAGAGCCCCAGACATCCCAGGTATCCTCATCCTAAATTCCTTCCACAGCTCACTGCGTCCCAGGTGTGGGATTAACACAAGCCTCTGGTCACCTTTGAGGCTGGCGAGACAGCTTGACTCCAGCCCCGGGGGACACTGGGTCTCCAAGTGCTGCGGGATACAGAGAGGCTTTTCCAGCCCCTCCTGCGGCCCTTTCATCGCCGACAGCTGCTGGGGGGGGCTGAGCCAGCCAAAGCTGAATTTGCAGAGGATGCTTCTGACCCCTAGTGTCCAAAACTTCCAAATTAAAGGCGTGTCCCTGAGCAAGGGCTGGGTGGGCTCAGGGGGCCTGGGGGCCTGCAGTTTAATGAACTCTGCAGAGACGCTTTAAACCCATCTATGGCCGGGCAACGTGGCTCATGCCTGTAATTCCTTTTTTCTTTTTTTTGAGACCGAATCTCGCTGTGTCACCCAGGCTGGAGTGCAATGGCATGATCTCCGCTCACTGCAACCTCCGCCTCCCGGGTTCGAGCGATTCTCCTGCCTCAGCCTCCCGAGTAGCTGGGATTACAGGCAGCTGCCACTACACACGGCTAACTTTTGTCTTTTAAGTAGAGACGGGGTTTCACCATGTTGGCCAGGCTGGTCTCGAACTCCTGGCCTCAGGTGATCCACCCGCCTCGGCCTCCCAAAGTGCTGGGATGACAGGCGTGAGCCACCGCGCCCGGCCTATAAACGGGTTATTTTTTATTATTTTTTATTTTTTGAGACAGAGTCTGGCTCTGTCCCCCAGGCTGGAGTGCAATGGCACCATCTCGGCTCACTGCAAGCTCCACCTCCCGGGTTCAAGTGATTCTCCTGCCTCAGCCTCCCGAGTAGCTGGGACTACAGGCGCCCACCACCATGCCCTGCTAATTTTTTTTTTTTTTTTTTTTTTTTTTGTATTTTTAGTAGAGACAGGGTTTCACCATGTTGGCCAGGCTGGTCTCGAACTCCTGGCCTCAGGTGATCCACCTGCCTTGGCCTCCCAAAGTGCTAGGATGACAGGCGTGAGCCACTGCGCCCAGCCTATAAACGGGTTATTAATGAGCTCTCCAGCCAGGCAAACTTGAAAGCTCCAGGGCAGCCTTTCCGTGGCCGACGACGAGCAGAAGAAGCAGAAGATGGGAGATGCAGCAGGATAATTTGTTAAGGGGTGAAATGTACGTTGAGTTCCCAACTTCCAGTCTCTGTGAATATTGGGACCTTATTTGGAAATGTAATTAAAATGTAAATTGAGATGACATCATTTTTGATTAAGGTGAGTCATAAATCCCATGAGTGTAGGTCTAAGAGACAGAAGGGGCCGGGCGCGGTGGCTCACGCTTGTAATCCCAGCACTTTGGGAGCCCGAGGCAGGCGGATCACCTGAGGCCAGGAGATCGAGACCAGCCTGGCCAACATGGTGAAACCCTGTCTCTACTAAAAATACAAAAATTAGCTGGGCGTGGTGGCAGGCGCCTGTAATTCCAGCTATTCCAGAGGCTGAGGCAGGAGAATCGCTTGAACCCGGCAGGCGGAGGTTGCAGTGAGTCAAGATCGAGCCACTGCACTCCAGCCTGGCGACAGAGTGAGACTCCATCTCAAAAAAAAAAAAAAAAAAAAAAGAGACAGAAGAGGAGACACAGACAGGGGAGGAGGCCACGTGGAGACGGAGGCAGAGACTGCAGTGAGGTGGCCACAGTCCCAGGGACGCCTGGAGCCCCCAGGAGCTCGAAGAGGCAGGAAGGATCCTCCCCTAGAGCTTCTAAAAGGAACCAAACCAAACTGCAGTGGGTTGAATGGGGATCCCCCAAAGACATGTCCAGGTCCTAAACCTTAGAATCCGTGAATAGGACCTCATTTGGAAATAGGGTCTTTGCAGATGTGTTTAAGGGAAGGATCTCAAAATGAAATCGCCTTGCATTGGAGTTGGACTCTAAATCCAATGAGGGGTGACCCCATAAGAGACAAAGAGGAGACACAGACACAGAGGAGGCCACGTGGAGATGGTGACAGAGACTGCAGTGAGGCGGCCACAAACCCAGGGACGCCTGGAGCCCCCAGGAGCTGGGAGAGGCAGGAAGGACCCTCCCCTAGAGCCTCCAGAGGGAGCACAGTCCTGAGACACCTGGATCTCAAGACTCCTGGTCTGCAGGCCTCAGAGAGGATACATTCCAGTTGTTTTAAGGCCCTCGGTTTGTTCTGTCCACCCCAAGAAACTACACACCCTACAAATGAGGACTCCAAGCCTCATTCTCCCGGCACCGCACGCCTGCAAACATAGGCATGGCCAGCAGGTGGCAGTCGAGTCCCCAAAAAGAAATTGCGTGGCTTAAGGTTCCGGGATTTGAATAAATACGGTAATAAAAATCCGGCGGGCGGATCACGAGGTCAGGAGTTCGAGACCAGCCTGGTCAACATGGTGAAACCCTGTCTCTACTAAAAATACAAAAAATTAGCCGGGGGTGGTGGCAGGCGCCTGTAGTCACTGCTACCGGGAGGCTGAGGCAGGAGAATGGCATGACCAGGGAGGCGGAGCTTACAGTGCTCTAAAAAAAAAAAAAAATCAGGCGGGCGGATCACAAGCTCAGGAGTTCGAGACCAGCCTGACCAACATGGTGAAACCCCGTCTGTACTAAAAATACAAAAAATTAGCCGGGGGTGGTGGCGGGTGCCTGTAATCCCAGCTACTCGGGAGGCTGAGACAGGAGAATCGATTGAACTCAGGAAGCAGAGGATGCAGCGAGCCAAGATCGCGCCACTGCACTCCAGCCTGAGCAACAAAGCGAGACTCCATCAAAAAAAAAAAAAAAAAAACCCACAGTGTAAGGGGTCCCAATGCAGACCTCAACAGAGGGTTCTTGGATGTCGTGCAAGAAATTATTCGAGCCAGGCGCGGTGGCTCACGCCTGTAATCCCAGCACTTTGGGAGGCTGAGGTGGGTGGATCACCAGAGATCAGGAGTTCGAGACCAGCCTGGCCAACATGGAGAAACCCCGTCTCTACTAAAAATACAAAAAATTAGCTGGGCGTGGTGGTGCACACCTGTAATCCCAGCTACTCGGGAGGCTGAGGCAGGAGAATCGCTTGAACCTGGGAGACGGAGGTTGCCGTGAGCCGAGATCGCGCCATTGTACTCCAGCCTGGGCAACAGGAGCAAAACTCTATCTCAAAAAAGAAAAGAAAAGAATCTCAAGAAAGAAAGAAGGGAGGGAGGGACGGAGGAAGGAAGGAAGGAAGGAGAGAGAGAGAGAGAGAGAGAGAGGGAGGGAGGGAGAGAGAGAGAGAAAGAAAGAAGGAAAAGAAAGAAAGAGAAAGAAAGAAAAAGAAAGAGAGAGAAGAGAAGAGACAGCCTGTACTACCCACCCGTTGAGTTGAGGGGTGAAGAGAAGAGAAGAGAGGAGAGGGGAGGGGAGAGGAGGGGAGAGGAGGGGAGGGGAGGGGAGGATAGGGGAGGGGAGGATAGGGGAGGGGAAGATAGGGGAGGGGAGGATAGGGGAGGGGAGGGGAGGATAGGGGAGGGGAGGATAGGGGAGGGGAGGATAGGGGAGGGGAGGGGAGGGGAGGGGAGGGGAGAAGAGAAGAGAGGAGAAGAGAGGACAAGAGCCTGTACTACCCACCCGTTGACTTGAGGGGGAAAGGGAGGGGAGGGGAATGGAGGGGAGAGGAGGAGAGGGGAGGGGAGGGGAATGGAGGGGGGAGAAGAAAAGAAAAGAGAAGAGGACAGCCTGTATTACCCACTCGTAGAGTTGAGGGGGGAGGGGAGGGGAGGGGAGGGGAGACTAGACGAGAGGAGGGGAGAGGAGAGGAGACGAGAGGAGAGGAGAGGAGACAGCCTGTACTACCCACCCCTTGAGTTGAGGGGTGCCGGAAAACCCCGGACTTTTCTTGTGGAGGTGGAGGGGAGGGATTCCAGGGTTAGTCACAGCTGTCACTTTTCTGCTTCTTGTTTCTGGCAGGGTTCACTGTCCTGGGTGCTTGATTCGTTACTAGCGATCCGGAGAAGAAAGGGTTAAAGGAATCCCTCCCCCACCCCTGGAATCCCTCCCCCACCCCTGGAATTCCAAAGGCGCAGCCAGGCTCGGATTTCCACGCGGGCGGTACTGAATTAACGGCTGGGCCCCGGCGCCTTTCTTTTAACTAATTACATCTGCAAGGGCCTTAATTCCAAACGAGGCGTCATTCCCGGAGACCAGAGGCGTTTGGAACTCAACGTATATACTTTGGGGCCGCGATCGAGGCGCGTCTCCCGTCTTCTGCCTCTGCGTGTCCTCAGCTGCAGAAAGGCCGCCCCTGAGCCTTCGGGTTTTCCTGGGGGGAGAGCTCATGAGGAACCCGTGTATGCCTAGCGTTCCATTATTGGAACGCTAAGCTTGTCTGAAGGCTGAAGGTCATCGCCAAGATCTGGTTTTTTACACCAAAAAAACTTGCAACCTCCGGCATAAATGGGCTTAAAGTGTCCGTGAGAGCTCATTAAACGACAGGCCCCGGGTCCCTGACCCCCCCCCCCACCAAGCCCTTGCTCTGGGACGCGCCTTGGACACGTCTGCAGATTCAGCCCTGGCCGGTTCAGCCCCCAGCGGCTGTCAGCAATGAAAGGGGTCCCAGAAAGGACTGGAAAAAGCAGATCACAACGGGAATCCCGAGGCAAGAATGCAGGAGCCAGGCTATCTGGCAAGCCTCAAATATAGCCAGCAGGTTGTGTTGATCCCGCATCACGGACGCTGTGAGCTGTGGAAGGAGCTTGGGATGAGGATTGCTGGGGATGCCTGCAGCTGTTTCTGCTGGAGCTGCCTCTGGGGCAGGAAGTGTCACGTTGCACCCCAGGAAGGTCTCTGTCCAGCGCAGACCACGTGGCCCTTCCTGGTGCTACTCAAGCCCTGGAGAGAGCCTCTAGGCTATTTGAGGTTCCTGGACTCCAGCTTTAGCCAGAGCCAGCTAGGAGGAGGCTGGGAGCTTGTTAAAGCCTGAAGGTAAGCCGGGTCAGGAAGTTGAGATTTGGAAACAGGCCTGATAGTCTGTGCTTCCTCTTCGGGGAAAAAGAGATGTTACAACGCGCTGGGCTCCACCCTCCCCCGAGAGCTTGCAGATTTCCGGCTTCTGAGGAGCTGCCCTACCACAGCTCCTTCTGTTGCTAGATAAGGGGTTGGGGTCACACCCTCCTCCCTTCTGTGGCTGGAGGGATGGTCTGTGGACAGAAGAATGTGTGGCCACAGGGAAAGTGAGCCAGTATCAGCAGAAAAACAAACTGAGGCTGGCACGGTGGCTCACTCCTGTCATCCCAGCACTTTAAGGCTGAGGTGGGCTGATCACGAGGTCATGAGTTCGAGACCAGCCTGGCCAACACAGTGAAACCCCTTCTCTACTAAAAATACAAAAATTAGCCGGGCATGGCGGTGGGTGCCTGTAATCCCAGCTACTGAGGAGGCTGAGGCAGGAGAATCGCTTGAACCCGGGAGGCGGAAGTTGCAGTGAGCCGAGATCGCACCACTGCCCTCCAGCTTGGATGACAGAGCGAGACTCCATCTCAAGAAAAAAAAGAAAAGGGAAAAGCAAACTGATATTGTCCCCAACATGCAGGATGGGGCATTCTCAACCTCGGCACTGCTGACATTGGGAGCGGGAGGATTCTCTGTGGTGGGGCTGTCCTGGGCACTGGTGGGTGTTGAGCAGCCGTCCTGGGATCCACACACCGGGGGCCAGGAGCAAACTTCCCAGGACTGACACCAAGGGTGTCCACAGATTGTCATTCTCTTGTGATTGTCTCTAGACATTGCCAAGTTTCCCCTGGGGGTAGAATTCTCCCTGGCCTGTGAACCACTGTTATAGATAGATGATACATAGATAGATGATAGCTAGATAGATAGCTAGATAGATAGATAGATAGATAGATAGATAGATAGATAGATAGATAGATGGAGTAGATAGAAAGATAGATAGACAGATAGACAGATAATAGATGGAAGAGAAGATGGACCGATATAATGAGTGATCATTACAGATATGATAGATGATAGGTGATAGGTAGACAGATGATAGATAGATCAATAGATAGATAAAACTTAGATGATAGATATAACAAATGATTATGATAGGTGATAGATACATAGATATCTATATAGATATATAGAGGGAGTAAATAGAAAGACACATAAATAATAGATGGAATAGAAGATCGATTGATATAATAAGTGATCATTATCAATATGATAGATGGTAGGTGATAGACAGATGGTAGACATATAGATAGATAAAACTTAGATGATAGATACAATAAATGATTATGATAGGTGATACATATCTATATAGATAGATATCTATATAGATATAGAGAGAGTAGATACAAAGAGAGACATAGATAATAGATGGAATAGAAGATTAATTGATATAAGTGATCATTATAGATACGATAGATAGTAGGTGATAGATGATAAACATATAGATAGATAAAACTTAGATGATAGATATAATAAATGATTATGATAGGTGATATCTAGGTAGATATCTATATAGACAGATATCTAGATAGATATCTAGAGAGAGTAGATACAAAGATAGAGGGACATAGATAATAAATGGAATAGAAGATCGATTGATATAATGAGTGATCATTATAGATATGATAGGTGATAGGTAGATAGATGATAGATAGACATATAGATAGATAAAACTGAGATGATAGATATAATAAATGATTATGATATCTATCCATATAGATATATCCATATAGATATGTCCACATAGATATACCCATATGGATATATCCACATAGATATACCCATATGGGTATATCCACATAGATATACCCATATGGGTATATCCACATAGATATACCCATATGGGTATATCCACATAGATATACCCATATGGGTATATCCACATAGATATACCCATATGGGTATATCCACATAGATATACCCATATGGGTATATCCACATAGATATATCCATATAGATATATCCACAGATATATCCACATAGATATATCCATATAGATATACATAGATATCTATCCATATAGATATATAGAGAGAGTAGATACAAAGAGAGCATAGACAAATAATAGATGTAATAGAAGATTAATTGATATAATAAGTAATCATTATAGATATGATAGATGGTAGGTGATAGGTAGACAGATGATAGATAATTGATAGATGATAGGGTAGATAATTGATAGGATAGATAAGTGATAGATGATAGATAGATAGATAGATAGATAGATAGATAGATAGATAGACAGACACATAGATAGATGCCGGGTGTGGTGGATCACGCCTGTAGTCCCAGCATTTTGGGAGGCCGAGGCGGGTGGATCACGAGGTCAGGAGTTCGAGACCATCCTGGCCAACATGGTGAAACCCCGTCTCTACTAAAAATACAAAAATTGGCCAGGCATGGTGATGCACGCCAGTAATCCCAGCTACTCAGGAGGCTGAGGCAAGAGAATGGCGTGAACCCGGGAGGCAGAGATTGCAGTGAGCAGAGGTCGCGCCACCTGCACTCAGGCCTGGTGACAGAGGAAGACTCCCTCTCAAAATAATAATGATAAACAAAGTGCTGGGATTACAGGCTTGAGCCACCACTCCCGGCCTGGGGCTGTAGTTTTCCATTTCTTTGTTCCAAAGGCCGGAGTCACCAGCTTATCTTAATTTGCCTTGTGGTCTACCTGCCAACCTTCCCACCACCCCACACAGGAAAACTCATTGAGTCTGCTTCAGCAGACAACACCCTGAGACTTTTCCCACTGGTGCCTTTACTTATTACAACGCCGAGCTGCTTCAGAGGCAGAACAGGCTTATCTGAGTCCTCAGACTTCTCTCCTTCCCAACAGCATCAACATTTTCCAGGAAAATCACGACTTGTGAATTTATTATTTTTATTTTATTTTATTTATTTTTTGAGATAGAATTTCACTCTTGTTGCCCAGGCTGGAGTGCAATGGCATGATCTCAGCTCACTGCAACGGCCACCTCCCAGGTTCAATCGATTCTCCTGCCTCAGCCTCCCGAGTAGCTGGGATTACAGCCAACTGCCACCACACCCAGCTATTTTTTTTGTATTTTTGTTAGAGATGGGGTTTCACCATGATGACCAGGCTGCTCTCGAACTCCTGACCTCAAGTGATCTGCCTGCCTCGGCCTCCCAGACTGCTGGGATTACAGGTGTGAGCCACTGCGCACGGCCCATGTGTAGATTTATTAAATGCCCCTGTTCGGCCTCCCAAAGTGCTGGGATTATAGGTGTGAGCCACCTCGCCCAACCCACCATCTAAAGTCTGTCTCTGAGCTTTACCTCATACCACCCCCCCTCCTGGTACCCATCCCTGCCCCTGAGAAAAGGGAGGTGAAGGAGACCAGGAACCACAGTTTTCAGCTAAGAGGAAACTCAGGTCAGAAAGTCCCTGCCTGGCCCACATCCCTCATTCTAAAGAGAGAACTGGGGCTTCCCAGCAAGGAACAAGGAGATGGCACAGACAAGGCTATGTCTGTTCAAACAGTGACATTCTCTGGGCCATGTGTCCATCAAGCAAAAGATATCACCATCCCCAGGTTCACAGACCAGGACAGGCACCTACAGGAAGCCGCTTACAGGTGCTGGGATGTATCTCAGAGCTCGGTCCTTTGAACACATCCCTCCGGGCCACGTTCTGGCGTTAGTACTGGAGGTTAAAGATTCACGGGACCATTGTTTCTGGAAAGGCAGGGAAGTATAAATAAACAAATGCTCAATGTCATCTGAAGGTGACGTACGAGGGAAGCGGAGAACTGAGAACTGGAGGCGGAGGGTTTCCAGTCATGGCAGAAGGCAAAGAACTGGGGCTTCCCAGCAAGGAACAAGCAGATGGCACAGACAAGGCCATGTCTGTAAAAGCAGTGACATTCTCTGGGCCATGTGTCCATCAAGCAAAAGATATCACCATCCCCATGTTCACAGACCAGGACAGGCACCTACAGGAAGCCGCTTACAGGTGCTGGGATGAATCTCAGAGCTCGGTCCTTTGAACACATCCCTCCAGGCCACGTTCTGGCCTTAGTACTGGAGGTTAAAGATTCACGGGACCATTGTTTCTGGAAAGGCAGGGAAGTATAAATAAACAAATGCTCAATATCATCTGAAGGTGACGTATGAGGGAAGCAGAGAACGGAGAACTGGAGGCGGAGGGTTTCCAGTCATGGCAGAAGGCAAAGAACTGGGGCTTCCCAGCAAGGAACAAGCAGATGGCACAGACAAGGCTATGTCTGTAAAAGCAGTGACATTCTCTGGGCCATGTGTCCATCAAGCAAAAGATATCACCATCCCCAGGTTCACAGACCAGGACAGGCACCTACAGGAAGCCGCTTACAGGTGCTGGGATGAATCTCAGAGCTCAGTCCTTTGAACACATTCCTCAGGGCCACGTTCTGGCCTTAGTACTGGAGGTTAAAGATTCACAGGACCATTGTTTCTGGAAAGGCAGGGAAGTATAAATAAACAAATGCTCAATGTCATCTGAAGGTGACATACGAGGAAAGTGGAGAACTGAGAACTGGAGGCGGAGGGTTTCCAGTCATGGTGCAAGGCAAAGGGGTAGAAGGAATTACATGGTGAGAAAGGAAGCGAGAGAGAAGCCAGGGTCTTTTTTATTTTTTTGAGACGGAGTCTCACTCTGTTGCCCAGGCTGGAGTGCAGTGGCGCGATCTTGGCTCACTGCAACCTCCGCCTCCCAGGTTCAAGCGATTCTCCTGCCTCAGCCTACTGAGTAGCTGGGACTACAGGCGCCTGCCACAGCGTCTGGCTAATTTTTTTTTTGTATTTTTGGTACAGACGGGGTTTCACCATGTTAGCCAGGATGGTCTCAATCTCCTGACCTCGTGATCCGCCCACCTCGGCCTCCCAAAGTGCTGGGATTACAGGCGTGAGCCACTGCGCCTGGCTTTTTTCTTTTTTTGAGACAGTCTCACTCTGTCACCAGGCTGCAGTGCAGTGGCGCAATCTCGGCTCACTGCAACCTCCACCTCCCGGGTTCATGCCATTTTCCTGCCTCAGCCTCCCAAGTAGCTGGGACTACAGGTGCCCACCACCACGCCCGGCTAATTTTGTGTATTTTTAGTAGAGATGGGGTTTCACCATGTTAGCCAGGATGGTAAAAGAACAAACTCTCACACGAATTCACAGAGGAGAGCTCATTTACTGTCTCATTACCTTGGGGACTGCACCAAGCTATTTACTAGGGATTCACCCCATGATCCAAACACCTACCACCAGACCCCACCCCCCAACATTGGGGATCCCATTTCAACATGATATTTGGAGGGTACAAACATACAAACTCTATCACCATCTCAATTTTTTTTTTTTAAAGAGGGAATCTTGCTCTGTTGCCGGGTTGGAGTGCAGTGGCAAGATCTCGGCTGATCGCAACCTCCACCTCCAGGGTTCAAGCGATTCACCTGCCTCAGCCTCCTGAGTAGGTGGGATTACAGGGATTACAGCTGCATGTCCATGGTGGGCTGTGGGATGGTGATAAAAGTAGGGACAGAGAAGTCTACGTTCAGCCAAGATGGAATCATGGAAATGCACTTTACCCTCCCATCTGAAACAATCAAGAAAAACGTGGAAAAATGCAACTGTGTTAATTTCTTTTTTTTCTTATTTCTTCTTCTTATTATTATTGAGACAGAGCTTCACTCTTGTAGCCCAGGCTGGAGTACAATGGCACAATTGCAGCTCACTGCCACCTCCACCTCCAGGGTTCAAGCGATTCTCCTGCCTCAGCCTCCTGAGTAGCTGGGATTACAGGCACGCACCACCACACCTGGCTAATTTTTGTATTTGTATTTGTATTATTGTTTTTTTTTTTTTTAAGATGGAGTCTCCCTCCCTCTTGTTGCCCAGGCTGGAGTGCAGTGGCGCGGTCTCAGCTCACTGCAACCTCTGCCTCTCGGGTTCAAGTGATTCTCCTGCCTCAGCCTCCTAACTGGGATTACAGGCACGCACCACCATGCCCAGCTAATTTTTTGTATTTTTAGTACAGATAGGGTTTCATCACTATACCCAGGGTGGTGTCCAACTCCTGAGCTCAGGCAATCCGCCCGCCTCGGCCTCCCAAAAGTGCTGGGATGACAGACGGGAGCCACACCAGGCTGGGCTGCTTCTGTACATTTTAGGTAGACGTGAGACATGAATCAAACATATTTAAGACACACATTGCTTCAGTCCGGAAAAATGGGGAAGCTCACAGCAAACGCTCCCAGGTAATAGGTAGATTTAAACATTTTGTGATTGGTAATTGTTTGAAATAATTTTTCTTTTTTTTTTCAGATGGAGTTTCACTCTTGTTGTCCAGGCTAGAGTGCGGTGGCATGATCTCAGCTCACTGCAACCTCTGCCTCCCGGGTTCAAACGATTCTCCTGCCTCAGCCTCCCGAATAGCTAGGATTACAGGCATGCACCACCATGCTCGGCTAAGTTTGTATTTTTAGTAGAGATGGGGTTATTTTTGAGGTGGAGTCTCACTCTGTCACCCAGGCTGGAGTGCAGTGGCATGGTATCAGCTCACTGCAAACTCTGCCTCCCTGGTTCAAGAAATTCTCCTGCCTCAGCCTTCCAAGAAGCTGGGACCACAGGCACCCGCCACCATGCCCGGCTAATTTTTGTATTTTTAGTAGAAACAGGGTTTCACCGTGTTAGCCAGGATGGTCTCGATCTCCTGACCTTGTGATCTGCCTGCCTCGGCCTCCCAAAGTGCTTGGATTACAGGTGTGAGCCACTGCGCCCGGCCTATTTGTTTTATTTTATTTTTGAGGTGGAATCTTGCTCTGTTGCCCAGGCTGGAGTGCAATGGCGTGATCTCGGTTCACCACAACCTCCGCCTTCTGGGTTCAAGCGATTCTCCTGCCTCAGCCTCCCTAGTAGCTGGGACTACAGGCGCCCGCCACCACGCCCGGCTAATTTTGTATTTTTAGTAGAGACGGGGTTTCTCCATGTTGGTCAGGCTGGTCTCGAACTCCCAACCTCAGGTGATTCACCCTCCTCGGCCTCCCAAAGTGCTGGGATGACAGGCGTTAGCCATTGTGCCTGGCCGAGAATTATTATCAATAGAAAAGAATGTCTGGGTTATAATGGTATAGGGTTTGGGGACCAAGGTTTTATCAAGCAGATGACGCCTCCAGGGAGCAGGCTTCAGAGAGACTAGATTGTAAATGTTTCTCCTTTTGTTTTTGTTTTTGTTTTTTTTTTTTGAGACAGAGTGTTGCTCTATCACCCAGGCTGGAGTGAAGTAGCATGATCTCGGCTCACTGCAACCTCCGCTTCCCGGGTTCAAGTGATTCTTCTGCCTCAGCCTCCCAAGTAGCTGGGATTACAGGTGCCACCGTGCCTGGCTAATTTCTGTATTTTTTGTATTTTTTGTAGCCACCGGACCCAGCCAATTGTAAATATTTCTTTTTCAGACTTAAGATCTGTGTTAGGCCGGGCGCGGTGGCTGAAGCCTGTAATCCCAGCACTTTGGGAGGCCGAGGAGGGCGGATCTCCTGAGGTCAGGAGTTCAAGACCAGCCTGGCCAACATGGGAGGTTGAGGCAGGAGAATGGCGTGAACCCGGAAGGCGGAGCTTGCAGTGAGCCGAGATCGTGCCACTGCACTCCAGCCTGGGCCACAGAGCGAGACTCCGTCTAAAATAAATAAATAAATAAAAATAGGACTCTGATTTTCCCTCCCCTTTTCTGTGTAAAAACTGGCCATAAGGAAATTCCATGACCTCCCTTGTTTGTCTGAAGATCCTAAGATTTCCATTCCAGAGAGGAACAGGAATTCCGTTCTTTTCTTCTGCCCCACACCCAGAAGAAAAGGAGCTCTGCTGAGAGACACCAAGAAGAATCTAGAAAGACAGGCCTGGCTGGATTTCCTCACTCATTCATTAGCCTTAGATCAGGCCTTTTTCCACCAATTCTGCTTCTACACAGGTGTCCAGACTGTGTTAAACCTAAGCTTAAAAATGAACAGTTTCACGCCTGTCACGGTGGCTCACGCCTGTCATCCCAGCACTTTGGGAGGCCGAGGCGGGTGGATCACGAGGTCAAGAGATCGAGACCATCCTGGCCAACATGGTGAAACCCCGTCTCTACTAAAACTACATAAATTAGCCAGGCGTGGTGGTGTGTGCCTGTCATCCCAGCTGCACTCAGGAGGCTGAGGCAGGAGAATCGCTTGAACCTGGGAGGTGGAGGTTGCGGTGAGCTGAGATCAAACCACTGCCCTCCGACCTGGGTGACAGAGTGAGACTCAGTCTCAAAAAAAAGAATCTGCCAAGATCATGTATCACTCTGTGGTTTTTCTGCAGACAGATCATTTGGGCCCAGGAGTTCGAGACCAGTCTGGGCAACATAGTGAGACTTTGTGTGTACAGATAAGTTTTTTTATAAAATTGCCCGGGCACGGTGATCCCAACCTGTCATCCCAGCACTTTGCGAGGCCAAGACAGGCGGATCACGTGACGTAGGAGTTCGATACCAGCCTGGCCAACGGGGTGCAACCCCGTCTCTACTAAAAATACAAAAAATTAGCCGGGCGTGTTGGCGGGCGCCTGTAGTCCCAGCTACTTGGAGGCTGAGGCAGCAGAATGGCGTGAACCCAGGAGGCAGAGCTTGCAGTGAGCCAAGATCGTGCCACTGCACTCCAGCCTGGGAGACAGCGAGACTCTGTCTCAAAAAAAAAAAAAAAAAAATTGCCTGGATACCATGATCCCAGCCTGTCATCCCAGCACTTTGCGAGGCCAAGAGAGGCAGATCACATGAGGTAGGAGTTCAAGACCAGCCTGGCCAACAGGGTGCAACCCCGTCTCTACTAAAAATACAAAAATTAGCTGGGCATGTCGCTGCATGCCTGTAATCCCAGCTACTCAGGAGGCTGAGGTATGAGAATCACTTGAACCCGGAGGCAGAGATTGCAATGTGTTGAGATCACACCACTGTACTCCATCCTGGGGGACAGAGTGAGACCCTGTCTCAAAAAAAAAAAAAAAAAAACAAGAGAAAAGAAGAGAAAAAACAGAGGTTTATAGCATCTCCACAGGCTCCTGTTATCACTAATGTAAACCACAAATAAAATTTGAATGCTTGCTCAACTATCTGAATGGATCCCTTCCCTCAACTAAGGACATTTGAAAGTTAAGGCCGGGCGCGGTGGCTCACGCCTGTAATCCCAGCACTTTGGGAGGCCGAGGCGGGGGGATCATGAGGTCAGGAGTTCCAGACCAGCCTGGCCAATATAGTCAAACCCCGTCACTACTAAAAATACAAAAAATTAGGTTGGCGTGGGGGCAGGTGCCTGTAATCACGGCTACTCAAGAGGCTGAGGCAGGAGAATGGAGTGAACCCAGGAGGCAGAGCTTGCAGTGAGCCAAGATTGCGCCACTGCCCTCCAGCCTGGGTGACAGAGTGAGACTCTGTCTCAAAAAAAAAAAAAAAAAAGTTAACCTGAAAGTCCACTTCAGGCCGTCATGGAAAGTGGGGCCGGACATGCCTCATTACAGCCTCCTGCCTTTAGAATTCAGGCACAGCTGAGCAGCATTCACGTGAAAACCAAGATCATAAGATTCACAAAACAGGCCGGCACAGCGGCTCATGCCTGTAATCCCAGCACTTTGGGAGGCAGAGGCAGGCGGATCACCTGAGGTCCGGAGTTCGAGACCAGCCTGGCTAACACGGTGAGCCCCCTCTTCCCCCATCTCTACTAAAAATACAAAAAAAAAAAAATTAGTCAGGCGTGATGGCACATGCCTGTGATCCCAGCTACTTGGGAGGCTGAGGCAGGAGAATCGCTTGAACCCGGGAGGCGGAGGTTGTAGTGAGCCGAGATTGCACCACTGCACTCCAGCCTGGGCAACAGAGCGAGAGTCCGTCTCAAAAAACAAAACAAAACAAAACAAAACAGTAGCTAATAAGTAGCCTCTGAAAAGGACATCAGTTTCGGAGTTTTTGGCCCAAACCTGGGAGAATAATAAGACGTGGGGAATTCTTTCTGTGGGCAGAAGAGCATGCAGAGCGGGAAACCCAGTCTCCGTTTCTTGGAAAGCCTGTTTCTCATCTGTTCTCAGAACCTTTCTCTCAGCCACTAACCTTTAGGATAAACTGCCAGACAAGGGAGATTTGAAATCCTGCAACTCACAGCTTCCAGGTAATCCTCGGTCCTAGAGAAGTAGAAACCGACCCCTCTGGGCCATGGGATTTTGGTTCTGGAAGTTCTGTGGGCTCCAGAGGAATGAGGGTTTTTTGGTTTTTGGTTTTTGTTATGAGACGGAGTTTCACTCTTGTCACCCAGGCTGGAGTGCAGTGGCACGATCTCGGCTCACTGCAACCTCCGCCTCCCGGGTTCAAGAGATTCTCCTGCCTCAGCCTCCCGAGTTTCTGGGAGTACAGGTGCCTGCCACCACGCCTGGCTAATTTTTCTTTCTTTTTTTGTTTCTGTATTTTTAGTAGAGACAGGGTTTTGCCATGTTGGCCAGCCTGGTCTCGAACTCCTGACCTCAAGTGATCCACCCGTCTCGGCCTCCCAAAGTGCTGGGATTACAGGCGTGAGCCACTGCGCCCGGTCAGAAACAGGGTTTTTCTTTTGTTTTGTTTTTATGTTTTCAGACGGAGTTTCACTCTTGTTGCCCAGGCTGGAATGCAGTGGCACAATCTCGGCTCACTGCAACCTCTGCCTCCCAGGTTCCAGAGACTCTCCTGCCCCAGCCTCCTGAGTTTCTAGGAGTACAGGTGCCTGCCCCCACGCCCGGCTAATTTTTCTTTTTTGTTTTTGTATTTTTATTTGAGACACGGTTTCACCATGTTGGCCAGCCTGGTCTTGAACTCCTGACCTCAAGTGATCCACCCCTCTCGGCCTCCCAAAGTGCTGGGATTACAGGCGTGAGCCACTGCGCCCGGTTAGCAAGAGATTTTTGTTGTTTTTTTTTTTTGTTTTATGTTTTGAGATGGAGTTTCACTCTCCTCACCCAGGCTGGAGTGTAGTGGCACGATCTCAGCTCACTGCAACCTCCACTTCCGGGTTCAAGCGATTCCCCTGCCTCAGCCTCGCGAGTAGCTGGGATTACAGGCGCCCACCACCACACCCAGCTGATTTTTGTATTTTTAGTAGAGACGGGGTTTCTCCCTGTGGGTCAGGCTGGTCTCGAACTCCTGACCTCAGGTGATCCGCTCCCCTCGGCCTCCCAAAGTGCTGGGATGACAGGGTAAGCCATTGCACCCGGCCTTTTTTTGATATTTTTAGTAGAGATGGTGTTTCCCCATGTTGGCCAGGCTGGTCTCGAGCTCCTGACCTCAACTGATCCACCTGTCTCGGCCTCCCAAAGTGCTGGGATTACAGGCGTCAGTCAATGAGCCCGGTCAGCAAGAGATTGTTTTTGTTTTGTTTTGTTTTGTTTTATGTTTTGAGATGGAGTTTCACTCTTGTCGTCCAGGCTGGAGTGCAGTGGCATGAACTCAGCTCACTGCAACCTCCGCCTCCCAGGTTCAGGTGATTCTCCTGCCTCAGCCTCCCGAGTAGCTGGGATTACAGGCGCCCGCCATCACGCCCGGCTAATATTTCTTTGGTGTTTTTAGTAAGAGATGGTGTTTCACCATGTTGGCCAGGCTGGTCTTGAACTCCTGACCTCGTGATCTGCCCACCTCAACCTCCCAAAGTGCTGGGATTACAGGCGTGAGCCAGCGAGCCTGGACCAGAAGCTTGAGCTTTTTGTCATGGAGAATTTCCAGTTGGGAAGGAGTTATCTGGACAGGATCATTCTGATCACGGTGCCCCAGGGAGACCCCTGTGAGGGGCGCTTTCTGTCATGTAGAGAACAAAGAACAGCCTGAATGAGAAGCTCTCTGGCAGCATCATCAATGCTCCCAACCCGGCAGAGGGCAGGTGCTCTGCAGACCCCTCCCCACAGCTGAATGGTTTCTCCCTGGGGAAGCTGAGCCCCCCTCCTTGCCCCTTAATCCCATTCCCCTGAGAGCAGAGCTTCTATTTCTTTTTTTTTCTTTTCTTTTCTCTTTTCTTTTCTTTTTTTCTTTTCTTTCTTTCTTTTTCTTTTTTTTTCTTTTTTTTTTTTTTTTGAGACAAAGTCTCTCGCTCCTGTTCCCCAGGCTGGAGTGCAATGGTGCGATCTCAGCTCACTGCAACCTCTGTCTCCCGGGTTCAAGCAATTCTCCTGCCTCAGCCCCCCGAATAGCTGGGATGACAGGTGGCTGCCACCATGCCCGGCTAATTTTTCTATTTTTAGTAGAGACAGGGTTTCACTATGTTGGCCATGCTGGTCTGTAACTCCTCTGACCTCAGGTGATCCTCCCGCCTCCACCTCCCAAAGTGCTGGGATGACAGGCGTGAGCCACCGCGGCCAGCCCAGAGCTTTTATTTCTTATCTCTGCATTCCCCCAACTCAATCTTCTCCCCAGCTCCCCTGCTCCCCTACTCCACCTCCTCCCCAACCCACCTCCTCCTTCACCTGCTTCTAGCCCCTTCCACGAAAGCTGATGTCCCTTGTGAAAGAAAAATAAATCGCCAGGCGCGGTGGCTCACGCCTGTCATCCCAGCACTTTGGGAGGCCGAGGCGGGCGGATCACGAGGTCAGGAGATCGAGACCATCCTGGCTAACACGGTGAAACCCCATCTCTACTAAAAATACAAAAACTTAGCCAGGCGTGGTGGCGGGCGCCTGTAGTCCCAGCTACGCAGGAGGCTGAGGCAGGAGAATGGCGTGAACACGGGAGGTGGAGCTTGCAGTGAGCCCAGATCGAGCCACTGCACTCCAGCCTGGGCGAGAAGAAAGAAAAATAAATCTCTGGGCCCCGCTGGGAACTGCTTAGGGCCTCTCCCTCTCATTCTATTCAAAGTGACCGTCTGTGCTCACTGAGATAGATGCATATCTAATTGCCTCCTTTAGAGAGGCTAACCAGAAACTCAAAAGAATGCAGCCATTTGGGAGGCAGACAGGGGCAGATCACCTGAGGTCAGAGGTGTGAGCCACTGCCCCTGGCCCATCTTGCTTATGTTGATTGATTTCTTATGTATCCCTAGAATGTATAAAACCCAACTGTGAGGCCGGATGCGGTGACTCGCCTGTAATCCCAGCACTTTGGGAGGCCAAGCGGGCGGATCACGAGGTCAGGAGATCGAGACCAGCCTGGCAACCATGGTGAAACCCAGTCTCTACTAAAAATACAACAACTTAGCTTGGTGTGGTGGTGGACGCCTGTAGTCCCAGCTACTCGGGAGGCTGAGGCAGGAGAATGGCGTGAACCCAGGAGGTGGAGCTTGCAGTGAGCCGAGATCGCGCCACTGCACTCCAGCCTGGGCGACAGAGTGAGACTCCTTCTCAAAATTAAAAAAAAAAAAAGAGAAGAAATTCAGTTCGTGGTGTAATTCTGAAACAAAATGGAAAACAGCCCCTTTCCCTAAGAGCTAAGGTCCAGTCTGCCTTCACAGGACTCACAAATTAGCTACAAAATTAGAAATTACAGTTTAGGGCTCCTGCAGGAGTATGTCACTGTTGTAAAACTAAGATCGATGCTTGAGATGTTTTGCAGAGCCTGCATCTGGCGGATCGGCTGACACCACCTAGACTGGCCATCTGGCAAAACCAGTTCTGCCATCCCATCCAGGAACAGAAAACAACAAGAAAAACTCACTTCAGGCCGGGGTGCAGTGGCTCACACCTGTAATCCTAGCACTTTGGGAGGCCGAGGCGGGCGGATCACAAGGTCAGGAGATAGAGACCAGCCTGGCTAACATGGTGAAACCCCGTCTCTACTAAAAATACAAAAACTTAGCCAGGTGTGGTGGCGGGTGCCTGTAATCCCAGCTACTCAGGAGGCTGAGGTAGGAGAATCGCATGAACCCGGGAGGCGGAGATTGCAGTGAGCCGAGATTGCACCATTGCACTCCAGCCTGGGAGAGAGTGCAAAACTCCGTCTAAAAAGAAAAGAAAAGAAAAATGCTTAAGGTGCTTTGTGAGGGTCGGATGAATACAATTGAATGGATCTGGCCCTAAGCTGGGAGTGAGCCGTGAGATACGAGCCATTATATCACGGTGTGCATCTGGTGTGCCATCTGGTTGAACTCGGGAATTTAAAGTTCTCCACATTGATGGTGAAACTCAGAAACAAGGTGTGAGCCATTGACAAGAAGTAGTATAACAGTGCCAGTTCCAGCAGCCTTGGTGAACCGTCTGGTTGAGCTCTTGGGAAGATAAACTTCTCTACATCAATGTCAAAAGGAAGATATGAGCCTTTGACAAGAATATCCACCATGATGCCCAGTTCCAGCAGCCTGGGTGAG
This sequence comes from Homo sapiens, assembly GCF_000001405.40. Taxonomy (NCBI): domain Eukaryota; kingdom Metazoa; phylum Chordata; class Mammalia; order Primates; family Hominidae; genus Homo; species Homo sapiens. The sequence continues at coordinate 1,263,943 of NC_000023.11, forward strand.
CCATCTGGTTGAGCTCTTGGGAAGATAAACTTCTCTACATCAATGTCAACAAGAAGATATGAGCCTTTGACAAAAAGATCCACCATGATGCCCAGTTCCAGCAGCCTGGGTGAGCCATCTGGTTGAGCTCTTGGGAAGATAAACTTCTCTACATCAATGTCAACAAGAAGATATGAGCCTTTGACAAAAAGATCCACCGTGATGCCCAGTTCCAGCAGCCTGGCTGAGCCATCTGGTTGAGCTCTTGGGAAGATAAGCTTCTCTACATCAATGTCAACAAGAAGATATGAGCCTTTGACAAAAAGATCCACCGTGATGCCCAGTTCCAGCAGCCTGGCTGAGCCATCTGGTTGAGCTCTTGGGAAGATAAACTTCTCTACATCAATGTCAACAAGAAGATATGAGCCTTTGACAAAAAGATCCACCATGATGCCCAGTTCCAGCAGCCTGGCTGAGCCATCTGGTTGAGCTCTTGGGAAGATAAACTTCTCTACATCAATGTCAACAAGAAGATATGAGCCTTTGACAAAAAGATCCACCATGATGCCCAGTTCCAGCAGCCTGGCTGAGCCATCTGGTTGAGCTCTTGGGAAGATAAACTTCTCTACATCAATGTCAACAAGAAGATATGAGCCTTTGACAAAAAGATCCACCATGATGCCCAGTTCCAGCAGCCTGGCTGAGCCATCTGGTTGAATTCTTGGGAAGATAAACTTCTTTACATTGATGTCAACAACAGGGCATGATTCATTAAAGACAAAAAGGCCCATTATTGTGCCCACTTCCAGCAGCCTTGGTGAGTCATCTGATTTGGCTCTTGGAAAGACAAACTTCTCTACATGAATGGTGAAAGTCAGAAACAGGGTATGAGCCATTGACAAGCAGACCCACTATAGTTTGCAGTTTGAGCCTTGGTAAGCCATCTGGTTGAACTCTTGGAAAGTTAAATTTCTCTACATCGATGTCAGCAACAAAGTATGAGCCATTCACAAGAAGATCCACCATGGTGGCCATTTCCAGCAGCCTTCGTGAGCCACCTGCTTGAGCTCTTGGGAGATAACCTTCTCTACATCAATTCTGGAGAGAGGCAGCATGCTACAGTTTGGATACGGTTTGTTTGGTCCTGCCAGGTTTCATGTTGAAATTTGACCCCCTGTGTGGTAGGTGGGACCTGGTGGGAGATGTTTAAACCATGTGGGTGAATCCCGTATGAATGGCTTGGTCCTGCCCCCATAGTCATGAGTGAGTTCTCATTCTCAGTTTCCAGGAGAGCTGGTTGTTGAAAAGACCCTGGCACCTCCCCCCGCTCTCTCTTGCTTCCTTTCTGCCCATGTGGTCTCTCCACACACAATGTCTTCCCTTCACTTTCTGTCATGACTGGAAGCAGCGTGACGTCCTCACCACAAGCAGGTCCAAACACCACGCTTCCTGGACAACCTGGAGAACCACTATGAGCCGAATAAATAATCTCTTTTTTTTTTTACCTTTTTTTAAAAATTTTATTATTATTATACTTTAAGTTCTAGGGTACGTGTGCACAACGTGCAGCTTTGTTACATATGTATCCATGTGCCATGTTGGTGTGCTGCACCCATTAACTCGTCATTTAGCATTAGGTATGTCTCCTAATGCTGTCCCTCCCCCCTCCCCCCACCCCACAACAGTCCCCGGTGTGTGATGTTCCCCTTCCTGTGTCCATGTGTTCTCATGGTTCAATTCCCACCTATGAGTGAGAACATGCGGTGTTTGGTTTTTTGTCCTTGCGATAGTTTGCTCAGAATGATGGTTTCCAGCTTCAACCCTGTCCCTACAAAGGACATGAACTCATCATGTTTTATGGCTGCATAGTATTCCATGGTGTATATGTGCCACATTTTCTTAATCCAGTCTATCGTTGTTGGACATTTAGGTTGGTTCCAAGTCTTTGCTATTGTGAATAGTGCCATTATAAACATATGTGTGCATGTGTCTTTATAGCAGCATGATTTATAATCTTCTTTTTTTTTTGAGACACAGTCTCGCTCTGTCGCCGGGCTGGAGTGCAGTGGCAGCATCTCGGCTCACTGCAAGCTCCGCCTCCCGGGTTCAATTGATTCTCCTGCCTCAGCTTCCCAAGTAGCTGGGACTGCAGGTGCACGCCACCACACCCAGCTAATTTTTGTATTTTTAGTAGAGATGGGGTTTCACCATGTTGGCCAGGCTGGTCTTGATCTCTTGACCTCATGATCCGCCTGCCTCGGTCTCCCAAAGTGCTGGGATTACAGGCGTGAGCCACCGCGCCCAGCCAATGATCTCTTCTTTATCAATTACCCAACCTCAGGTATTCCTTTCCAGCAACATGAATGGACTAAGACAGCTCCTGCAGGAATGGGGAGGCTAAGACGGTAGAGGTGCAGCCTGGTCAGCCATCTTTCACCTTTGCTGATGTTGCTATCCAGGTGTTTTCCATTGCATGTGCATGAAGCCCTATGCTTTGTTTAGGCGCCAACTGTTAGTATCGTAACACATGTCCAGTCTGTTTGGTTGTTTTTTTTGAGACGGAGTTTTGCTCTTGTTGCCCAGGCTGGAGGGCAATGGCACCATCTCAGCTCACTGCAACCTCCATCTCCTGGGTTCAAGGGATTCTCCTGCCTCAGCCTCCTGAGTAGCTGGGATTACAGGCACTCGCCACCACGCCTGGCTAATTTTTGTATTTTTTTTTTTTTAGTGAGCCACTGCCCCTGGCCTGCGTGATGTTTCTTATGATTTTGTAGACAGCACAAAAGGCATCTGTATTTGTGTGTGTGCAAGTGTCTGTGCAGGTGTGTGTACACCAATATGCTTGTGCAGAGGCGTGTGCAGATGTGTGTGTAGTTGTGTGTATGGATAGGTGCACTGTGTGCAGGTGTGTGGGGATGTGTGTGTGCAGGTCTGTGTGTGCAGACATGCACGTGTATGCAGGTGTGTGTGTGTGTACAGATGTGTGTGCAGGTGTGTGTGCAGATGTGTGTGTAGTTGTGTGTATGCACATGTGCATTGTGTGCAGGTGTGTGGGGATGTGTGTGTGCAGGTCTGTGTGTGCAGACATGCATGTGTATGGAGGTGTGTGTACAGACGTGCGTGTAGGTGTGTGTGCATGTGTGTGTGTGCAGATGTGTGTATGCACATGTGCACTGTGTGCAGGTGTGTGAGGATGTGTGTGTGCAGGTCTGTGTGTGCAGACATGCGTGTGTGTGCAGGTCTGTGTGTGCAGACATGCATGTGTATGCAGGTGTGTGTGTGTACAGATGTGTGTGCAGGTGTGTGTTTGCAGATGTGTGTGCAGATGTGCATGTGTCCTTGTGTATATGCACATGTGCACTGTGTGCAGGTGTGTGTGTGTACAGATATGTGTGCAGGTGTGTGTGCAGATGTGCTTGTGTACAGATGTGTGTGTGTAGTTCTATGTACGCCCATGTGCACTGTGTGCAGGTGTGTGGGGATGTGTGTGTGCAGGTCTGTGTGTGCAGTTGTGTGTGCAGACATGCATGTGTGTGCAGGTGTGTGTGCAGGTGTGCGTGTGTAGACAAGTGTGTGTGTGCCATTGTGCTTGTTTGTGCAGACGTACGTGCAGGTGTGTGTGCAGATGTGTGTGTGTAGCTGTGTGTACACACATGTGCCCTGTGTGCAGGTGTGTGGGGATGTGTGCGCACGTCTGTGTGTGCAGACATGCATGTGCCTGCAGGAAAGTGGGGATGTGTGAGTGTGCAGGTCTGTGTGTGCAGATGTGTTTGCAGACGTATGTGTGTGCAGGTGTGTGTGCAGGACTGTGCCAGTGTGCTTGTTTGTGCAGATGTGTGTGCAGATGTGTGTGTAGCTGTGTGTACGCCCGTGTGCACTGTGTGCAGGTGTGTGGGGATGTGTGTGCAGTTGTGTGTGCAGACATGCATGTGTGTGCAGGTGTGTGCGCAGATGTGTGTGTAGTTGTGTGTATGCACATGTGCATTGTGTGCAGGTGTGTGGGGATGTGTGTGCAGGTCTGTGTGTGCAGATGTGTGTGCAAACATGCATGTGTGTGCAGGTGTGTGTGCAGATGTGCGTGTGTAGACAAGTGTGTGTGCCATTGTGCTTGTTTGTGCAGACGTACGTGCAGGTGTGTGTGCAGATGTGTGTGTGTAGCTGTGTGTACACACATGTGCCCTGTGTGCAGGTGTGTGGGGATGTGTGCGCACGTCTGTGTGTGCAGACATGCATGTGCCTGCAGGAAAGTGGGGATGTGTGAGTGTGCAGGTCTGTGTGTGCAGATGTGTGTGCAGACATGTATGTGTGTGCAGGTGTGTGTGCAGGACTGTGCCAGTGTGCTTGTTTGTGCAGATGTGTGTGCAGATATGTGTGTAGCTGTGTGTATGCCCATGTGCACTGTGTGCAGGTGTGTGGGGATGTGTGTGTGCAGGTCTGTGTGTGCAGTTGTGTGTGCAGACATGCATATGTGTGCAGGTGTGTGTGCAGATGTGTGTGTAGCTGTGTGTACGCCCGTGCGCACTGTGTGCAGGTGTGTGGAGATGTGTGTGTGTGCAGGTCTGTGTGTGCAGGTGTGTGTGCAAACATGCACACGCGTGCAAGCATGTGTGCAGGAGTGTGTGTGCACGTGTGTGCGGGCGTGTGGGAATGTGTGCGTGTGCAGGTCTGTGTGTGCAGATGTGTGTGCAGACATACATGTGTGTGCAGGTGTGTGTGTGTAGATGTGTGTGGGACTCACACTTGAGCTGTTCCACGGGCCAGTCTTTGGAGACGAGGTCAGGAGCCAATGAACTCACGGAGCAATTACAGGTTTCCCAATCCTATGAAATGAGGAAGCAGGGGAGGGAGGGGCAGGGAGTGTATGATGACACAGAGGAACTCTGAAGGGAGCTACTCAGAAGCGGGAGTCTCCGAGAGAAGAAAAGCAGGTGGAAGGAGAGGAAGCGGATGCCGTGGGGGTAAGCTAAGTTCTTTCCTTCTGTGGTCTTTGAGCATGTCGAGTCACCCGGGTACATGTTTCTGCTGTGTCTGTCGATAGAAAAGAAAGAGACTGAACTGGAACATAAGATTTCAAACGTTGGCTCGAGCCGAAGTGGGGACAGCGGCCCAGAAGACTGAGAGCCAAGGAACCTTGCATATGAGTTGTCTTCTGCCTTTGTTATATGCAGGTTTTTAAAGGCAAAATTAAAAAAATAAAATAAAATAAAAAGAGGGAGGTGTTGTTGGAGGACAGGGAGGGGGCTTCTGTGAAGCTGTTTGCTGGGAATTCTCGTTGGTTTACAGAAAAAAACAATTGATTAATGATTGGCTGTACATTGCTAAGCTACAGGGCGTTGGGGTGTAGTATCTAGCACGGAATTATCACGTGAATTCACAGCTATCTGTGGCATCCGGAAGCCGTTTCGAGAGATGAACGCGGCCGGGCGTGGTGGCTCACGCCTGTAATCCCAGCACTTTGGGAGACTGAGGCGGGTGGATCACCTGAGGTCGACAGTTCGAGACCATCCTGGCCAACATGGAGAAACCCCGTCTCTACTAAAAATACAAAATTAGCCGGGCATGGTGGTGGCAGGCACCTGTAATCCCACCTACTCAGGAGGCTGAGGCAGGAGAATCGTTTGAACCCGGGAGGCGGAGCTTGCAGTGAGCTGAGATTGCACCACTGCACTCCAGCCTGGGCAACAAGACGAGATTCTGTCTCAAAAAAAAGAAAAAGAAAAAAAAAGAGATGAAAAGAGATGAACGCAGAGCTGAAAGGGGGAGGGAGTGTGATGGTGTTACTAGTTACTAGAAAGGGGTCCTGATCCAGACTTCAAGAACGGGTTCTGGGATCTTGCCCAAGAAAGAACTGGAGGCAAGTTCACATTGCAAACTGAAAGCAAGCTTATTAAGATAGTAAAGGGGGGCCGGGCACGGTGGCTCATGCCTGTAATCCCAACACTTTTGGAGGCTGAGGCGGGCGGATCACCTGAGCTCAGGAGTTCGAGATCAGCTTGGCCAACATGGCAAAACCACACCTTTATTAAAAATAGAAAAAATTAGCTAGGTGTGGCAGTGTGTGCCTGTAATCCCAGCTACTTGGGAGGCTGAGGCAGGAGAATCGCTTGAACCCGGGAGGCGGAGGTTGCAGTGAGCCCAGATTGCACCGTTGCACTCCAGCCTGGGCAACAAGAGCAAAACTCTGTCCCCAAAAAAAGATAACTAAAAGAAAAAAGTCGTGGGGAGAGATGCTCCACTACAAGGGTGACTGATAAAGGATTCATCTTTGTCATGACTATCTTTTGCAGTAATCAATATTGTATATATACATATTATATATTTTTTATTATTATTATTTTGAGATCATCTGGCTGTGTCATCCAGGCTGGAGGGCAGTGGTGCAATCACAGCTGACTGCTGTCTTGAATTCCTGGGCTCAAGCAATCCTCCCATCTCGGCCTCCCGAGTAGCTGGGTCAAAGGCAAATGCCACCATTCCTGGCAAATATTTGTATTTTTGTAGGGACGAGGGTTTCACTGTGTTTCCCGGGCTGGTCTTGAACTCCTAGACTCAATCTATCTTCCTGCCCCAGCCTCCCAAAGTGGTGGGATGACAGGTGTGGGCCACCGCGCCTGGCCCAATATTATCATTTTTAAAGCAAAACGGATTCTCACACTATGAAAGCTTTTGTTCTGAAGATATCAACACATCAGGAGGTTTCTGTGTCTGTTCAGTCCTCGGTCTGTTTAGTAAACAGTATTGATCTGTTCACATATCTTGCGTCAGGAATGGCTGACCTCCAGGGAATGCTGCCCAGCCTGTCCCAGCCTCCCTGTTCCCAGCCCCTATTCTAGATGGAGTCCCTCTAAGCTGGGCGTGGTGTAATCCCAGGACTTTGGGAGGCTGAGGTGGGCGGATCACCTGAGGTCAGGAGTTCGAGACCAGCCTGGCCAACAGGGTGAAACCCCATCTCTACTAAAAATACCCAAAATTAGCCGGGGCGTGGTGGCGGGCGCCTGTAATCCCAATATTTTGGAAGGCTGAGGTGACAGAGGATTGCTTGAGGCCACAGCAATTCCAGACCAGCCCGGGGCAACATCGTAAGATTCCCCCATCCCTCGTGTATAAAAAAAAGATTAAATTATTACAAATTTTAAAAAAGACAGAAATGAAGCATCTTAAGTTACCACCCAGATTGGGGTACTAAGAGTCTGGATTTGGACAGCTTGTTGCGCGTTTTATAGGTGTGCTAAATCACATTTCACTCTTTTTGTTGAGACAGAGTCTCGTGCTGTCGCCCAGGCTGGAGGGCAGTGGCGCGATCTCTGCTCACCGCAACCTCCGCCTCCTGGGTTCAAGCAATTCTCCTGCCTCAGCCTCCTGAGTAGCTGGGATTACAGGCACCTGCCACCACGCCCGGCTAATTTTTGTATTTTTTTTTTTTTTTTTTTTTTTTGGAGACAGCGTCTTGCTCTGTCGCCCAGGCTGGAGTGCAGTGGTGCAATCTCCGCTCACTGCAACCTCCACCTCCCGGGTTCAAGCAATTCTCCTGCATTAGCCTCCTGAGTAGCTAGGATTACAGGCACGTGCCACCATGCCCAGCTAATTTTTGAATTTATTTATTTATTTTTTTGGAGACAGTATCTTGCTCTGTTGCCCAGGCTGGAGTGCAGTGGTGCGATCTCGGCTCACTGTAACCTCCGCCTCCCGGGTTCAAGTGATTCTCCTGCCTCAGCCTCCTGGGTAGCTGGGATTACAGGTGTGTGCTACCATGCCCGGCTAATTTTTGTATTTTTAGTAGGGATGGTGTTTCACCATGTTGGCCAGGCTGGTCTGGAACTCCTGACTTCAAATGATCCGCTCACCTTGACCTCCCAAAGGGCTGGGATTACAGACATGAACCACGGAGCCCGGCCGGATTTCACTCTTTAGATTTTTGGTTTAAACTCGAGAAGCTCTTCTCGAGGGCTGAAAGCTCTTGGTCCCCTGTAGGTTTGCTGTAGATGACAGACATGAGGCAGATTGATTAATAAGAGAAAAGACATGCACTTTTTTTTTCTTTTTTTTTTTTGAGACGGAGTCTCGCTCTGTCACCGAGGCTGGAGTGCACTGGCATGATCTCGGCTCACTGCAACCTCCACCTTCCAGGTTCAACTGATTCTCCTGCCTCAGCCTCTCCAGTAGCTGGGATTACAGGCGTGTGCTACCATGCCTGGCTAATTTTTCTATTTTTAGTAGAGACAGGGTTGTTCCATATTGGTCAGGCTGGTCTCGAACACCTGACCTCAGGTGATCCGCCTGCCTCGGCCTCCCAGTGTGCTAGGATTACAGGCGTGAACCACTGTACCCAGCCAGATTTACACATTTATAGAATGTGTATACACAAGATTCTTCAGAATGAGGACTCCACCCCACAATGAGGTTCAGAAGCTAGTACACCACATTGAGACTACAGAAGGATAGGGGATTGGATCCTGGTACAAAAAAAAAAAGGTTATAGGGTTGGGGGGAAAGAGGAATTCTATTGAGGAGCAATATATAATTTCTACTGCGGACTGAACTCTGATTTTTTTCTTTATTTTATTTTATTTTATTTTATTTTTTTGAGACAGCATCTCACTCTGCCGCCCAGGCTGGAGTGCAGTGGTGCGATCTCAGCTCACTGCAACCTCCACCTCCTGGGTTCACCCGATTTTCCTGCCTCAGCCTCCCGAGTAGCTGCGATTACAGGCACCCGCCACTACGCCCAGCTAATTTTCTTTGTATTTTTAGTAGAGACGGGGTTTCACCATGTTGGCCAGGCTGGTCTTGAACTCCTGACCTCAGGTGATCCAACCTCCTCGGCCTCCCAAAGTGCTGGGATTATACGCATGAGCCACTGCACCTAGCTTCTTCTTTTTCTTTTTTTTTTTCTTTCTTTTTTTCTTTTTTTTTTTTAGATGGAGTCTAACTTTGTCGCCCAGACTGGAGTACAGTGGCACAATCTCAGCTCACCACAGCCTCCACCTCCCAAGGTCAAGCAATTCTCCTGCCTCAGCCTCCCAAGTAGCTGAGATTACAGGCACGTACCACTACTGCCTGAGTAATTTTTGTGTTTTTAGTAGAGACAACATTTCACCAGGTTGGCCAGGCTGGTCTCGAACTCCTGACCTCAAGTGATCCACACGCCTCAGCCTCCCAAAGTGCTAGGATTATAGGCACCAGCCACCACACCGGGCCTCTGACTTTTTTTATCTTGCCCAAATTCCTATCTAAGAGGTCTGAGGAGGCAAGCCCTACAAACCATAAATTCTCATCAAATGGGATTTATTGAACCCTGTATATCGTGACTTACTTTCCAACCTGACTCTGGCAAACGTTACAAGACAGAGAAAAAAAACAACATATGTTGCCCCAAAATATGTTTCTTAGTTGTATTTTTTTTTTCTTTTAAGATGGTCTCATTCTGTTTCCAAGGCTGGAGTGCAGTGGTGCAATCTTGGCTCCCTGCAACCTCCGTCTTCTAGGTTCAAGCGATTCTCCTGCCTCCTCAGCCTTCCAAATAGCTGGCGTAATATGCATGAGCCATCGTGCCCAGATAATTGTTTTTTGTTTTTTGTTTTTTTTTTAGTAGAGATGGGGTTTCACTGTGATGGCCAGGCTGGTCTTGAACTCCTGACCTCAGGTGATCCAACCGCCTCGGCCTCCCAAAGTGCTGGGATTATAGGCGTGAACCACTGCTCCCGGCTGGAGTACAGGGGCATAATCTTGGCTCACTGCAGCCTCTGCTTCCCAGGTTCAAGTGATTCTCCTGCCTCAGTCTCCCGAGTAGCTGGGACTACAGGCGCCCGCCACCACGCCCAGCTAATTTTTTTTTTTTTTTTTGTATTTTTTTTTTTTAGTAGAGATGGGGTTTCACTGTGTTTGCCAGGATGGTCTCGATCTCCTGGCCTCATGATCTGCCCGCCTCGGCCTCCCGAAGTGCTGGGATGACAGGCGTGAGTCACCGCGCCCGGCATGAAAGGGTTTTTCATTAAAAATCCTTGTTATACCGTGGAGCCCTGTGTTGGGGTAAAATATCATGATTTCCCTCACTCTCCATCATTCTTGCTTTGAATCTGAGAAGGAAGCTTGGCGGCCTCTATTTTAGGATCAGCCGAAAATTTCCAGAAAGGGGAAAGAAAACTCATTCTGTAAACACAAAAAAGAAGAAGAGAAAAAAGTATAAGCGGTACAGACAAAACGCAAAGATGTTGCATAATTTTCCGTGAGTGCAAAATGTCCTGTAAACCAAAAAAGAGGTATCTGAGACAGGTCTCAGTCCATTTAGAAAGTTCATTTTGCCGAGGTTAAGGACGCCTGCCCATGACAGAGCCTCAGGAAATCGCGATGACAGGTGCTGTGGATACACAGGGCACAATTTGCTTTCATACATTTTTTTGGCGGGGAGGGAGCTGGGGATCCAGTCTTGTTCTGTCACCCAGGCTGCAGTGCAATGGTGCAATCTCAGCTCACTATCACTGTAACCTCCGCCTCCCGTGTTCAAGCTATTCTCCTGCCACAGCCTTCTGAGTAGCTGGGATTATAGGCACCCACTACCGCGCCCAGCTAATTTTTGTATTTTTAGTAGAGACGGGGTTTCACCATGTTGGCCAGGATGGTCTCGAACTCCTGGCCTCAAATGATCCACCTGCCTCGGCCTCCCAAAGTGCTGGGATTATAGGCGTGAGCCATGGCGCCCAGCCCTGGTATGTAATTTTTAAAACCTTTGTAGTACCTTATTTACGAATAAAATGCGAGGCAGGTTTGCCTAAGACAGTTTCCACTATAACCTTTCATGATTTTGGGGTCCTGAGACTTATTTACCTTTCACAGTTTACAGCAGGAAAATCCGTGGAGACAGCAGATCCGAGAAGCGGCGATGTTTGCGTAGAACCCTGTACGTGCTTCCTTCGGCCTGTCGGTAATGTGGTTGGGGATTTTCTTTTTTTTAAGTGAAGTCTAAAGAACTGAAATGTTTTGCTCCATAATGATGAACCAGGATAGAAGTGAGAACTCAGGGCAGAAGAATCTGAATGAGGAACTGTCTGACCTATGACAAATTTAACATGTCACGTTCCCTCTGAGACAGTACACATCCTCCTGAAGCAGCGTGACAAGGCACATCCTCCTGAAGGGTCTCCAGGCAGAAGAGACGCATGAACCTGTCAAAAAAAAAAAAAAAAAGAGCCGGCCGGGCGCAGTGGCTCAAGCCTGTAATCCCAGCACTGTGGGAGGCTGAGGCGGGGGGATCATGAGGTCAGGAGTTCCAGACCAGCCTGGCCAACATGGTGAAACCCCATCTCTGCTAAAAATACAAAAATTAGCCGGGTGTAGTGGCAGTTGCCTCTAGTCCCAGCTACTCCGGAGGCCGAGGCAGGAGAATCGCTTGAACCCAGGAGGCGTAGGTTGCAGTGAGCCAAGATCGCGCCACTGCACTCCAGCCTGGGCAACAGAGCGACAGTCCGTCCCAAACACTGCAAAATATTTAAAGAGATTTATTCTGAGCCAAATATGAGTGAGCAAGAAGGCCCAGGGAAAATAGTCTAAAGAGATCCTGAGAACACGTATCCAAGCTGGTTGAGCGGCAGTTTGGTTTTATATGTTTTTGTTTGTTTACTTATTTTACTTTATTTTATTTATTTATTTATTTATTTTGAGATGAAGCCTTGCTCAGTCTGTTAGGCTGGAGTGCAGTGGCGCGATCTCGGCTCACTGCAACCTCCGCCTCCCGGGTTCACGCCATTCTCCTGCCTCAGCCTCCCGAGTAGCTGGGACTACAGGCGCCCACCACCATGCCCAGCTAATTTTTTGTATTTTTAGTAGAGAAGGGGTTTCACCGTGTTAGCCAGGATGGTCTCGATCTCCTGACTTCGTGATCCGCCCGCCTCAGCCTCCCAAAGTGTTGGGATTACAGGCACCCGCCACCACGCCCGGCCAATTTTTGTATTTTTAGTAGCGACGGGGTTTCACCATGTTGGCCAGGCTGGTCTCAAACTTGTGACCTCACATGATCTGCTCACCTCGGCCTCCCAAAGTGCTGGGATTACAGGCGTAAGCCACAGCGTCCAGCTATTTTATTTTATTTGTTTTATTTTTTGTGACAGAGTCTCACTCTGTCGCCCAGGCTGGAGTGCAGTGGAGCGATCTCAGCTCACTGCAACCTCTGCCTCCGGAGCTGAAGCAATTCTCCCGCCTCAGCCTCCCAAGTAGCTGGCATTACAGAGGTACGCCACCACGCCTGGCTAAATTTTGTTTGTTTGTTTGTTTGTTTGTTTGTTTGTTTTTGTTTTTCAGTAGACACAGGGTTTCACTATGTTGGCCAGGCTGGTCTCGAACTCCTGACCTCACATGATCTGCCTGCCTCAGCCTCCAGAAGTACTGGGATTACAGCCGTGAGCCACCTCACCCAGCCAGCAGCTTGGTTTTATGTTTGTTTATATATTTATTTATTTATTTATTTTTAATTTTTGGAGACGGAGTCTTGCTCTGTTGCCTGGGCTGGAGTGCAGTGGCATGATCTTGGCTCACGGCAACCTCTGCCTTTCGAGTTCCAGTGATTCTCCTGCCTCAGCCTCGCGAGTAGCTGGGAGTACAGGCGCCCGCCATCACACCCGGCTAGTATTTGTATTTTTAGTAGAGAGAGGGTTTCACCGTATTGTCCAGGCTGGTCTTGAACTCCTGTCCTCAAGTGATCCACCCACCTGAGCCTCTCAAAGTGCTGGGATTGCAGGCGTGAGCCTCTGTGGCCAGCCAACAGACAGTTTTGCAGGACCATTTCAAAATATGTCAAGTAAATATATTTTGGGGTGAAATGTATTTTAAAGTGGCATATACTGATTTCCCACAGTCTTGTCTGGGGAGGCATATCCTGGCCTCCTAGAAAGCATACACAGTAGCAGACAGGTGTGGTGGCTCACGCCTGCAATCCCAGCCCTTTGGGAGGCCGAGGCAGGTGGATCACAAGGTCAGGAGATCGAGACCATCCTGGCCAACATGGTGAAATGCTATCTCTACTAAAAATACAAAAATTAGCTGGGCGTGGTGGTGCATGCCTGTAATCCCAGCTACTCGAGAGGCTGAGGCAGGAGGACCACTTGAACCTGGCAGGTGGAGGTTGCAGTGAGCTGAGATCACGCCACTGCACTCCAGCCTGGGAGACAGAGCGAGGCTCCGTCTCTAAATAAATAAATAAAGCTTACGCAGTAGCTGAGAAGACAGGGAAAAGAGGTGAAGAAATGACAGAAAGCTTAGAAGTCGCTCATTATAACCCCTTCCTACCCCATCTCATGCTTCCCTTAAAGCATAAACGAAGGGTGCTTGTGTTACAGGAAAGGGGTTCGGATCCAGCCCCCAAGAGGGGGTTCTTGGATCTCACGCAAGAAAGAATTCAGGGCGGCCGGGCGCTGTGGCTCACACCTGTAATCCCAGCACCTTGGGAGGCAGAGGCGGGCGGATCACGAGGTCAGGAGTTCGAGACCAGCCTGACCAACATGGTGAAACCCCATCTCTACTAAAAATACAAAAATTAGCCAGGTGTGGTGGTGCGTGCCTGTAGTCCCAGCTACTCGGGAGACAGAGGCAAGAGAATGGCGTGAACCCGGGAGGCGATGCTTGCAGTGAGTGGAGATCATGCCACTACACTCCAGCCTGGGCGATAGAGTAAGTCCATCTCAAAAAAAAAAAAAAAAAAAAAAAATTCGGGGTGAGTCAGCAGTGCAAAGCCAAAGCAAATTTATTACAAAAGTAAAACAGTGAAAGAATAGCTACTCCAGAGGCCGGGCGCAGTGGCTCATGCCTGTAATCCCAGCACTTTGGGAGGTGGAGGTGGGCAGATCACCTGAGGTCAGGAGTTCGAGACCAGCCTGACCAACATGGTGAAACCCCATCTCTACTAAAAATACAAAAATTAGCCAGGCATGGTGGTGCGTGCCTGTAGTCCCAGCTACTCGGGAGGCTGAGGCAGTAGAATTGCTTCAACTTGGGAGACGGAGGTTGCAGTGAGCCGAGATGGCACCACTGCACTCCAGCCTGGGCAACAGAATGAGACTCAGTCTCAAAAAAAAAAAAAAAAATTTCAGGGCGAGCAAGTTTATTATGAAAGTAAAATAGTGAAAGACTAGGTACTCCAGAGGCCAGGCGCAGTGGCTCATGCCTATAATCCCAGCACTTTGGGAGCCCGAGGCAGGTGGATCACCTGAGGTCAGGAGTTCGAGACCAGCCTCGCCAACATGGTGAAACCCCATCTCTACTAAAAATACAAAAATTAGCCAGGCATGGTGGTGCGTGCCTGTAGTCCCAGCTACTTGGAGGCTGAGGCAGTAGAATTGCTTCAACTTGGGAGACGGAGGTTGCAGTGAGCCAAGATGGCACCACTGCACTCCAGCCTGGGCGACAGAATGAGACTCAGTCTCAAAAAAACAAAAGATTTCAGGGCGAGCAAGTTTATTATGAAAGTAAAGTAGTGGAAGACTAGCTACTCCAGAGGCCAGGTGCAGTGGCTCATGCCTATAATCCCAGCACTTTGGGAGCCCGAGGCAGGTGGATCACCTGAGGTCAGGATTTCGAGACCAGCCTCGCCAACATGGTGAAACCCCATCTCTACTAAAAATACAAAAATTAGCCAGGCGTGTTGGTGCGTGCCTGTAGTCCCAGCTACTCGGAGGCTGAGGCAGTAGAATTGCTTCAACTTGGGAGACGGAGGTTGCAGTGAGCCGAGATGGCACCACTGCACTCCAGCCTGGGTGACAGAATGAGACTCAGTCTAAAAAAAAAAAAAATTCAGGGCAAGCAAGTTTATTATGAAAGTAAAATAGTGAAAGACTAGGTAATCCAGAGGCTGGGTGCAGTGGCTCATGCCTATAATCCCAGCACTTTGGGAGCCCAAGGCATGTGGATCACCTGAGGTCAGAAGTTCGAGACCAGCCTGGCCAACATGGTGAAACCCCATCTCTACTAAAAATACAAAAATTAGCCAGGCGTGTTGGTGCGTGCCTGTAGTCCCAGCTACTCGGAGGCTGAGGCAGTAGAATCACTTGAACCTAGGAGACAGAGGTTGCAGTGAGCCGAGATGGCGCCACTGTACTCCAGCCTGGGCGACAGAGTGAGACTCCATCTCCAAAAAATAAATAAATAAGTCAACCAAGAAGGCCGTACGTACAGTGGCTCACACCTGTCATCCCATCACTTTGGGAGGCCGAGGCAGGGGGATTACTTGAGATCAGGAGTTTGAGACCAGCCTGGCCAACATGGTGAAACCCCGTCTCTACTAAAAATACAAAAATTAGCCAGGCGTGTTGGTGCGTGCCTGTAGTCCCAGCTACTCGGAGGCTGAGGCAGTAGAATGGCTTCAACTTGGGAGACGGAGGTTGCAGTGAGCCGAGATGGCACCACTGCACTCCAGCCTGGGCGACAGAGCAAGACCGTCTACAAAATAATAATAATAATTAATAATAATAATAATAACTAGTGCAAGAGAAGTACACAAATATCCCAAACATTTAGTGACTCAGCAGAGGGGGCCAGTCTCAAGGAACAGGACTTCTACACCTGTTACCACCACCTGGGGAGTTGTATCTGAATCTCAAGGTCAGGCCCACCCAGACAGAACATGCATCTCTAGGGTGCCACAGGAGAGTCTGTCCAGTGCCCAGAAACACCTGCAAGACCCAGAAGCAGGCTCCAAGAAGCGGGGTGCCACAGTCCAGTGGGGGAAGCGGCCACATCCCTGTCATGTGGGCTACAGATGAGTTGGGGGGCAGGGGCAGGAGAAGAAGAAACAGGTGTGGCCTACATGCTTTTACTTCCTCTTAGCAAGCGAGGTTCCTCTTGCAGAGGAACGGTCTGAGAGACACAACCGTTTTTTTTTTTTGTTTGTTTGCTTTTCCTTGAGACAGAGTCTCCCTCTGTCACCCAGGCTGGAGGGCAGTGGCGCGATCTCGGCTCACTGCAGCCTCCACCTCCTGGGTTCAAGCGATTCTCCTGCCTCAACCTCCCGAGTAGCTGGGATTACAGGCACCCACCACCCCACCCGGCTAATTTTTGTATTTCTAGTATAGATGAGGTTTCACCGTATTAGCCAAGCTGGTCCCGAACTCCTGACCTCAGGCGATCCGCCTGCCTTGGCCTCCCAAAGTGCTGGGATTACAGGCGTGAGCCACTGTGCCCGGCCGAGAGACGCAATCTTTCAGAGAGGAGGTTTGGAGCAGGAACCTCAGGGTGGACAGATGGGTCCCACCAGGTGCAGATGCTTGAACTAAAGATGCTACAAAGGCCGGGTGCAGTGGTTCATGCCTGTAATTCCAGCAGTTTGAGAAGCTGAGGCAGGCAGATCATCTGAGGTCAGGAGTTCGAGCCCAGCCTGGCCAACATGGCAAAACAGCGTCTCTACTAAAAATGCAAAATTAGCCTGGCATAATGGCGGGCGCCTATAATCCCAGCTACTTGGGAGGCCGAGGCAGGAGAATCGCTTGAACCCGGGAGGCGGAGGTTGCAGTGAGCCAAGATTGCACCACTGCACTCCAGCCTGGGTGACAAGAGTGAAACTCCGTCTCAAAAAAAAAAAAAAAAAAAGAAGAAGAAGAAAAGAAATACATTAGTTTGGTCCATAAAGGCGGGACAACTCAAAGTGGGGGCTTCCAGGCTATAAATGAATTTAAACATTTTCTGGTTGACAATTGGTTGAGTTTGTAGCTCCTCCTCCTTCTCTTCTTCCTCCTCCTTCTCCCCCCTTCCTCCTCTTCCTCCTCTTCCTCCTCCTCCTTCTTCTTCTCTTCTTTCTTCTTCTTCTCTTTCCCCTTCTTCTTCTTCTTCCTCCTCCTTCTCCTCCTCCTTTTTCTTCTTCTTCCTTATGGGCTTGGATAGAAGTATATTGACATGGATCCACCATTTGTAGAATCATACCGAGTAGCTTCTTTTCTCCTCCTTCCTCTCCTTCTCCTCCTCCTCCTCCTCCTTCTCCTGCTCCTTCTCCTCCTCCTCCTCCTGCTCCTTCTCCTCCTCCTCCTCCTTCTCCTCCTCCTCCTCCTGCTTCTCCTCCTCCTCCTTCTCCTCCTCCTGCTTCTCCTCCTCCTCCTTCTCCTCCTCCTCCTTCTCCTCCTCCTCCTTCTCCTCCTCCTCATTCTCCTCCTGCTCCCCTTCTCCTCCTCCTTCTCCTCCTCCTCCTTCTCCTCCTGCTCCCCTTCTCCTCCTCCTTCTCCTCCTCCTCCTCCTCCTGCTCCTCCTCCTCCAGCTCCCCTTCTCCTCCTACTCCTCCTTCTCCTCCTTCTCCTTCTCCTCCTTCTCCTACTCCTCCTTCTCCTACTCCTCCTTCTCCTACTCCTCCTTCTCCTCTTCCTTCTTCTCCTCCTCCTGCTCCTTCTCCTCCTCTTCCTCCTACTCCTCCTTCTCTTCCTTCTCCTCCTCCTCCTTCTCCTCCTCCTCCTTCTCCTCTTCCTCCTTCTCCTCCTCCTCCTTCTCCTCCTCCTCCCTCTCCTCCTCCTCCGCCTTCTCCTACTCCTCCTTCTCCTCCTCCTTCTTCTCCTCCTCCTGCTCCTTCTCCTCCTCCTCCTTCTCCTCCTGCTCCTTCTCCTCCTCTTCCTCCTACTCCTCCTTCTCTTCCTTCTCCTCCTCCTCCTTCTCCTCCTCCTGCACCTTTCCTCCTCCTCCTTCTTTTTCCTTTTTTGCATAAAGAAGTATCAAATAAGAGTAGTTTCACTGCCCTAAACATCCTCTGAGGTCCATGTATTCATCCCTCCATCTGCCCAACGCCAACCAACTCCGGATCTTTTTACTGTTTCCATGATTTTGTCTTTTCCACAGTGTCCAAGTGTTAGAATGACTCAGTCTGCAGCCATCTCAAAGTGGATTCTTTCCCTTAGTCATAAGTATTTAAACTTCATTCATGTCGTTTTATGTACTCACCCTTTTTTTCTTCCTCTTCTTTTTTTTTTTTTTTTCACTTTCCTTTTATAGCTGTTGCAAAAGTCAAGATTTTTTAAAAAATATAAAAGAGCAGGGCCGGGCACGGTGGCTCACGCCTGTAATCCCAGCACTTTGGGAGGCCGAGGCAGGTGGATCACGAGGTCAGGAGATGGAGACCATCCTGGCTAACACGGTGAAAGCCTGTTTCTACTAAAAAAAAAAAAAAAAAAAAAAAATTAGCTGGGTGTGGTGGCAGGCGCCTGTAGTCCCAGCTACTTGGGAAGCTGAGGCAGGAGAATGGTGTGAACCTGGGATGTGGAGGTTGCAGTGAGCCGAGATCGCGCCACTGCACTCCAGCCTGGGTGACAGAGCGTGACTTTGTCTCAAAAAAGAAAAAAAAAGTACAAAAGAGCAAAACAAAACAAAAGTTATGAAAATGAAAACCTGAGCCATCGTTTATCTTATTTCCCCAAATCCACTAATTATTAACAGAAAGTAAAAGCTATGAAAAATGAATGAAAGTGACTGCAATTTCCTTGAAGTGTGTTAGAACCTGCCTTTAGTGTCAGCTATGGGTTCCCTCATGAAGGTCAGCTGAGCCATGACCCATGAACCATGGAAGCTTGACTCTAGATTGACCATCTTGAGATGCCAAAGATGTCCACGTCCTAATCCCATGTGGGAGACAGAATAATGGCCCTGCAGACCTTCCCAGCTGGCCATGACCCCTCATTTGACCAGGTCAGCGGCTGACCACCATCCTGGGTTTGTTTCCCCAAATCACCTCCCTGGGGTCCCCTGCCAGGAATGTCCTGGGAGAGGCAACCTTCTCACTGTGTGATATTTTCTCTCCTGCAGCTCTTCCCTTCTCTCTGACCAGCACCATGCTTCTCCTGGTGACAAGCCTTCTGCTCTGTGAGTTACCACACCCAGCATTCCTCCTGATCCCAGAGAAATCGGGTAAGTATGGAAACCTGGCTGAACCTTCTCCGCGGCCCCTGTTTAGATGTCCTGCATCTGGAGACCCATCTGGATACCTGGGTCCATCTGCATTTCATCTCTAATGTTTATGAGGGACCCAATAAGCACCAGCCAACCCACCAGAAGCTCAGAGCTCCTCTTGTTCTCACCTCCTTTTCTGCTGTTAATTCCCATCCACCCATTCTACAGATGAGAAAACGGAGGCTCAGATACCTCCACAGTTTAACCCAACGACCATCCAGGTAGTGATGGGGCCAGGATGAGGACCCATGTCTGCATGGGGCCAAAGTGTTCCTTCCTTCCTTCGTTCCTTCGTTCCTTCGTTCCTTCCTTCCTTCCTTCCTTCCTTCCTTCGTTCCTTCCTTCGTTCCTTCCTTCCTTCCTTCCTTCCTTCCCTCCCTTGCTTCCTTCTCTTCCTCCTGCCCTCCCTCTTTCCATCCTTCCTTCTCTCCTTCCTTCCATCCTTCTCTCCCTCCTGATTCATTTCTTCTCTTTCTTTCTCTTCCTTCCTTCCCTCCTTCCCTTTCTCTCTTTCTTCCTTCCATTGTTTCCTTCTTTCCTTCCTTCTTCCGTCCCTCCCTTCTTTCTTTCTCTTTCTTCCTTCCCTCCTTCCCTCTCTCTCTTTCTTCCTTCCATTGTTTTTCTTTCTTTCCTTCCTTCCCTCCCTCCCTCCCTCTCTCTCTCTCTTTCTTTCTTTCTTTCTCCTTTTTTTTTCTCCTTCTTTGTTTCTTTCTTCCTCTTTCTTCTTTCTTTCTTTCTTTCTTTCCTTCTTTCTTTTTCTTTCTTTTCAGAGTCTCCCTCTTGTTGCCCAGGCTGGAGTGCAATGGCTCAATCTCAGCTCACTGCAAACTCAGCCTCCCGGGTTCAAGCGATTCTCCTGCCTCAGCCTCCCGAGTAGCTGGGATTACAGGCGCCTGCCACCAGGCCCAGCTAATTTTTTTGTATTTTTAGTAGAGATGGGGTTTTGTCATGTTGGCCAGGCTGGTCTCAATCTCCTGGCCTCAGGTGATCCCGTGCCTCGGCCTCCCAAAGTGCTAGGATTACAGCTATGAGCCGCCACACCCAGCCTCTTGTTTGTTGACTTCTTAATAGCAGCCATTGTGACTGGCGTGGAATGATAGCTCATTGTGGTTTTGATTTGCGTTTCCGGGAGGGACCCTCTTGACTGAGGGTGTCAGGGCCTCTGCTTCAGGAAAGTATTTCCAGGTTTTTGTGACCTGGTTCAGGGAAGACAGACAAAGACAGCTTTCTGTTTCTGCAATTTTCTCAAATTCCTTCAGCTTTATATTAAACTGCCAAGGTTCCATAATTTGGGAAGTGTGTTCAGAGCCACATCACTCTGGATAAAGAGCCTTTGCCTGTTCTCATTCAAGCGGTTTTCTTTCTCTGTCTCTCTTTTTTTTTTTTTTTTTTTTTTTTTTGAGACAGGATCTCGCTCTGTCTCCCAGGCTGGAGTGCAGTGGCGTGATCTCGGCTCACTGCAGCCTCAGCTTTCTGGGATCAAGTATCCTCCCACTCCAGCCTCCCAAGTAGCTGGGACTGCAGAAATACACCACCATGCCAAGCTAATTTAAATTTTTTTTTTAATTTTATAGAGGAGATCTTGCTATGTTGCCAAGACTAGTTTTTGATTTTTTTTTTTTTTTGAGATGGAGTCTTACTCTGTCACCCAGGCTGGAGTGCAGTGGCGCGATCTCGGCTCACTGCAGCCTCAGCTTTCTGGGATCAAGTATCCTCCCACTCCAGCCTCCCAAGTAGCTGGGACTGCAGAAATACACCACCATGCCAAGCTAATTTAAATTTTTTTTTTTTTAAATTTTATAGACGAGATCTTGCTATGTTGCCAAGACTAGTTTTTGATTTTTTTTTTTTTTTTTTTTTTGAGATGGAGTCTTACTCTGTCTCCCAGGCTGGAGTGCAGTGGCGCGATCTCGGCTCATTGCAACCTCCACCTCCCGGGTTCAACCGATTCTCCTGCCTCAGCCTCCTGAGTAGCTGGGATTACAGGTACCCGCCACCATGTCCACCTAATTTTTTTGTATTTTTAGTAGAGACAGGGTTTCACCACATTGGCCAGGCTGGTCTCGAACTGCTGACCTCAGGTGATCCGCCCACCTCAGCCTACCAAAGTGCTGGGATTGCAGGCATGAGCCACCGCGCCTGGCCAGTTTTTGATGATTTCTGCAGTAAACATCTCCATGTGGAGAAGGAGCAAGCTGGGACCACAGATGTGCACCATCACACCTGCCTAATTTAAATTTTTAAAAAAAAATTTTTTTTAAAGAGATGCGATCTTGCTATGTTGCCCAGGCGGGATCTGAACCTACTGGGCTCAAGTCAGCTTTTTGCCTCAGCCTCCCAAGGTGCTGGGATTAGAGGCGTGAGCCACCACCCCCAGTCTTCAGATGATTTTTGAATATTTCTGCAGTAGAAATCTCCTTTTTCAGAAACAGCCAGGGGGCTGTGAAAAGGAGGGAAGATGGACAAGGGAGGAACAGATACCTGAGGATGTGGGACGTCCTGGGGCCATGTGGGTGACAGAGGAAAATCAGCAGGCTTCAGCCCTGAACTTCACCTCCCAGAGCCGGGTGGGAGGACAGAAAACAGGGCCGGCCGGGCACGGTGGCTCACGCCTGTTATCCCAGCACTTCGGGAGGCTGAGGCAGGCGGATCACCTGAGGTCGGCAGTTCGAGACCAGCCTGACCAACATGGTGAAACCCCCATCTCTACTAAAAATACAAAAATTAGCTGGGCATGGTGGTCGGCGCCTGTCATCCCAGCTACTCGGGAGGCTGAGGCAGGAGAATCATTTGAACCCGGGTGGTGGAGCTTGCAGCTTGCAGTGACCTGAGATCACAGCACTGCACTCCAGCCTGGGAGACAAAGCCAGACTCCGTCTCAAAAAAAAAAAAAAAAAAAAAAAAAAAAAAGGAAAAGAAAAGAGGAAATTCTGAACCCAGTGCCCGCTCCTTGCAGATCTGCGAACAGTGGCACCAGCCTCTAGTCTCAATGTGAGGTTTGACTCCAGGACGATGAATTTAAGCTGGGACTGCCAAGAAAACACAACCTTCAGCAAGTGTTTCTTAACTGACAAGAAGAACAGAGTCGTGGAACCCAGGGTGAGACGAATTTCCCATTCTCAACCCCTGTCCTTTACACACCCCTTTCTGAGTTAAAAGCAACAGGGCCGGCTGGGCGCGGCGGCTCACGCCTGTCATCCCAGCACTTTGGGAGGCTGAGGTGGGCGGATCACCTGAGGTCGGGAGTTCAAGACCAGCCTGACCAACATGGTGAAACCCCGTCTCTACTACAAATACAAAATTAGCCGGGCGTGCTGGTGCATGCCTGTAGTCCCAGCTACTCAGGAGGCTGAGGGCAGAAGAATTACTCGAACCCGGGAGGTGGAAGTTGCAGTGAGTCGAGCTCGTGCCATTGCACTCCAGCCTGGGTGACAGAGCGAGACTCTGTCTCATAAAATGCAATAAGGCCGGGTGTGGTGGCTCACGCTTGTCATCCCAGCACTCTGGGAGGCCGAGGCAGGTGGATCACCTGAGGTCAGGAGTTCAAGACCAGGCTGACCAACATGGTGAAACCCCATCTCTACTAAAAATACAAAAATTAGTCGGGCATGGTGGCAGGCATCTGTAATCCCAGCTACTCGGGAGGCTGAGGCAGGAGAATTACTGAAACTCGGGAGGCGGAGGTTGCGGTGAGCCGAGATGGTGCCATTGCACTCCAGCCTGGGCAACAAGAGCAAAACTCTGTCTCCAAAAAAAAAAAAAAATAATAAATTCAATTAAATAAAAGCGAGAGGGCCACAGACACAAACAACACAAGTGTGGTATTTGGAGAAATGTCACAGCCATAATCTCACGGGAACCGGGAAAGTGCTGTTAGCTCATGTCCACAATGTGTACCAGAGCCTGATTCCCTGAGGCAGAGCCTATGTTACCGTATTTTACCCCAAGAGAAGAGAAATCCTGGCAAATGCAGTTGGATGTGCCCCTGGGTCTGTGGTGGAAGCAGGACGGAGAAAAGTAAAGTGTCAGTCACGTTGTCAGTGTGTCACCGTCCTGGTTCCCCAAGGGATTAAGGTCAGGGTTTTTGGAACACAGGAGACAGAGACAGAAGAGCGGGGAGAGGGGAGGGAAGGAGGGAGAAACACAGAGAAAGGATAGAAGGAGGAGGGAGAGGAAGAGAGAAATATGGATGATCGATAGATAGGTGATAGATGATTTATTGACTGATAGGTGATAATAGATGATTGGAAGATTGATAATCAATTCTATAGGTAGATGCTACACGGAGGGATGGGTGGTCTTGCTATGTTACCCCAGATGACATACTTTTTTTTTTTTTTTTTTTTTTTGAGATGGAGTTTCCCTCTTGTTGCCCAGGCTGGAGTACACTGGTGTGATCTTGGCTCACTGCAACCTCCACCTCCTGGGTTCAAGCGATTCTCCTATCTCAGCCTCCTGAGTAGCTGGGATTACAGGTGCGTGCCACCACGCCTGGCTAATTTTTGTATTTTTAGTAGAGACGGGGTTTCACCATGTTGGCCAGGCTGGTCTCCAACTCCTGACCTCGTGATCCACCCTCCTTGGCCTCCCAAAGTGCTGGCATTACAGGTGTGAGCCACCGTGTCCGACCTTTATTTTTTGGGATGGAGTCTCGCTCTGTCGCCCAGGCTGGAGTGCACTGGCGTGATCTCAGCTCCCTGCAACCTGTGCCTCCTGGGTTCAAGAGATTCTCCTGCCTCAGCCTCCTGAGTAGCTGGGATTACAGGTGCCCACCACCACACCTGGCTAATTTTTGTATTTTTAGTAGAGACGGGGTTTCACCATGTTGGCCAGGCTGATCTTGAACTCCTGACCTCAAGTGATCCACCCGCCTCGGCCTCCCAGAGTGCTGGCATTACAGGTGTGAGCCACTATGTCCGACCCTTTTTTTGGGGGGATGGAGTCTCTGTCTGTCACCCAGGCTGGAGTGCACTGGCGTGATCTCAGCTCACTGCAACCTGTGCCTCCTGGGTTCAAGAGAGTCTCCTGCCTCAGCCTCCCGAGTAGCAGGGATTACAGGTGCCTGCCACCACACCTGGCTAATTTTTGTATTTTTAGTAGAGACGGGGTTTCACCATGTTGGCCAGGCTGGTCTTGAACTCCTGACCTCAAGTGATCCACCCGCCTTGGCCTCCCAGAGTGCTGGGATTACAGGTGTGAGCCACGGCACCTGGCCTCTAGTCTGGTACTTTCAGCACTGCTAGAGTATAAGATTGAGTTTTCACCTGCAAGCTGGTATTCAGCGTATCCACTCAGAGCCCTCGGAGGAAGCTTAGGGGGATGATTTCACAAAGGGAGGCAGGTGCGTGTCGCCAAATCCAGGTAAAAACCAATACCATGGCCGGGCATGGTGGCTCACGCCTGTAATCCCAGCACTTTGGGAGGCCGAGGCGGGTGGATCACCTGAGGTCAGGAGTTTGAGACCAGCCTGGCCAACATGGTGAAACCCTGTCTCTACTACAAATACACAAATTAGCAGGGTGTGGTGGCGGGTGTCTGTAATCCGAGCTACTCGGGAGGCTGAGGCGGGAGAATTGCTTGAACCTGGAAGGCGGAGGTTGTAGTGAGCCGAGATCACGCCACTGCACTCCAGCCTGGGAGACTGTAGGAGACAGAAGGTTGTTTCCTAATCGGCTCTGTCTGGTTGCAATTCTTCAGCTCAGTAACAACGAATGTTCGTGCACATTTCGTGAAATTTGTCTGCATGAAGGAGTCACATTTGAGGTTCACGTGAATACTAGTCAAAGAGGATTTCAACAGAAACTGCTTTATCCAAATTCAGGTAAGCAAGACAGCTCAGGGATCCGTTTACAGCACTGGCCCCACCACCCCGCCAGCATCAAAGTACATCCCGTTGAACTTCGGAGTGAAAATTATTTTGTTTCTACCTCTTCCCAGGAAGGGAGGGTACCGCTGCTCAGAATTTCTCCTGTTTCATCTACAATGCGGATTTAATGAACTGTACCTGGGCGAGGGGTCCGACGGCCCCCCGTGACGTCCAGTATTTTTTGTACATACGAAACTCAAAGTAAGTGTTCACCTCATGTGAAGAATTATGAGGAATGCAGGGATGGGAGAAAAAATCATGCTGGTTTTCTTTTTTTCCTTTTTCTTTTTTTAAGACATGGTCTTGCTCTGTTGCCCAGGCTGCAATGCAATGGTGCCACCTCGGCTCACTGCAACCTCGACCTCCTGGGTTCAAGCAATTTTCCTGCCTCAGCTTCCCAGGTAGCTGGGATTACAGGCGCCCGCCACCACACCAGGCCACATCTATGTATTTAGAGACAGAGTCTTGCTCTGTCGCCCAGGCTGGAGTGTAGTGATGTGATCTCAGCTCCCTGCAACCTGCGCCTCCCTCCAGGGTTCAAGTGATTCTCCTGCCTCAGCCTCCCAAGTAGCTGGGACTACAGGTGCACTCCACCACACCTGTCTAATTTTTGTATTTTTAGTAGAGACAGGGTTTCACCATGCTGGCCAGGCTGGTCTCCAACTCCTGACCTCAAGTGATCTGCCTGCCTCAACCTCCCCAAAGTGCTGGGATTACAGGCGTGAGCCACTGCACCTGGCCTGTTTTTTTGGTTGTTGTTTTGTTTTGTGTTTTTTGTTTTGTTTTGTGTTTCTTTTTGTTTTGCCTTGTGTTTTTGTGTTCTTGTTTTGTTTTGTGTTTCTGTGTTTTTCTTTTGTTTTTGTGTTTTTTTGGTTTCACGTTTTTGTGGTGTTTTGTGTTTTTGTGTTTTTGTTTTTTGTGTTTGTTTTTGTTTTGTTTTGTGTTTTGTTTTGTGTTTGTTTTTGTTTTGTTTTGTGGTTTTTGTTTTGTGTTGTGTTTGTTTTTGTTTTGTGTTTTTTTGTTTGTGTTTTGGTGTTTTTGTTTTGTGGTTTTCTTTTGTGTTTGTTTTTGTTTTGTGTTTTTGTGTTTTTGTTTCATTTTGTTTTGTTTTGTGTTTTTGTGTTTTGTTTTGTTTTGTGTTTGTTTTTGTTTTGTTTTGTGTTTTTGTGTTTTTGTTTTGTGTTTTGTGTTTTTGTGTTTTGTTTTGTTTTGTGTTTTTGTGTTTTGTTTTTGTGTTTTGTTTTGTTTTGTGTTTTTGTGTTTTGTTTTGTGTTTGTTTTTGTTTTGTTTTGTGTTTTTGTGTTTTTGTTTTGTGTTTTGTGTTTTGTTTTGTGTTTTTGTGTTTTGTTTTGTTTTGTGTTTTTGTTTTGTTTTGTGTTTTTGATTTGTGTTTTTGTGTTTTGTTTTGTGTTTGTTTTTGTTTTGTGTTTTGTGTTTTTATGTTTTGTTTTGTGTTTGTTTTCGTTTTGTTTTGTGTTTTTGTTTTGTGTTTTGTGTTTTTGTGGGTTTTTTTTGTTTTGTGTTTTTGTTTTGTGTTTTTGTGTTTTGTGTTTTTGTGTTTTGTTTTGTGTTTGTTTTTGTTTTGTTTTGTGTTTTTGTGTTTTGTTTTGTTTTCCTGATTGCTCTCTGAGCACTTTCTAATCTTTCAGGAGAAGGAGGGAGATCCGGTGTCCTTATTACATACAAGACTCAGGAACCCATGTGGGATGTCACCTGGATAACCTGTCAGGATTAACGTCTCGCAATTACTTTCTGGTTAACGGAACCAGCCGAGAAATTGGCATCCAATTCTTTGATTCACTTTTGGACACAAAGAAAATAGGTGAGAATAACACATATGATTTTCCTATTGTTTATAGGTGAAATGGAATTTGCCTTAAAATCTGTGTAACTGAGGCCACGTGCGGTGTCTCACACCTGTAATCTCAGCACTTTGGGAGGCCGAGGCGGGCCGATCACCTGAGATCGGGTGTTCAAAACCAGCCTGACCAACATGGGGAAACCCCATCTCTACTAAAAATACAAAAATTAGCCGGGCATGGTGGCGCGTGCCTGTAATCCCAGCTACTCGGAAGGCTGAGGAGAATCACTCAAACCTAGGAGGCGGACGTTGCAATGAGGTGAGATTGTGCCACTGCACTCCAGCTTGAGCGACAGAGCAAGACTCTGTCTCAAAAACAAACAAACAAAAATCTGTGTAACTTTGGTGCTGTAACAAATTAGAACTGAGCTGATTTAACTTTCCTTTTTTTGAGATAGAGTCTCGCTCTGTCACCCAGGCTGGAGTGCAGTGGTGCAATCTCAGCTCACTGCAACCTCTGCCTCCCAGGTTCAAGCGATTCTTCTGTCTTAGTCTCCTTAGTAGCTTGGATTACAGGTGCACACCACCACGCTCGGCTAATTTTTGTATTTTTAGTAGAGGCAGTGTTTCACCATCTTGGCCGGGCTAGTCTCGAACTCCTGACCTCAGATGATCCACCTGCCTCAGCCTCCCAAAGTGCTGGGATTACAGGCGTCAGCCACTGCACCTGACCTCCCTCTTTACCTCCTTCCTTCTTTCCTTCCTCCCTGCCTTTCTGCCTTTCTTCTTTTTTCTTCCTTCCTTCCTTCCTTCCCTCCCTCCCTCCTTTCCTTCCTTCCTTCCTCCTTCCCTCCCTTCTTCCTTCCCTCCCTCCCTCTCTCCCTCCCTTCTTCATTCCTTCCTTCTTCCTCTCCTTCCTTCTCCTTCACTCATTTCCTCCTTCCTTCCTCTTTTTCTTCATTTCTTCCTCACCAGCACCTCTTCGTGTCCCAGTGCCCTGCTCCTGGCTGGCCTCTTGGAGCCAGTCCCATATGCCCACACGCTCTCCTCTTCCCAAGCCCACCGCATCCCACCCGTGGACTCCTTCATCCCGTTGGACGTTCCCAGCCTCTTCAGGCTTAGGACTCTCACAGAAGTGTGACTCCTGCCCACCAAGCCCATCCCCACCTCCCACCCTGGAACCCCTGCCCCAGTGGGTATCTCTCCTGTACATGGTAGCTGCCCCACCTCCACTTGGACCCAGTGTAGACAGGAGGAGACCCTGTACCACCTCCACCTGGACCCAGTGTAGACAAAGAGGTGTCCCTACTCCACGTCCACCTGGATCCAGTGTAGACAGGAGGAGACTGCACCACCTCCACCTGGACCCAGTGTAGTCAAAGAGATGTCCCTACTCCACGTCCACCTGGACCCAGTGTAGACAGGAGGAGACCCTGTACCACCTCCACTTTACCCAGTGTAGACAGAAGGAGACCCTGCACCACCTCCACCTGGACCCAGTGTAGACAAAGAGGTGTCCCTACTCCACATTTACCTGGACACAGTGTAGACAGGAGGAGACTGCACCACCTCCACTTGGACCCAGTGTAGACAGGAGACCCTGCACCACCTCCACCTGGACCCAGTGTAGACAAAGAGGTGTCCCTACTCCACGTCCACCTGGACCCAGTGTAGACAGGAGGAGACTGCACCACCTCCACCTGGACCCAGTGTAGACAAAGAGGTGTCCCTACTCCACATTTACGTGGACACAGTGTAGACAGGAGGAGACCCTGCCCCACCTCTACCTGGACCCAGTGTGAAGGCGACCAGCCCTTCCACACATGTGGGTATTTCTCGTCAGGTGGGACGAGAGACTGAGAAAAGAAATAAGACACAGAGACAAAGTATAGAGAAAGAACAGTGAGCCCAGGGGACCGGCGCTCAGCATACGGAGGACCTGCACCGGTCTCTGAGTTCTCTCAGTATTTATTGCTTACTATTTTCACTATCTTGGCAAGGGGAATGTGGCAGGAGGACAGGGTGATAGTGGGGAGAAGGTCAGCAGGAAGACATATGAGCAAAGGAATCTGTGTCACAAATAAGTTCAAGGGAAGCTACTATGCCTGGATGCACACGCAGGCCAGATTTATGCTTCTCTCCACACAAACATCAGTGTAGCAAAGAGTCACAGAGCAGTATTGCCACCAGCATATCTCGCCTCCAGCCACAGGGCGGTTTTCTCCTGTCTCAGAATAGAACGAATGTACGATCGGGTTTTACACGGAGACATTCCATTCCCAGGGGCAGGCAGGAGACGGAGGGCTTCCTCTTATCTCAACCGCGAGAGGACTTCCTCCTCGGCACAGACCCTTTATGGATGTCGGGCTGGGGGACGGTCAGGTCTTTTTCCCTTCCCACGAGGCCATATCTCAGACTGTCTCAGTGGGGGGAACCCTCAGACAATACCCGGGCTCTCTCGGGCAGAGGTCCCTGCGGCTTTCCGCAGTGCATGGTGTCCCTGGTTAATAGAGAATGGAGAATGGCGATGACTTTTACCAAGCATGCTGCCTGCAAACCTATTGTTAACAAGACACAGCACATGTTTCTGTGAGCACAGTGTTGGGGCTACAGTTACAGCTTAACAGCATCTCAAGGCAAAACAGTGGTTCAACATACAGATCACAATGGAGTTTCTTACCTTCCTTTCTACATAGACACAGTAACAGTCTGATCTTTCTTTTTGTTTGTTTGTTTGTTTTTCTGAGACAGAGTCTCACTCTGTCGCCCACCCAGGCTGGAGGGCAGTGGCGGGATCTCGGCTCACTGCAACCTCCGCCTCCCGGGTTCACGCCATTCTCCTGCCTCAGCCTCCCGAGTAGCTGGGACTACAGGCACCCGCCACCACGCCCGGCTAATTTTTTTGGATTTTTAGTAGAGACGGGGTTTCACCGTGTTAGCCAGGATGGTCTCGACCTCCTGACCTCGTGATCCTCCCGCCTCGGCCTCCCAAAGTGCTGGGATTACAGGCGTGAGCCACCGCGCCCAGCCCCCTGATCTCTCTTTCTTTTCCCTACACAGAGTAGACAAAGAGGTGTCCCTACTCCACATTTACCTGGACCCAGTGTAGACAGGAGGAGACCCTGCCCCACCTCCACCTGGACCCAGCGTAGACAAAGAGGTGTTTCTACTCCATATCTACCTGGACCCAGTGTAGATGGGAGGAGACCCTGCCCCATCTCCACCTGGACCCAGTGTAGACAAAGAGGTGTCCCTAGTCCACATCCACCTGGACCGAGTGTAGACAGGAGGAGACCCTGCCCCACCTCCACCTGGACCCAGTGTAGACAGGAGAAGACTCTGCACCACCTCCACCTGGACCCAGTGTAGACAGGAGGAGACCCTGCCCCACCTCCACCTGGACCCAGTGTAGACAGGAGAAGACTCTGCCCCATCTCCACCTGGACCCAGCGTAGACAAAGAGGTGTTTCTACTCCATATCTACCTGGACCCAGTGTAGATGGGAGGAGACCCTGCCCCACCTCCACCTGGACCCAGTGTAGACAGGAGAAGACTGCACCACCTCCACCTGGACCGAGTGTAGACAGGAGGAGACCCTGCCCCACCTCTACCTGGACCCAGTGTAGACAGGAGGAGACCCTGCCCCATCTCCACCTGGACCCAGTGTAGTCAAAGAGGTGTCCCTACTCCACCTCCACCTGGACCCAGTGTAGACAGGACCTACTCCACCTCCACCTGGACCCAGTGTAGACAGGAGGAGACTCTGCACCACCTCCACCTGGACCCAGTGTAGACAGGACCTCTCGGGTTCAGGGGTGTGTCCTGCGCCCTCGTTACAGAACGATTCAACCCTCCCAGCAATGTCACCGTACGTTGCAACACGACGCACTGCCTCGTACGGTGGAAACAGCCCAGGACCTATCAGAAGCTGTCGTACCTGGACTTTCAGTACCAGCTGGACGTCCACAGAAAGGTCGGTGAGAGCTCCCCGGGGCTGGGCACCAGGAGGGAGGCGTACGGGACACGCCCGCACAGGAGCCTGGGAATCCCGGGGAAGTGGCCTGGGGGAAGGATGCGTGGGTGGTGAGCGGTGACTCTGGGGTGAACGCACTTCGGGTAGCGGAGGAAGAGGTGAAGGGTCTGTGGCCTGTGGAGCCACCTTGAAAGAGGTTGCAGGGAGGGTGGACAAGGATGATCCTGCAACCATGGAACCAGGAAGTGGACCGGGAGGTGTGGGGGACGATGCCACAAGCAAGGAGAGCCTCTGCTCCACCTCCAGCTGGACGCAGTGTAGACAGAAGGAGACCCTGCCCCATGTCTACCTGGACCCAGTGTAGATAGGAGGACACCCGACCCCACCTCCACCTACACCCAGTGTAGACAGGAGGAGACCCTGCTCCACCTCCATGGAGACCCAGTGTAGACAGGAGGAGTTCTTGTCCCACAACTACCTGGACCCAGTGTAGACAGGGAGAGAGACTGCCTCACGTCCACCTCGATCCAGTGTAGACAAGAGGAGATCTTGTCTCACAACCTCCTGGACCCAGTGTAGACAAGAAGAGACCCTGCCCCATGTCCACCTCGAGCCAGTGTAGACAAGAGGAGATCTTGTCCCACAACCACCTGGACCCAGTGTAGACAAGAAGGAGAGCCTGCTCCATGTCTACCTGGACGACAGGAGAACACCCTGCCCCAAGGCCAGTGGGACCTTTCTGGATGGGTTACAGGAAGATATCTGGCCAGGAAGACTTCTGTGTTTGCAGCTCCTCATCCTACCTGTCTTGTAGATTCGGGGTTTGTGGAGGGAGACCTGCCTGCCACTCCGCAGGGACTCCTTCCCATTCGGTGCCCACACCAGGGGAGACACTGTGTGAACCATCTACAGTGTTTTAGAAATGGAAACAGTGAGCCTTGTGTTGTGTTTTGTTTTGTTTCTAGAATACCCAGCCTGGCACGGAAAACCTACTGGTAAGTGAAACCACAGACCCTACTGACAACCCTCAGCGTAACCCTACGGTCCCCTACTCACCACACCTAGTGTAACTCTACAGTCCCCTACTCATGACCCCTACAGTCCCCTACCGACGACCTCCAGCGTAACCCTACGGTCCCCTACTCACCACACCTAGTGTAACTCTACAGTCCCCTACTCATGACCCCTACAGTCCCCTACTGACGACCTCCAGCGTAACCCTACAGTCCCCTACTCACCACACCTAGTGTAAGGAGGAGGAGACCCTGCCCCACCTCCACAGAGACCCAGTATAGACAGGAGGAGCTCTTGTCCCACAACCACCTGGACCCCGTGTAGACAGGAAGAGACCCTGCCCCACGTCCACCTAGCTTAATCCTACAGTCCCCTACTCACCACACCTAATGTAACTCTACAGTCCCCTACTCATGACCCCTACAGTCCCCTACCGATGACCTCCAGCGTAACCCTACAGTCCCCTACTCACCACATCTAGTGTAACTCTACAGTCCCCTACTCACGACCCCCGGAGTAATCCTACAGTCTCCTACTCACGACGCCTACAGTTCCCTATTCATGACCCCTAGCGTAACCATACAGTCCCCTACCCATGAGCCCTGGCATAACCCTACAATCCCCTACTCACCACACCTAGCATAAACCTACAGTCCCCTACCCATGACCCCTGGAGTAACCCTACAGTCCCCTAGTCACTACACCTAGTGTAACTAACCATACAGTTCCCTATCCATGACCTCTGGCGGAACCCTACACTCCCCTACTCACAACCCCTAGTGTAACCCTACAGTCTCCTACCCATGACCCCTGGCGGAACTGTACAGTCCCCTACTCACGACCCCTACACTCTCCTACCCATGACCCCTGGCGGAACCCTACAGTCCCCTACTCACGACCCGTACAGTCTCCTACCCATGACCCCTGGCAGAACCCTACAGTCCCCTACTCACGACCCCTACACTCTCCTACCCATGACCCCTGGCAGAACCGTACAGTCCCCTACTCACGACCCCTACAGTCTCCTACCCATGACCCCTGGCGGAACTGTACAGTCCCCTACTCACGACCCCTACAGTCTCCTACCCATGACCCCTGGCGGAACTGTACAGTCCCCTACTCACGACCCCTACACTCTCCTACCCATGACCCCTGGCGGAACCCTACAGTCCCCTACTCACGACCCCTACAGTCTCCTACCCATGACCCCTGGAGGAACCCTACAGTCCCCTACTCACGACCCCTACAGTCTCCTACCCATGACCCCTGGCGGAACTGTACAGTCCCCTACTCACGACCCCTACAGTCTCCTACCCATGACCCCTGGCGGAACCCTACAGTCCCCTACTCACGACCCGTACAGTCTCCTACCCATGACCCCTGGCAGAACCCTACAGTCCCCTACTCACGACCCCTACACTCTCCTACCCATGACCCCTGGCGGAACCGTACAGTCCCCTACTCACGACCCCTACAGTCTCCTACCCATGACCCCTGGCGGAACCGTACAGTCCCCTACTCACGACCCCTACACTCTCCTACCCAAGACCCCTGGCGGAACCCTACAGTCCCCTACTCACGACCCCTACACTTTCCTACCCATGACCCCTGGCGGAACCCTACAGTCCCCTACTCACGACCCCTACACTCTCCTACCCATGACCCCTGGCGGAACCCTACAGTCCCCTACTCACGACCCCTACAGTCTCCTACACATGACCCCTGGCGGAACCCTACAGTCCCCTACTCACGACCCCTACAGTCTCCTACCCATGACCCCTGGAGGAACCCTACAGTCCCCTACTCACGACCCCTACAGTCTCCTACCCATGACCCCTGGCGGAACTGTACAGTCCCCTACTCACGACCCCTACAGTCTCCTACCCATGACCCCTGGCGGAACCCTACAGTCCCCTACTCACGACCCGTACAGTCTCCTACCCATGACCCCTGGCAGAACCCTACAGTCCCCTACTCACGACCCCTACACTCTCCTACCCATAACCCCTGGCGGAACCGTACAGTCCCCTACTCACGACCCCTACAGTCTCCTACCCATGACCCCTGGCGGAACCCTACAGTCCCCTACTCACGACCCCTACAGTCTCCTACCCATGACCCCTGGAGGAACCCTACAGTCCCCTACTCACGACCCCTACAGTCTCCTACTCATGACCCCTGGAGTAACCCTACAGTCCCCTACTCACGACCCCTACAGTCTCCTACTCATGACCCCTGGAGTAACCCTACAGTCCCCTATTCAGGAGCCGTAGTGTGACCCTACAATCCCCTACTCACAACCCCCGGTGGAACCCTACAGTCCCCTACCCATGACCCCTGGTGGAACCCTACAGTCCCCTACTCACGACCCCTACACTCTCCTACCCATGACCCCTGGCGGAACCCTACAGTCCCCTACTCACGACCCCTACAGTCTCCTACCCATGACCCCTGGCAGAACCCTACAGTCCCCTACTCACGACCCCTACACTCTCCTACCCATGACCCCTGGCAGAACCCTACAGTCCCCTACTCACGACCCCTACAGTCTCCTACTCATGACCCCTGGAGTAACCCTACAGTCCCCTATTCAGGAGCCGTAGTGTGACCCTACAATCCCCTACTCACAACCCCCGGTGGAACCCTACAGTCCCCTACCCATGACCTCTGGTGGAACCCTACAGTCCCCTACTCACGACCCCTACACTCTCCTACCCATGACCCCTGGTGGAACCCTACAGTCCCCTACTCACGACCCCTACACTCTCCTACCCATGACCTCTGGTGGAACCCTACAGTCCCCTACTCACGACCCCTACACTCTCCTACCCATGACCCCTGGCGGAACCCTACAGTCCCCTACTCACGACCCCTACAGTCTCCTACCCATGACCCCTGGCAGAACCCTACAGTCCCCTACTCACGACCCCTACACTCTCCTACCCATGACCCCTGGCAGAACCCTACAGTCCCCTACTCACGACCCCTACAGTCTCCTACTCATGACCCCTGGAGTAACCCTACAGTCCCCTATTCAGGAGCCGTAGTGTGACCCTACAATCCCCTACTCACAACCCCCGGTGGAACCCTACAGTCCCCTACCCATGACCTCTGGTGGAACCCTACAGTCCCCTACTCACGACCCCTACACTCTCCTACCCATGACCCCTGGTGGAACCCTACAGTCCCCTACTCACGACCCCTACACTCTCCTACCCATGACCTCTGGTGGAACCCTACAGTCCCCTACTCACGACCCCTAGTGTAACCCCACATGACCCCCAGTGTAACCCTATAGTCCCCTACCCACGACCTATGTCTGCCTAGACCCAGTGTGATCAGGAGGAGACCCCACCTCACCTCCCCCTAGACCCAGTGTAGACAAGAAGGAGAGCCTGCCCCACGTCTACCTGGATCCAGTGTAGACAGGAGAATACTCTGCCCGACATACAGTTGAACCACTCACAACCCTAGCGTCACCCTACAGTCTCCACGAACCCTACAGTCTTGGTTTATGGGACTCTTAGTGCCAGTGTGGCCCAGGGGTGGACACGGTGGATCCTGAACCAGAGGATGCAGATCTCACACGGGTGAGGGCCCCCTCATAGTTCTCACTGGGCAGGGTCTGCTCTTGGCCTCAACCTTCGTGTCCCAATGGTTGGAATATTTATGCTCAGCCTGTTCTACTGATTTTCCCATTTTATTCCTCTTTCCTCTACGTGGGTTAAGAATATATTCTAGTGACTGTCTAAGGAGATTATGTCTCCCTCTAAAATGCTTTTAGAGTGAGTACTGTTGCCGGGTATTTACCAAGTCTCGCGGCCACTCTGACCCTCGGTATCCTCCTCTGTCCGATGAGTATGCTAGACTTGGGGATCTTAATATCCCTTGCTAAACTATCCGTCTGAAGGTCTGTTAATATCAGTTGTTGATCCTGAATCATTTATTTATGTATGTATTTATTTTTGAGACGGAGTCTCGCTCTGTCCCCCAGGCTGGAGTGCAGTGGTGCGATCTCGGCTCACTGCAAGCTCCACCTCCCAGCGATTGTCCTGCCTCAGCCTCCCTACAGAGATTCTACAGTCTCAGCCTGTAGCTGGGACTACAGGCACCCACCCCCACACCTGGCCAACAATTTCTGTTTCAGAAAATAAAATTTTAGCCAGGCACGGTGGCTCACGCCTGTCATCCCAGCACCTTGGGAGGCTGAGGTGGGCGGATCACTTGAGGTCAGCAGTTCAAGACCAGCCTGGGCAACATGGAGAAACCCCATCTCTACTAAAAATACAAAACGTACCCATGCGTGGTGGCGGGCGCCTGTAATCCCAGCTACGTGGGAGGCTGAGGCAGGAGAATGGCGTGAACCCGGGAAGCGGAGGTTGCGGTGAGCCCAGATCATGCCATTGCACTCCAGCCTGGGCGACAGAGCGAGAGTGTCTCAAATAAAATAAAATAAAAGAGGCCGGGCGTGGTGGCTCATGCCTGTAATCCCAGCACTTTGTGAGGCCGAGGCGGTCGGATCACGAGGTGAGGAGATCGAGACCATCCTGGCCAACATGGTGAAACCCCGTCTCCACTAAAAATACAACAAAAATTAGCCGGGCGTGGTGGTGGGCACCTGTAGTCCCAACTACTGGGGAGGCTGAGGCAGGAGAATGGTGTGAACCCTGGAGGTGGAGGTTGTAGTGAGCCAAGATCGCGCCACTGCACTGCAGCCTGGGTGACAGAGGGAGACTCCGTCTCAAAAAATAAATAAATAAAATAAAATAAAAAAGCTTAAAGCCTACATCACCCAAATTTTCCCAACTTGTCTCCCATCGAAATACTAACGAGGCTTGACTCTGCTTAGCTTCGAAGACCCGATCAGACCAAGTGCATTCAGAGTGGTAGAAAAAAAAGAAGAAAAAGAAAAAAAGAAAAGGAGAAAAAAACTTAAAAGACAAAAGAACGAAAAAAGGCAACCTTTTCCTCCACACAGAAGACGCCTATCTCTAACTTTCTTTTTTCCTCCAAAGATTAATGTTTCTGGTGATTTGGAAAATAGATACAACTTTCCAAGCTCTGAGCCCAGAGCAAAACACAGTGTGAAGATCAGAGCTGCAGACGTCCGCATCTTGAATTGGAGCTCCTGGAGTGAAGCCATTGAATTTGGTAAGCGTTGGGCGGAGGTAAGGGATGTTTGTGCCGTCTGCGGCCACCCTGCAGCAGGCACAGAGGTCAGGTGCTCTGTCCTGGGCGCTGAGATCGAGTTGAGCACGTCGCTGGGAGTAGTGTCAGGCTCTGAGCTTATCGCTGAGGCTCAAAAGAAGGAGGTGGTCTCGTACTTGGTCCCGCAACATTGCTTTGCTGATGTTTTTTCAGGACGGATGAGTTGGCTCCCTTAATAACCAGAGAAGGGCCAGGTGCAGCGGTTCACGCCTGTAATCCCAGCAATTTGGGAGGCTGAGGCCGGCGGATCACCGGAGGTCAGGAGTTTGAGACCAGCCTGGCCAACATGGTGAAACCCCGTCTCTACTAAAAATACAAAATTAGCCCAGCATTGTGGCAGGTGCCTGTAATCCCAGCTACTCGGGAGGCTGAGGCAGGAGAATCACTTGAACCCAGGAGGCGGAGGTTGCACTGAGCTGGGATCACGCCATTGCACTCCAGCCTGGGTGACAGCGTGAGACTCCGTCTCAAAAAAAAAAAGAAAAAAAAATACAAAAACTAACCAGGATTGGTGGCACATTCCTGTAATCCCAGCTACTCAGGAGGCTGAGGGCAGGAGAATGACTTGAACCCGGGAGGTGGAGGTTGCAGTGAGCTGGGGTCACGCCATTGCACTCCAGCCTGGGTGACAGAGTGAGACTCTGTCTCAAAAAAAAAAAAAAAAAAAAAAAGAAAAAGTAGAAGGAGGTGGTCTCATACTCATACGGGGTCATGCAACATTGCTTTGCTGGTGTTTTTTTCAGGGTGGATGAGCTAGAATCCCTTAATAGCCAGAGAAGGACCCCACTGATAGCCCTCCTAAAGTCCCACCTCCCTCTGCTCCACTGGGAAACAATCAGTCAGTCTTTGTCCGGTCAAACCGTCACCATTCCGGCTCCCTGGCCAAGGGGAAGCTCTCTCCCTCTTTTTTTCTTTTTTTTTTTTTTTTTTTTGAGACGGCGTTTCGCTCTTGTCGCAGGCTGGAGTCCAGTGGCGCAATCTCGGCTCACTGCAAGCTCCACCTCCTGGGTTCACGCCATTCTCCTGCCTCAGCCTCCCCAGTAGCTGGGACTACAGGTGCCCATCACCACGCCTGGCTAATTTTTTGTATTTTTTTTTTTTTAGTAGAGACAGGGTTTCACTGTTTTTTAGCCAGGATGGTCTCGATCTCCTGACCTCGTGATCCGCCCACCTCGGCCTCCCAAAGTGCTGGGATTACAGGCGTGAGCCACCGTGCCCGGCCCTCCCTCTTTTTTTTTTTTTTTTTTTTTTAGATGGCGTTTCGCTCTTGTTGCCCAGGCTGGAGTGCAGTGGTGCCATCTCGGCTCACCGCGATCTCCGCCTCCCAGGTTCAAGCAATTCTCCAGCCTCAGTCTCCCGAGTAGCTGGGATTACAGGCGCCCGCCACCACACCCGGCTAATTTTGTATTTTTAGTAGAGACGGGGTTTCACCATGTTGGTCAGGCTGTTCTTGAACTCCTGACCTCAGGTGATCTGCCCACCTCGCCCTCCCAAAGTGCTGCAATGACAGGCGTGAGCCACCCTGCCCGTCCGGGGAAGCTCTCTTCAAAGCCAGGTCTCGGCTGCCCAGGAGACAGGTCTATGCTTTTCTCTGAAGATGATTTTGAGGGCTCCAAATTGAAAAGGGGAAGGGGCAGGATATTGAGAAGTATGCGGTTTTCACCTCAACAAAGGGTACAGAAGAAAAATTGTGAGCTGCAGTGCAGTGGTGCACCTCTACCTCCCAGATCACACAGACAAAATGGGGTACAGGGATGATCAGAGGTGCATTCGTGTCTGGTGGGCCGGGGTGACTGCACCTGTAAGAAATTTTTTTTGTTTATTTATTTTTTGTTATTTGAGACGGACTCTCGCTCTGTCACCCAGGCTGGAGTGCAATGGCACGATCTCAGCTCACTACAACCTCTGCCTCCTGGGTTCAAGCGATTCTCCTGCCTCAGCCTCCCGAGTAGCTGGGATTACATTAGACATGCATCACGCTTGGCCAATTTTTGTATTTTTCTTTTTATTTATTTATTTATTTATTTTGAGATGGAGTTTCGCTGTGTCACCCAGGCTGGAGTTCAATGGCACGATCTTGGCTCACTGCAACCTCCGTCTCCCAGGCTCAAGCGATTCTCCTGCCTCAGCCTCCTGAGTAGCTACGATTACAGACATGCATCATGCTTGGCCATTTTTTAAATATTTTTATTTATTTATTTATTTTGAGACAGGGTCTCACTCTGTCACCCAGGCTGGAGTGCAATGGCACGATCTCGGCTCACTGCAACCTCCGCCTCCCGGGTTCAAGCGATTCTCCTGCCTCAGCCTCCCGAGTAGCTGGGATTACAGACATGCATCACGCTTGGCCAATTTTTGTATTTTTATTTTTATTTATTTATTTATTTATTTTGAGATGGAGTTTCGCTGTGTCACCCAGGCTGGAGTGCAATGGCACGATCTTGGCTCACTGCAACCTCCGTCTCCCAGGCTCAAGCGATTCTCCTGCCTCAGCCTCCTGAGTAGCTGGGATTACAGACATGCATCATGCTTGGCCATTTTTTAAATATTTTTATTTATTTATTTATTTTGACACAGGGTCTCACTCTGTCACCCAGGCTGGAGTGCAATGGCACAATCTCGGCTCACTGCAACCTCCGTCTCCCAGGCTCAAGCGATTCTCCTGCCTCAGACTCCCAGGTAGATAGGATTACAGGCACCCACCACCATGCCTGGCTAATTTTGTATTTTTTTTTTAGCAGAGATGAGGTTTCACCATGTTAGTGAGGCTTGTCTCGAACTCCTGACCTCAGATGATGCGCCCGCCTCGGCCTCCCAAAGTGCTGGGATGACAGGTGTGAGCCACCGTGCCTGGCCCAATTTTTGTATTTTTGGTAGAGACGGGGTTTCACCATGTTGGTCAGGCTGGTCTCGAACTCCCAACCTCAGGTGATCCTCCCGTGTCGGCCTCCCAAAGTGCTGGGATGACAGGCGTGAGCCACCGCATCCGGCCCATGGTGGCAAAGTTTTAACAGCTCACCAGAAATTTCCTTGTGGGCAAAACATAGGGCAGGCAGGTTGCTTTCATCTCAGAGCCATCTTAGTTAAGAACCAAAAACAGGGAGGCAGGTTTGCTGGGCCCAGTTCTCAGCTTGACTGTTCCCTTTGGCTAAATGCATTTGGACACCCGAAGAGATTTAATTTCCTTTCACATGTCCGTCAACGATTCACCGCAGACGCAAACCTGTGTGTCTCTCCAGGTTCTGACGACGGGAACCTCGGCTCTGTGTACATTTATGTGCTCCTAATCGTGGGAACCCTTGTCTGTGGCATCGTCCTCGGCTTCCTCTTTAAAAGGTAACCTGTGAAACACCTGGGCCTCCCCAATGAAAACAGGCCAGGCCGGGAGGAAAGCGCTTTGTCCAGTCTCTGTCTCTGTCTCTGAGAAAGAGAAACACAGCCTTGGCCGGGCGTGTTGGCTCATGCCTGTAATCCCAGCACTCTGGGAGGCCGAGGCGGGTGGATCACGAGGTCAGGAGATCGAGACCATCCTGGCTAACACAGTGAAACCCCGTCTCTACTAAAAAATTAGCCCGGCGTGGTCGCGGGCGCCTGTAGTCCCAGCTACTCGGGAGGCTGAGGCAGGAGAATCGCTTGAACCCGGGAGGTGGAGGTTGCAGTGAGCCGAGATTGCACCACTGCACTCCAGCCTGGGCGACAGGGCGAGACTCCATCTCAAAACAAACAAAAGAACGGAGAAAACGGGAGATCCTACAGGAATACACAGTGATGCTCACAGGGAATCTTTCTAGAATCTTCCCTCAGCCCCTCGGGCACAGGGATGGGAATGGAACAGGCAGTCAGCTGTGGGCAGCTTCAGGGAGTCTGAAGTCACTGCTGTTGAAGGGCTGAGCTCCAGAGGGGAAACGCCTGCCTTGATCCCACTAGCCTTGAAGAGCGTGGTTTCTGGGTTGGAGGTGGGTTTTTTTTTGTTTGTTTGTTTTTTTG
Source organism: Homo sapiens (assembly GCF_000001405.40). Taxonomy (NCBI): domain Eukaryota; kingdom Metazoa; phylum Chordata; class Mammalia; order Primates; family Hominidae; genus Homo; species Homo sapiens. The sequence continues at coordinate 1,304,671 of NC_000023.11, forward strand.
TTTTTTGTTTTGAGACAGACTTTTGCTCTTGTTGCCCAGGCTGGAGTGCAGTGTTGCAATCTCGGCTCACTGCAACCTCCACCTCCCGGGTTCACGCCATTCTCCTGCCTCAGCCTCCCGAGTAGCTGGGATTACAGGCATGCACCACGATGCTCACCTAATTTTTGTATTTTTAGTAGAGATGGGGTTTCACCACGTTGGCCAGGCTGGTCTCTAACTCTTGACCTCAGGTGATCCACCCGCCTTCGCCTCCCAAAGTGCTGGGATTACAGGTGTGAGCCACCATGCCTGGCCTAGTTCCTTAAGATGTTTGTCATTTGGTGATTTTTTTTTGTTTTTTTGAGATGGAGTCTCACTCTGTCACCCAGGCTGGAGTGCAGTGGTGCAATCTCGGCTCACTGCAACCTCCACCTCCCAGGTTCAAGCAATTCTCCTGCCTCAGCCTCCTGAATAGCTGGGATTACAGGCAAGCACCACGATACTCAGCTAATTTTTGTATTTTTAGTAGAGACGGGGTTTCACCACGTTGGCCAGGCTGGTCTCAAACCTCAAGTGATCCACCCGCCTCGGCCTCCCAAAGTGCTGGGATTACAGGTGTGAGCCACTGCACCCGGCCTAGTTCCTTAAGATTTTCGTCACTTGGTGATTCTTAGTGAAGTTTTGCATAGTTGAGCGCAGACACCCCGCACGCAGCATCCCTCGGCACAGGGCGTTGATGGAAGGAACTCTGGTGACCCGGGGTTCATTCTCTTCACACTTTTTCTCTGTGTCTCAGGTTCCTTAGGATACAGCGGCTGTTCCCGCCAGTTCCACAGATCAAAGACAAACTGAATGATAACCATGAGGTGGAAGACGAGGTAGGCAGGGGTGGGCGGAGCAGTGACCTGGGATGGAAGGTGGGGAGTGGGGAGCGTGGGACACGGCCTCTGGGTGTCGACCATCTTGCTTCTCCACCAGATGGGACCGCAGCGTCACCACCGGTGTGGCTGGAATCTGTATCCCACTCCTGGGCCTTCTCCCGGGTCGGGGTCTTCTCCAAGGTTGGGGTCAGAGTCATCTCTGTGAGCTCCATCAGGAGAAACTGAGGCAGGGTGGTGGTCAAGAAAAGGAGGAGAAGACGGTAGAGAGGGCCAGGCACGGTGGCTCATGCCTGTCATCCCAGCACTTTGGGAGGTTGAGGCATGTGGATCATCTGAGGTCAGAGGTTCGAGACCAGCCTGGCCAACGTGGTGAAACCCCATCTCTGCTAAAAATACAAAAAATTAGCTGGGTGTGGTGGTGTACGCCTGAAATCCCAGTGACTCGGGAGGCTGGGGCAGTAGAACGGCTTGAACCCAGGGGGCGGAGGTTGCAGTGAGCCGAGATCGCACCACTGCACTCCAGCCTGGGTGACAGAGCGAGACTCCATCTCAAAAGAAAAAAGAAGGTAGAGAGGAGAGGCAGAAATAGAGACAAGAGACAGAGGCAGAGAAAGATGGAGGGAGAGAGATGGAGGAGAGAGAGAGGAATGTAGAAGAGAATGAGGAGACACAAAAGAGAGGGAAACAGGCAGACAGACTGACAGAAACAAAGGCAGACACACAGACAGAGAAACAGAGAGAGGGAGGGAGAAAAGGGAGAAGGAAAGAGAGAGACACGAGACACAGATGGAGAAACAGAGACAGATAAACAACAAACATAAAGACCCAGGCGGGGGCCGGTCGCGGTGACTCACATCTGTCATCCCAGCACTTTGGGAGGCCGAGGCGGGTGGATCACTTGAGGTCGGGAGTTCGAGACCAGCCTGACCAACCTGAAGAAACCTCGTCTCTACTAAAATTGCAAAAATTAGCCAGGTGTGGTGGCGCACACCTGTAATCCCACCTACTCTGGAGGCTGAGGCAGGAGAATCACTTGAACCCAGGAGGCGGAGGCTGCAGTGAGCCGAGATCGCACCATTGCACTCTAACCTGGGCAACAGAGCAAAACTCTCTATCAAAAACAAAACAAAACAAAAAAATCATCCCCAGCAGGGAGAGGAGAGAGACAGAGAGGAACAGAGGCACAGAGAGGGGAGAGAGACAAAGACAGAGAGACACAGAGAAAGACACAGAAAAAGAGAGAGAGAGGGAGAAGGAGACATAGAGACAGGGACAAAGAGAAAAAGACGGACAGAGAGAGAAACAGAGAGACATAGGTGGACACAGAGAGGGGAGAGAGAGAGAGAGACAGAAAGAGACAGAGAGCAAGGGATGGGAGTGGAAGAGAGAGACAGATGGAGGAAAAAGACAGAGAGGGAGGCAGATAAAAGACACACAGAGACACCGAGAGAGACAGGGAAGACAGAGGAGTCGGACTTAGTCTCAGCGAGAGCCCAGAGAGGGTGAACAAGGGCGAGGAACCATGTGACCTGCACCCTGAGACCCCATTGGCGCTCCTCTCCCACCCACCTCTCTCCGGCTCAGGGACTGCGTCTTATGTTGCAGTAGGCTGGCAGGCTGGAAAGTCAGGCCAGGGCTGATGCTGCATCCCAGAGGCAGAACTGTCCTGCATTCTCAGAGTGGGAGATGAAATTTTTAAAAAGGAAATAAAACTCTTGTCGGGGAACCTCAGCTTTTATCCTTTAGACGTTTGACTGATTAGACCAGGCCCACTCTTCTCCTTTACACTTTCGGCTGATTGAATGAGGCCCACCCTTCCCCCTTTACACCTTCGACTGATTAGATGAGGCCCACCATTCCCCTTTAGACCTTCGACTGATCAGATGAAGCCCACCCTTCCCCTTTAGACCTTCAGCTTATTAGATAAGGCCCACCCTTACCCTTTAGACTTTCAACTGATTAAATGAGGCCCACTCTCCCCGTTTAGACCTTTGACTGATTAGATGAAGCCCACGCTTCTCCTTTGGACCTTCAACTGATTAGATGAGGCCCACCCTTCCCCCTTCAGCCTTTCGACTGATTAGATGAGGCCCACCCTCCCCTTTATACCTTCGACTGATTAGATGAGGCCCACCCTCCCCTTTATACCTTCGACTGATTAGATGAGGCCCACCCTCCCCTTTATACCTTCGACTGATTAGATGAGGCCCGTCCTTCCCCCATTTAGATCTTCAACTGATTAGATGAGGCCCACCTTTCCCTTTTTAGACCTTTGACTGATTAGATGAGGCCTACCCTTCTCCCTTTAGACCTTTGACTGATTAGATGAGGCCTACCCTTCTCCCTTTAGACCTTTGACTGATTAGATGAGACCCACCCTTCCCATTTAGACCTTCAACTCATTAGATGAAGCCCACCCTTCCCCCCTTCCCCTTTAGACCTTCAGCTTATTAATTAGACAAGGCCCACCCCCTTTAGACCTTCAACTGATTAGATGAGGCCCACCCCTCTTCAGACCTTCAACTGATTAGATGAGGCCCACCCCCTTTAGACCTTTGACTGATTAGATAAGGCCCACCCACATTCTCCAGTCCAATCTCTTTTCCTGGAAATCAGCTGATTGTGGACTTGACATCTACAAAGCCCCTTCGTAGCAGCCGCTGAGTCATGGTTTCATTCAATAACTGGGGACTGTAGCCTAGTCACGGGGACACGTCATTGGTGCCGGGTATCAGAGACGAAGGCCAAGAGATGAAAGAGAAACAGAGACTGAACCCAAAAGAGGCAGACACACAGGAAGATGGAGATAGAGACCCAGAGATGGGGGTGGAAGAAGGTGAGAGGGGGAGGAAAGAGAGACAGAGAGGGAGACAGAGAAAAGAGGCAGAGAGACCGAGAGAGAGGCTGAACAGCAAGACCCCAGAGAGGGTGACTAAGGGTGAGAGACTTGCGTGACCCACATCCCAAGACCCCGTGGGTGGCCCTCTCCCACCCACCTCTCTCCAGCTCAGGGGCTGTGTCTTCCTCCCATGGGGAACTCCAGTTGCAGCCCAGGGTTGCCCCCAGCGCCCTCTTCTCTGCCACATAGGTAACATCCTCCTGGTTGCCACTTGCACACCCCCATCCTAGACCTGGCCATCTGTCATTCCATTACCTTCCACCCCCACGCCAGCCTCCTCCCCGGCCCCCGCTTTCCACTGACCCCCAGGGGTCCCCCACATCGAGGTGCCAGGATGACGGCTTCAGGCTTCAACCTTCCCTTCTCTGAGCTCCATCAGCTCCAGGGGCTTAGCACCTGCTGTACCCTGCCCAGGTTTCATGCTCACAAGCTCTTCCAAAGACCACCCTGTTCATCGTCAACTATGAGGTCCCATGGGTGGATCTGTCTCAGATCTTTACCCCAGGAAAAACCCATGGCCAGGTGCAGTGGCTCATGCCTGTCATCCCAGCACTTTGGGAGGCCGAGGCGAGTGGATCACCTCGAGGTCAGGAGTTTGAGACCAGCCTGGCCAACATGGTAAAACCCCATCTCCACTGAAAGTACAAAATTTAGCTGGTGGCGGCTAAAGGGGGAAAGGTGGGCCTCATCTAATCAGTCGAAGGTCTAAAGGGGGAAGAGTGGGCCTCATCTGATCAGTCAAATTTGTGGTGGCGGGCGCCTGTAATCCCAGCTACTCAGGAGGCTGAGGCAGGAGAATCGCTTGAACCCGGGAGGCCGAGGTTGCAGTGAGCTGAGATGACACCACTGCACTCCAGCCTGGGCAATAGAATGAGACTCCGTCTCGAGGGAGAAAAAGAAAATAAACACAGCCCACTGAGTCCCAGGCTGAGCTCGTGAAGATCTGACAGCCTGAACCCTCCTTTTTCTCAGATCATCTGGGAGGAATTCACCCCAGAGGAAGGGAAAGGCTACCGCGAAGAGGTCTTGACCGTGAAGGAAATTACCTGAGACCCAGAGGGTGTAGGAATGGCATGGACATCTCCGCCTCCGCGACACGGGGGAACTGTTTTCTTGATGATGCTGTGAACCTTTATATCATTTTCTATGTTTTTATTTAAAAACATGACATTTGGGGCCAGGCGCGGTGGCTCACGCCTGTAATCCCAGCACTTTGGGAGGCCAAGGCAGGCGGATCACCTGAGGTCAGGAGTTCAAGACCAGCCTGCCCAACATGGTGAAACCCCATCTGGACTAAAAATGCAGAAATTTACCCAGGCACGGCGGCGGACGCCCATCATCCCAGCTACTTGGGAGGCTGAGGCAGGAGAATTGCTTGAACCCGTGAGGCGGAGGTTGTAGTGAGCCAAGATCGCACCATTGCACACCAACCTGCGTGACAGAGCAAGATTGCATCTCAAAACAAACAATAATAATAAATAATAAAAACCTGATATTTGGCTGGGCGCCGTGGCTCATGCCTGTAATCCTAACACTTTGGAGGATTGCTGGAGACAGGAGTTTAAGACCAGTCTGGGCAACATAGCAAGACCCTGTCTCTACAAAAAAGGCAAAAATTAGCTGGGCGTGGTGGCTTGTGCCTGTAGTGCCAGCTATCTGGGAGGCTGAGGCGGGAGGATCACTTGAGTTCAAGCTGACAGTAAGCTATGATTGCACCGTTGCACTCCAGCCTGGGTAACAAACTAAGACCCCATCTCTCTGTCTCAAAAAAAGTGATACTTCGCAAAGATGCTTAGACTCCAAGAAGCTTTTGCATCTCTTTCCAACCCAACTACTGAGGTACTGTGTAGCCTCCTCCTTGAATAACTAACCTGGTGAGCTGAGATTGCGCCATTGCAATCCAGCCTGGGCAACAAGAGCAAAACTCCATCACATTTAAAAAAAAAAAAAAATTGATGGCCGGGCGCGGTGGCTCACACCTGTAATCCCAGCAGTTTGGGAGGCCGAGGCGGGAGGATCACGAGGTCAGGAGATCGAGGGCATCCTGGCTAACATAGTGAAACCCCATCTCTACTAAAAATACAAAAAATTAGCCAGACGTGGTAGCGGGCGCCTGTAGTCCCAGCTACTCGGGAGGCTGAGGCAGGAGAATGGCGTGAACCCGGGAGGAGGAGGTTGCAGTGAACCGAGATCACAACACCGCACTCCAGCGTGGATGACATAGCGAGACTCCATCTCAAAAAAAAAAAAAAAAAATTATTATTGTACAGTGCCAGGCCTCCCTGGGTTATAAATCCAGTTTTTAGTAGGTCCGGTTCCTTCTGGAGGACAAAGTGATGATATAGTTTGGTTGTTTGTCCCTTGCAAATCTCAGTTTGAAATTTGGTTCTCCGGGTTGGAGGTGGGACCTGGCAGGAGGTGTTTGAATGAAGAGGGGGCGGACTCCTTATAAATGGCTTGGTGCCTTTCTTGTAGTAATGAGTGAGTTCTTTCTCTATTTGTTCCTGAAAGAGCTGGTTATCAAAAAGAGGCTGGTGCCCGGGCATGGTGGCTCACGCCTGTAATCCTAGCACTTTGGGAGGCCGAGGCTGGTGGATTGCCTGAGCTCATGAGTTCGAGACCAGCCTGGGCAACATGGTGAAACCCCGCTTCTACTAAAAATACAAAAAGTTAGCTGGGTGTGGTGGCGGCCACCTGTAGTCCCAGCTACTCAGGAGGCTGAGGCAGCAGAATTGCTTGAACCCGGGAGGCGGAGGTGGCAGTGAGCCAAGATCACGCCATTGCACTCCAGCCTGGGCAACAGAGTTAGATTCTGTCTCCAAAAAAAAAAAAGGTAAAAAGAAAAAGAGGCTGGTACCTCCTTCCCTGCCTCTTGCCACCTCTCCCACCATGTAACACCAGCTCCCCTTCCTCTCCCACCAGGAGTGGAAGTTGTTGAGCTTCTCAGCAGCAGATGCTGAAGGCACAATTCCTGTACAGTCTGTGGAATCATCAGCCAAATAAACCTGTTTGTTTTTTTTTTTAAGTTGGAGTCTTGCTTTGTCGCCAGGCTGGAGTGCAGTGGCACAATCTCTGCTCACTGCAACCTCCATCTCCCCAGTTCAAGCAATTCCCCTGCCTCAGCCTCCCAAGTGGCTGGGAGTACAGGCGCCCGCCACCATTCCCGGCTACTTTTTTTTGTTTTGTTTTGTGTTTTAGTAGAGACAGGGTTTCACCTTGTTGGTCAGGCTGGTCTCCATCTGACCTCGTGATCCGCCCCCCTTGGCGTCTCCACGTGCTGGGATGACAGGCGTGAGCCACCGCGTCCAGCCAAATAAACCTCTCTTTAAAATACATCACCCAGCCTGGGGAATCCCTTTGTAGCAACACAAAACAGACTAAGACGAGACGGAAATTCATTTCCCTCCATTTCCCACATCTAGAAAAGGCTGACTTTCTTCATTGGTGGTTGCTGTCACTCAGGCCTGCTGTTGACTCCTCATATCTCACTGGACTGTGACTCTCCTGCCTCCCTCTCATAAGGACAATTATTATTATTATTATTTGAGATGGAGTCTCGCTCTGTCATTCAGGCTGGAGTGCAGTGGCACGATCTCAGCTCGCTACAACCTCCACCTCCCGGGTTCAGGCAATTCTCATGCCTCAGCCTCTCGAGTAGCTGGGATGACAGGCACCTGCCACCACACCTGGCTAACTTTTGTATTTTTAGTAGAGATGGGGTTTCACCATGTTGACCTGACCACAGGTGATCCACCTGCCTCAACCTCTCAAAGTGCTGGGATTACAGGTGTGAACCACCACACCTGTTCCTTATAAGGACAATTGTAATTACATGTCAGGCCCACGGGGACACTCCAGAATCATCTCTCCATGGCAATATCCCTGGAATAAAAGTCCTCCTTCCATAGAGAGCATTCTGTAATGTGTCCACAGCATGCTTATCCAGGTAAGAACATGCTGGGGGCCATTATTCTGTCTCCCACGTGGAATTAGGACGTGGACATCTTTGGGACCATTATTCTGTCTCCCACATGGAATTAGGACGTGGACATATTTGGGGACATTATTCTGTCTATCACATGGGATTAGGACGTGGACATCTTTGGGGCCATTATTCTGTCTCCCACATGGGATTAGGACATGGCCATATTTACGGGACATTATTTTGCCTCCCACGATCAGTGAGTAATTCAATCGCCACAGATACCGAAACATCAACTGAGATGGTGGCTGACAGGTGGTCTAGGGCCTACAGGGGACTTCAGGACTTGGAGCCGAGAGAGAGCCGAGCTTGGGATGGATCTGACGGTGAGGTGCCAGCTGTTTCCTCCCTCGTGGGTGTTCCACGTCCCTCCTGCAAACCCCAGCCGGCCCCTTGCTTCAGAGTTTCAGGGGAGATTTGACGATGGAGCAGAGGCAGCCTTCCGGAACCTTCTACCCCTGACCTTTTGATTCACAAGTCAAAGCTTGGGGAAGAGATGGAGCCAGGCTCTTGGTGGGGAGAAGCGTCTAAAACACAGCAAGGAAGAAAAAGCGTGGAATCCTCTGGGCCTGCAAGAAGTGAGAGGAGGAGACTCCCACAGGGCGCCCCAGGAAGCAGGTCCACCTCCCCAAGGGAGCACCACATTCCTGGGTATGAACCTGTGGGTTTCAGAGACCTCAGGCCCTATTTACCTCAGAAGCAGAGGCCTCCGGTGTCAAAGAGACAGCAGAGGCCGGGCGTGGTAGCCATGCCTATAATCCCAGCGCTTTGCCAGGCCAAGGCAGGTGGATCACTTGAGGTCAGGAGTTCAAAACCAGCCTGGCCAACGTGGTGAAACTCGTCTCTACTACAAATACAAAAAAAAAAATAAAAAAAGCTGGGTGTGGTGGCACACGCCTGTAATCCCAGCTACTCAGGAGGCTGAGGCAGGAGAATCACTTGAACCTGGGAGGCAGAGGTTGCAGTGAGCCAAGATCACGCCACTGCACTCCAATCTGGGTGACAGAGAGGAGCTGTGGTCAGGCACAGTGGCTCATGCCTGGAATCCCAGCACTTTGCAAGGCCAAGGCAGGCAGATCATTTGAGGTCAGAGTTCAAAACCAGCCTGGCCAACATGGCAAAATCTCGTCTCTACTAAAAATACAAAAAAAAAAGCCAGGTGTGGTGGCAGGCACCTATAATCCCAGCTACTTGGGAGGTTGATGCAGGAGAATCGCTTGAACCCAGGAGGCGGAGGTTGCAGTGAGCCAAGATCACGCCATTGCACTCCAATCTGGGTGACAGAGAGGAGCTGTGGCCAGGCACAGTGGCTCATGCCTGTAATCCCAGCACTTTGGGAGGCCGAGGTGGGCAGATCACCTGAGGTCAGGAGTCCGAGACCAGCCTGGCTAACATGGTGAAACTCCATCTCTGCTAAAGATACAAAATCTTAGCCGGGTGTGGTGGCACCTGTAATTGCAGTTGCTGTACTCAGGAGGCTGAGGCAGGAGAACCGCTTGAACCTGGGAGGCAGAGGTTGCAGTGAGCCCAGATCATGCGATTGCACTCCGGCCTGGGTGACAGGGCGAGATTCTGTCTCAAAATAAATGAATAAATAAAATAAAATTAAATTAAAATAAAATTAAATAAAAAATAAAAAACAGCCAGCAGAGATAGGGCCTAGGATGACTGAGGCCCCTGAAGGCTGTGGCGATCAGCCCCTCCCCTGTGTTCTTTGGCACCTACGGACCCTCTCCAAGGAATGGGTGGGCAGAGGCTGTCAATATTGGCTGAGAGGGAGCTTTTGCAGAACCGCACTGCACCTGCCCAACCCCACTGCACCTGCCCAACCCCACTGCACCTGCCCAACCCCACTGCGCCTGCCCAACCCCACTGCATCTGCCCAACCACTCTGTGCCTGCCCAACCACACTGCACCTGCCCAACCCCACTGCGCCTGCCCAACCCCACTGCATCTGCCCAACCACTCTGTGCCTGCCCAACCACACTGCACCTGCCTAACCGTACTGCACCTGCCCAACCGCACTGCACTTGCCCAATTGCACTGCACCTGCCCAACCCCAATGCACCTACCCAACCCCACTGTGCCTGCCCAACCGCACTGCACCTGCCCAATCCCACTGCACCTGCCCAATCCCACTGCACCTGCCCAATCCCACTGCACCTGCCCAACCCCACTGCACCTGCCCAACCCCACTGCACCTGCCCAACCACACTGAACCTGCTCAACCCCACTTCACCTGCCCAACTGCACTGCACTTGCCCAACCCCTCTGTGCCTGCCCAACCCCACTGTGCCTGCCCAATCGCACTGCACCTGCCCAATCCCACTGCACCTGCCCAATCCCACTGCACCTGCCCAATCCCACTGCACCTGCCCAATCCCACTGCACCTGCCCAACCCCACTGTGCCTGCCCAACCGCACTGCACCTGCCCAATCCCACTGCACCTGCCCAACCGCACTGCACCTGCCCAACCACACTGAACCTGCTCAACCCCACTTCACCTGCCCAACCGCACTGCACTTGCCCAACCCCTCTGTGCCTGCCCAACCCCACTGTGCCTGCCCAATCGCACTGCACCTGCCCAACCCCACTGCACCTGCCCAACCACACTGCACCAAAGGAAGAGCAATGCAGACATTCAATCCTTTGCATGCCTAAACTGGAGAAGACTGTTTATAAGATGCATGCAGGTGGGAGTCACACTGTGGGGGGGAGGGTCATCGGTCACCTGCGTGAGATCAGGGTTGTGCAGGTGGAGAAAAGAGAGGGAGGGGAGACAGATTCTATGATGAGGACAGGTGTGGTGAAAATGGGTCTCAAAAGAAATTTAAAAAATAGATGATATATATAGAAGACAGATAGATGATTGATAGATGACAGATGAAAAATATATATGATAGATGAATAGATGTATAGGTAACAGATAATAGCTAGATACATGATTGACTGATAGATATTTGATAGATAGATGATAGATGAATTTTATTTTATTTTATTTTGTTTTAAGAGACAGAGTCTCATTCTGTCACCCAGGCTGGAGTGCAGTGGCGCGATCTCAGCTCACTACAACCTCCGCCTCCCAGGTTCAAGTGATTCTCCTGCCTCAGCCTCTTGAGTAGCTGAGATTACACGTGTGCACCACCACCCCCAGCCAATTTTTTATATTTTTTGTAGAGACAGGATTTCACCATGTTGGCCAGGCTGGTCTCGAACTCCTGACCTCAAGTGATCTGCCCGCCTCAGCCTCCCAAAATGCTGGGATTACAGGCGTGAGCCACCTTGCCCAGCCATAATGGATGAATTTTAGATAGATGATAGACATAGATAGATAGATAGAAAATAGATAAAATAGATAATAGATAGATAGATAGATAGATAGATAGATAGATAGATAGATAGATAGATTAGATAGATGAATGGATAAATAGATGGATAGATAGATGGATGAATGGATAGATGACAGATAGATAGACTCTAGATGGATAATAGATGATGGATAGATTGATGATAGATGGATGATAGATAATAAATGATAGATGATAGATAAATAGATGATTGATAGAAAATAGATGATAGATGGATAGACAGATAGATAGATATATAGATAGATACATAGATAGACCAATAGACAGATAGATAGATCAATAGATAGATAGATAGATAGAATAGATAAATGGATAGATAGACACATAGATACATAGATACATAGACAGATACATAGATAGATGATAGATTAGATAGATGATAGAAGAGCTAGACAGATGGATAGATAGACACATAGACAGATACATAGATACATAGGTAGATAGATAGATGATAGATGACAGATGATAGATTAGATAGATGATAGATAGATAGATAGATAGATAGATAGATAGATAGATAGATAGACAGACAGACAGACAGAGAGGTAGTTGGGATCTATCTGCTATTTCTCAGGCTCCCTCCTGGAAGTTGGAACTGATCTCACTTGTTCCAAGACCCTCACCTTAAATCACATTGTTAGACGGTGAACCATCCAAAGCCCCCAGGCCAGCAAAGATACTACCAGGGGCCATTCCAGGACCTGAGGTATCACCACCCTCCAGCCAAGACCCAAGGCAAGACTTCCCTTTGGGTAAGGCTAGGTCTTCAGTGCACAGCGTCTAACAAGCGACAGGAGAAAGGTATGTCCTGGAGATGGGCTTGGCCCGGGAAGAGCCATGGAGACTCACGTTCAGCCCCTGCCCATCCACGCGGGAGGGAACACCGGCGTCATGGGGCTCCCCAACGCCTGGGTTCTCCTGAATGAGATCAACAGCACCACCACCTCCTACATCCGTGCCTGCGTCTCTCATCCTGTTGAGTCATGCCGTGGGGAGCAAGTTCCCTAATTCTGTCTTCCTGTGTGGACACAAAACCAGCAGCCGACGCCCCAGACACAGAGGCGTTGAGGGCGTGGGGCCAACACGCTTGCCCCCCTAACGGTTTGCTGAATAATCACTAACAATGAACTAGATAGATTACTAAGAAACAAGACATGCATATTTTCTTTCTTTCTTTTTTTATTGAGACGGACTCTCACTCTGTCGCCCAGGCTGGAGTGCAGTGGCGCGATCTCGGCTCACTGCAAGCTCCGCTTCCCGGGTTCACGCCATTCTCCTGCCTCAGCCTCCCGAGTAGCTGGGACTACAGGTGCCCACCACCATGCCCGGCTAATTTTTTTTGCATTTTTAGTAGAGACGAGGTTTCACCATGTTAGCCAGGATGGTCTCGAACTCCTGACCTTATGATCTGCCTGCCTCGGCCTCCCAAAGTGCTGGGATGACAGGCGTGAGCCACCACGCTCAGCTTTTTTTTTTTTTTTTTTTTTTGAGACAGAGTCTTGTTCTTGTCGCCCAGGCTGGAGTGCAGTGGTACAATCTCAGGTCACCACAACCTCCGCCTCCCGGGTTCCAGCGATTCTCCCGCCTCAGCCTCCCGAGTAGCTGGGATGACAGGCATGCACCACCACGCCCGGCTAATTGTGTATTTTTAGTAGAGACGGGCTTTCTCCACATCAGTCAGGCTGGTCTCGAACTCCTGACCTCAGGTGATCTGCCCGCCTCGGCCTCCCAAAGTCCTGGGGTTGCAGGCGTGAGCCACCACGCCCAGCTTTTTTTATTTTTATTTTATTTTATTTTTTTTTTTTGAGACGGAGTCTTGCTCTTGTCACCCAGGCTGGAGTGCAATGGTATCATCTCAGGTCACCATTTCTGTAACGTGCAAATTTCTGTAACGTGCACGCACAGAAGCCTTCAGAATGAAGACCCACGCTCCCAGGGAGGTACAAGCTTTTGGAGTGGAAGAAGAGGAAGAAGAGAAATTCTAATGGGGCTTGGATCTTCTCTCCTGGAGTGGGAAAAGAGGAATTCTATTGAGGGAAAGTAAGAGATTGCTAGGAAGATCCTTTGCCCAGGCTGGAGTGCAGTGGCGACTCTTGGCTCACGGCAGCCTCAACATCCCAGGCTTAAACAATCCTCCCACCTCGGCCTCCTTAGTAGCTTGGATGACAGGCATGCACAACCATGACTGGCTAATTTTTTTCTTTTCTTTTTTTTTCTTTTTTTTGTGAGACAGAGTCTCACTGTGTCACCCAGGCTGGAGTGCAGTGGAGCGATCTCGGCTCACTGCAACCTCCACTTCCCGGGTTCAAGCGATTCTCCTGTCTCAGCCTCCCGAGTAGCTGGGACTACAGGCACCCGCCACCACGCCCGGCTAATTTTTTTTTTTTAACTTTTTTTTTTGAGACAGAGTTTCATTCTAGTTGCCCAGGTTGGAGTGCAATGGCGTGATCTTGGCTCACTGCTACCTCTGCTTCCCGGGTTCAAGTGATTCTCCTGCCTCAGCCTCCCAAGTAGCTGGGATTACAGGCATACGCCACCACACCCAGCTAATTTTGTATTTTTAATAGAGACGGGGTTTCACCATGTTGGCCAGGCTGGTCTTGAACTTTCTACCTCACGTGATCCGCCCACCTCGGCCTCCCAAAGTGCTGGGATTACAGGCGTGAGCCACTGCGCCAGGCCGAAGCTGAACTTTTGTCTCCACTGGCCAAAGGGTGGTTGCACCTTCTCCTCTTACCCCCAGGCCGTTGGACTTTGCCCCACTCCCCCTGAGCCGCCGATAGCCCCTCCTGAGAGAAAGGATAGAAAAGACTTTGGAGAGGTTTGCAGATGTCTGGGAAGACAATTGCAAAGCTGACCGGGCGCGGTGGCTCACGCCTGTAATCCCAACACTTTGGGAGGCCGAGGCAGGCAGATCACAAGGTCAGGAGATCGAGACCCTCCTGGCTAACACGGTGAAACCCCATCTCTACTAAAAGTACAAAAAATGAGCCTGGCATGGTGGCGGGCACCTGTAATCCCAGCTACTCGGGAGGCTGAGGCAGGAGAATGGTGTGAACCCGGGAGGCGGAGCTTGCAGTGAGCCGAGATCGTGCCACTGCACTCCAGCCTGGGTTACAGAGCAAGACTCCATCTCAAAAAAAAAAAAGAAAGAAAATTGCAAAGCTTCCTTTCGCCCCCTGGTGATGATGATCCTTTATTTATTTTATTTTATTTTATTTTATTTATTTTTTGAGACTGAGTCTTGGTCTGTCACCCAGGCTGGAGTACAGTGGCATGATCTCGGCTCACTACAACCTCCGCCTCCCGGGTTCAAGCGATTCTCCTGCCTCAGCCTCCCTAGTAGCTGGGATTACAGGTGCCCGCCACCACGCCTGGCTAATTTTTGTATTTTTAGTAAAGACAGGGTTTCACCATGTTGGCCAGGCTGGTGTTGAACTCCTGGCCTCAGGTGATCCACCCGGCTCGGCCTCCCAAAGTGCTGGGATTGTAGACATGAGCCACCATGCCCGGCCTCCTTTTTAAATTTTTGAGACAGCATCTTGCTCCTTTGCCCAGGCTGGAGTGCACGATCATGGCTCACTGTAGCCTCAGACTCCCCGGCTTAGCGATCCTCCTCTCTCAGTCTCCTGAAGTAGCTGGGACCACAGCTGAACGTCACCACACCCGGCTAATTTTTGTATTTTTAGTACAGACGGGGTCTCACTATGTTGCCCAGGCTGGTCTCCAACTTCTGGCCTCAAGCGATCCACCCTCCTCGGCCTCCCAAAGTGATGGGTCTACAGGCATGAGCCACCATGCCTAGCCCAAGTTTTTTGTAGAGATGGAATCTCACTATGTTACCCAGACTGGTCTTGACTGCTAGGCTCCAGTGATCCTCCTGCCTCAGCCTCCCAAAGTTCTGGAATTACAGCCATTCTTCACGCCTTTGCTGTTTTTTTTTTTTTTTTTTTAGACAGAGTCTCACTCTGTCGCCCAGGCTGGAGTGCAGGGGCAAAATCTTGGCTCATTGCAACCTCTGCCTCCCAGGTTCAAGCGATTCTCCTACCTCACCCTCCCGAGTAGCTGGGATTACAGGCACGTGCCACCACGCCTGGCTAATTTGTTTGTTTGTTTGTTTGTTTGTTTGTTTTGAGATGGAGTCTCGCTCTGTCCCCCAGGCCAGAGTGCAGTGGCACGATCTCGGCTCACTGCAAGCTCTGCCTCCTGGGTTCACGCCATTCTCTTGCCTCAGCCTTCCGAGTAGCTGGGACTACAGGTGCCCGCCACCACGCCTGGCTAATTTTTTGCATTTTTAGTACAGACGGGATTTCACCATGTTAGCCAGGATGGTCTCGATCTCCTGACCTCGTCATCCACCTGCCTCGGCCTCCCAAAGTGCTGGGATTACAGGCATGAGCCACTGCGCCCGGCCTGTTTGTATTTTTATTAGAGATGGAGTTTCAGCATGTTGGTCAGGCTGGTCTCGAACTCCTGACCTCAGGTGATCCACCCGCCTCGGCCTCCCAAAATGCTGGAATGACAGGCGTGAGCCATTGCACCCGGCTAATGCTGTCTTCTTTGTGGTCACAAAACTTCCCCAGAGAGAGAATTTACAACACTCATCATTTTTCAGAGGTTTTTGCTTTTAGTCAGAAAAGGGAAGCTCCAAGAAGTTTCTTTCTAGATCTGTTGATTCTCAAATGCCTCAGTTCAGAAGAATTTATATGCCAATGTGGCTTTTTTTTTTTTTTCCGAGACGGAGTGTTACTCTGTCACCCAGGCCGGAGTGCCATGGCGTGGTCTTGGCTCACTGCAACCTCTGCCTCCAGGGTTCAAGCGATTCCCCTGCCTCAGCCTCCTGAGTAGCTGGGACTACAGGCGCCCACCATCATGCCCAGCTAATTTTTTTTTTTTTTTTTTTTTGTATTTTAGTAGAGACGGGGTTTCGCCATGTTGGCCAGGATGGTCTCGATCCCCTGACCTTGTGATCCGCCCGCCTCAGCCTCCCAAAGTGCTGGGATTACAGGCATGAGCCACTGCACCCAGCCTGTTTTGTCAACCTTATGATCTCTGTTTTTTTTTGTTTGTTTGTTTTGAGACAGAGTCTCACTCTGTCACCCAAGTTCGAGTACAGTGGCGCGATCTCAGCTCACTGCAACCTCCACCTCCCAGGTTCAAGTGACTCTCGTGCCTCAGCCTCCCAAGGAGCTGGGATTACAGGCAGACGCCACCACGTCTAGCTAATTTTTGTAATTTTTCTTAGCAGACATGGGGTTTCACCATGTCAGTCAGGCTGGTCTTGAACTCCTGACCACAGGTGACCCACCCTCCTCGGCCTCCCAAAGTGCTGAGATTATAGGCTCAGCCCCAACTTGGCATATTTTGGATTGACCCATTCTAGTCCCTTTTAAGAAGTGCAGACAGAGGCCGGGCACGGTGGCTCACGCCTGTCATCCCAACACTTTGGGAGGCCGAGGCGGGTGGATCACGAGGTCAGGAGATCGAGACCATCCTGGCTAACACAATGAAACCCTTTCTCCACTAAAAATACAAAAAATTAGCCGGGCGACGTGGCAAGCTCCTGTAGTCCCAGCTACTCGGGAGGCTGAGGCAGGTGAATGGCGTGAACCCGGGAGGCGGAGCTTGCAGTGAGCCGAGATCGTGCCACTGCACTCCAGCCTGGGTGACAGAGTGAGACTCCATCTCAAAAATAAATAAATAAATAAAATAAAAACCCAGGAGGCAGAGGTTGCGGTTGGCTGAGGTCGTGCCACTGCACTCCAGCCTGGGGGACAGAGCGAGACTCCATCTCAAAAAAAAAAAAAAAGAAACGCAGACAGCATTTCAGTACACGCTTGGGGGTTAACTTAAACAGTGACCATCACCAAGCGAAATCTTAAAATGCGAGCAACGTGGAGCTAAACGGACTGCAAAAAGAAGACCATTGTGTATTGTAGGCACTGTCACAAAAAGGCAGAACCCCGCTTCTTCAGCGTAGCTGAGAACGTCCACATCAGGCAACTCAGATTTTTTTGCCACACTGCTTATGATGCCTCTGAATGGCCACAAACTTGCCCCAAGTATCAGCCGGGTGCGGTGGCTCATGCCTGTAAATTGCATCACTTTGGGAGGCCGAGGTGTGGGTGGATCGCATCATGAGGTCGGGAGTTCGAGACCAGCCTGACCAACGTGGTGAAACCCCTTTTCCACTAAAAATACAAAATTACCCCGGCATGGTGGCTCATGCCTGTAATCCCAGAACTTTTGGAGGCTGAGGCAGGAGCATTGCTTGATCCCAGGATTTCAGGACCAGCCTGGGCAATATAATAACATCCTATTATTTATTTATTTATTTATTTTTGAGACAGTGTCTCACTCTGTTACCCAGGCTGGAGTGCAATGGCGCAATCTCTGGTCAACGCAACCTCCACCTCCCAGGTTCAAGTGATTCTCCTGTCTCAGCCTCCCGAGTAGCTGGGACGACAGGTGCCCGCCACGTCACCCGGCTATTTTTTTTTTTTTTGTATTTTTAGTAGAGACGGACTTTCACCGTGTTAGCCAGGATGCTCTCGATCTCCTGACCTCGTGATCCGTCCACCTCAGCCTCCCAAAGTGCTGGGATTACAGGCATCAGTCAGCACACCTGGCCCACTTACCATCTTAACTGTGTGTGTTTGTTTTTTTTTTTTTTTTTTTTGAAAGGTAGCTCTCCAGAGAAAGACCCTGTAAGTATCTTTTTCTTTCTCAATGACATCCTGTGATTGGGCCATGAGTCACCTCCAAGTTCAGTGCTCATTTCATGGAACTGTTTAGCTGTGGGGCCCCACTGAACCCTTTGTGGTCACGCGGCAGCTCTCGGAGGAGCCACGGTTCTCCTGAACGCCCCTGGCTCAGCTACTCAACAATCACACAATGGACAGAGCGACGTCCTTCCTCCAAAGCTGCCCACTGAGAGATTTTCAGGTCAAAAATTGTAGTGCGTTGAACAGTGACCCTTAACATTTATGTCCACGTTAACCTCAGAATGGGACATTATTTCAAAATAAGGTCTTTGCAGATGTGATGAAGGAAAGAATCTGAAGATTGGCCGGGCGCGGTGGCTCACGCCTGTAATCCCAGCACTTTGGGAGGCCAAGACAGGCAGATCACGAGGTCAGGAGATCGAGACCATCCTGGCTGACACGGTGAAACCTCATCTCTACTAAAAATACAAAAAATTAGCCGGGCGTGGTGGCGGGCGCCTGTGGTCCCAGCTACTCGGGAGGCTGAGGCAGGAGAATGGCGTGAACCCGGGAGGTGGAGGTTGCAGTGAGCCGAGATCGCGCCACCGCACTCCAGCCTGAGCGACAGAGCGAGATTCCGTCTCAAAAAAAATACAATACAATACATTACAATTATAAAATAAAATAAAATAAAATAAAATATAAAATGGTCTTTGCAGATGTAATGAAGTAAAGAATCTGAAGATGAACCGGGAGCGGTGGCTCACGCCTGTAATTTCAGCACTTTGGGAGGCCGAGGCGGGCGGATCACCTGAGGTCGGGAGTTCAAGACCGGCCTGGCCAACATGGTGAAACCCCGTCTCAGGGTGAGCCACCGCACCTGGCCCCAGTTCCTGTTATTAAACGTCCATAGTTACTAGTCGGGACTGGCAGGGATGGCTGCAGAGAGGAGCATGTCGTCAGTCACTAGAGGGCAGCAATGTCCCCCACCTTCAGGCGACCGGATTCTCACATCTGGGTGGTGGCCACAAGGACCTCCCAGCAGCTCTCAGGTGGTGCTAGTGATGCTTCCATGGACCGCACCTCGAGAAGTGGGAAGAGCTTTAGAAGCTGTCTGGGCTGGGTGTGGTGGCTCACACCTACAATCCCAGCACTTTGGGAGGCTGAGGCAGCAAGATCTCTTGAATCCAGCAGTTTGAGGCTAGCCTGGGCAACATAGTGAGACCCCCATCTCTTAAAAAAAATGCAGGCTGGGCGCAGTGGCTCACGCCTGTAATCCCAGCACTTTGGGAGGCAGAGGCGGGCAGATCATGAGGTCAGGAGATCGAAACCATCCTGGCTAACACGGTGAAACCCCGTCTCTAATAAAAATACAAAAAATTAGCCGGGCGTGGTGGTGGGCGCCTGTAGTCCCAGCTACTCGGGAGGCTGAGGCAGGAGAATGGCGTGAACCCGGGAGGCCGAGGTTGTGGTGAGCCAAGATCACCCCACTGCATTCCAGCCTGGACAATGGTGTGAGACTCCGTCTCAAAAAAAAAAAAATGCAAAAATTTAGCTGGACATGGTAGCATGTTCCTGTTGCCCTAGCTACTGGGGAGGCTGAGGTGGGAGGATCACTTGAGTCTGTGAGGTGGAGGTTGCAGTAAGCTAAGATCACGCCGCTGCACTCCAGCCTGGGTGACAGAGTGTAACTCTGCCTTTAAAAACAAAAACAAAAACAAAACAGAGGCCAGGAGGGGTGATTCACGCCTGTAATCCCAGCACTTTGGGAGGTAGAGGCTGGAGGATCACTTGAGGTCAGGAGTTAGAGGCCAGCCTGGGCCACATAGCAAGATCCTGTCTCTAAGAAAAAGGAAGGAAGGAAGGAAGGAAAAAGAGAAAGGAAAGAAAGAGAAAGAAAGAAGGAAGGAAGGAAAAAGGAAAAGAAAGGAAAGAAAAAGAAAGAAGAGAGAGAGAAAAAAGAAAGAAAAAGAAAGAGAAAGGGCAAGCAAGCAAGCAGGGAGGGAGGGAGGGGAGGGAAGGAGGAGGGAAAGAAGGAAGGGAGGGAGGGAGGGAGGAAGGGAAAGAAAGGAAAGAAAAGAAGGAAGGAAGGAAAGAAAGAAAGAGAAAGAGAGAAAGAAAAGCAAGAAAGGAAAGAAAGAAAAAAGAAAAAGGACATAAGTGCTTTGGCCCCACTGTGGATGGAGAGGTTGCTTTTGCCCAGCAGGGCCGCTTGGGCATGACCAAGAAGCACTCTCGTTGCCACCTAACAAAGGCCTGTCTGAGTCGGGACCACGCAAGATGTGGACGCACGCAGGGAAAGCTGTCAGCAGCTTACACCCATGAAGCCCTTTGCTGTCCTCACCCGGAGGTGCAGACTCTGAGGACCCCTGAGGGAAAGAAAGGCAGGAAAGTCTGACCTCCTTGTCAGAGCCCTGTGTCCAAGAACTGGGTACTCAGCGATCACAGGACGGTTGGGTTTCTCCGCCTCCTCCCTCAGGTCACAACTCAGCTGTCTGTGCCCCAAACTGGCCACCGACACCAGGTTCTCTCTTCTTTTAAAGGTTTTCCAGAGAGGTGTACCTGGTGCCCCGTCCTGAGTTGAAAACAAAACATACTTTGCGCCGTGGCTCACGCCTGTCATCCCAGCACTTTGGGAGGCCGAGACGGGCGGATCAAGAGGTCGGGAGATCGAGACCAGCCTGGCCAACGTGTTGAAACCCCCGTCTCTACTAAAATACACAAAAAAATTAGCCGGGCGTGGTGGCGGGCACCTGTAGTTCCACCTACTGGGGAGGCTGAGGCAGGAGAATTGCTTGAACCCAGGAGATGGAGGTTGCAGTGAGCCAAGATTGCACCACTGCACTCCAGCCTGCGGACTCTGTCTCCAAATAAAAAAAGGAAAGGAAAGGAAAGGAGAGGGGAGGGGAGGGAGGAAGGAGGAGAGGGGAGGGGAGGCGGGAAGGAGGGGGGGAGGAGGGGAGGGGAGAGAGGGAGGTGGGGAGGAGAGGGAAGGGGAGCGGAGGGGAAGGCGAGGCAGGGGAATCTCGCCAGGCCAGATGCCTCAAATGTGCTATGAAGGAAAAGTAAAAATGCCTGCGGTGGGTGCTGAAGACACACACCAGCCAGGAGATTCCCGCGGGAATTAGAAACACCCTGACCCCGACCTTGGGTCAAAACAATGAAGAAATAACACATGTCCTAAGAGGCCGTGGCTCCTGATCGGACAGATTTTAATTTCAAAACTTCATCCACGTCTTTGGGTTCAGGCAGGGGGAGCGATGAACAGGTGCTGACAGCCAGCATCTTTCGAAAGATTTCCTTTGTGTTGACAGACTGAGTTGACACTTGCCCAGTGAAAGAGAGATGATTTGCTCTCTCTGTGACCACCTGCCCCCCAGGAGCCGGTGACCAAGATAAGCCCCGTGTCCCCAGCCAACCAGTCAAGGTGCCACCTGCGATAGCCCCTGAGTGACTCAGGCGGTGCCCACATTACCGTCGGTGACGGTAGCTTTGGTTTTCAGAACCTCTGATCACAAAACAAGGTTTCTCTGGGACACTCTGGCTGTGGCTCTACGGATGAGCTCAGCTGTGGAGAAACTTCTGAGTGAGCAGGATGGAGTTATAGAAAAAATATCAGGCCGGGCGCGGTGGCTCACGCCTGTCACCCCAGCACTTTGGGAGGCCGAGGCGGGCGGATCACCTGAGGTCAGGAGTTCGAGAACAGCCTGGCCAACATGGCGAAACCCCGTCTCTACTAAAAAGAATAATAATAATAAAAATTAGTTGGGCATGGTGGCCTGCAATCCCAGCTACATGGGAGGCTGAGGCAGGAGAATCGCTTGAACCTGGGAGGCAGAGGTTGAGGTGAGCTGAGATCGTGCCATTGCACTCCAGCCTGGGTGACAAGAGTGAAACTCCATCTCAAAAATAATAAAATTAAATTAAATTAAATTAAATTTTTTAAAAAAAGATATCAGACCGGGCACAGTGGCTCACACCTGTCATCCCAGCACTTTGGGAGGCCGAGGCGGGCGGATCACCTGAGGTCAGGAGTTCGAGACCAGCCTGGCCAACTGGGTGAAACCCCATCTCTACTAAAAATACAAAAATTAGCCGGGTGTGTTGGCGCGCACCTGTCATCCCAGCTACTCGGGAAGCTGAGGCAGGAGAATCGCTTGAACTCGGGAGGCGGAGGTTGAGGTGAGCCGAGATCATGCCACTACACTCCAGCCTGGGCAACAAGAGTGAAACTCCATCTCAAAAAAAATAAAGTAAAATAAAATAATAATTTTAAAAAATAAAGATATCAGGCCGGTTGCAGTGGCTCACGCCTGTAATCCCAGCACTTCGTGAGGCCGAGGCGGGTGGATCCCCTGAGGTCAGGAGTTCGAGACCAGCCTGGCCAACAGGGTGACATCCCATCTCTACTAAAAATACAATAGTTAGCCGGGCGTGGTGGCGGGTGCCTGTAATCCCAGCTACTCAGGAGGCTGAGGCAGGAGAATCGCTTGAACCAGGAAGGTGGAGGTTGAGGTGAGCCTACATAGAGCCGCTGCACTCCAGCCTGGGCAACAAGAGCAAAACTCCATCTCAAAAAAACATAAATAAAAATAGATAAATAAATAAATAACAAAAATATCAGGCGAGGCACTGTGGCTCACGCCTGAAATCCCAGCACTTTGTGAGGCCGAGGTGGGCGGATCCCCAGAGATCAGGAGTTTGAGACCAGCCAGACCAACATGGTGAAACCCCGTCTCTACTAAAAATACAAAAATTAGCCGGGCGTGGTGGTGTGCACCTGTCATCCCAGCTACTCAGGAGGCCGAGGCAGGAGAATCGTTTGAACCCGGGAGGTGGTTTTGCAGGATAGATAGATTCAAGAGATCTATGGTACAATGCATGGCTGGGCGCAGTGGCTCATGCCTGTAATCCCACCACTTAGGGAGGCAGAGGTAGGCGGATCACAAGTTCAGGAGTTCGAGACCAGCCTGACCAACATGGTGAAACCCCGTCTCTACTAAAAATACAAAAATTAGCTGGGCGTGGTGGTGTGCACCTGTCATCCCAGCTACTCAGGAGGCTGAGGCGGGAGAATCGCTTGAACCCGGGAGGCAGAGCTTGCAGTGAGCCAAGATCACGCCACTGCCCTCCAGCCTGGGTGACAGAGTGAGGCTCCATCTCAAAAAATAGATAAATAAATAAATATGAGCACAGTTGGAGCCCCTCATCCCCACGACCCCTTTTAACAGTAACCCAGGGGATGGTATCTCACGTTCAGACAGAAGTGGGTCGGTCTTGCAACTGCCGGAGACCGTGGCCCCTGCCCTGGGGGGCTCTGAGCAGTAGCAGAACCAGCCACATTGCAGAAGCCGGGAACCAGGAGTCAGCCTCACGGTGGGTGGAGGGTGGGGGGCTGGAGGATCCCTCATTTCCCCGGGACAGACCTGCACGTCCACCCTCTTAGAAGCCAGGGCAAGAGCAAAGAGTGGGCACGTGGTCTGAGAGACCCACTGGTCACGGAAGGTCTCAGCAACACCATCCCCAGGAGGGTCCTTGCAGGCACCTGTGGGGCTAGTTCCTGGCTCCAGGCAGCCTTTACCGTCCAACCCAGGCAGGAGTGGTTTCCGTGACCCCAGTATTGCCCGTGGAATTCCCCTGAGACGAGGGGCTTTCCTGGCGAACTTTCCCAGCGAAAACACATCCGGTCACAGGCTTTGCAGCCCCCTCACTCCTGGGATCCCTGGGGAAGGGGGGCTGAGTTTCTGAGATTTCTTTTTTTTTTTTTTTTTTTTTTGAGATGGAGTCTCACTGTGTCACCCAGAGTGGGGCTGAGTCTTTGAGATTTGTTTTTTTTTTTTTTTTTTTTTTTGAGATGGAGTCTCACTCTGTCACCCAGAGTGGGGCTGAGTCTCTGAGATTTCTATTTTTTTTTTTTTCTTTTTGAGATGGAGTCTCGCTGTGTCACCCAGAGTGGGGCTGTCTTTGACATTTGTTTGTTTTTTGTTTTTTTTTTGAGATGGAGTCTCACTCTGTCACCCAGAGTGGGGCTGAGTCTCTGAGATTTCTATTTTTTATTTTTTTTTTTTGAGATGGAGTGTCGCTCTGTCACCCAGAGTGGGGCTGAGTCTCTGAGATTTCTATTTTTTTTTTTTTTGAGATGGAGTCTCGCTCTGTCACCCAGAGTAGGGCTGAGTCTCTGAGATTTCCAATTTTTTTTTTGAGATGGAGTCTTGCTCTGTCACCCAGAGTGGGGCTGAGTCTCTGAGATTTCTTTTTTTTTTGAGATGGAGTCTCACTCTGTCACCCGGAGTGGGGCTGAGTCTCTGAGATTTCTTTTTCTTTTTTTTTTTTTTTTGAAACAGAGTCTCACTCTGTCTCCCAGGCTGGAGTGCAGTGGCGCGATCTCGGATCACTGCAACCTCCGCCTCCCGGGTTCAAGCGATTCTCCTGTCTCAGCTTCCTGAGTAGCTGGGATCAGAGGCGCGCCCCACCATGCCTGGCTCATTTTTTGTATTTTAGTAGAGACAGGGTTTCGCCATGTTGCCCAGGCTGGTCTTGAACTCCTGAGCTCAGTCAATCCACCCGCCTCAGCCTCCCAAAGTGCTGGGATTACAGGCCTGAGCCTCCGTGCCCGACTGACTACTCCTGGTTTAATTCATCCCAGGCAAATGCAGGCTGGATATGCTGGGACCCCTCTTTCATGGCAAAGAGGTCTTTGTAGATGTTGTTAAGTAAAGGATCTTGAGATGAGATCGTTCTGGAGGGGGGTGGCCCTAAATGCAATGACAGGTGTGTTTCTAAGAGACAGAAAAGGAGACACAGACAGAGAGGAGGAGGCCACGTGGAGACGGAGGCAGAGACTGGAGTCATGCGGCCACAAGCCCAGGGATGCCTGGAGCCCCCAGGAGGCGGGAGAGGCAGGAAGGACCCTCCCCTAGAGCCCCCAGAGGGAGCTCAACCCTGAGACACCTTTTTTGTTTTCTTGTTTTTTGCTTTTTTTTGAGACGGAGTCTTGCTCTGTCACACAGGCTGGAGTGCAGTGGCGCCATCTCAGCTCACTGCAACCTCCGCCTCCCGGGTTCAAGCCATTCTCCTGCCTCAGCCTCCCCAGTAGCTGGGATTACAGGCACCCGCCACCACGCCTGGACAATTTTTGTATTTTTTAACAGACACGGGGTTTCACCATATTGGCCAGTCTGGTCTCGAACTCCTGATCTCATGATCCGTCCGCCTCAGCCTCCCAAAGTGCTGGGATTACAGGAGTGAGCCATCACGCCTGGCCCGACCCTGAGACATCTTGATCTCAGACTCCTGACCTCCAGGACTGGGGGATAGGATGTTGTGATCAAGGTGCGGCTTCTGGCATGGAGATTGGCAAGGCCCGAGATTGCTCCAGCAGGCACACAGGAGGGCTGCGTCACCAGAGGGAGACCTGAGGTCTCCAGCCATCACCCAGGCTGCGGAAGAGCAGCGGACGGAAACCCAGAGGAAGGTTAACCAAAGCCAGGTCCCATCCCACTTACCTGGCCACTGTGCACCCCTCAACATCCTCACAAGGGATGCCTCAGCCTCCCGCCTAGCTGGGATGACAGGCACCTGCCATCATGTCCAGCTCATTTTTTTCTTTTTCTTTTTGAGACGGAGTCTTGCTGTGTTGCCCAGGCTGGAGTGCAGTGGCACCATCTCAGCTCACTGCTACCTCCGCCTCCCGGGGTTCAAGTGATTCCCCTGCCTCAGCCTCCCCAGTAGCTGGGAGGCAGAGGTAGCAGTGAGCCGAGATCTCGCCACTGCACTCCAGCCTGGGCGACAGAGCAAGACTCCGTCTCCAAAAAAAGAGAAAAATTTAGCTGGACATGATGGCAGGTGCCTGTCATCCCAGCTACTTGGGAAGCTGAGGCAGGAGAATGGCGTGAACCCAGGAGGAAGAGCTTGCAGTGAGGCGACATCGCACCACCACCCTCCAGCCTGGGCAACAGAGCAAGACTCCATATCAAAAAAAAAAAAAAAAATATGAGCTGAACATGATGGCAGGTGCCTGTCATCCCAGCTACTGCGGAAGCTGAGGCAGGAGAATCGCTTGAACCCGGGAGGTGGAGCTTGCAGCGAGCCTAGATTATGCCACTGCTCTCCAGCCTGGACGACAGAGCGAGACTCCGTCTCAAAGAACAAAGAAAAAGTCGGCTGTGCTCCTGGCATGGGTGGCACACATACGAGGGTCTGCACACACAGGTGCACGCCTTGCTGCGTTAAGGAGGTTCTATTTCGGGTGTCTCCCATCTGTGTTATCTCCCAGACTCACCCACCATCCCTTCTCATTTCCTTGTTTCTGTTCCTCCTGCCCAAGTCCTGCCAAGGCCGCCACCCCTCCCGCAAGCTTCTGAAGCTATTCCCAATTGCCTCCCTCCTCTGCCACCAGCCCAAGGAGTTTTTCAGAATGACCCCTGCTGGGTGCGTGGCTCACGCCTGTCATCCCAGCCCTTTGGGAGGCAGAGGCAGATGGATCACCTGAGGTCAGGAGTTCAAGACCAGCCTGACCAAGAAGCTGAAACCCCTTCTCTACTAAAAATACAAAAATTAGCCGGGCATGGTGGCGGGCGCCTGTAGTCCCAGCTACTCGGGAGGCTGAGGCAGGAGAATCGCTTGAAGCTGGGAGGCGGAGGTTGTGGTGAGCTGAGATCTTGCCACTGCACTCCAGCCTGGGTGACAGAGGAAGACTCCATCTCAAAAAAAAAAATTAGTTGGATATGATGGCAGCTGCCTGTAATCCCATACTCGGGAGGCTGAGGCAGGAGAATCACTTGAACCCTGGGAGGCAGAGGTTGCAGTGAGCCGAGATCGCGCCACTGCACTCCAGCCTGGGCGAGAGAGCAAGACTCTGTCTCAAAAATAAATAAATAAATAAGTAAATAAGTAAGTAAATAAATAAAATGGCCCCCACCAGGCATGGTGGCTCACGCCTGTCATCCCAGCACTTTGGGAGGCCGGCAGATTGCCTGAGGTCAGGAGTTCGAGACCAGCCTGACCAAGAAGCTGAAACCCTGTCTCTACTAAAAATACAAAAATTAGCCCGGCGTGGTGGCAGGTGCCTGTAGTCCCAGCTACTCCGGAAGCTGAGGCAGGAAAATCACTTGAATCTGGGAGGCGGAGTTTGCAGTGAGCCGAGATCTTGCCACTGCACTCCAGGCTGGGCGACAGAGCGAGACTCCGTCTCAAAAAAAAAAAAAAAAAAAATTAGCTGGACATGATGGCAAGGTGCCTGTAATCCCAGCTACTTGGGAGGCCGAGGCAAGAGAATCGCTTGAACCCTGGGAGGCAGAGGTTGCAGTGAGCCGAGATCGCGCCACTGCACTCCAGCCTGGGCGAGAGAGCAAGAATCTGTCTCAAAAATAAATAAATAAATAAGTAAATAAGTAAGTAAATAAATAAATAAAATGGCCCCCACCAGGCATGGTGGCTCACGCCTGTCATCCCAGCACTTTGGGAGGCCGGCAGATTGCCTGAGGTCAGAAGTTCGAGACCAGCCTGGCCAACATGGCAAAACCCGGTCTCTACTAAAAATACAAAAATTAGCCAGGCGTGGTGGCGGGCGCCTGTAATCCCAGCTACTCGGGAGACTGAAGCAGGAGAATCTCTTGAACCTGGGAGGCAGAGGTTGCAGTGAGCAGAGATCACACCACTGCACTCCAGCCTGGGTGACAGAGAGAGACTCCATCTAAAAAAATAAAATAAAAATAAAAATAAAATAAAATGACCCCATCCCCCCAGACTCAAGGTGGAGGGGAGGTGTTGGTTTTTAAAGGGCTGTTTTCTTTGTTTTTTATTTCTATTTGTATTTTATTTTAAGTTCTGGGGTACATGTGCAGAATGTGCAGGTTTGTTACATAGGTATACATGTGCCAGTGTGGTTTGCTGCACCCATCAACTCGTCATCTACATTAGGTATTTGTCCTAATGCTCTCACTGCCCTTGTCCCCCAAGCCCCGACAGGCCCTGGTGTGTGATGTTCCCCTCCCTGTGTCCATGTGTTCTCATTGTTCAACTCCCACTTATGAGTGAGAACATGCGGTGTTTGGTTTTTCTGTTCCTGTGTGAGTTTGCTGAGAATGATGGTTTCCAGCTTCATCCATGTCCCTGCAAAGGACATGATCTTATCCATTTTGATGGCTGCATAGTATTCCATGGTGTCTATGTGCCACATTTTCTTTATCCAGTCTATCATTGATGGACATTTGGGTTGGTTCCAAGTCTTGGCTATTGTGAACAGTGCTGCAAAAACATACGTGTGCGTGTGTCTTTATAGGAGAATGACTGATCATCTAAAGGGCTATTTTCTTTCTTTCTTTTTTTTTTTTTTTTGAGACAGAGTCTTCCTCTGTCACCAGGCTGGAGTGCAGTGGCATGATCTTGGCTCACTGTAACCTCCGCCTCCTTGGTTCAAGCCAAATTCTCCTGGCCCAGCCTCCTGACTAGCTGGGACTACAGGTGCCCACAAGCACACCCAGCTAATTTTTTTTGTTTTTTGTATTTTTAGTAGAGACAGGGTTTCACCGTGTTAGCCAGGATGGTCTCGATCTTCTGACCTCGTGATACGCCCACCTCGGCCTCCCAAAGTGCTGGGATGACAGGCTTGAGCCACACATGTGATAAAATTACTTAGAACTGAATGCTTAGTAATACTGGGAACACCCAAGTAAGATTGTATCAATCTCCAGGTTGCAACATTGCAACCCTCATTTTGTAAGATGTTACCAAGGAAAAAAAACTGACCCAAGCATGCCAGGGTGTTTGTATTAATTTTTTTTTTTTTTTGAGATGGAGTCTTGTTCTGTCGCCCAGGCTGGAATGCAGTGGCACAATCTCAGCTCACTGCAACCTCCACCTCCCAGGTTCAAGAAGTTCTCCTGCCTTATTCTCCTCAGTAGCTGGTATTACAGGTGCCTGCCACCATGCCCAGCTACTTTTTGTATTTTTTTTTTTTTTGAGACGGATTCTTGCTCTGTTGCCCAGGTTGGAGTGCAGTGGCGCGACCTCGGCTCACTGCAACCTCCGCCTCCCGGGTTCAAGCGATTCTCCTGCCTCAGCCTCCCGAGTAGCTGGGATTACAGGCATGTGCCACCACAACCAGCTAATTTTTGAATTTTTAGTAGAGGCAGGGTTTCAGCATGTTGGTCAGGCTGGTCTTGAACTCCTGACATTGTGATCTGCCCGCCTCGGCCTCCCAAAGTGCTGGGATGACAGGTGTGAGGCACCGCGCCCGGCCTGCCGCCATGGTTTTCTTAATACCATTCTTTTCTGTAGCCTAGTTAATTGCAAGAATGCAGTATAGCATACACAGAGCATAACAAATATGTATGAATCAACTGTTTATGTTATCAGTAAGGCTTCTGGTTAACACTAGGCTGTTAGTTGTTACGGTTTGGGGGAGTTAAAAGTCACACTTGGATTTTTTTTTTTTTTTCAGATGGAGTCTCACTCTGTTGCCCAGGCTGGAGTGCAGTGGCGTGATTTCAGCTCACTGCAACCTCCACCTCCTGGGTTCAAGCGATTCTGCTGCCTCAGCCTCCTGAGTAGCTGGGATGACAGGCATGTACCACCGTGCCTGGGTCATTTTTGTATTTTTAGTAGAAATGGAGTTTCGCCATGTTGGTCAGGCTGGTCTTGAACCCCTGACCTCAGGTGATGCACCCACCTTGGCCTCCCACAGAGCTGGGATTACAGGCGTGAGCCACTGGGCCCCGCCCTGTATTTGGATTTTTGAGTGCACGAGGTGGCAGTGTCTGTAACCTGCACATTGCCTAAGAGTTAATTCTGTATCAAAACATCTTGTTTGTACGTTAAATATATCCAGTTAAAAAAAAATAAGGAAGCGGTTAGCCATGAGTTGACATCACATTTACAACCCCATCATTTCAAACTTCCTTTTCTGGGTGTGGTGACGGGCACCTGTCATCCCAGCTACTCGGGAGGCTGAGGCAGGAGAATCGCTTGAACCTGGGAGGCTCAGGTTGCGGAGAGCTGAGATCGCGCCACTGCACTCCAGCCTGGGTGATAGAGCAAGACTCCATCTCAGAAAAAAAAAAAAAAAAAAAAAAAAAAGATATCTTAGTGGTCAGGTGCGGTGGCTCACGCCTGTCATCCCACCACTTTGGGAGGCCAACGAGGGTGGATCACCTGAGGTCAGGAGTTCGAGACCATCTGGCCAACATGGTGAAACCCCGTCTCTAGTAAAAATTTAAAAATTAGCCGGGCGTGGTGGCAGGTGCCCGTAATCCCAGCTACTTGGGAGGCCGAGGCAGGAGAATCGCTTGAACCTGGGGCAGAGGTTGCAGGGAGCCGAGATCGCACCATTGCACTCCAGCCTGGATGACAGAGCAAGCAAAGCGAGACTCCGTCTCAAAGAAAAAAAAAAAAAAAAACAGGAGCCGGGCTGCAAGGTGGAGGCTCTGGGGAAGGGCTGAGGTTGGGGTGGAATTTGGGAAGGGTGCCGAGAACCAGAGAAGAGTTGATACATTCAGAGGGAAGGGAAGGGCTGTCTGGGAGTGCGCGTGCTGAGTAAACAGAAATAACAGATTTCAGCGTTGGAAAGAGAAGCCCGGGACAGGTTGGTGAGTGCCCCATTCAGGGCTGGACTTTACTAAGGGTTTTTGTTTGTTTGTTTTCTGTTGAGACAGAGTTTGCTCTTGTCACCAGGCTGGAGTGCAGTGGTGTGATCTCGGCTCACTGTGACCTCCGCCTGCCGGGTTTAAGTGATTCTCCTGCCTCAGCCTTGGGAGAAGCTGGGATTACAGGCACCTGCCACCACGCCTGGCTAATTTTTAAATTTTTACTAGAGACGGGGTTTCACCATGTTGTCCAGGCTGATCTTGAACTCCTGCCCTCAGGTGATCTACCCGCCTCAGCCTCCCAAAGTGCTGGGATGACAGGTGCGAGCCACCGCGCCTGACCACTAAGATTTTTTTTTTTTTTTTTGAGACGGAGTCTCGTTCTATTTCCCAGGCTGGAGTGCAGTGGCGCCATCCTGGCTCACTGTAACCTCCGCCTCCCAGGTTCAAATGATTCTCCTGCCTCAGCCTCCGGAGAAGCTGGGATTATAGGCACCCACCACCACGCCTGGCTAACTTTTTTCTTTTTACTAGAGACGGGGTTTCACCATGTTGGTCAGAATGGTCTCGAACTCCTGACCTCAGGGTGATCCACCCTCCTCGGCCTCCCAAAGTGCTGGGATGACAGGTGTGAACCACCGCACCTGACCACTAAGATATCTTTTTTTTTTTTTTTTTGAGACGGAGTCTTGCTCTATCACCCAGGCTGGAGGGCACTGGCGCCATCCTGGCTCACTGTAACCTCTCTCCCAGGTTCAAACTATTCTCCTGCCTCAGCCTCCAGAGAAGCTGGGAT
Source organism: Homo sapiens (assembly GCF_000001405.40). Classification (NCBI taxonomy): domain Eukaryota; kingdom Metazoa; phylum Chordata; class Mammalia; order Primates; family Hominidae; genus Homo; species Homo sapiens. The sequence goes on from NC_000023.11 coordinate 1,335,865, forward strand.
TACAGGCACCTGCCACCACGCCTGGCTAATTTTTAAATTTTTACTAGAGACGGGCTTCCACCATGTTGGCCAGATGGTCTCAAACTCCTGACCTCAGGTGATCCGCCCTCATCGGCCTCCCAAAGTGCTGGGATGACAGGTGTGAGCCACCACCCCTGACCACTAAGATATCTTTTTTTTTTTTTTGAGACCGAGTCTTGCTCTGTCGCCCAGGCTGGAGTGCAGTGGCGCGATCTCGGTTCACTGTAACCTCCTCCGCCTCCCAGGTTCAAGCGATTCTCCTGTCTCAGCCTCCCGAGTAGCTGGGATTACAGGTGCTCACCACCACGCTGGGCTAATTTTTGTATTTTTAATAGAGACGGGGTTTCACCATGTTGGCCAGGCTGGTCTCAATCTCTTGACCTCAAGTGATCTGCCCGCCTCGGCCTCCCAAAGTGCTGGGATGACAGGCGTGAGCCACCGCACCCGGCCACTAACATATCTTTAATAAGATCTGTCATCTGAGACCGGGGGCCACCTCCCTGTCTGGGTGCTGTTTCCCACGAGACAGGGAGGAAACACAGGCAGGAGCCCCTGGACACCAGCGTTCACGCCTCCAAGGCTGAATTTACTATGTCAGGAAGTTGCCCAACCCTGCCTGTATAGCCAGCAAGAATTCTAATTATAGCAAACAGAAACACTTGCAGAAAAAAAAAAAAATGAGAACGGGAACATGATAATTTTCAAAGAAAGAGTCTTTCTTTCAAGGAAAGTCAGGTTCATGGTTACGAAGCTGCTGACCCCAGGATCCCAGCCCGTGGGAGAGAAGGGGGTCTCTGACAGCCCCCACCCCTCCCCACTGCCAGATCCTTATTGGGTCTGAGTTTCAGGGGTGGGGCCCCAGCTGGAGGTTATAAAACAGCTCAATCGGGGAGTACAACCTTCGGTTTCTCTTCGGGGAAAGCTGCTTTCAGCGCACACGGGAAGATATCAGAAACATCCTAGGATCAGGACACCCCAGATCTTCTCAACTGGAACCACGAAGGCTGTTTCTTCCACACAGTACTTTGATCTCCATTTAAGGTAAGGTCCCCCCTCCAGGGTGGGATGAGGGAAAAAGAGGGCAGGCAGGGGAGGCGGTGGACTGTGGGTTCCCAAATCCAAGCTGGCAGACACGGGGCATTGGCATGTAACAGGTTTCTGCTGAGACCTGCTGTCCGTGTGGGCACCACACCACACATAGAATGACCCGGTACCAGAGAAGTATGTTTGCGATCTCATTCACCCTTTTGTAAGTGGATCGGACGCTGAAGCCATCATAGCATGTTAGATGCCTTGGGTTTATAAAGGTGATAGCATTAGGAGTAATTTGACAGTGCTTTCTGCTTTTTCTGTGTGCTTGCTAGAAAATGTACACACCTACACATGGCTAGAGTTCTCTGTTTATTAGAAAGCGCTGGTTCAGTTAGTCAATGAGCTCACGCCCAGGGCGAGCTGACTGCCAGCCGGGGAGCCGCTTTTGGGGCTGGGACCCCAGCCTGCTTGTAGTGTTTCTCAGTGGTTTTCAAAGGCTGGCGGGACTCAGAATGTTCCAGATGGCTGGTGAAACCTCAGGTCCCTCCTAGCAGCTTTATTCACAGTAGCCAAGAGGTGGAGACAGCCCTCGTACCCATCTATAGATGAATGGAAAAATATAATGTCCATCCACACAGTGGAATATTACGCAGCCATGAAAAGGAACAAGCAGCTTTATTCACAATAGCCAAGAGGTGGAGACAGCCCTCATACCCATCTATAGACGAATGGATAAATATAATGTGGTCCAGCCACACGGTGGAATATTACACAGCCATGAAAAGGAACAAGCAGCTTTATTCACAATAGCCAAGAGGTGGAGACAGCCCTCATACCCATCTATAGACGAATGGATAAATATAATGTGGTCCAGCCACACAGTGGAATATTACACAGCCATGAAAAGGAACAAGCAGCTTTATTCACAATAGCCAAGAGGTGGAGACAGCCCTCATACCCATCTATAGATGAATGGAGAAATATAATGTGGTCCAGCCACACAGTGGAATATTATACAGCCATGAAAAGGAACAAGCAGCTTTATTCACAATAGCCAAGAGGTGGAGACAGCCCTCGTACCCATCTATAGATGAATGGAGAAATATAATGTGGTCCAGACACACAGTGGAATATTATACAGCCATGAAAAGGAACAAGCAGCTTTATTCACAATAGCCAAGAGGTGGAGACAGCCCTCATACCCCCATCTATAGATGAAGGGAGAAATATAATGTCCATCCACACAGTGGAATATTACACAGCCATGAAAAGGAACAAGCAGCTTTATTCACAATAGCCAAGAGGTGGAGACAGCCCTCATACCCATCTATAGATGAATGGAAAAATATAATGTCCATCCACACAGTGGAATATTACACAGCCATGAAAAGGAACAAGCAGCTTTATTCACAATAGCCAAGAGGTGGAGACAGCCCTCATACCCCATCTATAGATGAATGGAGAAATATAATGTGGTCCAGCCACACGGTGGAATATTACACAGCCATGAAAAGGAATAAGCAGCTTTATTCACACTAGCCAAGAGGTGGAGAGAGTCCTCATACCCATCTATAGATGAATGGAGAAATATAATGTGGTCCAGCCACACGGTGGAATATTACACAGCCATGAAAAGGAACGAGGCTCTGCCACAGGTGGCAATGTGGGTGAATGCTGAGGACATCATGCTTCCTGAGAGAGGCCAGATACAAAAAGATACATAGTGTCTGTATGATTCCATTTATTCCCTATGTCCAGATACAGGCAAATCCACAGAGACAGAAAGTGGATGAGTGGTTGCCACAGGCTGGGGAAGAGGAAGGACGGGTCTTTAATGGGTCTGGAGTCTCCTTTTGGGGTCGTGACAATGTTCTAGAAGATAGAAGTGGTGGTTTTTTTTGAGACAGAGTCTCGCTCTGTCGCCCAGGCTGGAGTGCAGTGGCGCGATCTCAGCTCACTGCAACCTCCACCTCCCGGGTTCAAGCAATTCTCCTGCCTCAGCCTCCTGAGTAGCTGGGACTACAGGCACCCGCAACTACGCCTGGCTAATTTTTGTATGTTTAGTAGAGACTTTGTATGTTTAGTAGAGTAGTAGAGATTTTGTATGTTTAGTATGTTTTGTATGTTGGTCAGGCTGGTCTCGAACTCCTGACCTCAAGCAATCCACCCCCCTCAGCCTCCCAAAGTGCTGGGATTATAGGCGTGAGCCACCGCGCCTGGCCAATGAAAATATTAATCAATAAATGTTAAGAGCACAGATTTCCCAACGTTCTGACTCAGGCATCTTCCTGGACCACAGCCCCTACAGGCAAGTGTGACTGTGTGTGGTGAGCCCATGAGCTGAACACAGGCTCTGTCCGAAAGGAGACTCTAGAGATTGCCTGTTGCCTTGGAGGTGGGCTGCGGTCCCTCTGCCCAGGCAGGAAGGGGCTCCGAGGCCTCTGGAACCTCATTTTACCTTTTCCCTGCTGCCCTCAGTCCCGTCCCCAGCCTCAAGGGGCTCAGCTTTTTCCAGGCTCACCCCTTCCATTTATAATTTGGAGACAAGCAAGGTCCACTGACGCTAACGCCATTTGGTTCTTTAAAAGATGTTAGGCCGGGCGCGGTGGCTCACGCCTGTCATCCCAGCACTTTGGGAGGCCAAGGCGGGTGGATCATGAGGTCAGGAGTTCGAGACCAGCCTGACCAACATGGTGAAACACCATCTCTACTAAAAATAGAAAAATTAGCTGGGTGTGGTGGCGGACACCGGTAATCCCATCTACTGGGGAGGCTGAGGCAGGAGAATCGCTTGAACGTGGGAGGTGGAGGTTGCAGTGAACCAAGATCGCGCCACTGCACTCCGGCCTGGACAACAAGAGTGAGACTCCATCTCAGAAAAAACAAAACAAAACAAAACAAAAAACCAGAAAAGACAGCTGCCACCCCAGAGCACAGTGTAGGAGAGCCAGCCTTTCTGGGATGCGGCAGAAAGTTCCAGTGCAGGAGGCTGAGGTCCTGTACCCCCTTGTTACGGTAACTGCAGCCACTTAGGAATTTCCGTGTGTTGATTTCATCATTGTAATTATACTTCCTTCCACTGCTTTGTCATCTGAGCTTCCTGGTGTGCCGCAGAGGATGTGTTTTCCTGGTTTGTGGATACAGCTCGAGCCAAGAACGGGCTAAACCCCCAGGGCAGCAACTCTTTCTTTTCTTTTCTTTTTTTTTTTTTTTTTTGAGACGGAGTCTCGCTCTGTCGTCCAGGCTGGAGTGCAGTGGCGCCATCTCGGCTCACTGCAAGCTCCACCTCCCGGGTTCAACTGATTGTCCTGCCTCAGCCTCCCGAGTAGCTGGGATTATAGGCACACTCCACCACGCCTGGCTAATTTTTGTATTTTTAGTAGAGACGGGGTTTCACCATGTTAGCCAGGCTGGTCTTGAACTCCTGACCTCGGGCAATCTGCCCACCTCTGCTTCCCAAAGTGCTGGGATTACTGGCATGAGCCACTGCACCCAGCCGGCAGGGCTTCTTTCAAAAGGGAACGGCTGACACACACACAGATGCATGCACATACATGCACACATACACACTGATGCAAACACATTTGTACACATACATTCACACATGCATGCACATAAATATGCACTTCTAGGCACATGCATGCACACATACAGACTCATGCATGTATATTTGTGTATGCACATATATTTATGCACATGTGTGTACACGTGGAATGCATGCACAGATACATATGCATTCAAACACAAAGACTGTGTGTACCTGCATGCATGAAAACACACAAACACAGCCGGGCACGGTGGCTCACACCTGTAATCTCAGCACTTGGCGAGGAAAAGGCGGGCGGATCACCTGAGGCAGGAGTCCGAGACCAGCCTGGCCAACATGGTCAAATCTCTACTAAAAAATACAAAAAGTGGGCTGGACGCGGTGGCTGACGCCTGTCATCCCAGCACTTTGGGAGGCTGAGGTGGGTGGATCACCTGAGGTCAGGAGTTCGAGACCAGCCTGGCCAACACGGTGAAACCCCGTCTCTGCTAAAAATACAAAAATTAGCCGGACATGGTGGTGGGTGCCTATAATCCCAGCTACTCGGGAGGCTGAGGCAGGACAATCGGTTGAACCTGGGAGGCGGAGGTTGCAGTGAGCCCAGATCACGCCATTGCACTCCAGCCTGGGCAACAAGAGCAAAACTCTGTCACAAAAAATAAATAAATAAATAAATAATACAAAAATTAGCCAGGCATGGTGGCGAGTGCCTGTAATCCCAGCTACTCAGGAGGCTGAGGCAGGAGAGTCGCTTGAACCTGGGAGGCAGAGGTTGCAATGAGCCGAGATCATGCCACTGCACTCCAGCCTGGACGACAAGGGCGAGTCTCCATCAGGAAAAAAAAAAAAAGAAAACACACAAACACTTATGTGTGCACACAGATACACACGGGCACAAAAATGTACACACGTGCAAGCACACACACACACAGACACATGTACACAGTACCCGTGTGTGCACAGGCATGCATGCAGTCCTGCAAATGTGCAAACAGACATGGCTACATAGAGGCATGCACACATATAGACCCATGTACACACACACGAATATTCGTGCACACATGTAGAAGCACACTCTGATGTGCATGCATGTGCAAAGGCGCATTTGCACACAGACACATATGCACACTCACCACCGCTTTCCCTCCAGAAGCAGCTCCTTCTGCTGTGAGCACCAGGCTCTGGAAGGGGCAAGCATCCTTCATTACCCGCAACCCAGTTTCACAGCCAGTCCCCGCTGCCTGACTCTCGTTTCTCCTGCAGCAGGCACCTCTGTCCTGCGTTCCGGAGCTGCGTTCCCGATGGTCCTCCTTTGGCTCACGCTGCTCCTGATCGCCCTGCCCTGTCTCCTGCAAACGAAGGAAGGTAAGAACTGGAGAAAAAATGCACGTGCCACCTGGGGAGCGGTGGGGGTAGACAGACACACAATGTCAGCGTGCCGTCCTTCAGGGAAACTTTTCATGCTGAGCTCATGGCAGAGTCTCATGCAGTGGTCGGGAATGACTCAGACACTTCCCTGTACCCGTCACCAAGTTCCCTGTAATGCAGCATCTTGCAAAACGGTAATACGACCTCACAGGCAGGGACCTGATCGTGACACAGATGCCATGTGAGGTGTTTTGATGAAACTCACACGCTGGGATCAACAGCACCAATAACAATTTCCAGTTTCCTTCATTGTTTATCTTACTTTTTCATTTTCTTATTATTTTTATTTTGGAGACAGGGTCTTACTGTCTTGCCCAGGCTGGAGTGCAATAGTGTGATCTCGGCTCACTGCAACCTCTGCCTCCCGGATTCAAGCGATTCTTCTGCCTCAGCCTCCCGAGGAGCTGAGATTACAGTCGCGCACCACCATACCCGGCTAATTTCTGTATTTTTGATAGAGACGGGATTTCACTATGTCGGTCAGGCTGGTCTAGAACTGCTGACCACAAGTGATCCGTCTGCCTTGGCCTCCCAAAGTGCTGGGATTACAGGTGTGAGCCACAGCGCCCGGCCTTTTTTTTCATTGGTTTTTACAGTCTATTACTGCAGGGTTTCACTTTACCTTGAATTTCTTTTAACTTTAATTTGCTTTTCATTCTTTAACTTCTTTTTTTTTTTTTTTTTTGACACAGAGTTTCATTCTGGTCGCCCAGGCTGGAGTGTAATAGCGTGACCATGGCTCACTGCAACCTCTACCTGCTGGGTTCAATTGATTCTCCTGTCTCAGCCTCCCAAGCACCTGGGATTACAGGTGTCCGCCACCACGCCCAGCTAATTTTTCTGTTTTTACTAGAGACGGGGTTTCACCGTGTTAGACAGGATGGTCTCGATCTCCTGACCTCATGATCCGCCTGCCTCGGGGTTGGGATTACACACTTTGGGAGGCCAAGGCAGGTGGACGATCACAAGGTCAGGAGTTCGTGACCAGCCTGACTAACACGGTGAAACCCCGTCTCTACTAAAAATACAAAAATCAGCTGGGCGTGGTGGCGGGCGCCTGTAATCCCAGTTACTCGGGAGGCTGAGGCAGGAGAGTCGCTTGAACCCGGGAGGAGGAGGTTGCAGTGAGCCTAGATCACGCCATTGCACTCCAGCCTGGGCGACAGAGTGAGACTCCGTCTCAAAATGAATGAATGAATGAATGAATTTCTTATAAGAATTTTTTTCCCCAGACAGTTTGTTTTAAGGGATAAATTATCCTTCTAAGTTAGAAGAAAATAATGCCAGAAGTCTAGACATTCTTATGCTTTGGTCCCGCTTATCAAACCAAGGTTGCTGACCTTGATAACCACTCAAGATCCTTACAGTTTATAAAGTCATTTCCTCAAGTTTTCTAAGTGGCCGATCAGAGATAAACCCTAGAGAAATAGTTGATGTATGTTTCTAGCTTTGGGTGACCAGCAAAATGTGATAGAATATTGCCTTTTACTGGCCGGGTGCAACGGCTCACGTCTGTAATCCCAGCACTTTGGGAGGCTGAGGCGGGTGGATCACTTGAGGTCAGGAGTTCAAAACCAGCTTGGCCATCATGGTGAAACCCCGTCTGTACTAAAAATACAAAAAAATTAGCTGGGCGCGGTGCTGTGCACCTGTAATCCCTGCTACTCAGGAGGCTGAGGCAGGAGAATCACTTGAACCCGGGAGGCGGAGGTTGCCGTGAGCCAAGATCACGCCATTGCACTCCAACCTGGGTGACAGAGCGAGGCTCCATCTCAAAAAAAAAAAAAAAAAAAGAATATTGCCTTTAACATCTTTGTACAGGTCATTTATGAAATATCTTGAGCTCTGTGATGGCTAAGAGAGACCTTCTTTTTCTTTCTTTCTTTTTTTTTTTTTTGAGACGGAGTTTTTTTGTTTTTTTGAGATGGAGTCTCGCTCTGTTACCCAGGCTGGAGTGCAGTGGCACGATCTCAGCTCACCGCAACCTCCGCCTCCCGAGTTCCAGTGATTCTCCTGCCTCAGCTTCCTGATTAGCTGGGATTACAGGCGCCCGCCACCACGCCCAACTAATTTTTGTATTTTTAGTCGCGACGGGGTTTCACCGTGTTAGCCAGGATGGTCTTGATCACTTGACCTGGTGATCCGCCCACCTTGGCCTCCCAAAGTGCTGGGATGACGGGCGTGAGCCACCACGCCCGTTTGCTTTATGACTTCTACCAGCTCACAGAAGTCTCCTGTGTACATAGAACTCCACTTCCCAGCCAGGCTCAGTAACTCACGTCTGTGATCCCAGCACTTTGGGAGGCTGAGGCAGGCAGATCATGTGAGGTTGGGAGTTCGAGACCAGCCTGGCCAACATGGTGAAACCCCATCTCTAGTAAAAATACAAAAATTAGCCGAGTGTGGTGGCAGGCACCTGTTATCCCAGCTGCACAGCAGGCTGACACAGGATAATCGCTTGAACCCGGGAGGCGGAGGTTGTAGTGAGCCGAGATCGCGCCACTGAATTCCAGCCTGGGCGACAGAGTGAGACTCCGTCTCAAAACAAACAAGCAAACAAAAATACCCATTACAATGTTGTTTTAAGATTGTTGTATATCAACTGGGCATGGTGGCTCATGCTTGTAATCCCAGCACTTTGAGAGGCCGAGGCGGACAGATCACGAGGTCAGGAGATCGAGACCATCCTGGCCAACATGGTGAAACCCCATCTCTAGTAAAAATACAAAAATTAGCCGGGCGTGGTGGTGGGCTCCTGTAATCCTAGCTACTCGGGAGGCTGAGGCAGGAGAATCGCTTGAACCCGGGAGGTAGAGGTTGCGGTGAGCTGAGATCGTGCCACTGCACTCCAGCCTGGGTGACAAGAGCAAAACTCCGTCTCAAAAAAATAAAAAATTTAAAAAAATAAAGAACTCGACCTCCCAAAGGTATTGGCTAACTCCACGGGCAAAAAAACCATACCCATTACAATGCTGTTTTAAGATTGTTGACCTGGTGCGGTGGCTCATGCCTGTAATCCCAGCACTTTGGGAGGCTGAGGCGGACGAATCATGAGGTCAGGAGATCGAGACCATCCTGGCTAACACGGTGAAACGCCATCTCTACTAAAAATACAAAAAAAAAAAAATTAGCCGGGCGTGGTGGCGGGCGCCTGTAGTCCCAGCTACTCGGGAGGCTGAGGCAGGAGAGTTGCTTGAACCAGGAGGCGGAGCTTGCAGTGAGCTGAGATCGTGCCACTGTAGTCCAGCCAGGGCGACAAGAGTGAAACTCCATGTCAAAAAATTTAAAAAAATTAAATAAAAGAACTCCACCTCCCAAAGGTATTGGCTAACTCCACGGGCAAAAAAAAAAAACCATACCCCTTACAATGCCGTTTTAAGATTCTTACGTATCTCTTCGAACTCCAACCTGTCACCGTTTTAGATCCAAACCCACCAATCACGAACCTAAGGATGAAAGCAAAGGCTCAGCAGTTGACCTGGGACCTTAACAGAAATGTGACCGATATCGAGTGTGTTAAAGACGCCGACTATTCTATGCCGGTAAATCATACTCTCTATTGTTTTTTTATTTTTATTTTATTTATTTATGTATTTATGTATTTATTTATTTTTTGAGACGGAGTCTTGCTCTGTCGCCCAGGCTGGACTGCGGTGACCCGATCTCCGCTCTCTGCAACCTCCACCTCCCAGGTCCATGCCATTCTCCTGCCTCAACCTCCCGAGTAGCTGGGACTACAGGCGCCCGCCACCATGCCCGGCTAATTTTTTTGTATTTTTAGTAGAGATGGGGTTTCACTGTGTTAGCCAGGAGGGTCTCGATCTCCTGACCTCGTGATCTGCCCGCCTCGGCCTCCCAAAGTGCTGGGATTACAGGCGCGAGTCACCGCGCATGGCCCAGACTCTCTAATGTTGACGAACAAGACGTTTCCGTCTTCTGCAGGAATCTCAGAACCAATACTGCTCCCATCGCTGGTGTCATGACTACCTGGTTTCTGCCCCGAAGTCAGGTGTGGGATTTGAAGTGACTTTGGAGGGTCTGGTTCCCCGTCCGCGGGACATCTAAGATGGCACACACTGGACAGGGTGGATGTGAAAGTGAAATGAGGCTAAGCTATGACTGGTGCGAAACCCAACCCCACGCTGGGCGTGGTGGCTCACGTCTGTAATCCCAGCACTTTGGGAGGCTGAGGCGGGCGGATCATGAGGTCAGGAGTTCGAGACCAGTCTGGCCAACACGGTGAAACGCTGTCTCTGCTAAAAATACGAAAGTTAGCCGGGCACAGTGGCTCACACCAGCACTTTGAGAGGCTGAGGCGGATGGATCACCTGGGGCCAGGAGTTCGAGACTAGTCTGGGCAACATGGTGAAACCCCGCCTCCACTAAAAATATAAAAATTAGCTGGGCATGGTGGTGGGCGCCTGTAATCCCAGTTACTTGGGAGGCTGAGGCAGGAGAATCGCTTGAACCCGGGAGGCAGAGGTTGCATTGAGCCGAGACTGTGCCACTGCACTCCAGCCTGGGGGACGAGAGCAAGACTTCATGTCAAAAAAGAAAAAGAAAAATTAGCCGGATGTGGTGGCACATGCCTGTAATACCAGCTATTCAGGAGGCTGAGGCAGGAGAATTGCTTGAACCTGGGAGGCCGAGGTTGCACTGAGCCGAGATTGTGCCACTGCACTCCAGCCTGGGTGACAGAGTGAGACTCCATCTCAAAACAAAAACAAAAACAAAAGCAAAAACAAAACAAAAGTGTGTGCTCAGGAAACAAGGTCCTCATCACGAAATCCTTCCAAATCCCCCATCTTGTCATCACCTGCGTTCTCAGGGTTTGAGAACAGCGCCAGACCTCATGGGGTGGCCCAGGTGACACTGTGAGCTATTTACAAGTCAGTGTCTTATGGGAAAGGAGCACGTTTCCCTGAGAACCTATTTGGTCCCCTCCAAGAGCTATGTTCGTTCAATACAATTCAAATCACGGCCCTTCATGCGTCTGCTCGGGCCACCATTATAAAATCCTACCCCCAGCTCCAAATACAGTCCCATTGAACTTTGTGATTTTGGAGAGTAGAGATAAAACAGTCTAGAATCCCAGAGCGATTTTACCATACCATGGCAAACTGACTCTCAACTTTAGAAACACAAATGCTGAAAAAAAAACTAAGGAAATTTTGAAAAAGAAGGTGAATGAAGGAGAACCTGCCTTACCTATATCAAAAGGCACTGAAAAGTTCATACCCAATGTGCGGATTGCTATAAGAATACACAAGTAGGCCGGGCGTGGTGGCTCACGCCTGTCATCCCAGCACTTTGGAGGCCGAGGCGGGTGGATCACGAGGTCAGGAGATCGAGACCCTCCTGGCTAACACGGTGAAACCCCGTCTCTACTAAAAATATAAAAATTAGCCGGGCGTGGTGGCTGGTGCCTGTAGTCCCAGCTACTCGGGAGGCTGAGGCAGGAGAATGGCTTGAACCTGGGAGGCAGAAGCTTGCAGTGAGCCGAGATCGCGCCACTGCACTCCAGCCTGGGCGACAGAGCGAGACTCTGTCTCAAAAAAACAAAAACAAAAGCAAACAAAACGAAGAATATACAAGTAGATTAATGAAATGTGGCCGGGTGCGGTGGTGAGGCAGGAGAATTGCTTGAACCCGAGAGGTGGAGGTTGCAGTGAGCTGAGATCGCACCACTGAAGTCTAGCCTGGGCAAGCGGAGTGAGGCCCTGTCTTAACAAAAAAACAAAGAAACAAAAAACAAACAAACAAGAAAAAAACAAAGCAAAACAAACAGAAAAGTATTTCACTAATATTTACTGCTAAGTGGGATTATTTTTATTCAAGCTTTTGTATCTTTAGAAAAAAATTGTGGCCGGGCGCGGTGGCTCACGCCTGTCATCCCAGCACTTTGGGAGGCCGAGGAGGGTGGATCACGAGGTCAGGAGATCGAGACCCTCCTGGCTAACACGGTGAAACCCCGTCTCTACTAAAAATATAAAAATTAGCCGGGCGTGGTGGCGGGCGCCTGTAGTCCCAGCTACTTGGGAGGATGAGGCAGGAGAATGGCATGAACCCGGGAGGGAGAGGCTACAGTGAGCCGAGATCGCGCCCCTGCACTCCAGCCTGGGCGACAGAGCGAGACTCCCTCTCAAAAAAAAAAAAAACAGAAAAAAGTCTTGGCCGGGCACGGTGGCTCACGCCTGTAATCCCAGCACTTTGGGAGGCTGAGGCAGGCGGATCACATGAGGTCAGGAGTTCGAGACCAGCCTGACCAACATGGTGAAACCCTGTCTCTACCCAGAAAAATACTTTAAAAATTAGCTGGGCGTGGTGGCGGGCACCTGTAATCCCAGGTGCTCGGGAGGTTGAAGCAGGAGAATGGCTTGAACCCGGGAGGGAGAGGCTGCAGTGAGCCGAGATCACGCCACTGCACTCCAGCGTGGGCGACGAGAGCGAAACTCTGCCTCAAAAAAAATCTGAACATCATTAGCGTCAAATTAAGCATGGTCTGTCAGCAGCCATCATAGTCCTATGTCTCTCTTAGGCAGTGAACAATAGCTATTGCCAGTTTGGAGCAATTTCCTTATGTGAAGTGACCAACTACACCGTCCGAGTGGCCAACCCACCATTCTCCACGTGGATCCTCTTCCCTGAGAACAGTGAGAAAAATGTTCATTGTTTGTTTATTCTCTATTCCCTCCCTCCTTCCCTCTCTCCCTCCCTCTCGCCTTCGCTGTGTCTTTTTTCTTTTCTTTTTCTCTTTCTTTCTTTCTTTCTTTCTTTCTTTCTTTCTTTCTTTCTTTCTTTTTCTTTCTTTCTGTTTCTGTTTCTTTCTTCCTTTCTTTTTCTTTCTTTCTTTCCTTCTTTCCTCTCTTTCTTTTCTTTCTCTTTCCCTCCCTCCCTTCTTTCTTTTCTTCACTTCCTTCCCTCCCTCCTTCTCTCCTTTTCCTCCCTCCTCCTTCCCACCCTACTTCCTCTCTCTCCTTCCTTCCCTTTCGTTTTCTTTTCCTCCCTGCCTCACTCCCTTCCTTCCTTCTCTCCCTCCTCTTTTCCTTCCTTCTTCCCTCCTTCCCTTTCTCTCTCTCTCTCTTTCTCTCTTTCCCCCTCCCCTCCCTTCCCCTCCTCTCCCCTCTCCTTTCCTGACACGGTCTTGCTCTGTTGCCCAGGCTGGAGCGCAGTGGTGCAATCACAGCTTACTGCAGGCTTCACCTCCTGAGCTCAAACAATCCTTCTGCCTCAGCCTCCCACGTAGGTGGAACTACACCCATGTACCACCATGCCCACCTAATTTTTTAAACACCTTTTTTTTTTTTTAGACAGAGTCTCACTCTGTCCACCAGGCTGGAGTGCACTGGCGCGATCTCGGCTCACTGCAACCTCTGGCTCCCGGGTTCAAGCGATTCTCCTGCCTCAGCCTCCCGAGTAGCTGGGATTATAGGCGCCCACCGCCACGCCCAGCTAATTCTTGTATTTTTAGTAGAGATGGGGTTTCACCATGTTGGTCAGGCTGGTCTCAAACTCCTGACTTCGTGATCTGCCCGCCTCGGCCTCCCAAAGTGCTGGGAGTACAGGGGTGAGCCACCGCGCCCAGCCTTAAATACTTTTTGTAGAGATGGGGTGTCGCTATGTTACCTGAGCTGGTCTCAAACTCCTAGGCTCAAGTGATCCTCCCGCCTCAGTCTCCCAAAGTGCAGGGATTGTAAGCATCAGCCACCACGCCTGGCCTCTTCTTTGTTTTTTAATTAATTAGAAGTCCATGGTTTATTTTTTTGTTTTGTTTTGTTTGTTTTTCTGTGATGGAGTCTTGTTCTTGTCGCCCAGGCTGGAGTGCAGTGGTGCGATTTCAGCTTACCGCAAACTCCGCCTCCCGGGTTCAAGCGATTCTCCTGCCTCAGCCTCACAAGTAGCTGGGATTACAGGCACCCGCCACCAAGCCCGGCTAAATTTTGTATTTTAAGTAGAGACGGGGCTTCACCATGTTGGTCTCGAACTCCTGACCTTGTGATCCACCCGCCTCAGCCTCCCAAAGTGCTGGGATGACAGGCGGGAGCCACTGTGCCGGGCCTCAATTTAATTATTTTTAAGTTTAATGGATTTCCAGGGAGTTATGCCGAGTCGGAAAAAAAAGACCACTCCAGAGCGTGACACACACAGTGATTTCATTAATACAACTGTCTTGAAATGGCAAAATTTTACAAATAGAAAACAGTCTCCTGGGTTGCAGGGATATAAGCAGGAGTGAGAGCTGAGAGAGGTGGGTTTGGCTGTAAAAGTGCTCCTTGGGGAGGCCGGGCGCAGTGGCTCACGCCTGTAATCCCAGCACTTTGGGAGGCCGAGGCGGGCGGATCACCTGAGGTCAGGAGTTCGAGACCAGCCTGGCCAACATGGTGAAACCCCGTCTCTACTAAAAACACAAAAATTAGCCGGGCATGGTGGCTCACGCCTGTAATCCCAGCACTTTGGGAGGCCGAGGCAGGCGGATCACCTGAGGTCAGGAATTCGAGACCAGCCTGGCTAACATGGTGAAACCCCATCTCTACTAAAAATACAAAATTAGCCAGGGGTGGTGGCACATGCCTGTAGTCCCAGCTACTCAGGAGGCTGAGGCAGGAGAATCACTTGAACCCGGGAGGCGGAGATTGCGGTGAGCTGAGATCGTGCCATTGCTCTCCAGCCTGGGCAACAAGAGTGAAATTCCATCTAAAAAAAAAAAAAAATTAAAAAGAAATTAGCGGCCGGGCCCAGTGGCTCACACCTGTAATCCCAGCACTTTGGGAGGCCGAGGTGGGTGGATCGCGAGGTCAGGAGATCGAGACCATCCCGGCTAACATGGTGAAACCCCATCTCTACTAAAAATACAAAATTAGCCAGGGGTGGTGGCACATGCCTGCAGTCCCAGCTACTCAGGAGGCTGAGGCAGGAGAATCACTTGAACCTGGGAGGCGGAGGTTGTGGTGAGCCATTGAGCTCCAGCCTGGGCAACAAGAGTGAAACTCTGTCTTAAACACACACACAGATGCACACACACGCACACACACACAAACAATGAAAGAAAAACATCTGTAGTCCCAGCAGTTTGGGAGGCTGAGGCGGGTGGATCACTTGAGGTCAGGAATTCGCGACCAGTCTGGGCAACATGGTGAAACCCCATCTCTACTAAAAATACAAAAATTAGCTGGGTGTGGTAGTGGGTGCCTGTTGTCCCAGATACTTGGGAGGCTGAGGCAGGAGAATTGCTTGAACCCGGGAGGTGGAGGTTGCAGTGAGCCGAGATGGCGCCATTGTACTCCAGCCTAGGCGACGGAGCGAGACTCTGTAAAAATGAATAAATAAATCATTAAAAGAATATGCAGGATCTCTCCATATTATTATTATTTTTTACAACGGCTTGTGTATCTACCATGGTCTCAAAATACAAAAGGCACTCTAAAAAGGAATTAGAGTTTTATTTTTTTTTTTGAGACGGAGTCTCGCTCTTGTCACACAGGCTGGAGTGCAGTGACGTGGCCTGGGCTCACTGCAACCTCTGCCTCCTGGGTTCAAGAAATTCTCCTGCCTCAGCCTCCCTAGTAGCTGGGATTACAGCGGCCCGACATCACGCCCGGCTAATTTTTGTATTTTTAGTAGAGGCAGGGTTTCACCATGTTAGCCAGGCCGGTCTCGAACTCCGGACCTCAGGTGATCCTCCTGCCTCGGCCTCCCAAAGTGCTGGGATTACAGGCGTGAGCCACCATGCCTGGGTTTGTTTTTTTATTTTTTTGAGACGAAGGCTCACTCTGTCGCCCAGGCTGGAGTGCAGTGGCGTGATCTCAGCTCCATGCAACCTCTGCCTCCTGGGTTCAAGAAATTCTCCTGCCTCAGCCTCCCGAGTAGCTGGGATTACAGCGGCCCGACATCACACCTGGCTAATTTTTTATATTTTTAGTAGAGACTGGGTTTCACCATGTTAGCCAGGCTGGTCTCGAACTCCGGACCTCGGGTGATCCACCTGCCTCGGCCTCCCAAAGTGCTGGGATCACAGGCGCGTGCCACCAGACACAGCTAATTTTTGCATTTTTAGTAGAGATTGGGTTTCTCCATGTTGGCCAGGCTGGTCTCGAACTCCTGACCTCATGTGATCCACCCGCCTCGGCCTCCCAAAATGCTGGGGTGACAGGCGTGAGCCACCGCGCCCGGTCCCGATTCGAGTTCTCTTTCATGTTTGTGAACCCAGGTGGGAAGCCTTGGGCAGGTGCGGAGAATCTGACCTGCTGGATTCATGACGTGGATTTCTTGAGCTGCAGCTGGGCGGTAGGCCCGGGGGCCCCCGCGGACGTCCAGTACGACCTGTACTTGAACGTTGCCAAGTAGGTGTGCCCGTGGGCAGAGGCCGGGCTGTCCCTGGTGCGGGTGCCATCGGCGTGGGGTCGTCCCCCAACCTTACCGCTTACCGCAGCAGGCGTCAACAGTACGAGTGTCTTCACTACAAAACGGATGCTCAGGGAACACGTATCGGGTGTCGTTTCGATGACATCTCTCGACTCTCCAGCGGTTCTCAAAGTTCCCACATCCTGGTGCGGGGCAGGAGCGCAGCCTTCGGTATCCCCTGCACAGATAAGTTTGTCGTCTTTTCACAGATTGGTGAGTAGCCCGGGACACTCCCTCCCACCCTCAGTTCTGTGATACCACGGCTTTAGCGCCAGGCCAGATCCCACGGGACCACGTGGCTCCCAACGCAGACGTTGGCCTCTCACATTTCCAGAGGCTGGACGTTGGAGGTCAGCGTGCTGGCTGGCTGGGCTCCTCGGGAGGTCTCTTCCTGGCTTGGAGAGAGGGTCATCTTCTCACTGTGTCTTCACGTGGTGTAGAGAGAGAGAGAGATGAAGTTCTGGGGTCTCTTGTTAGAAGGGCACTAACACCATCATGGGTCCCATCATGGGTCATAGGATCCCTCACCATGGGTCATGGGACCCCCCATCATGGGTTCCATCATGGGTCCCATCATGGGTCATAGAATCCCCCATGATGGGTTTCATCATGAGTCATAGAACCCCCTATCATGGATTCCATCATGGGTCATGGGAACCCCCATCATGGGTCCCATCATGGTTCATAGGATCCCCCATCATGGGTTTCATCATGAGTCATAGAACCCCCTATCATGGATTCCATCATGGGTCATGGGAACCCCCATCATGGGTCCCATCATTGGTCATAGGACCCCCTATCATGGGTTCCATCATGGGTCATGGGACACCCCCCATCATGGGTTCCACCATGAGTCATGGGATCCCTCATCGTGGGTTCCATCATGGGTCATGGGACCCCCCATCATGGGTTCCATCATGGGTAATAGGACCCCCCCATCATGGGTTCCACCATGAGTCATGGGATCCCTTATCATGGATTCCATCATGGGTCATGGGACCCCCTATCATGGATTCCATCATGGGTCATGGGACCCCCCCATCATGGGTCCCATCATGAGTCATGGGATCCCTCATCATGGGTTTCATCATGGGTCATAGGACCCCCATCATGGATTCCATCATGGGTCATGGGAACCTCCATCATGGGTCCCATTATGGGTCATAGAATTCCCCATCATGGGTTCCATCATGAGTCATGGGACCCCCCATCATGGGTTCCACATGGGATCCCTCATCATTGGTTCCATCATGGGTCATAGGATCCCCCATCATAGGTCCCATCATGGGTTCCACATGGGATCCCCCATCATAGGTCCCATCATGGGTCATGGGACCCCCCCCATCATGGGTTCCATCACGGGTCATGGGACCCCCCCCATCATGGGTTCCATCACGGGTCATGGGACCCCCCCCAATCATGGGTTCCATCATGGGTCATGGGAACCCCCATCATGGGTTTCATCATGGGTCATAGGATCCCCTATCATGGGTTCCATCATGGGTCATGGGACCCCCCCCATCACGGGTTCCATCATGGGTCATGGGAACCCCCATCATGGGTTTCATCATGGGTCATAGGATCCCCTATCATGGATTCCATCATGAGTCATGGGATCCCTCATCATGGGTTCCATCATGGGTCATGGGACCCCCCCCCCCATCATGGGTCGTGGGACCCCCACCCCCATCATGGGTCATGGGAGCCCCCATTGTGAGTCATGGAATCCCTCATCATGGGTCTCATCATGGGCCATGGGTCCCACCATGGGTCATGGGAGCCCCCATCATGAGTCATGGAATCCCTCATCATGGGTCATGGGTCCCATCATGGGTCATGGGAGCCCCCATCATGGGTCATGGGTCCCATCATGGGTCACGGGAGCCCCCATCATGGGGGTCCACCCTCATAACTTCAGCCCACGCCAGTCACCTCCCAAAGACCCCACCTTCTAACACCGCCCAACCAGGGGTTAGAGCTTCAGTGGAGGAATTTGGGACAGAAGGACACACACTTTCAGTCCACGATACCCGAGCTCCGAGGAACCTCCCAGGTGGTGAGAATGTCAATATGCCCAGAGCTGACGTGCCCTGAACCCAAGGGCAGGGTGCTCGGATGCTTCAGAAGAGGAGGGGGAAACGAGGAAGAGGAGGAGAAGGACAAGGAGAAGAGAAGGGAGGAGAGGAAGAACATGAGCAGGGGGAGGAGGAGGAGAAGGAAAAGAAACAGAGGAAAAGGAGGGGGAGGAGGTAGAGATGGAGAGGGAAGGAAGAGGAGGAAGAGAAGAAAACGGAGAAAGAGGAGGGGGAGGAGGAGGAGGAAGAGAAAATGGAGAAAGAGGAGGGGGAGGAGGTGGAGATGGGGAGGGGAGGAAGAGGAGGAAGAGAAGAAAACAGGAGGGGGAGGAAGAGAAGAAAATGGAGGGAAAGGAGGGGGAGGAGGTGGAGATGGGGAGAGAAGGAGCAGGAGGAGGAGAAGAAAGAAGAGGAAGAAAGGAGGAGGAGAGGGTGGAGGAGGAAGAGGGTGAAGGAGAGAGGGAGGAGAATGGAGAGGAGGAGGAGGCGGGGGAGGGAAGAGAAGGAGGTGAGGAGGAGGAAGGGGAGGATAGAGAAGGTGGGGTAGAAGGGTGGTGAGGTGGGGAGGGAGAAGGAGGGGGAGGAGGAGAGAGGAGGACTGGGGGGAGGAAGGGGGAGGAGGGGAGAGAGGAGGAGGGAGGAGGGAGAAGGAGGGGGAGAGGATGGAGGAAGGGGAGCAGATGGAGGAAGGCGAGCAGGAGGGGGAGGAAAAAGGAGGGGCAGGAGGAAGAAGGAGCGGGAGGAGAGGAGGAGGAGGAGGAGGAGAATGGGCAGGGAGGAGGAGAGGGAAGAAAAGGAGGGGGAGGAGGAAGGAGGGGGAGGAGGGTGGAGGGGGAGGAGGGTGGAGGGGGAGGAGGGTGGAGGGGGAGGAGGAAGGAGGGAGAAGGAGGGGAGAGGATGGAGGAAGAGGAGCAGGAGGGGGAGGAAAAAGGAGGAGGGGCAGGAGGGGAGGAGGAGAAAGGAGAGTGGAGGAGGAGGGTGACAAGGAGAATGGGGAGGAGAGAGGAGTGGTAGAAAAAGGAGAGAGAGGAAGAGTAGGAGCGGAGGGGGAGGAGGGGAGGGGAGGGGAGGGGAGAAAGACCAGGAGGGTAGGAGGAGGGGGAGGAGGAGGAGGGGGCCAGGGCTGGACTTCCTTCCAGGGGCCCAGGGGAGACCCAGCCAGGCAGCCGGACACACAGGGCTGGGCTGGTAGTCGGGTCACACCTGAGGATGTGGAAGTGCCTGGGGTTCCCGGGAAGTGGAGGATGTCCTGGGCCACTGGGAGAGGCGGCACATCCCCTGGGGGGCGGAGGTGGGGGAGGTGAGAAGCCAGGCAGGGGCCAGGAAGTGGAAGCTTCAGGAGGATGTGTGCAGGTCAAAGTGTAGGAGTCTGCATCTTGAATGATGCAGAGAGGGCCTCCAAGGCTCCAGTGTGCTGCAGGTGGGCAGAGGGGGCATGGGAAGTAGGGGTTGGCCCTGGGCAGGGGTGGGGAGTGGGCCAGGCTGCCCAGCGGGGCTGAGCCTAGAGATGGAAGGGGCAGGGACAAAGATGTGCAGCTGCCAGTCCTTGGAAAAGCTGAACGCCTGGTACTTCAGAGAACAAAAGGGTGGTTCTGAAGGCTGCTCCCAGGACAGTGGGGCTCCGAGGGTGCAACCCCAAGGCTCACTCCTCCCAGTGCCCCCAACGCGGCTCAGTCCTGTGTCTCTGCCTGTAGAGTTTCTTTGTTCCCTCTTCCTTCCTGGTGTTTTTCTCTCCCGCTCTCCAAATGCATAGGAGAAGTAATTTGAAGTATCTCCAGAAAAAAAAAGAGAAAAAGAAAAAGAATTGATTTCTTGTACTCCTAAATCCTAAAAGTGTTTTTCTCGTTGCTAGAGATATTAACTCCACCCAACATGACTGCAAAGTGTAATAAGACACATTCCTTTATGCACTGGAAAATGAGAAGTCATTTCAATCGCAAATTTCGCTATGAGCTTCAGATACAAAAGGTAAACTTTCACCCCGCCCCCAGCCCCCCCACCCCCGTGGACATCCCTTATTTTTGGTAAGTCGCACTCTGGGGCCTTGAAACGGGCAACAATCTCCTCTGATAACGTCACAGAAGGCATGGATCATTAAAAAACAAAAACAAAAACAAAAGGCCGGGCGCTGTGGCTCACGCCTGTCATCCCAGCACTTTGGGAGGCTGAGGCAGGTGGATCACAAGGTCAGGAGATCGAGACCATCCTGGCTAACGCGGTGAAACCCCGTCTCTACTAAAAATACGAAAAAAAATTAGCTGGGCGTGGTGGCACGGTCTTGTAGTTCCAGCTACTGGGGAGGCCGAGGCAGGAGAATTGCTTGAACCCAGGAGGTGGGGGTTGCAGTGAGCCGAGATCGCGCCATTGCACTCCAGCCTGGGCGACAGAGCGAGACTCCGTCTCAAAAAAAAAAAAAAAGTTTGAGACTGTATGTGGTCTGTTGTTTTTTATTTTTATTATTTCTATTGTTATGTGGTTTTTTAATTTTTTCTTGAACTTTCTTTTTTCTTTTGTAGTGATCTACAGATTCAATGCAAGCTTCCCAGATATTTTTGATCCACAGTTCGTTGGATCAGTTGAACATAAATATTGATTTATTTATTGAGCCACTCTGGCTCTGTAGCCCAGACTGGAGTGCAGTGGCTTAAATCTTGACTCACTGCAACCTCTGCCTCCCGGGTTCAAGTGATTCTCCTGCCTCAGCCTCCCGAGTAGCTGGGATTATGGGCACCCATCACCACACCCAGCTAAGTTTTTGTATTTTTAGTAGAAACAGAGTTTCATCATGTTGGCCAGGCTGGTCTCAAACTCCTGACCTCAGGTGATCCACCCGCCTCGGCCTCCCAAAGTGCTGGGATTACAGGTGTGAGCCTTCGTGCGCAGCCTATGTGTTATATTTAGTTTGTATTTTATTTTATTGTATTTTATTATTTATTTATTTATTTTTGAGACGGAGTCCTGCTCTGTCACCCAAGCTGTTTGTTTGTTTGTTTGTTTGTTTATTATTTTTGAGACGGAGTCCTGCTCTGTTGCCCAGGCTGGGGTGCAGTGGCATGATCTCAGCTCACTGTAACCTCCGCCTCTCGGGTTCAACCAATTCTCAGCTTCAGCCTCCTGAGTAGCTGGAATTACAGGCACCTGCCACCATGCCTGGCTAATTTTTTTTTGTATTTTTAGTAGAGATGGGGTTTCACCATCTTGTCCTGGCTGGTCTTGAACTCCTGACCTCATGATCCACCCGCCTCAGCTTCCCAAAGTGCTGGGATTACAGGCGTGAGGCACTGTGCCCCGCCATATATTTATTATTTATGCTCAAATACTAATTATTTCATATGCAATTTTTCTGTAAGTCTAAATCTGCTAAAAAACGTTAGGTCTATTAATTTCTTTTATATTACCAAGTGTTTTTTAGCCAATCTGTTTGGGTTTTTTTTTTTTTTAAGAAAATAAATGGCTGGGTGCAGTAGCTTACGCCTGTAATCCCAGCACTTTGGGAGGCCGAGGCAGGACGATCACGAGGTCAGGAGATAGAGACCATCCTGGCTAACATGGTAAAACCCCGTCTCTACTAAAAATACAAAAAAAAATTAGCTGGGCGTGGTGGCGGGCGCCTGTAGTCCCAGCTACTTGGGAGGCTGAGGCAGGAGAATGGCGTAAACCCAGAAGGCGGAGCTTGCAGCGAGCTGAGATTGTGCCACTGCACTCCATCCTGGGCAACAGAGTGAGACTCCGTCTCAGGAGAAAAAAAAAAAAAGAAAATAAATACAGCACAGACTTCTTTCTTTCACTGATTTGAGGGAGCAGGCATAGCTGCAGCCACAGGCAGAGTCGTAGCTAGTCTGATGTTGCACCCCCTACCTAGTTCGCTGGCCTGGCATAGGCTGTCTGTGGCTACCCCTGAGTGCATCTGGACACAGTCTGGGAGGACGGTGGGTCTTGTTTGTCCACCGGCCTCACAAAGCCCCCTCCCACCAAGGTCTTGCCACAGTGGCCCATAAGAAACCTTTTGGGCCAGGCGCGATGGGGCATGCCTGTAATCCCAGCACTTTGGGAGGCCGAGGTGGGCAGATCATGAGGTCAAGAGATCAAGACCATCCTGGCCAACATGGTGAAACTTTGTTTCCACTAAAAATACAAAAAATTAGCCAGGCGTGGTGGCACGCACCTGTAGTCCCAGCTACTCGGGAGACTGAGGCAAAAGAATCACTTGAATCCGGGAGGCGGAGGTTGCAGTGAGCCGAGATCACGCCACTGCATTCCAGCCTGGGTGACGGAGTGAGACTCCGTCTCATAAATAAATAAACAAACAAACCTTTTGGTCAGGTGCTATTTACTCCTAAGCTCATTATTTTGCCCCCACTGCTGCCCGAAGGCCTTCCCAGAGCCCTCACTGTTTTGCTGGTTTTCCTGGAGGGAGAAATTTGAGTTTGGGAGGAGGAGGCTTTCAGGGACGGTCCAGACACTCAAAAGTTTGCTTGCTTTTGTGTTGCAGAGAATGCAGCCTGTAATCACAGAACAGGTGAGTGTTCCCTACCCCCAGCCGCTGTACTTGACATTGCAAAGGGTGAGTTTTATTATTATTAAGAATAAAATGATAAAAAATATTAATAATTCTTATTAATAAAATAATGAAAATATTATTAATAATAAATGTTATTATTCAATGTTCAGTGACTTTCATTGGACAGACTCTTGAGTGTCACCCTTACTGCGATCTTGCAAAATTGGGATATTTCACATCCCCAAATTGAGGGATGGGAAAAGGAAGAGTCAGGGATGACACCTCCCAAGGTGTGAGAGCCAGATGCTATGGCTGGCCAGGTGCTGTCCAAACGAGGTCCACCCATTTGCCCCAGATTCCTTACCCTGGGCCAGGCAGCCCCAGTCCAGCAGGAACAAGCTACCAAACCATAGCTCCACCCAGCAGAGACAAGCATTCAGACAGGTGGCCCAGACCTCAGACAGAGGACCCTCCCCCAGCCCCTGCCTGGGATCTGCAGGAACAGACAGCCGGACCACAGCATTCTCTGTCCCCTCTCTCTCTGTCCATCTCTTTCCCCGTATCTCTTTCTCTGTCTCTGAATCTCTCTGCCTTTCTCCCTCCCTCTCTTTCTCTCTCTCTCGTCTCTATCTCCCTCCCCCTCTCTGTATCTCCCTCCCTTTTTCCCTCCCTCTATCTTTCTGGCTCTCTCCCTGTGTCTATCTCTCCCTGTCCCCATCTCTCTCTGTGTCTCTTTCCCTCCCTCTCTCATTCTCCTTCCCTCTCTCTATCTTTCTCTCCCTGTCTCTATCTCCCGCTCCGTGTCTGTCTCTATCTTTCTCCCTTTCTCCCTCCATCTCTCTCTCCCTGTCTCTCTCTCCCCGTTCCCATCTCTCTCTCTGTGTCTCTGTCTCTCCCTCTCTCATTCTCCCTCCCTCTTTTATTCTCCCTCCCTCTCTTTCTCTCTCTCTCTCTCTCTCCTGGTCTCTGTCTCCCCCCTCCCCATCTCTTTCTCTGTGTCTGTCTCTGTAACCTTCTCCATTTCTCCCTCCATCTCTCTGTCTCTCCCTGTGTCTATCTCCCACTGTCCCTGTCTGTTTCTCCGTGTCTGTCTCTGTATCTCTCTCCCTTTCTCCCTCCATCTTTCTCTCTCTCCCCCGGTCTCTATCTTCCCTTCTCCCCATCTCTCTCTCTCTGTCTGTCTCTGTATCTCTCTCCCTTTCTCCCTCCATCTTTCTCTCTCTCTCCCGGTCTCTATCTCCCCCTCTCCCCGTCTCTTTCTCCGTGTCTGTCTCTGTGTCTCTCTCCCTTTCTCCCTCCCTCCATCTTTCTCTCTCTCTCCCGGTCTCTATTTCCTCCCTCCCCATCTCTTTCTCTGTGTCTGTCTCTGTATCTCTCTCCCTTTCTCCCTCCATCTTTCTCTCTCTCTCCTGGTCTCTATCTCCCCCTCTCCCTGTCTCTCTGTGTCTGTCTCTGTATCTCTCTCCCTTTCTCCCTCCCTCTCTTTATCTCTCTCTCTCTCTCTGCCTCTATCTCCCACTGTCCAAATCTGTGTCTCTGTCTCTCCCTCTTTCATTCTCCCTCTCTTTCTCTATCTCTCTCCTTGTCTATATCTCCCCCTCTCCCAGTCTCTCTGTATCTCTGTATCTCTCTCCCTTTCTCCTTCCCTCTCTTCATCTTTCTTTTTGAAACGGAGTTTTTCTCTTGTTGCCCAGGCTGGAGTGCGATGGCACGATCTCGGCTCACTGCAACCTCCGCCTCCCAGGTTCAAGCGAATCTACTCCCTCAGCCTCCCAAGTAGCTGGGATTACAGGCACTCGCCACCATGCCCAACTAACTTTTTTTTTTTTTTGTATTTTTAGTAGAGACAGGGTTTCACTAGTGGGCCAGGCTGGTCTCGAACTCCTGACCTCAGGCGATCCACCTGCCTCATCCTCTCAAAGTGCTGGAATTACAGGTGTGAGCCACCGTGCCCGGCCCCTCTCTTTATCTTTCTAGCTCTCTCCCTGTCTCTCTCTCCCTTCCCCTCTCTGTCTCTCTCTCCCTTCCCCTCTCTGTCTCTCTCTCCCTTCCCCTCTCTGTCTCTCTCTCCCTTCCCCTCTGTCTCTCTCTCCCTTCCCCTCTCTGTCTCTCTCTCCCTTCCCCTCTCTGTCTCTCTCTCCCTTCCCCTCTGTCTCTCTCTCCCTTCCCCTCTCTGTCTCTCTCTCCCTTCCCCTCTCTGTCTCTCTCTCCCTTCCCCTCTCTGTCTCTCTCTCCCTTCCCCTCTCTGTCTCTCTCTCCCTTCCCCTCTCTGTCTCTCTCTCCCTTTCCTTCTCTGTCTCTCTCTCCCTTCCCCTCTCTCTCTCTCCATTCCCCTGTCTCTATGTCTCTCCCTTTCTCTCTCCCATTATTTCTCTGTGATTGTCTCTTTCTTTCTCTGCCTCTGTCTGTCTGTCCCCCTGTATTAGTCCATTGTCACACTGCTGATAAACATATACCCAAGACTGGGTAATTTATAAACAAAAGAGGGTTCCTGGACTCACAGTTCCATGTGGCTGGGGAGGCCTCACGATCACGGCAGAAGGTGAAGGAGGAGGAAAGGCATGTCTTACATGTCAGCGGGCAAGACAGAATGAGACAGTCGCCGGGCGCAGTGACTCATGCCTGTAATCACAGCACCTTGGGAGGACGAGGTGGGTGGACCACGAGGTCAGGAGTTCAAGACCAGCCTGGCCAACATGGTGAAACCTAGCTCTACTAAAAATAAAAAAAATTACCCAGACGTGGTGGTGGCAGGCGCCTGTGGTCCCAGCTACTCGGGAGGCTGAAGCAGGAGAATCGCTTGAACCCGGGAGGCAGAGGTTGCAGTGAGTTGAGATCGCGCCACTGCACTCCAGCCTGGGTGACAGAGTGAGACTCCGTCTCGAGAAAAAAAAAAAAAAAAAAAAAATGAGAGCCGAGAGAAAGGTTTCCCTTATTAAACCATTAGATCTCGTGAGACTTATTCACTACCCCGAGAACAGTGTGGGGGGAAACTGCCCCCATGATTCAGTTATGTCCTACCCAGTCCCTCTCACAACACGTGGGAGTTATAAGGGCTACAATTCAAGATGAGATTTGGGTGGGGACACAGCCAAACTACATCACCCACTCTCTCTGTCTCTCTGCTTCTGTTTTCCTCTCTGTCTCTGTTTTTCTTTCCCTCTCTCTGTCTCTTTGTATCTCTGTCTCTCTCTCTCTGTCTCCGTTTCTATCTCTGTCTCTCTCTGTCCATCACCCACTCTGTCTCTTTGTCTCTCTATGTCTCTCTGTTTCTGTTTTTCTGTTTTTCTCTTTCCCTCTCTCTTTGTATCTATGTCTTTCTGTCTCTCCGTTTCTGTCTCTCTCTCTGTCCATCACCCACTCTGTCTGTCTTTGTCTATGTCTCTCTGTTTTTCTGTCTCTTTTTCTCTTTCCCTCTCTGTCTCCCCTCTCTGTGTCTCTTTGTATCTCCGTCTCTCCCTGTCTGTTTCTATCTCTGTCTCTCTCTGTCCATCACCTACTCTGTCTCTTTGTCTCTGTCTGTTTCTGTTTTTCTTTCTTTTTCCCTCTGTCTCCCTTCTCTGTGTCTCTTTGTATCTCTGTCTCTCTCTGTTTCTATCTGTCTCTCTCTGTCCATCACCCACTATCTCTGTCTATGTCTGTTTTTCTGTCTCTGTTTTTCTCTCTCCCTCTCTCTGTCTCCCCTCTCTGTGTCTCTTTGTATCTCTTTCTCTCTCTCTGTCTCTCCCTGTCTGTTTCTATCTCCGTCCTCCTGTATTAGTCCATTTTCATGGACTAATGAGGATCCTTCCCGCTTCTCCCAGCTCCTGGGGACTCTGGGGTCCCTGGGCTTGTGGCCATATCACTCCACTCTCTGCCTCCGTCTCCACATGGCCTTCTCCTCTGCATCCGTGTCTCCTTTTTATTTATTTATTTATTTATTTTGAGACAGAGTCTCGCTCTGTCACCCAGGCTGGAGTGCAGTGGTGCGATCTCAGCTCACTGCAACCTCCGCCTCCCAGGTTCAAGCGATTCCCCTGCCTCAGCCTCCCGAGTAGCTGGGACTACAGGTGCACACCACCACGCCTGGCTAATTTTTGTATTATTAGTAAAGATGGGATTTTACCTTGTTGCTCAGGTTGACCTCGAACTCCTGACCTCAGGTGATCTACCCACCTCAGCCTCCCAAAGTGCTGGGATTACAGGTGTCAGCCACCGCGCCCGGCCACGTCTCCTCTTCTTATAAGGATATTGGTCATTGCATTTAGGGCCCCCCCTGATCCAAAATGACATCATCTCAATCTATATCTTAACGACATCTGCCATGAACAGGTATTTCATCATAAGGCCCCATTGTAAGGTGCTGGGGGCTAAGACTGCAACATATGAATTTTGGGGGATCACAATGCAGCCTCATTCTTTTGTACCCATCAAATATGAATGGTCTTTTCTTCTTTTTTTTTTTTTTTTGAGACGGAGTCTCGCTCTGTCACCCAGGCTGGAGTGCAGTGGCGCAATCTCGGCTCACTGCAAGCTCCGCCTCCCGGGTTCCCGCCACTCTCCTGCCTCAGCCTCCTGAGTAGCTGGGACCTCAGGCGCCCGCCACCGGGCCCGGCTAATTTTTTGTATTTTTAGTAGAGACGGGGTTTCACTGTGGTCTCGATCTCCTGACCTTGTGATCTGCCCGCCTTGGCCCTCCAAAGTGCTGGGATTACAGGCGTGAGCCACCGCGCCTGGCCGAGCTATTTCATCATAAGGCCCCACTGTAAGGAGCTGGGGGCTAAGACTGCAACATATGAATTTTGGGGGATCACAATGCAGACTCATTCTTTTGTACCCATCAAATATGAATGGTCTTTTCTTCTACTTTTTTGTTTGGTTTTTAATTTCAGACAGGCTCTCACTCTGTCACCCACGCTAGAGTGCAGTGGCACAGTCACGGCTCACTGCAATCTCTGCCTCCTGGGCTCAAGGGATCCTCCTGCCTCAGCCCCCCAAGTAGCTGAAACTACAGGCGTTTGCCACCAGGTCAGCTCATTTAAAAAAAAATTTGGCTGGGCGCGGTGGCTCACGCTGGTAATCCCAGCCCTTTGGGAGGCCGAGGCGGGTGGATCATGAGGTCAGGAAATCAAGACCATCCTGGCTAACATGGTGAAACCCTGTCTCTACTAAAAAAAAAAATACAAAAAATTAGCTGGGCATGGTAGCGGGTGCCTGTAGTCCCAGCTACTCGGGAGGCTGAGGCAGGAGAATGGCATGAACCCGGGAAGCGGAGCTTGCAGTGAGCCGAGATCACGCCACTGCACTCCAGCCTGGGGGACAGAGTGAGACTCCATCTCAAAAAAAAAAAAATTTTTTTTTGGCTGGACGTGGTGGCTCACACTGGTAATCCCAGCACTTTGGGAGGCTGAGGCGGGTGGATCACCGGAGGTTGGGAGTTCGAGACCAGCCTGACCAACATGGAGAAACCCCGACTCTACTAAAAATACAAAATTAACCGAGCGTGGTGGTGGGCGCCTGTAATCCCAGCTACTCGGGAGGCTGAGGCAGGAGAATCGCTTGAATCTGGGAGGCGGAGGTTGCGGTGAGCCGAGTTGGTGCCACTGCACTCCAGCCTGGGCAACAAGAGTGAAACTCTGTCTCAAAACAAAACAAAACAAATTTTCTTCTAGAGATGGGGTCTTGGTTTGTTGCCCAGGCTGGTCTCAAACTCCTAAGCTCGAGGTATCCCCCCACCTCAGCCTCCCTGGTAGCTGGGACCAAAGACATGTGTCACCACGTCTGGTAATTTTTACAGTTTTTTTTTTTTGGTAAAGATGGGGTCTTGCTATGTTGCCCAGGCTGGTGTCAAACTCCTGGGCTTAAGGAATTCTCCCACCTCAGCCTCCAAAAGTGCTGTGGTGAGAGGCATAAACCGTAGCACCCAGCCCCTCTTTTCTTCTTTTATTTATTTATTTATTTATTTATTTATTTATTTAGAGACAGAGTCTCACTCTGTTGCCCAGGCTGCAGTGCAGTGGTGCCATCTCGCCTCACTGCAACCTCCACCTCTCAGGTTTAAGCTATTCTCCTGCCTCAGCCTCCTGAGTAGCTGGGATTACAGGTGCCTGCCACCATGCCAGGCTAATTTTTGTATTTTTAGTAGAGACAGGGTTTCACCATGTTGGCCAGGCTGGTCTCGAACTCCTGACCTCAGGTGATCCACCTGCCTTGGCCTCCCTAAGTGCCCAGGTGAGAGTCATGAGCCACCATACCTGGCCCCTCTTCTTTATTTTCTTTCAAACCACAGGTCAGAGACAGAACCTCCTTCCAGCTACTCAATCCTGGAACGTACACAGTACAAATAAGAGCCCGGGAAAGAGTGTATGAATTCTTGAGCGCCTGGAGCACCCCCCAGCGCTTCG
The DNA here is from genome assembly GCF_000001405.40 of Homo sapiens. Taxonomy (NCBI): domain Eukaryota; kingdom Metazoa; phylum Chordata; class Mammalia; order Primates; family Hominidae; genus Homo; species Homo sapiens. The sequence goes on from NC_000023.11 coordinate 1,365,253, forward strand.
GTGAGTGGGCTGTGCGGGGTGCGCGGGGTGAGCGGGGTGAGCGGGGTGCGCGGGGTGAGCGGGGTGCGCGGGGTGAGCGGGGTGCGCGGGGTGAGCGGGGTGAGCGGGGTGAGCCGGGTGCGCGGGGTGAGCCGGCTGCGCGGGGTGAGCGGGGTGAGCGGGGTGAGCGGGGTGAGCGGGGTGCGCGGGGTGAGCGGGGTGAGCGGGGTGCGCGGGGTGAGCGGGGTGAGCCGGGTGCGCGGGGTGAGCCGGGTGAGCGGGGTGCGCGGGGTGAGCGGGGTGAGCGGGGTGCGCGGGGTGAGCCGGGTGCGCGGGGTGAGCGGGGTGAGCCGGGTGCGCGGGGTGAGCGGGGTGAGCGGGGTGAGCCGGGTGAGCCGGGTGAGCCGGGTGCGCGGGGTGAGCCGGGTGCGCGGGGTGAGCGGGGTGCGCGGGGTGAGCGGGGTGCGCGGGGTGAGCCGGGTGCGCGGGGTGAGCGGGGTGCGCGGGGTGAGCGGGGTGCGCGGGGTGAGCCGGGTGCGCGGGGTGAGCGGGGTGAGCGGGGTGAGCCGGGTGCCCCGGGTGAGCGGGGTGCGCGGGGTGAGCCGGGTGCGCGGGGTGAGCGGGGTGAGCGGGGTGCGCGGGGTGAGCCGGGTGCGCGGGGTGAGCCGGGTGCGCGGGGTGAGCCGGGTGAGCGGGGTGAGCGGGGTGCGGGGTGCGCGGTGCGCGGGGTGAGCGGGGTGCGCGGGGTGAGCCGGGTGCGCGGGGTGAGCGGGGTGAGCCGGGTGCCCCGGGTGAGCGGGGTGCGCGGGGTGAGCCGGGTGCGCGGGGTGAGCGGGGTGCGCGGGGTGAGCGGGGTGCGCGGGGTGCGCGGCGTGAGCCGGGTGCGCGGGGTGCGCGGGGTGAGCGGGGTGCGCGGGGTGCGCGGGGTGCGCGGGGTGAGCGGGGTGCGCGGGGTGCGCGGCGTGAGCCGGGTGCGCGGGGTGAGCGGGGTGCGCGGGGTGAGCGGGGTGCGCGGGGTGAGCCGGGTGCGCGGGGTGAGCCGGGTGAGCCGGGTGCGCGGGGTGAGCGGGGTGCGCGGGGTGAGCCGGGTGAGCCGGGTGCGCGGGGTGAGCCGGGTGCGCGGGGTGAGCGGGGTGCGCGGGGTGAGCCGGGTGCGCGGGGTGAGCGGGGTGCGCGGGGTGAGCGGGGTGCGCGGGGTGAGCGGGGTGCGCGGGGTGAGCCGGGTGCGCGGGGTGAGCGGGGTGAGCGGGGTGAGCCGGGTGCCCCGGGTGAGCGGGGTGCGCGGGGTGAGCCCGGTGAGCCGGGTGCGCGGGGTGAGCCGGGTGCGCGGGGTGAGCCGGGTGAGCGGGGTGAGCGGGGTGCGCGGTGCGCGGGGTGAGCGGGGTGCGCGGGGTGAGCCGGGTGCGCGGGGTGAGCGGGGTGAGCCGGGTGCCCCGGGTGAGCGGGGTGCGCGGGGTGAGCCGGGTGCGCGGGGTGAGCGGGGTGCGCGGAGTGAGCGGGGTGCGCGGGGTGCGCGGCGTGAGCCGGGTGCGCGGGGTGCGCGGGGTGAGCGGGGTGCGCGGGGTGCGCGGGGTGCGCGGGGTGAGCGGGGTGCGCGGGGTGCGCGGCGTGAGCCGGGTGCGCGGGGTGAGCGGGGTGCGCGGGGTGAGCGGGGTGCGCGGGGTGAGCCGGGTGCGCGGGGTGAGCGGGGTGCGCGGGGTGAGCCGGGTGCGCGGGGTGCGCGGGGTGCGCGGGGTGCGCCGGGTGCGCGGGGTGAGCCGGGTGCGCGGGGTGAGCGGGGTGCGCGGGGTGCGCGGGGTGCGCGGGGTGAGCCGGGTGCGCGGGGTGAGCGGGGTGAGCCGGGTGCGCGGGGTGAGCGGGGTGAGCCGGGTGCGCGGGGTGAGCGGGGTGCGCGGGGTGAGCCGGGTGCGCGGGGTGAGCGGGGTGCGCGGGGTGAGCCGGGTGCGCGGGGTGAGCGGGGTGCGCCGGGTGAGCGGGGTGAGCGGGGTGAGCCGGGTGCGCGGGGTGCGCGGGGTGCGCCGGGTGCGCGGGGTGAGCCGGGTGCGCGGGGTGAGCGGGGTGCGCGGGGTGCGCGGGGTGCGCGGGGTGAGCCGGGTGCGCGGGGTGAGCGGGGTGAGCCGGGTGAGCGGGGTGCGCGGGGTGAGCCGGGTGCGCGGGGTGAGCGGGGTGCGCGGGGTGAGCCGGGTGCGCGGGGTGCGCGGGGTGAGCCGGGTGCGCGGGGTGAGCGGGGTGCGCGGGGTGAGCGGGGTGCGCGGGGTGAGCCGGGTGCGCGGGGTGAGCCGGGTGCGCGGGGTGCGCGGGGTGCGCGGCGTGAGCCGGGTGCGCGGGGTGCGCCGGGTGCGCGGGGTGAGCGGGGTGAGCCGGGTGCGCGGGGTGAGCGGGGTGCGCGGGGTGAGCGGGGTGCGCCGGGTGAGCCGGGTGCGCGGGGTGAGCCGGGTGCGCGGGGTGAGCGGGGTGCGCGGGGTGAGCCGGGTGCGCGGGGTGAGCGGGGTGCGCCGGGTGAGCGGGGTGCGCGGGGTGAGCGGGGTGCGCCGGGTGAGCGGGGTGCGCGGGCTGAGCGGGGTGCGCCGGGTGAGCGGGGTGCGCGGGGTGAGCGGGGTGCGCCATCCTGGGTCACGGAAACACTCCTCTCCTGCAAAGGAGAGGAGATTCACTCCCCCAGTTTCTGTGACCCCAAAAAGGACCCTGAACCCGACGGTGAACTCACAGCTTGCTCTTACTCACGAGAGGAGACGTGGAGGGGAAACAAGGTCGTCCCACTGACAGACACCCCCTGGGCCTTGTAATAAAGACCGAGGCGGGCGGATCACAAGGTCAGGAGATCGAGACCATCCCGGCTAACACGGTGAAACCCGGTCTCTACAAAAAATGTAACAAATTAGCCAGGCGTGGTGATGGGCGCCTGTAGTCCCAGCTACTCGGGAGGCTGAGGCAGGAGAATGGCGTGAACCCGGGAGGCGGAGGTTGCAGTGAGCCGAGATCGCGCCACTGTGCTCCATCCAGCCTGGGCGACAAGAGCGAGACTCCATCTCAACAACAAAACAAAAGGATCGCCTCAGAGTAGAACTTCTGGCCGGGCACGGTGACTCATGCCTGCCATCCCAGCACTTTGGGAGGCTGAGGTGGGTAGATCACCTGAGGTCAGGAGTTCGAGACCAGCCTGACCAACATGGAAAAACCCTGTCTCTACTAAAAATAGAAAAATTAGGTCAGGTGCTGTGGCTTAAGCCTGTAACCTCAGCTACCAGGGAGGCTGAGGCAGGAGAATCGCTTGAATTGTGTTCCCTCAAAATTCGTGTGTTGAAGCTTTGATCCCCCAGGACCTCAGAATGTGACTGTGTTTGGAGTTGGGGTGTTTAAAGAGGCGATTAAGGTAAAATGAGGTCATTAGGGTGGGCCCTAATCTAACAGGACTGGGGTCCTTATAAGAAGAGGAGATGAGGACACAGACACACACAGAGGGACGACCCTGTGGGACACAGGGAGAAGACGGCGTCTCCAAGCCCAGGAGAGGGGCCTCAGGAGGAACCAGCACTGCCCACACCTGGATCTCAGACCTCCAGCCTCCAGGGCTGTGGGAGAATCAATGTGTTTTGTTTCTAAGCCGCCCAGCCTCTGGTATTCTGTGACAGCAGCCTGAGATGGACTAAGCCATCTCATAAGAAGAGACGAGGACACAGACACACACAGAGGGACGACCCTGTGAGGGCACAGGGAGAAGACGGCGTCTCCAAGCCCAGGAGAGGGGCCTCAGGAGGAACCAGCACTGCCCACACCTGGATCTCAGACCTCCAGCCTCCAGGGCTGTGGGAGAATCAATGTGTTTTGTTTCTAAGCCGCCCAGCCTCTGGTATTCTGTGACAGCAGCCTGAGATGGACTAAGACATCTCATAAGAAGAGGAGATGAGGACACAGACACACACAGAGGGACGACCCTGTGAGGGCACAGGGAGAAGACGGCGTCTCCAAGCCCAGGAGAGGGGCCTCAGGAGGAACCAGCCCTGCCCACACCTGGATCTCAGACCTCCAGCCTCCAGGGCTGTGGGAGAATCAATGTGTTTTGTTTCTAAGCCGCCCAGCCTCTGGTATTCTGTGACAGCAGCCTGAGATGGACTAAGACATCTCATAAGAAGAGGAGATGAGGACACAGACACACACAGAGGGACGACCCTGTGAGGGCACAGGGAGAAGACGGCGTCTCCAAGCCCAGGAGAGGGGCCTCAGGAGGAACCAGCACTGCCCACACCTGGATCTCAGACCTCCAGCCTCCAGGGCTGTGGGAGAATCAATGTGTTTTGTTTCTAAGCCGCCCAGCCTCTGGTATTCTGTGACAGCAGCCTGAGATGGACTAAGCCATCTCATAAGAAGAGACGAGGACACAGACACACACAGAGGGATGACCCTGTGAGGGCACAGGGAGAAGACGGCGTCTCCAAGCCCAGGAGAGGGGCCTCAGGAGGAACCAGCACTGCCCACACCTGGATCTCAGACCTCCAGCCTCCAGGGCTGTGGGAGAATCAATGTGTTTTGTTTCTAAGCCGCCCAGCCTCTGGTATTCTGTGACAGCAGCCTGAGATGGACTAAGACATCTCATAAGAAGAGGAGATGAGGACACAGACACACACAGAGGGATGACCCTGTGAGGGCACAGGGAGAAGACGGCGTCTCCAAGCCCAGGAGAGGGGCCTCAGGAGGAACCAGCCCTGCCCACACCTGGATCTCAGACCTCCAGCCTCCAGGGCTGTGGGAGAATCAATGTGTTTTGTTTCTAAGCCGCCCAGCCTCTGGTATTCTGTGACAGCAGCCTGAGATGGACTAAGCCATCTCATAAGAAGAGACGAGGACACAGACACACACAGAGGGACGACCCTGTGAGGACACAGGGAGAAGACGGCGTCTCCAAGCCCAGGAGAGGGGCCTCAGGAGGAACCAGCACTGCCCACACCTGGATCTCAGACCTCCAGCCTCCAGGGCTGTGGGAGAATCAGTGTTTTGTTTCTAAGCCGCCCAGCCTCTGGTATTCTGTGACAGCAGCCTGAGATGGACTAAGCCATCTCATAAGAAGAGACGAGGACACAGACACACACAGAGGGACGACCCTGTGAGGGCACAGGGAGAAGACGGCGTCTCCAAGCCCAGGAGAGGGGCCTCAGGAGGAACCAGCCCTGCCCACACCTGGATCTCAGACCTCCAGCCTCCAGGGCTGTGGGAGAATCAATGTGTTTTGTTTCTAAGCCGCCCAGCCTCTGGTATTCTGTGACAGCAGCCTGAGATGGAGTAAGACATCTCATAAGAAGAGGAGATGAGGACACAGACACACACAGAGGGACGACCCTGTGGGACACAGGGAGAAGACGGGGTCTCCAAGCCCAGGAGAGGGGCCTCAGGAGGAACCAGCCCTGCCCACACCTGGATCTCAGACCTCCAGCCTCCAGGGCTGTGGGAGAATCAATGTGTTTTGTTTCTAAGCCGCCCAGCCTCTGGTATTCTGTGACAGCAGCCTGAGATGGACTAAGCCATCTCATAAGAAGAGACGAGGACACAGACACACAGAGAGGGACGACCCTGTGAGGACACAGGGAGAAGACGGCATCTCCAAGCCCAGGAGAGGGGCCTCAGGAGGAACCAGCACTGCCCACACCTGGATCTCAGACCTCCAGCCTCCAGGGCTGTGGGAGAATCAATGTGTTTTGTTTCTAAGCCGCCCAGCCTCTGGTATTCTGTGACAGCAGCCTGAGATGGACTAAGACATCTCATAAGAAGAGGAGATGAGGACACAGACACACACAGAGGGACGACCCTGTGAGGACACAGGGAGAAGACGGCGTCTCCAAGCCCAGGAGAGGGGCCTCAGGAGGAACCAGCCCTGCCCACACCTGGATCTCAGACCTCCAGCCTCCAGGGCTGTGGGAGAATCAATGTGTTTTGTTTCTAAGCCGCCCAGCCTCTGGTATTCTGTGACAGCAGCCTGAGATGGACTAAGCCATCTCATAAGAAGAGACGAGGACACAGACACACACAGAGGGACGACCCTGTGAGGGCACAGGGAGAAGACGGCGTCTCCAAGCCCAGGAGAGGGGCCTCAGGAGGAACCAGCCCTGCCCACACCTGGATCTCAGACCTCCAGCCTCCAGGGCTGTGGGAGAATCAATGTGTTTTGTTTCTAAGCCGCCCAGCCTCTGGTATTCTGTGACAGCAGCCTGAGATGGACTAAGCCATCTCATAAGAAGAGACGAGGACACAGACACACACAGAGGGACGACCCTGTGAGGGCACAGGGAGAAGACGGCGTCTCCAAGCCCAGGAGAGGGGCCTCAGGAGGAACCAGCCCTGCCCACACCTGGATCTCAGAACTCCAGCCTCCAGGGCTGTGGGAGAATCAATGTGTTTTGTTTCTAAGCCGCCCAGCCTCTGGTATTCTGTGACAGCAGCCTGAGATGGACTAAGACATCTCATAAGAAGAGGACATGAGGACACAGACACACACAGAGGGACGACCCTGTGGGACACAGGGAGAAGACGGGGTCTCCAAGCCCAGGAGAGGGGCCTCAGGAGGAACCAGCCCTGCCCACACCTGGATCTCAGACCTCCAGCCTCCAGGGCTGTGGGAGAATCAATGTGTTTTGTTTCTAAGCCGCCCAGCCTCTGGTATTCTGTGACAGCAGCCTGAGATGGACTAAGACATCTCATAAGAAGAGGAGATGAGGACACAGACACACACAGAGGGACGACCCTGTGGGACACAGGGAGAAGACGGGGTCTCCAAGCCCAGGAGAGGGGCCTCAGGAGGAACCAGCCCTGCCCACACCTGGATCTCAGAACTCCAGCCTCCAGGGCTGTGGGAGAATCAATGTGTTTTGTTTCTAAGCCGCCCAGCCTCTGGTATTCTGTGACAGCAGCCTGAGATGGACTAAGACATCTCATAAGAAGAGGAGATGAGGACACAGACACACACAGAGGGACGACCCTGTGAGGACACAGGGAGAAGACGGCGTCTCCAAGCCCAGGAGAGGGGCCTCAGGAGGAACCAGCCCTGCCCACACCTGGATCTCAGACCTCCAGCCTCCAGGGCTGTGGGAGAATCAATGTGTTTTGTTTCTAAGCCGCCCAGCCTCTGGTATTCTGTGACAGCAGCCTGAGATGGACTAAGCCATCTCATAAGAAGAGACGAGGACACAGACACACACAGAGGGACGACCCTGTGAGGGCACAGGGAGAAGACGGCGTCTCCAAGCCCAGGAGAGGGGCCTCAGGAGGAACCAGCCCTGCCCACACCTGGATCTCAGACCTCCAGCCTCCAGGGCTGTGGGAGAATCAATGTGTTTTGTTTCTAAGCCGCCCAGCCTCTGGTATTCTGTGACAGCAGCCTGAGATGGACTAAGCCATCTCATAAGAAGAGACGAGGACACAGACACACACAGAGGGACGACCCTGTGAGGGCACAGGGAGAAGACGGCGTCTCCAAGCCCAGGAGAGGGGCCTCAGGAGGAACCAGCCCTGCCCACACCTGGATCTCAGAACTCCAGCCTCCAGGGCTGTGGGAGAATCAATGTGTTTTGTTTCTAAGCCGCCCAGCCTCTGGTATTCTGTGACAGCAGCCTGAGATGGACTAAGACATCTCATAAGAAGAGGACATGAGGACACAGACACACACAGAGGGACGACCCTGTGGGACACAGGGAGAAGACGGGGTCTCCAAGCCCAGGAGAGGGGCCTCAGGAGGAACCAGCCCTGCCCACACCTGGATCTCAGACCTCCAGCCTCCAGGGCTGTGGGAGAATCAATGTGTTTTGTTTCTAAGCCGCCCAGCCTCTGGTATTCTGTGACAGCAGCCTGAGATGGACTAAGACATCTCATAAGAAGAGGAGATGAGGACACAGACACACACAGAGGGACGACCCTGTGGGACACAGGGAGAAGACGGGGTCTCCAAGCCCAGGAGAGGGGCCTCAGGAGGAACCAGCCCTGCCCACACCTGGATCTCAGAACTCCAGCCTCCAGGGCTGTGGGAGAATCAATGTGTTTTGTTTCTAAGCCGCCCAGCCTCTGGTATTCTGTGACAGCAGCCTGAGATGGACTAAGACATCTCATAAGAAGAGGACATGAGGACACAGACACACACAGAGGGACGACCCTGTGGGACACAGAAGACGGGGTCTCCAAGCCCAGGAGAGGGGCCTCAGGAGGAACCAGCCCTGCCCACACCTGGATCTCAGACCTCCAGCCTCCAGGGCTGTGGGAGAATCAATGTGTTTTGTTTCTAAGCCGCCCAGCCTCTGGTATTCTGTGACAGCAGCCTGAGATGGACTAAGACATCTCATAAGAAGAGGACATGAGGACACAGACACACACAGAGGGACGACCCTGTGAGGGCACAGGGAGAAGACGGCGTCTCCAAGCCCAGGAGAGAGGCCTCAGGAGGAACCAGCCTTGCCCACACCTGGATCTCAGACCTCCAGCCTCCAGGGCTGTGGGAGAATCAATGTGTTTTGTTTCTAAGCCGCCCAGCCTCTGGTATTCTGTGACAGCAGCCTGAGATGGACTAAGACACCTCATAAGAAGAGGAGATGAGGACACAGACACACACGGAGGAACAACCCTGTGAGGACACAGGGAGAAGACGGCATCTCCAAGCCCAGGAGAGAGGCCTCAGGAGGAACCAGCCCTGCCCACACCTGGATCTCAGACCTCCAGCCTCCAGGGCTGTGGGAGAATCAATGTGTTTTGTTTCTAAGCCGCCCAGCCTCTGGTATTCTGTGACAGCAGCCTGAAACGGACTAAGACATCCCATAAAAAGGAGATGAGGACACAGACACACACGGAGGGACGACCCTGTGGGACACAGGGAGAAGACGGCGTCTCCAAGCCCAGGAGAGGGGCCTCAGGAGGAACCAGCACTGCCCACACCTGGATCTCAGACCTCCAGCCTCCAGGGCTGTGGGAGAATCAATGTGTTTTGTTTCTAAGCCGCCCAGCCTCTGGTATTCTGTGACAGCAGCCTGAGATGGACTAAGCCATCTCATAAGAAGAGACGAGGACACAGACACACACAGAGGGATGACCCTGTGAGGGCACAGGGAGAAGACGGCGTCTCCAAGCCCAGGAGAGGGGCCTCAGGAGGAACCAGCACTGCCCACACCTGGATCTCAGACCTCCAGCCTCCAGGGCTGTGGGAGAATCAATGTGTTTTGTTTCTAAGCCGCCCAGCCTCTGGTATTCTGTGACAGCAGCCTGAGATGGACTAAGACATCTCATAAGAAGAGGAGATGAGGACACAGACACACACAGAGGGACGACCCTGTGAGGGCACAGGGAGAAGACGGCGTCTCCAAGCCCAGGAGAGGGGCCTCAGGAGGAACCAGCCCTGCCCACACCTGGATCTCAGACCTCCAGCCTCCAGGGCTGTGGGAGAATCAATGTGTTTTGTTTCTAAGCCGCCCAGCCTCTGGTATTCTGTGACAGCAGCCTGAGATGGACTAAGCCATCTCATAAGAAGAGACGAGGACACAGACACACACAGAGGGACGACCCTGTGAGGACACAGGGAGAAGACGGCGTCTCCAAGCCCAGGAGAGGGGCCTCAGGAGGAACCAGCACTGCCCACACCTGGATCTCAGACCTCCAGCCTCCAGGGCTGTGGGAGAATCAATGTGTTTTGTTTCTAAGCCGCCCAGCCTCTGGTATTCTGTGACAGCAGCCTGAGATGGACTAAGCCATCTCATAAGAAGAGACGAGGACACAGACACACACAGAGGGACGACCCTGTGAGGGCACAGGGAGAAGACGGCGTCTCCAAGCCCAGGAGAGGGGCCTCAGGAGGAACCAGCCCTGCCCACACCTGGATCTCAGACCTCCAGCCTCCAGGGCTGTGGGAGAATCAATGTGTTTTGTTTCTAAGCCGCCCAGCCTCTGGTATTCTGTGACAGCAGCCTGAGATGGAGTAAGACATCTCATAAGAAGAGGAGATGAGGACACAGACACACACAGAGGGACGACCCTGTGGGACACAGGGAGAAGACGGGGTCTCCAAGCCCAGGAGAGGGGCCTCAGGAGGAACCAGCCCTGCCCACACCTGGATCTCAGACCTCCAGCCTCCAGGGCTGTGGGAGAATCAATGTGTTTTGTTTCTAAGCCGCCCAGCCTCTGGTATTCTGTGACAGCAGCCTGAGATGGACTAAGCCATCTCATAAGAAGAGACGAGGACACAGACACACACAGAGGGACGACCCTGTGAGGGCACAGGGAGAAGACGGCGTCTCCAAGCCCAGGAGAGGGGCCTCAGGAGGAACCAGCCCTGCCCACACCTGGATCTCAGACCTCCAGCCTCCAGGGCTGTGGGAGAATCAATGTGTTTTGTTTCTAAGCCGCCCAGCCTCTGGTATTCTGTGACAGCAGCCTGAGATGGACTAAGACATCTCATAAGAAGAGGACATGAGGACACAGACACACACAGAGGGACGACCCTGTGGGACACAGGGAGAAGACGGGGTCTCCAAGCCCAGGAGAGGGGCCTCAGGAGGAACCAGCCCTGCCCACACCTGGATCTCAGACCTCCAGCCTCCAGGGCTGTGGGAGAATCAATGTGTTTTGTTTCTAAGCCGCCCAGCCTCTGGTATTCTGTGACAGCAGCCTGAGATGGACTAAGACATCTCATAAGAAGAGGAGATGAGGACACAGACACACACAGAGGGACGACCCTGTGGGACACAGGGAGAAGACGGGGTCTCCAAGCCCAGGAGAGGGGCCTCAGGAGGAACCAGCCCTGCCCACACCTGGATCTCAGACCTCCAGCCTCCAGGGCTGTGGGAGAATCAATGTGTTTTGTTTCTAAGCCGCCCAGCCTCTGGTATTCTGTGACAGCAGCCTGAGATGGACTAAGACATCTCATAAGAAGAGGACATGAGGACACAGACACACACAGAGGGACGACCCTGTGGGACACAGAAGACGGGGTCTCCAAGCCCAGGAGAGGGGCCTCAGGAGGAACCAGCCCTGCCCACACCTGGATCTCAGACCTCCAGCCTCCAGGGCTGTGGGAGAATCAATGTGTTTTGTTTCCAAGCCGCCCAGCCTCTGGTATTCTGTGACAGCAGCCTGAGATGGACTAAGACATCTCATAAGAAGAGGACATGAGGACACAGACACACACAGAGGGACGACCCTGTGAGGGCACAGGGAGAAGACGGCGTCTCCAAGCCCAGGAGAGAGGCCTCAGGAGGAACCAGCCTTGCCCACACCTGGATCTCAGACCTCCAGCCTCCAGGGCTGTGGGAGAATCAATGTGTTTTGTTTCTAAGCCGCCCAGCCTCTGGTATTCTGTGACAGCAGCCTGAGATGGACTAAGACACCTCATAAGAAGAGGAGATGAGGACACAGACACACACGGAGGAACAACCCTGTGAGGACACAGGGAGAAGACGGCGTCTCCAAGCCCAGGAGAGAGGCCTCAGGAGGAACCAGCCCTGCCCACACCTGGATCTCAGACCTCCAGCCTCCAGGGCTGTGGGAGAATCAATGTGTTTTGTTTCTAAGCCGCCCAGCCTCTGGTATTCTGTGACAGCAGCCTGAAACGGACTAAGACATCCCATAAAAAGGAGATGAGGACACAGACACACACGGAGGGACGACCCTGTGGGACACAGGGAGAAGACGGCGTCTCCAAGCCCAGGAGAGGGGCCTCAGGAGGAACCAGCCCTGCCCACACCTGGATCTCAGACCTCCAGCCTCCAGGGCTGTGGGAGAATCAATGTGTTTTGTTTCTAAGCCGCCCAGCCTCTGGTATTCTGTGACAGCAGCCTGAGATGGACTAAGACATCTCATAAGAAGAGGAGATGAGGACACAGACACACACCAAGGGACAACCCTGTGGGACACGGAGAAGACGGGGTCTCCAAGCCCAGGAGAGAGGCCTCAGGAGGAACCAGCCCTGCCCATGCCCATCTCTTGATCTTGGACCTGCAGCTTCCAGGACTGTGGGAGAATCAATTCCTTTTTTCTTTTTCTTTTTTCTTTTTTTTCCTCTTTTTCTGAGATGGAGTCTCACTCTGTCGCCAGGCTGGAGTGCAGTGGCGTGATCTTGGCTCACTGCAACCTCCACCTCGCAGGTTCAGGCCATTCTCCTGCCTCAGCCTTCTGAGTAGCTGGGATGACAGGCGCCCGCCACCACACCCGGCTACTGTTTGTATTTTTATTAGAGACGGGCTTTCTGGCCATGTTGGCCAGGCTGGTCTCATACTCCCGACCTCAGGTGATCCGCCCGCCTTGGCCTCCCAAAGCGCTGGGATTACAGGCGTGAGCCACCGCGCCCGGCCAAATTCCTTTTTTCTGAAGCCACCAAGCTGTGGGACTTTTTTATGGCAGTCCCAGCAGACAGATCCACCCTCGTTCCAAATAAGGTTATCGTCATAGGTTCTGGGGGTGAGGTCATAGATGTATGTTTTTTTTTTTTTTTGGAGAGAGAGTCTCTCTCTATTGCCCAGGCTGGAGGGCAGTGGCGCGATCACGGCTCACTGTAGCCTCGACCTCCTGGGCTCAAGCGATCCTCTCGGGAGGCTAAGAGAGGAGAATCGTTTGAATCCGGGAGGCAGAGGTTGCAGTGAGCTGAGATAGCACCACAGCACTGCAGAGCGAGACTCTGTCTCAAAAAAAAAAAAAAGAAAAAAGAAAAAAAATAGGCCGGGTGCGTGGCTGACGCCTGTAATCCCAGCACTTTGGGAGGCCGAGGCGGGTGGATCACTTGAGGTCAGGAGTTCAAGACCAGCCTAACGAAGATGGTGAAACCCCATCTCTATGAGAAATACAAAAATTACCCGGGCGTGGTGGCGGGCGCCTGTAGTCCCAGCTACTCGGGAGGCAGGGGCAGGAGAATCGCTTGAACCTGGGAGGTGGAGGTTGTGAGCTGAGATCGTGCCACTGCACTCCAGCCTGGGCGACAAAACGAGACTCCATCTCAAAAAAAAAAAAAAAAGAAAAAGAAAAAGAAAAAATTAACACACACACACAAATTCCATGATAAACACAAAATCAAGTTCAAAGCACGCACGCCAGTGCTGCCTCTGCTGCCCCTCCATGCTGCCCACACCCAAAGCACCTGCCGGCCTGCTGGGCACAGTGGAAGTCCCTGGCGCTCCCCGTGTCCCGAGCACCAGGCAGACAGGGATCCCTGGTGGTCTTTCCGCTCCCTTAGGGTTCCAGACTGGGGCTGGGAGGTCCGGAAGTCGCTCCCGGTCCTGGTACTCAGGTGGCCTGCAGGTGGCCCGCAGGTGGTCACGGTCTCTGTGCAGGTGGCACTACTGGGGTGTCCCCCCCTGGACGCCACCCCATATGGCAGCCACCTCTCTGCTTCCCAGGGCCCCGGGGAGAGCTTACAGTCCCTGGTCCCCCCAGGACGGCCCCCGGTCTGTGACCCTCTCACCCTTTACCCCTAGAGTGCGACCAGGAGGAGGGCGCAAACACACGTGCCTGGCGGACGTCGCTGCTGATCGCGCTGGGGACGCTGCTGGCCCTGGTCTGTGTCTTCGTGATCTGCAGAAGGTGAGCCCTCGAGGGCGTCCGCGAGCGTCGCTTGTTTCCAGTGTGACCCTGAAAGTTATTCACAGAACCATCCTGAGAATTATCATTATTATTTTTGTGATGGAGTCTCGCTCTGTCTCCCAGGCTGGAGTGCAGTGGCACGATCTGGGCTCACTGCAGCCTCTGCCTCCTGGGTTCAGGCGATCCTCCTGCCTCAGCCTCCCAAGTAGCTGGGATTACAGGCACCCAGCAACACACCCAGCTAATTTTTGTATTTTTAGTAGAGACGGGGTTTTGCCATGTTGGCCAGGCTGGTCTTGAATTCCTGGACTCAGGTGATCCACCTGCCTCAGCCTCCTAAAGTGCTGGGATTACAGGCGTAAGCCACCTCGCCTGGCCCATATTATTATTATTGTTATGATTATTATTATTTTTTGAGTCTTGCTCTGTCACCCAGGCTGGAGTGCAGTGGCTCGATCTCGGCTCACCGCAGCCTCCACCTCCCGGGTTCAAGTGATTCTCCTGCCTCAGCCTCCCGAGTAGCTGGGATTACAGGTGTGCAACACTGCACCCAACTAATTCTTGTATTTTTAGTGGAGACGGGGTTTCACCATGTTGGCCACACTGGTGTTGAACTCCTGGCCTCAAGTGATCCCCCAGCCTCGGCCTCCCAAAGTGCTGGGATTACAGGCGTGAGCCACCGCACCTGGCCCCTTGAGAATTATTCACAAAAGACCAGGGGCCAGGTCCTCTCTGCTAGCTGCCCCCTGCCAGGAGGTCTGTAGAGCCAAAGCTGAGGGCTCTGGTGGGACCAAGGGTGTCCCCAGGGTGGAGGAAGCAGGGCCGGTCCTCCCCTGCCCTGCCCAGCGGGCCTGACACAGTCAGAGGGCGAAAGGCCAGGCTTTCTGGTCGGGAAGGGGCCTGGGCGAACGTCACAGCTGTCCACTTGGATGGGCCAGGATCCGTCATGCAGACCAACTCGAGGTTTTTGGTCACCAGCTGGGTCACCCCAGGTCCTGTCTCCTTTTTTTTAGAGAAGGAGTTTTGCTTTTGTTGCCCAGCCTGGAGTGCAATGGCGCCATCTCGGTTCACTGCAACCTCTGCCTCCTGGGTTCAAGCGATTCTCCTGCCTCAGCCTCCCTGAGTAGCTGGGATTACAAGGATGTGCCACCACGCCTGGCTAATTTTGTATTTTTAGTAGAGATGGGGTTTCTCCGTGTTGGTCAGGCTGGTCTTGAACTCCTGACCTCATGTGATCCACCCGCCTCGGCCTCCCAAAGTGCTGGGATGACAGGCGTGAGCCACCATGCCCGGATAATTTTGTATTTTCAGTAGAGACGGAGTTTCTCCGTGTTGATCAGGCTGGTCTTGAACTCCTCACCTCAGTTGATCTGCCCGCCTGGGCCTCCCAAAGTGCTGGGATGACAGGCGTGTGCCACCATGCCCAGATAATTTTGTATTTTTAGTAGAGATGGAGTTTCTCCATGTTGGTCAGGCTGTTCTCGAACTCCTGACCTCAGTTGATCTGCCCGCCTGGGCCTCCCAAAGTGCTGGCATTACAGGCTTGAGCCACCATGACCAGCCAGGCCCTGTTTCCTTCCTGCTGGGCATCAGAGCTTCACAATCTGTCAAATGGGTGCCATGGTGACTTCTGTCTCCCGGGGGAAGGGGGAAAAGGGGAGGGGGAGGGGGAAGGGGAAGAGGGGGGAGGAGGGGGGAAGGGAGGAGGGGGAAGGGAGGGGGGAAAGGAGGGGGAAGGGAGGAGGGGGAAGGGAAGAGGGGGAGGAGGGGGAAGGGGAGGAGGAGGAGGGGGAGGAGAGGCGAGGGGGAGGGTGGGGGAGGGGGAAGGGGGAGGAGGAGAGGGGAGGATGAGTGGGGAGGGGGAAGGAGGGAGAGGGGGAGGGGGAGAGGGAGGGGTAGGGGGGAAGGGGTGGAGGAGGGAGGAAAAGGGGGAGGAAGAGGGGGACGAGGCCCTTCCTGCAAGCTGTCTCAGGTCGTAAACTCAGTGACCTGAGGCACCAGGGGTCTGTCTTTGCAGCTGCACCCCTGGGTGGCTCCGGTACCAGCGCCCTACTCCTTTAATTAGACACCAGCGCCTGCCTATGATGATGGTCGGGGGCGTGTCAGGGCCTCAGGGGCCGGGAAAATAGAGACCCCTCGAGTAGATGACTTGAGTCTTTTGCTCTGTCCTGGCACTGTCTGTCCTGGACACGCTGTGTCCCAGATGATGAGCTGGTCGGTTTTGGGTTCAGAGCTGGGCCATTTCTCTTTCCTCCGAGGTATCTGGTGATGCAGAGACTCTTTCCCCGCATCCCTCACATGAAAGACCCCATCGGTGACAGCTTCCAAAACGACAAGCTGGTATGTTGTTTTTTCTGCCTTGGGACGGGTCTGGAGGCGTGGTGGCCACTTTGGGAGGCCCAGGCGGGCGGACCACTTGAGGCCAGGAACTGGAGACCAGCCTGGCCAACATGGAGAAACTCCGTGTCTACTAAAAATACAAAATTAGCCGGGTGTGGTGGCGGGCGCCTGTAATCCCAGCTACTCGGGAGGCTGAGGGAGGAGGATCACTTGAACCCGGGAGGTGGAGGCTGCAGTGAACTACGATCGAGCCACTGCACTCCATCTGGGCGACAAGAGTGAAATGGCCTGGACTAGGAGGCTGGACACCTGTCTGCTGGCGCTGGTGGGCGGCTGGGAAAAGCTGCAGGATGAAGGGAGTGGGGGGACACTGGGCTCCCAGCCCACCGTGATCACGGGCCGTCTCCGCACCCTGCACACCAGAGCAGAGCAGATTTTTTTTTTTTTTTTTAGATGGAGTTTTGCTCTTGTTGCCCAGGCTAGAGTGCAATGGTGCGATCTTGGCTCACCACAACCTCCACCTTCCCAGTCCAAGGTTCAAGCGATTGTCCTGCCTCAGCCTCCCGAGTAGCTGGGACTACAGGCACGCACCGACACGCCCAGCTAATTTTGTATTTTTAGTAGAGACGGGGTTTCACCATGTTGGCCAGGATGGTCTCGATCTCCTGACCTTGTGATCCCCCTGCCTCGGCCTCCCAAAGTGCTGGGATTACAGGCATGAGCCACCATGCCCAGCCTAGTTTTCAACAAGTTTTTAGTGATACCTGTGTCCCTAAGAGAAAGGAAGGGCAGAGGAAAAGGAGGCAGACATCTCTGTCAGAGTTTTTTGTTTTGTTTTGTTTTGTTTGTTTTTGTTTTTGAGACGCAGTTTTGTTCGTTGCCCCGGCTGGAGTGCAATGGTGCAATCTCGGCTCACTGCAACCTCCACCTTCCCGGTTGAAGGTTCAAGCGATTCTCCTGCCTCAGCCTCCCAAGTAGCTGGGACTACAGGCATGCACCAACACACCCAGCTAATTCTGCATTTTTAGTAGAGAAGGGGTTTCACCATGTTGGCCAGGATGGTCTGGATCTCCTGACCTTATGGTCCGCTCGCCTCGGCCTCCCAAAGTGCTGGGATTACAGGTGTGACCCACCGCGCCTGGCCCAAAGTGCTGGGATGACAGGCGTGAGACACCATGCCTGGCCCACAGAGCAGATCTGAGATGGGACAGGCCCCCGCAGATCAGGACGTGGGCTCTGTTATCTGGGGGGTGGCCGACTCACCCTGCCTCCTCTCGTCTCTGCAGGTGGTCTGGGAGGCGGGCAAAGCCGGCCTGGAGGAGTGTCTGGTGACTGAAGTACAGGTCGTGCAGAAAACTTGAGACTGGGGTTCAGGGCTTGTGGGGGTCTGCCTCAATCTCCCTGGCCGGGCCAGGCGCCTGCACAGACTGGCTGCTGGACCTGCGCACGCAGCCCAGGAATGGACATTCCTAACGGGTGGTGGGCATGGGAGATGCCTGTGTAATTTCGTCCGAAGCTGCCAGGAAGAAGAACAGAACTTTGTGTGTTTATTTCATGATAAAGTGATTTTTTTTTTTTTAACCCACTCACTGGTCCCGGTCTCTGGATTCAGCCCCATTCCTCCAACACTACTAGAGAGACTGTTTCCCCGGTTTTTTTTTTTTGGAGATGGAGTCAGGATCTGTCTCCCAGGTTGGAGTGCAGTGATGCAATCTCAGCTCACTGCAACCGCTGCCTCCCGGGCTCAAGCAATTCTCCTGCCTCAGCCTCCCAAGTAGCTGGGATTACAGGCACCTGCCACCACCCCTGGCTAATTTTTATATTAGCCGGTCTCGAACTCCTGACCTTGTGATCTGCCCGCCTCTGCCTCCCAAAGTGCTGGGATTACAGGCGTGAGCCACCACACCTGGCCTTTTTTCTTTTTTCAGACCGAGTCTCGGTCTGTCACCCAGGCTGGAGTGCAGTGGCACCATCTCAGCTCACAGCAACCTCTGCCTCCTGGGCTCAAGCGATTCTCCTGCCTCAGCCTCTCGAATAGCTGAGACTACAGGCACATGCCACCACGCCCGGCTAGCTTTGTGTTTTTAGTAGAGACGGGGTTTCACCATGTTGGCCAGGCTGGTCTGGAACTCTTGACCTCATGTGATCCGCCCATCTCGGCCTCCCAAAATGTTGGGATTACAGGCTGGCCTGTAGTCACCGAGTCTGGCCCCCCACCACCCCTGTTTGTTTTTTTGAGACAAAGTCTGGCTCTGTCACTCAGGCTGGAGTGCAGTGGCACAATCTCACCTCACAGCAACCTCTGCCTCCTGGGTTCAAGCAACTCTCCTGCCTCAGCCTCTCGAGTAGCTGGGATTAGAGGTATGCACCATCATGCCTGGCTAACATTTATTTTTAGTAGAGACAGGGCTTCTCCATGTTGGTCAGGCTGGTCCTGAACTCCCGACCTCAGGTGATTCACCTGCCTCACCATCCCAAAGTGCTGGGATTACAGAGGTAAACCACTGAGCCCAACTGGAACTGTGATTTTGATAGTACCCACAAGGCAGGATTCTCTTAAAAACAGCTATGCCACCATGTATTACTGTCTATGAAGTTATCTCCAACACTCAGCTTGCTGAGAGCCTCAGCATTTCAAGATTGTGCAGGACTGGCCAGGCACAGTGACTCATGCCTGTCATCCCAGCACTTTGGGAGGCCGAGGCGGGCGGATCACGAGGTCAGGAGATTGAGACCAGCCTGGCTGACACGGTGAAACCCTTGTCTCTACTAAATACACAAAAAAAATTACCGGGCTGTGGTGGCAGGCGCCTGTAGTCCCAGCTACTCAGGAGGCTGAGGCAGAGAATGGCGTGAACCCGGGAGGTGGAGCTTGCAGTGAGCTGAGATTGCGCCACAGCACTCCAGCCTGGGTGACAGAGTGAGACTCTGTCTCAAAAACAAAAAAACAAAATTAGCCGGGCATGGTGGCGGGCACCTGTAATCCCAGCTACGTGGGAAGCTGAGGCAGAATGGCTTGAACCTCGGAGATGGAAGTAGAGTTGAGCCGTTACCACACCATTGCAGTCCTGCCTGGGTGACAAGAGACTCCATCTCAAAGAAAAAAAAAAATCAAGGAGTAAACTTGTTGGTCTTTGAATTGTAACTTTGGAGAACCTCCCCGCCACTACCGAATTCCCCAAAGTCCAGTGTACCATGTAGGATTTCACTTGATCCGCGGAGGAAACCATGCCCCAATTACTAGGTTAAAATCTATTAAGTGCCGGGCGCGGTGGCTCACACCTGTAATCCCAGCACTTTGGGAGGCTGAGGGTGGATCACCTGAGGTGAGGAGTTCGAGACCAGCCTGACCAACACAGTGAAACCCCGTCTCTACTAAAAATACAAAAATTAGCCGGGCATGGTGGCGGCTGCCTGTAATCCCAGCTACTTGGGAGGCTGAGGCAGGAGAATCGCTTGAACCCAGGAGGCGGAGGTGGCAGTGAGCTGAGATTGCGCCACTGCACTCCAGCGTGGGGGACAGAGCAAGACTCCGTCTCAAAAAAAATAAAAAAATAAAAATAAAAAACTATTAAGTATCAGGAGTGAAAATACATCCAAGAGTGAATGAAGCAGTGACCACAGCTCCAGGCAGGAACTCGGAGCCCAGGTCCCCGTGGGTCGAGGCTGTTTTGTGGAGGGTGTGCAGGACCCACAGGGCTGATGGTGGAAGGTCCTGCTTTGCCACTTGCCTCTGGGCCGAGTCACGTGACCAAGACGAGGGCTCACGGAGCTTTCCTGATCTCTGATATCATCGGGACACAAATGAGGGTTTCTACCTGGCCAAGTGCAGAGATGTAGAGTCTGCCTTTCGGGCCAGGAGCGGTGGCTCATACCTGTCGTCCCACCATGTTCGGAGGCTTAGGTGGGCGGATCATTTGAGTCCAGGAGCTCGAGAGCAGCCAGGTAGGTAAACATGGTGAAACCCCATCTCCACTAAAAATACTAAAATCAGCCGGGTGTGGTGGCGCATGCCTGTAGCCCCAGCTACTTGGGAGGCTGAGGCAGGAGAATTGCTTGAACCTGGGAGGCAGAGGTTGCACCACTGTACTCCAGCCTGGGCGAGAGCGAGACTCCATCTCAAAAAACAGATTCTTTTTACTATGGCTGGGATTTCTGGAGAGCACGGGAGAGCCGGCTCTGGAACCCCAGGGCTGTAGTCTCTGTGGCCCTGCCGTGCGCTGACACCAAGGCCCAAGGTTCGGCCCGGTAGAGATTCAACACGGCTTTTCTTGCCCCGCAATGAATGTTTGAGCAGAAAGAGCTTGAAGGAAGCTGTCGTGCCTCGCGGTGGGTACCCCTTGTGGTGGATTCTCACGGGTGAACCCGCGGACACACAGCTGCCACTCTGGGGACCCCGACCGACTCCACTGTTCATGCTGGAATGGGGGCTGGAGTGGCCCTCGGGAGCTACAGGAGGTGGAGAGGAACGCAGGGTGTCACGCCTGTTTCAGTTTCCCCAAGATTCACGCTGAAAACGCCCCTCTCCCAAGTGATGGCGTTGGGAAGTGGGGGTCTTTGGGAGTCATGAGGCCTCATGGATGGGATCAGTGCCCTTACAGAAAGGACTCCAGAGAGCACCCTGGCCTCATCCATCATCTGAGGACACACAGGGAGAAGGCGCCATCTAGAAGCCAGGAACTGGGTACTCACCAGAGACTGAATCTACCATACCTTGGTTTTCTGGGACCTCCAGCCTCCAGAGCTGAGACATGAGATCATACAAATGCTCTCAGAGAGGGTACAGTAAGTGCAGGTGCCCTGGGGTCCTCCAGCATTTATCAGGGAGCCCGGCTACACTTCTGCCAGCCTTGGTTTCTACCCCCCGCCTCTTCCCAGCTGTGACCCTGCCCTCTGTGCCCCAGGGGTGCTGGGGAGGAGGCAGCACTGCAGACCAGGAACGTGGGCCAGCCACGGGCAGAGCGTGGCCCCATCTGCGTCCCGTGGGCCCAGCGCCCATCTCCAGACCCCAGGCCGCCCTGTGGAGAGGTGCGTGGCCAGGCAGGAGGACCTCTGCGTCCTCTGTTTATTGTTTTGCAGCAGGAGGCCCAACATAGAACATACTCGCCAGTACTCGGCTGTGCAAAACAGGGGCTAGCGCTGAAGTACAAATGGGAAAACGTGATTCTTTTGTTTTAAATAAATACTTAGAACACGACTTGGCTCCTACAAGCATCTGGACTCTAGGTCTCAGTACTGGAGTGTCTCACCCATGGGCCCCACGCAGGGACGCCACGGTTCCCTCCCACCCCGTGATCAAGACACGGAATCGGCTGCCGATGGTTGGATCGCAATGCGCCCCTTTTCTAGAGCCTTCCCCGGCCATCTACAGGCAGGATGCGGCTGGGAAAAAGACAACTGGAATTTCTCGAAGGTTGATGGTCCGCACGGTTGAGGATTCTACGTGGTTCTCTTGGTTCCCCTGGTGTGTGTGTGTGTGTGGAGGAGGCCGCGGCCCTTAGATCACCTTCTTGAGCTCGTCGTACAGGACCAGCACGAAGGCGCCCCCCATGCCCCGCAGGACGTTGGACCACGCACCCTTGAAGAAGGCCTTGCCCCCCTCATCTCTGAAGATCTTCCTCCAACAGTCGACGGTGCCCGTGTACATGATGTCAGCTGCAACGACAGGGAGACAGTGAGGGCCTCGCCGCCAAGCTCTTCAAGACACGGACGCCACCTGCACCCACAAAGACGTTTCACAGAAATAACACCCCAGACGCCTGAGCCACAGTTCTGATTACAGGAGGGATACCTGAGGCTCCCCCAGCTCAAGCCCTCCTCCTAAGCCACTGTCTCAGGGAGGGCTGGACACAGGACTTCAGGCCCCGCCCTGGGTGTCCCCCATCTCCACCCCGGGGTCCATGCAGAGAAGGCAGGATCGAGGGTGTGGGTGCAACCAGAGGTTCTAGGAGGCGGGGATTTAGAAACTGCCGCCCGGACCATGAAACCCCAAAAAGATCAGAAGCCCATCGTTCAGGAAAATCCTTCCACACAGCCAGGTTACTTTCGGACACACTTGCTTGTCTCACACGCCCTGGAAGTGCCTCCTTTGATGGTTCCTGACCTCCCACGGGCCTAGGGCAAGGAGCTTGGTTCCCCTTCCCGGCAGCAAGGGTCCCCCGCCCCCCCGAGTACCTCCTTTGCGCCCGGACTGCATCATCATGCGCCGCCGCACCGTGTCGAAGGGGTAGGACACCACGCCGGCCACGGCCGTCACGGTCTGCGCGATCATCCAGCTCACCACGATGTGCGTGTTCTTGGGGTCGGGGAGCATGCCTGCGCGGGAACGGCACGTCACCGTCTCCAGCGCCTGCACGGCCACCCGAGACCAGGGTCGGCCCCCAGGGTGTGCTCACGGCCCCCTGAGGTGGTGCCGAGCTCTTCCGAGACCACCAGTGCCCCCTCCACGTGGCTGCTCAGTGCCAGCTGACGTTTACAACACGAGAGGTCGGGGCAGGGCCAGAGGGGAAAAGGCCGCCTGCCACCTACCGGAGCCCAGCAAGACAGTCCCAGAGGCCGGGGTTAGGCCTGTTTGGGGAAGGGAATAGGGCCCTGACCTTCTGAAGGGTCACCGTTACTATGGGAGTTACACTCTGTCCTCAAAATCCACATGCTGAAGTCCCACCCCCACCCCAGGACCTCAGGATGCAACTGTACTTGGATATAAGGTCTTGAAAGAGGTAAGACTAAAGGAGGCCAGTAGGGTGGGCCCTGATCCTACGACCCCAGTGTCCTTCTAAAAAGAGATGAGGACACAGACACACGGAGGGATGACCCTGTGAGGACACAGGGAGAAGACGGTGTCTACAAGCCAAAAAGAGAGGCCTCAGAAGGAACCAGCCCTGCCCACTCCTTGATGTCAGACTTCCAGCCTCCAGGACTCCGGGAGAATCAATGTCTGCTGTTTATAAGCCACCCAGTCTATAGTATTGTTTTAGGAGCCTGAAATGGACTAAGACACCTCATAAGAAGAGCAGATAAGGACACAGACACACACAGAGGGATGACCCTGTGAGGACACAGGGAGAAGACGGCGTCTACAAGCCCAGGAGAGAGGCCTCAGGAGGAACCAGCCCTGCCCCACACCTTGATCTCAGACTTCCAGACTCCAGGATTATGGAAGAATCAATGTCTGTTGTTTACAGTCCACCCACTCTATGGTATTCTGTGATAGCAGCCTCAAATGGACTAAGACATCTCATCAGAAGAGGACACGAGGACACAGACACACACAGAGGGACGACCCTGTGAGGACACAGGGAAGACGGAGTCTCCAAGCCCAGGAGAGAGGCCTCAGGAGGAACCAGCCCTGCCCACACCTGGATCTCAGACTTCCAGCCTCCAGGACTGTGGGAGAATCAATGTCTGTTGTTTCTAAGTCACCCAGTCTATGGTGTTCTGGGATGGCAGCCTGAAATGGACTAAGACATCTCATAACAAGAGATGAGGACACAGACACACACACAGGAAAAAGCCTGAGAAGACAGCATCTCCAAGCCCAGGAGAGAGGCCTCAGGAGGAACCAGCCCTGCCCATGCCTTGGTCTCAGACCTTCAGCCTGCAGGACTGTGGGAGAATCAATGTCTGCTGTTTACAATCCACCCAGTCTATGGTATTCTGTGATAGCAGCCTGAAATGGATTAAGACATCTCATAACAAGAGGAGATGAGGACACAGACACACACAGAGGGACGACCCCGTGAGGGCAC
Source organism: Homo sapiens (assembly GCF_000001405.40). NCBI lineage: Eukaryota > Metazoa > Chordata > Mammalia > Primates > Hominidae > Homo > Homo sapiens. Next base: position 1,388,853 of record NC_000023.11, read on the forward strand.
AGGGAGAAGACGGCATCTACAAGCCTAGGAGAGAGGCCGCAGGAGGAACCAGCCCTGCCCACACCTGGATCTCAGACCTCCAGCCTCCAGGACTGTAGGAAAATCAATGTCTGTTGTTTATAGTCACCCAGTCTATGGTATTCTGTGATAGCAGCCTGAAATGGATTAAGACATCCCATAAGAAGAGAGGATGAGGACACAGACACACACAGAGGGATGATGCTGTGAGGGCACAGGGAGAAGACGGCGTCTCCAAGTCCAGGAGAGAGGCCGCAGGAGGAACCAGCCCTGCCCACACCTTATCTCAGACCTTCAGCCCACAGGACCCTGGGGGAACGTCTGTGTGTTGAGCCCGTCTCTGGGACTTCGCGATGGCAGCCACACGTACCCTTGGCCGTATCGTACACGCCGAAGTAGGCCGCCCGGTAGATGATGATGCCCTGCACGGAGACACTGAAGCCCTGGTACAGGCCCCGGATGCCGTCGGACTTGGTGATCTTCACCAGGCAGTCTCCCAGGCCTCGGAACTCGCGCTCTGTGCCTGACTTTCCCACGTCCGCTGCCAGGCGGGTTCTGGCGAAATCCAGCGGGTACACGAAGCAGAGGGAGGTCGCGCCGGCCGCACCGCCGGAGGCCAGGTTGCCCGCAAAGTACCTCCAGAACTGCGTGTGCTTGTCCACGCCCCCCAGGAAGATCTGCTTGTACTTATCCTTGAAGGCGAAGTTGAGGGCTTGAGTGGGGAAGTAGCGAATGACGTTGGCAAGGTTGCCCCTCCAGAAGGACAGCACGCCCTGCTCCTTGGGGATGCGGACAATGCAGTCCACGATGCCCTTGTACTGCTTGTCGGCGGCGATCTGCTTGCTGGCGTGCTGGACCTGGGGGACGCAGAGGGTGTTCAGACCAGACCCAGGGCCAACCACCCAGAAACATCCCAGCTACAGGGTGCATCCTTTTTTTGACACAAGTCACTCTTGTTGCCCAAGCTGGAGTGCAATGGGGTGATCAAGTGATTCTCCTGTCTCAGCCTCCCGAGTAGCTGGGACTATAGGCGCCCACCACCACGCCCGGCTAATTTTTTTGCTTATTTAGTAGAGACGAGCGTTCCACCATGTTAGTCAGGATGGTCTCGATCTGCTGACCTCGTGAGCCACCGCACCCGGCTCTTTCTTTTTTTAAAAAGACAAGGTCTCATGCTGTTACCCGGGTTTGAGTGTAGTGGTGCGATCTCACCTCACTGCAGCCTCCAACTCCTGGATTAAGCCATCCTCCCGCCTCAGTCTCCCGAGTACCCGGGTCTACAGATGCACAACCATCAAGCTCCACTAAGTTGAAAAATTACTTTTAGAGATGGAGTCTTGCTACGATGACCAAGCTGCTCTCAAACTCCTGAGCTCAGGTGATCCTCCCTGGGCCTCTTGAAGCGCTGGGACATCCCGCCCTGCTAAGTTTAAAAAAATTTTTTAAGCCGGGCACAGTGGCTCATGCCTGTAATCTCAGCACTTTGGGAGGCTGAGGTGGGTGGATCACGACGTCAGGAGATCAAGAGCATCCTAACACGGTGAAACCCTGTCTCTACTAAAAATACAGAACATTAGCAAGGTGTGGTGGCAGGTGCCTGCTAGGGAGGCTGAGGCAGAATGGCGTGAACCCAGGAGGCGGAGGCTACAGTGAGCCGAGATCGTGCCACTGCACTCCAGCCTGGGCGACAGGGAGAGACTCCATCTCAAAAAAAAAAAAAAAGGTTTTTTTAAGATGTGGGGTCTTGCTATGTTACTCTGGCTGGTCTCAAACGATCCTCCCTGGGCCTCTCCAAGTGCTGGGACACCCCGCCCTGCTAAGTTTAAAAAATTTTCTTAGAGACGGGGTCTTGCTACGTTGCCCTGGCTGGTCTCAAACTCCTGGGCTCAAACGATCCTCCCTGGGCCTCTCCGAGTGCTGGGACACCCCGCCCTGCTAAGTTTAAAACTTTTTCTTAGAGACGGGGTCTTGCTATGTTGCCCTGGCTGGTCTCAAACTCCTGAGCTCAGGCGATCCTCCCTGGGCCTCTCAAAGTGCGGGGACACCCCGCCTGCTAAGTTTTAAAAATTTTCTTAGAGATGGGGTCTTGCTATGTTGTCCTGGCTGGTCTCAAACTCCCGGGACACGCCACCCTGTACTAGGTTTAAAAAATTATCTTAGAGATGCGGTCTTGCTCTGTTGCCCAGGCTGGTCTCAAACTCCTGAGCTCACGCGATCCTCTCCGGGCCTCTCAATGCACTGGGACGTCCTGCTTCGTTAAGTTAAAATAATTTTTTTTGAGGTGAGGTCTTGCTGTGTGGCCCCGGCTGCTCTCAAACTCCTGGCCTCAAGCAATACTCCCCGGGCCTCTCAAAAGCGCTGGGATCGCGGGCGTGACCTGTCCTTGCAGCCAAGCCTATTCATTCCCATCACCGAGCTGTCACTCGGAGTACAACGTTAGCAAGGACGTCCTGGCGGCAATGTTCCTAGGCATCATGCTACTTTCTATAAGCCTCTCCCAAAAGACAAAAAATGCATTGCTCTGGATCAGAATTGCACAAATGAGCTAAGAAGGGGGTAAGAACCACCAATAACCATATCCTGGTTATTCCAGGACACCTGCGGGCAGGCTCGTTGCCCTATTGGCCTTAGAATTACCCTTCACGGTGGAGGGAGCAAGAGCAGACACCTGCCAGGCATCCACCGGAAGGGTTGGTCCCAGCCGGGGGACCCGCAGGATTGAGCTCAAGGTCAAGGCCCGCCAGCCGCAGGGTCCGTCCATGGGCCCTGCTCAGCGCGCATGCGCCCTCCAATCCGTGCCGCATTTCCCCCCGCCCGCCGGGCCCAGTGCGCACGCGTGGACGTCGCCACGCCCTGCAGCAGCGGTCACGTGACGCGGCCCCCGGAAGCCGGCGGCGCGTGGACAAAGCGATCGCGGCCTTCCACTTCCGGCGCCCGCCTGCAAGGCTCTGCTGCCCACGTCCCCGCCCGACCCGGCCACTCGGTTCCCGTCCCCTAGTCCCCGGAGCGGCCGCGCCCGCGTCCCCACCTGCAGCAGCAGCTTGACCCGCTCGATCGGAGCCACGGCCGTCTTGGAGATGGCGGCGGCGATGCCTCCGGCCAAGAAGTCTTTGGCGAAGGAGATGGCCTGTTCCGTCATGGTGGCAGGGCGGGCAGCGGAACGGGAGGACAGCCGGAGAACGGGCGCGGAGAGTGAATGGAGGGCGTCGCTGGCTCAGCCCTGCCGCCGCCTGGACCGAAAGGACGGAGCAGCCACCGCGCAGCCGCTAAGACGCCGACGCCACGCCCACTCTCCGCCCCCGCGCCTCCTCGCGCCGCGCTCATTGGCTGCGCCGCCAGGCCCCGCCCCACACCAGCCTGCGTGCCTCGCCTCTGAGGGCTGCCGGGAATCCCGCTGCGTCCCGCCCCGCACTCCAGCGAACCGCGCCCATTGGCTGCGCTCCCCGGAGACGTCCCGCCCCGCACCCCTAGGTATGCCGGGAGCCAGGCCCCGCCCATGCGCCGTAGGGGCCGCTGGGGGTTCCGCGGCAGCCTTGACCTTGTGAAGGTCAGGCCGCTGCCAGTACCCGAGCGGGCGGGAGGGCAGCTGCGGAGTCAGAAGCCCACCCTGATGCCCAGTTCGCTCCGAGTGCGTCGTCCGCTTTCTCCCGGAGGCCGCGGCGACCCCGCCGGGATGTGCGACATGTGGTGCCCCGACCCCCGACCCTTGACCCTTGACCTCCGGGCAGCTCCGACCCTTTCAACACTCTCCGGGGTCGTGCGTCGGGAGACCCCGGCCCCTGCCCGCGTGCACCCGGGGGGCCCCGCGCGAAGCCTGCGGCGGCTTCCACGTGGGCGCGGCTCAGTCCCGCTGCCGATCCGTGACTCCGCGCCGCCCTCCGCGCCCGGCCTAGGTTGGTGGGGGGGGGATCTCTCTGGGCCTCCGTTCTTTGACCCCGCGGTGCCCTCCGCGCCGGGGCTGGGGGTTCCGTGGGCCGCGCCCACCCGCCCGGGCTCCCCTATTTCCCCGTGTCTGTGCCCGTGTCTGCCCGGCGGGGGCTGCGGCCGGGGTCCTCCTTCGCGACCTCCCACTCCGCCCTTCCTCCCTCCCTCCCTCCCTCCCTCCCGCCTCCCTCCTCCCTCCCTCCCGCCTCCCTCCTCCCTCCTCCCGCCTCCTCTCCCTTCCCGGCTCTCTCCCGCCCGCCCTTTTCTCCCCGTCTCTTCCTTCCCTGCTTGCCTTTGCTTTTTGCTGCTTTCCCGCCTCCCTCCTTTTTCTCCGTCTTTCCGTCTCTGCCTTCGTTTCCCTCCCTCCCTTTTTCTTTCATTTCTCTCTCCCTTTCTCCTTCCTTTCTTGCTACGTTTCTTCCCTCTTTTTCATTTTTTTCCTTCCTTTTTCTGCTTTTCTCCCTCCGCCCTTCCTCTGTTTTTTCTTTGCTCCCTCCCTCTTTTTTCTCCCTCTTTCCGTCTCTCCTTCCCTTTTCCTCTTTCCTTCCCTTCCTCCCTTTTCTGCCTTTCCCTCCTTCCCTCTCTTTTCCTTTTCCTCTTTATTTCCTGTCTCCCTTCCTCTCGTCCCTTTCTCCCCTCTCTCTTTTCCGTTTTTTTTTTCTTTTGAGACAGAGTTTCGCTCTTGTTGCCCAAGCTGGAGTGCAAGCTCCGCCTCCCGGGTTCAAGCGATTCTCCTGCCTCAGCCTCCCAAGTAGCTGGAATGACAGGCATGCGCCACCGCGCCCAGCTAATTTTATATTTTTAGTAGAGACGGGGTTTCGCCATGTTGGTCAGGCTGGTCTCGAACTCCGGACTTCAGGGGATCCGCCCACTTCGGCTTCCCAAAGTGCTGGGATGACAGGTGTGTGAGCCACCACGCCTAGCTGTCTCTTTTCCATTTTTTAATTTTTTTTTCATTTTTCCTCTCTCCCTTTGCCTCTCTTTTTCTTCTTCCTTTTATTCTTTCCTGTCTTGTTCTTTCCTTCCTCTCTGTTTCTCCCTTTCTCCCTGTTTTCCTTTTTTTTTTTTGAGATGGAGACTTGTTCTGTCACCGAGGCTGGAGTGCAGTGGCGTGATCTCAGCTCACTGCAACCTCTGCCTCTCAGGTTCTAGAGATTCTTGTGCCTCAACTTCCCAAGTAGCTGGGATTACAGGTGCCAGCCACCCCACCCGGCTATTTTTTTTTTTAAGGACAGATGGCGTTTCACCATGTTGGCCAGGCTGGTCTTGAACTCCTGACCTCAGGTGATCCGCCCACCTCGGCCTCCCAAAGTGCTGGATTACAGTCGTGCGCCACTGCGTCCCGCCTCCTTTTCTTTTTTCTTCTCTCCTCCGTCTTTTTCTATCCTACCTCCCTGCCTCTTTCCTCTCTCCTCCCTCCTTTTCCTTTTTCTTCTCTCCTCCCTCCCTCCTGTTTTTCTCCATCATTCCCTCTCCCTTCCTTTCTTTTTCTCCCGTTCCCCGTTTGCCTCCCTCCCCTTTTTCTTTCCTGTCTCCCTGTCTCCTTTGCTCTTTTCCTCCCTTTCTCCCGTCCCTCCCTCCCCGCCTTCCTTTTCACTTCTTTCCCTTCCCATTGCTTCCTTGCGTTTCCTGCCTTTCCCTGTCTCTCCCTTTCTTTCCTGCCTTTCCCTGCCTCTCTCTTTCCTGCCTTTCCCCATCTCTCCCTTTCCTGCCTTTCCCTGTCTCTCCCTTTCTTTCCCTCTCCTCCCACTCTCCCTCCTTCCTCCCTTCTTTTCTTTCCTCTTCTTTCCCTGTGTCTTTCTTTTTTCTTTCCTTCTCTCTTCCTTTTCTCTCCCTGTGTCTTTCTCGCTCTTGTTTTTCCTTTCTCTCCTTTGTGTACTGAGAAAATGACAGTCCCCGGCTGTGGGTGGGCAGGAGTGACCCGCCCCAGAGAGCGGGGTCACCCTGGGTGACTCCTGGGTGCAGCTGTGAGCCCTGCCTGAGGCTTTTCCTGACCTCTGGGGAGGGCGGCTCAGCCTGGGGCTGGAGGTTGGGGCCAGCTCTGGAGGCTGGAGTGGCTGCTGGGCGGCGGGACGGGTGTCTCAGAAGTCACTGAGGCATGGGTAGGTCTAACCTTGGGACATTGCTGTGGGGAGGGCTGTGGAGACCAAGCACATTCCTGAGGCTCTGCCAGGGCAGCGGGGGTGGACAGTGTCCCCTGAGGACCCAGGACCAAGCCAGGCTCGCTACAGGGGTCCTGGAATAGAGGACAGAGGCCAGGAGCGCTGTGGGTGCTGGGCAGGGGTGGGGAGTTTGCTGGGGAGCTGCGCCTTACAGACCTGTGTTTGTTTCCCAGCCTCAGCGAGGCCGGGCTGGACGGGGCCCTGGTGCTGGTTTTCAGTGCCTCAGCGAGGCCGGGACCAGAGCTGCTATTTCCAGATGAGGCTGGCTCGCATCTGCTCTGGCCGGGGCTCCAGGCCTGAGCCCTGCAACACGGCGTTCCCTTTCCAAGTCTGCAAAGCCTGTCTTAGGGGAGAGAAGAAGTTTCCTTCCATGCGGGTGGGGACGGCTAACCATGTCCAGACACTGAGACCGGTGCTCTGTGTGCTCAGCCTTCAGCCTGCACTGGCTTGGTGGCTTGGTGACCCGCCAGCAGGGTGGTGCTGTCTGTGGGCTCTGCTCAAGCTCCTCTCAGAGCCAGGAGGATGCCCGCCTGCTTGGGCCTGGCTCCCAGGATGTGCTTGGCAAATGCTTCTGGGATGGATGGATGGATGGGTGAGTGGATAACGGATGGATGGATAATGGATAGATGGATAATGGATAGATGGATGGATGGATGGATGATGGATGGATGGATAATGAATGGGTGGGTGGATGGATGGATGTGCTCGATCGGCAAATGCTTCTGGAATGGATGGATAATTGGATGGGTAATGGGTGGGTGGATGGATAATGGATGGATGGATGGATAATGGATGGATGGATGGATAATGGATAGATGGATGGATAATGTATAGATGGATGGATGATGGATGGATGGATGGATAATGGGTGGATGGATGATGGATAATGGGTGGATGGATGAATAATGGATGCTTCTGGGATGGATGGATAATGAGTGGGTGGATGGATAATGAATGGGTGGATGGACAGATGGATAGATGGATATGTTTGCTTGGCAAATGATTCTAGAATGAATGGATGGATGGATAATGAATGGGTGGGTGGGTGGATGGATGGATGCACTCTGTTGGCAAATGCTTCTGGGATGGATGGATGGATAATGGATGGATAGATGGATAATCAATGAGTGGGTGGATGGATGGATAGATGGATGTGTTTGCTTGGTAAATGATTCTGGAATGGATGGGTGGATGGATGGATGGATGCGCTCGATCGGCAAATGCTTCTGGAATGGATGGATAATTGGATGGGTAATGGGTGGGTGGATGGATGCATGGATAGATGGATGTGCTCACTCAGCAAATGCTTCTGGAATGAATGGATGATGGATGGATGAATAGATGGATGGATGGATGAATGGATGGATGGATGGATGGATGAATGAATTGCTAATTGGGGCTGTTTTTCCATACAGAGTGCTGCACGTGGGACTTAGCCTTGGACACTAACTCCTTTGCCCCTCGTATCTGGGAGGGAACAACACAGTTGCTATGCCTGACTAGGGCATGACCTGGGAGGCCTTTGGGGCCACACAGCCTCCTTGGGAAAGGAGGATCAGGTGGGCCTCACACCCAGGAATTGGAAGTGGGAGAGACAACAGCTGCTGGGTAGTGGGGGTAGAGCTGTGTCTCTCACTGCCCTGCCCCTCCAAGGACCAAGAAGAAAGGAATGAGCCCCGATCCGCCTGCCAGGTACCCACCCATGAGAACCCCTTCTCTGCCAGCATCTGATAAAATTACCTGCGTAGCTTTAGAGATCACTGCTGCCTGACCAGCAGCCGCTCTGCTGGAATCTGTCCAGAAAGCCCCTTGGGGCTCAGAAAAGTAGGTGGGTTAATAATAGAAGTAGATGTGGGTTTTTTTGTTTGTGTGTTTATTGAGACGGAGTCTTGCTCTGTGGCCCAGGCTGGAGTGCAGTGGCGTGATCTCGGCTCGCTGCAATCCCTGCCTCCCAGGTTCAAGCATGTCTTCTGCCTCAGCCTCCCAAGTAGCTGGGATAGCAAGTGTGCACCACCACGCCTGATTTTTGTATTTTTAGTAGAGATGGGGTTCCATCCATCCATTCCAGAAGCATTTGGCAAGCACATCCTGGGTGCCAGGCCCAAGCAGGCTGGTCTCAAACTCCTGACCTCAAGTGATCCGCCCACCTCGGCCTCCCAAAGTGCCGGGATGACAGCTGTGAGCCACCGCGCCCCGCCCAGAAGCAGAGGTGTTTTAACGGGAAGACTTCAGGCTTCATCGGACGGCCGGGAAGGAATCAGAGCAGGGGTGAGGTTGGCTTTGTGCGGGGTGGGGTGGGGTGCCAGGCTCTGTGTCGGGTGGGGGCAGCAGCACATCTTTTGTAATTAATCATTGCCGAGGCTCTGCCTGTACGAAGTGTGGTCCGGGGAGGGCTGATGAGGCTGCAGGATGAGGGGGCTTGACAGACCCCTTTCCCCAGAAGAGGGCCCCCAAAAGGCATTGCCCCTGAAGAGGGCTCCCCAAGACCTCATCCCTGAAAAGGGACTCCCAGGGTCACCCCCCTGAAAAGGGCTCCTCAAAAGGCCCCCCGAACGGGGTCCCCCCAAGACTGCCCTCTGAAGGAGGCCCCCGAAGACTTCCCCCGTGAAGGTGCCCCCCAAGACCTGCCCCCTGGAAGAGGGCTCCCCAAGACCTCTCCCCCTAGAAGAGCCCCCTAAGACTTTTACCCTGGAAAAGGGCTCTCTGCAAAGCTTCCCTGGACGTGCGCCTTCGAGCTGGGCAGGTAGGGAGGAGCTGTGTACTCGACATCATCCTTAGGATCTGTTGTCCTCCCGCTTCCCCTGCCCCGGCCCCCAGATGAATCCAGAGGCTGTTTTAGAGCCAGACGGACACTCCTGGTATGCACCAGACACTCATAGTGCAGTGCTCGCTGAGTAGAGGAGGAGTTAGTGGGTGAACCCGGCCCGCCAGGCTGCCCTGCACAGAATTCCAGCCTTGTCACCCCACTGGTTTTTAAATCATCACAATCCTCGGGATGTTCTGTGCATGCCACACACAGACTCTTAAGAGTCCAGAGGTCCTGTTTTTGCACAGTTACTCCAATGAATAAAAAGACGGGCTGGGCGTGGTGGCTCACGCCTGTCATCCGAGCACTTTGGGAGGCCGAGGCGGGGTGGATTGCCTGAAGTCAAGAGCTGAAGACCAGCCTGGCCAACATGGTGAAACCTCGTCTCTACTGAAAATACAAAAAAATTAGCTGGGCGTGGTGGTGGGCGCCTGTAATTTTAGCTATTGCGGAGGCTAAGGCAGGAGAATCGCTTGAACCCGGGAGGCGGAGGTTGCAGTGAGCCGAGATCACACCACTGCACTCCAGCCTGGGCGACAGTGAGACTGTCTCAAAAAAAAAAAAAAAAAAAAATTTCTAGCAGACACTGAAGGGAGAGGGAGAGGAACAAGCCCCAGGGACCCTTTATCCGACTTCCTTCCACCTGGGGGACTCCCTCCACGGGCCCTTGCTTTAAGGGCAAATGGCGAGGGCACCAGAACACAGGGAGGCCATGCCGGAGGTCCCTGCTGCAACCATGCGGCCCCCCAGCTCACTCCCAGCAGCCAAGACGAAGGGGGGCCTGGGCTCCCCCTAGGGCAGGCGCCTCTGATTCTCTCCACCGAGAGGCACCTCCCATGCCGGCCTCTTCCTGGGGTGACTCCCAGAACCTTCTTGGACCCATGAACATTTCAATCTGGGGTGGGGCCTTCCCTGGGCATCCAAGTGGTGGGAATCTGTCCCTAGCCCCTAGAACTCCTGGAGGGCTGGGCCCACCTCTGTCTGCATCCCGTCCCCATTCCCCGCCCCGGGTGGCAGGGGCTGGAGAGGAAGGAGCTTCAGGCTTCAAAACCATCAAAGCAGGTTTCTTCCGAGATGGCCAGTGGTCACCTGAGATGGAGCAGAGAGCACCTGTGGCGGGCATCTTCTCTAGAAGCCGCCTGTGAGCCCTACGGAGGCCCTGGGCTTCGTGCCGTAAGACAGACGGTGTCCTGCAGGTACGTGGGGGAACCCTGTAGGCAGGGACTTTGCCTGCTTTCTCAGAACAGGACAGAGGAGTTTGGCTGGGGCAGCCCGAGGTGACCGGGATGCTGTCGCCCCAGCTCTGGGCCAGGCTGATGTGGGAAGGGAGGAAGGAGGGACAGTTACGGGCCAGGCTGACGTGGGAAGGGAGGGAGGAGGGAGGTAGGAGGGACAGAGGCCTGGCTGCTCTGCAGGGCTGGGCTCCGTGGCATCTCCTGGTGGCTGTCAGGTCCTGCCTGGCCCCACGCTGAGGCCAGTGTGATGGAGGGGCCTGGAAGCCTCATCCTTCTTGATTGCCACGCGGTGAGGGCCACAGGCATGCGCCACCGCACTGGACTCCCCCTTTCATCATCAAAGCCAAATTTTCTTCTTGTTTCATCTAGGCCTCCCATGGAGACACCATGTGTGATTGTAAAAAAAAAAAAAAAATGAGTCAGGCCGGGCACGGTGGCTCACGCCTGCAATGCCAGCACTTTAGGAGGCCGAGGTGGGCAGATCACCTGAGGTCAGGAGTTCGAGACCAGCCTGGCCAACATGGTGAAACCCCGTCTCTACTAAAAATAGAAAAATTAGCCGCGTGTGGTGGCGCATGCCCGTAATCCCTGCACTGTGGGAGGCCGAGGTGGGCGGATCACCTGAGGTTAGGAGTTCTAGACCACCCTGGCCAACATGGTGAAACCCCGTCTCTACTAAAAATACAAAAATTAGCTGGGTTTGGTGGTGCGTGCCTGTAATCCCAGCACTTTGGGAGGCCAAGGTGGGCGGATTACCTGAGGTCGGGAGTTCCAGACCAACCTGGCCAACATGGTGAAACCCCATCTCTACTAAAAACACAAAAATTAGGCGGGCATGGTGGTGGGTGCCTGTAATCCCAGCTACTCAGGAGGCTGAGACAGGATAACTACTTGATCCCGGGAGGTGGAGGTTGTAGTGAGCCAAGATCGTGCCATTGCACTCCAGCCTGGGCAACAGAGTGAGATTCTGTCTCAAAAAAGAAAAAAACAGACCAAAAAAAAAACGGAGTCTGTCCAGAATTATACACAGTCACCTGTGCCAGGTAACAACCCTTCAGTCAACAACGGCCTTCCTAGACAGCGGAGGTCCCAGGAGATGGTAATACAGTAGTTTTCGTGTGCCTTTATTTGTAGACACACAAATCCCTACCATTGTATTACAGCAGCCTGCAGCACTGGGCACACTCACCTGCTGTCCAGGTTTGTAGCCCGGGAGCCTGGGGCCCTGCCGCACAGCCCAGGTGAGTAGCAGGCTGTATGTGCCACGGCGGTATGTGTGAGTGCACCCCGTGATGGGCACACAAAGAGAATTGCCTAAGGATGCATTTCCCGAAACAGGTCCCTGTCATTCAGTGACACACGTGACTGTGTGTGTGTGTGTGTGTGTGTGCGCACAGATGGGTGTGTATGTGTATGTATACACACCTGAACACTCACACCTCTACACACGTGCCTGTACACGGATAGAACACATAATTTACAGAATTTATGGAACACATAATTTATATTACATAAAATATATAGAGATCAGTTTTGTTTTCTTTTATTTATTTATTTAGACGGAGTCTCACTCTGTCGCCCAGGCTGGAGTGCAGTGGCACAATCTCGGCTCACTGCAACCTCCACCTACTGGGTTCAAGCCATCCTCCTGTCTCAGCCTCCCCCCTGTAGCTGGGATTATAGGCTCCTGCCACTATGCCCGGCTAGTGTTTGTATTTTGTGTAGAGACAGGATTTCACTCTGTTGGCCAGGCTGGTCTCGAATTCCTGACCACAGGTGATCCGCCCACCTCAGCCTCCCAAAGTGCTGGGATGACAGGCGTGAGCCACTGCACCCAGCCTATTTCAGCTGTTTTCTTAAAGCACAAAGCAACCTACACATTCTTTTGTGATACCAGGCCACTGTAAGGGTGGAGCAGCATGTGACTTTGGTGTTATTGAGATCATCCGTGACCATTGCAGAAAACCACTCCCATCTGTGCAGTGAGCACCTTGAAATAGGCCGCCCAGGAGGCAGAGGGTGCACCTTGAAATTGGGCTAGGAGGCGGAGCTTGCGCCTTGAAATAGGCCGCCCGGGAGGCGGGGCTTGCACCTTGAAATAGGCCGCCCAGAAGGCGGGGTTGCACCTTGAAATAGGCCACCCAGGAGGCGGGGCTTGCCCCTTGAAATAGGCCGCCCAGGAGGCGGGGTTGCACCTTGAAATAGGCTGCCTGGGAGGCAGAGCTCGCACCTTGATATAGGCCGCCCAGGAGGCAGGGCTTGCCCCTTGAAATAGGCCGCCCGGGAGGTGGGGTTGCACCTTGAAACAGGCCGCCTGGGAGGCGGAGCTTGCACCTTGTAATAGGCCGCCCGGGAGGCGGGGCTTGCACCTTGAAATAGGCCTAGAAGGTGGGGCTTCCACCTTGAAATAGGCCGCCCAGGAGGCGGAGTTTGCACCTTGAAATAGACTGCCCAGGAGGCGGAGGTTGCAGTGAGCCGAGATTGCATTATTGTACTCCAGTCTGGGTAAGAAGAGCTAAACTCCAGAGTCTGTCTCAGAAAAAGGAAAACAGCTGAAATATAGGAGACTGACGCCCAGCCCAGGAACAGGTAAGCTGGGTGCACGCGCCGTGAAAACAGCACCTAGGCCTGCTCCGGTTCTCGCTTTGCAGATGCCTCCTGAACCTCAGTGCCTCCTAAGGTCAAGGCTGTGAGTTAAAGGGCTCCACCCCAGCCCAGCCCCAGGTTGGCCCAGCCATTCCCTGGTGGAGGGGCCAGGGAGGAAAGGGGGCTGTGTGGGCACCAGAGGGTGAACTGAGGTCTGAGGGTCGGGACACAGGCCGGGAACAGCAGCTGGGAGCGGAGCACGGGGGAAACGTGGATGCGCTGAGCTCCCTACAACCGCAGTGAGCATGTGCCCAGGAGGGCCTCACGGGGTGGGTGTGAGTCTGGCCTGCCTGGGCTCGGGGTGGGGGGTGTTTACAGACGCATTTCAGCCCCGCAGCAGGGGCTGGGGAGGTCCCGCTCGTGACAGTCTCTGCACCAAGGCAGGAGAGATGGAAGCCGCCCAGAGAACTGCCACTCCATAGCCTGTGGGCATCCAGGGGTGAGCGGCAGCGATGGCGCCCCATGGAGGAAACACACTGGAAATCGTGCAGAAGATGGGAAGATGCAGGCTGGAGTGCGGAGAAGGACTGAGACCCTGCCTGGTAGACGGCACCGTCACAGCAGCCGTCTGCCTGCTAGGAGGTAGGAGAAAGCCCTGTCCCCACCGCCCTCCCCGGGAGTCCCCACTGGCTACTCTGGAAGGCTGCTGGTTCCCAGAACATCCGTGGGCTGAACAGTTATTCCTGGCTGTCCCTCCGTCCCCTCCTCCCCGAATGCAGCCTCCATCTCCTCCTCTAAAAATGCAGCCTCCATCCCCTCCTCCCCCAATTCAGCCTCCGTCCCCTCCTCCCTGAATGCAGCCTCCTTCCCCCCTCCCAAAATTCAGCCTCTGTCCCCACTCCCCAAATACAGCCTCTTTCCCTTCCTCCCCCAATACAGCTTCCTTCCCAAAAGCAGCCTCCTTTCCCTCCTCCTCCCCAAATGCAGCCTCCTTCCCCCTCCCAAAATGCAGCCTCTGTCCCCACTCCCCAAATGCAGCCTCCTTCCCCTCCTCCCCAAATGCAGCCTCTTTCTCCTCGCTCCTCCCCAATGCAGCTTCCTTCCCCCTCCCAAAATGCAGCCTCTGTCCCCACTCCCCAAATGCAGCCTCCTTCCCCTCCTCCCCAAATGCAGCCTCTGTCCCCCTCCCCAAATGCCACCTCCTTCCCCCCTCCCCAAATGCAGCCTCTTCCCCTCCTCCCCGAATGCAGCCTCCTTCCCCTCCTCCCCGAATGCAGCCTCCTTCCCCTCCTCCCCGAATGCAGCCTCCTTCCCCTCCTCCCCGAATGCAGCCTCCATCCTCTCCTCCCCGAATGCAGCCTCCTGTCCTCCCCAAATGCAGCCTCTGTCCCCCCCTCCCCAAATGCCGTCTCCTTCCCCTCCTCCCCAAATGCAGCCTCTGTCTCCTCCTTCCCAAAAGCAGCCTCCTTCCCCCACTCCCCAAATGCAGCCTCTGTCTCCTCCTCCCTAAATGCAGCCGTCTCCCTCATCAAAACCCCTATGGAGGAGGCAGAGACAGGCTTTTGCTTTCTTTATTCAGTCACGACTACACGCTCCTATGTGACTGTCCTATGGTACTTGGGGACCGGGCGGTCCACCTGCAGCCTGGGGGAGGACATCCCTATAATGAACATGCTGCCTGGGCTTCAGGGGGCCACTTTGGTGGCCAAGATGGCATCCAGGACACCCCCCAAGTGCACCACCTGCACCTGGTGGAAGCCGTGCAGCTCCAGCAAGCACTGATACTCGCCCAGGCTCCGCTCCTTGCCTTCAGTCTGCACCAGCATGTTCAGTGACTGCATCAGGGCGCGCTGCGCCACCCTCTTCTCCTCATCCAGGAGCGTCTCCACCAGCAGCAGGCCGGCCCCTGAGGGAGACAGCAGAGAGCTGGAGTCCTGGCCAGCCAGGCGGGGATCCTTCAGCAGGACACAGGGGACACAGCAGGCAACAGGAGCTCAGAACGGTGAGCAGAGGCTGCTGAGAACCCTTGGCCAGGGGGCCCACACAGGTAGGGGAGGGGAGAGAGACAGAGACTTGATGCAGGGCGGACAGACAGGGAGAAGGAGATTTGATCGAAAGATGGATGGATAGATGGATGCATCACCTGGGCCTTTTCCGGTTCTCCTGGATGCATGGATGAACAGATGGTAGATGATGGGTGGGTAGGTAGGTAGAAAGATGTATGGATAGGTGGACGCATGGATGAGAAGGATGGATGGATGAACAGATGGTAAGTGATGGGGAGGTACATGGATGGATGGATAGATGGATGCATGTATGAGATGGATGGATGGGTGAATAGATGGTAGATGATGGGTAGGTAGGTAGATGAGTGGATGGACAGATGGATGCATGGATGTGATGGATGGATGGGTGAATAGATGGTACATGATGGGCAGGTAGACGGATGGATAGATGGATGCATGGACGAGATGGATGGATGGGTGAATAGATGGTACATGATGGGTAGGTAGGAAGATGAATAGATGGGTGCATGGATGAGATGGATGGTTGGGTGAATAGATGGTAGATGATGGGTACGTAGGTAGATGGATGGATAGATGGATGCATGGATGAGATGGATGGGTGAATAGATGGTAGATGATGGGTAGGTAGGTAGATGAATGGATGGATAGATGGATGCATGGATGAGATGGATGGATGGATGGGTGAATAGATGGTAGATCATGGGTACATAGATAGATGAATGGATGGATAGATGAATGCATGGATGAGATGGATGGGTGAATAGATGGTAGATGATGGGTAGGTAGGTGGATGGATGGATGGATGGATGCAGGCATGGATGAGATGGATGGATGGGTGAATAGATGGGTAGGTAGGTAGATAGATGGATGTATAGATGGATGGATGGATGGGTGAATAGATAGTAGATGATGGTTAGGTAAGTAGGTAGATGAATGGATGGATAGATGGATGCATGCATGAGATGGATGGATGGGTGTATAGATGATAGATGATGGGTAGGTAGGTAGACGAATGGACGGATAGATGGATGCATGGATGAGATGGATGGATGGGTGAATAGATGGTAGATGATGGGTAGGTAGATGAATGGATGGACAGATGGATGCATGGATGAGATGGATGGATGGGTGAATAGATGGTACATGATGGACAGGTAGATAGATGAATGGATGGATATATGGATGTATGGATGAGATGGATGGATGGGTGAATAGATGGTAGCTGATGGATAGGTAGGAAGATGAATAGTTGGATGCATGGATGAGATGGATGGTTGGGTGAATAGATGGTAGCTGATGGGTACGTAGGTAGATGTATGGATGGATAGATGGATGCATGGATGAGAGGGATGGATGGGTGAATAGATGGTAGATGATGGGTAGGTAGATGAGTGGATGGATAGATGGATGAATGGATGAATAGATGGTAGATGATGGGTACGTAGATAGATGAATGGATGGATAGATGGATGCATGGATGAGATGGATGGATGAGTGAACAGATGGTAGATTATGCGTAGGTAGGTAGATGAATAGATGGGTGCATGGATGAGATGGATGGTTGGGTGAATAGATGGTAGATGATGGGTACGTAGATAGATGAATGGATGGATAGATGGATGGATGGGTGAACAGATGGTAGATGATGGGTACGTAGATAGATGAGTGGATGGATAGATGGATGTGATGGATGGGTGAATAGATGGTAGATGATGGATCGTTAGGTGGATGGATAGATGGAGGCATGGATGAGATGGATGGATGGGTGAATAGGTAGGTAGGTAGATAGATGGATGTATAGATGGATGCATGGATGTGATGGATGGATGGGTGAATAGATAGTAGATGATGGTTAGGTAGGTAGATGAGTGGATAGATAGATGGATGCATGCATGAGATGGATGGGTGTATAGATGATGGGTAGGTAGGTAGACGGATGGATGGATAGATGGATGCATGCATGAGATGGATGGATGGGTGAATAGATGGTAGATGATGGGTAGGTAGATAGATGAATGGATGGATAGATGGATGCATGGATGAGATGGATGGATGGGTGAATAGATGGTACATGATGGGCAGGTAGATAGATGAATGGATGGATATATGGATGTATGGATGAGATGGATGGATGGGTGAATAGATGGTAGATGATGGGTAGGTAGGAAGATGAATAGATGGATGCATGGATGAGATGGATGGTTGGGTGAATAGATGGTAGCTGATGGGTACATAGGTAGATGGATGGATGGATAGATGGATGCATGGATGAGATGGATGGGTGAATAGATGGTAGATGATGGGTAGGTAGATGAGTGGATGGATGGATGAATGGATGAGTAGATGGTAGATGATGGGTACGTAGATAGATGAATGGATGGATAGATGGATGTATGGATGTGATGGATGGGTGAATAGATGGTAGACGATGGGTAGGTAGGTGGATGGATAGATGGAGGCATGGATGAGATGGATGGATGGGTGAATAAATGGGTAGGTAGGTAGGTAGATGGATGTATAGATGGATGCATGGATGAGATGGATGGATGGCTGAATAGATGGTAGATGATGGGTAGATAGATGAATGGATGGATGAGATGGATGGATGGGTGAATAGATGGTAGATGATGGGTAGGTAGGAAGATGAATAGATGGGTGCATGGATGAGATGGATGGTTGGGTGAATAGATGGTAGATGATGGGTAGGTAGGTAGATGGATGGATGGATTCATGGATGAGATGGATGGATAGGTGAATAGATGGTAGATGATGGGTAGGTAGGTAGATGAATGGATGGATAGATGGATGCATGGATGAGATGGATGGAGGGATGGGTGAATAGATGGTAGATGATGGGTACGTAGATAGATGAGTGGATGGATAGATGGATGTATGGATGTGATGGATGCTTGAATAGATGGTAGATGATGGGTAGGTAGGTGGATGGATGGATGGATAGATGGCATGGATGAGATGGATGTATGGGTGAATAGATAGGTAGGTAGGTAGATGGATGCATGGATGTGATGGATGGATGGGTGAATAGATAGTAGATGATGGTTAAGTAGGTAGATGAATGGATGGATAGATGGATGCATGCATGAGATGGATGGATTAGTGAATAGATGGTAGATGATGGGTAGGTAGGTAGATGAATGGATAGATACATGGATGCATGCATGAGATGGATGGATGGGTGAATAGATAATAGATGATGGGTAGGTAGATGAATGGATGGATAGATGGGTGCATGGAACAGATGGATGGATGGGTGAATAGATGGTAGATGATGGGTACATAGATAGATGAATAGATGGATGCATGGATGAGATGGATGGGTGAATAGATAGTAGATGATGGGTAGGTAGATGAATGGATGGATAGATGCATGGATTGGATGGATGGGTGAATAGATGGTAGATGATGGGTAGGTAGATGGATGGATGGATGGATGCATGCATGGATGAGATGGATGGGTGAACTGATGGTAGATGATGGGTAGATGGATGGATGGATGGGTGAACTGATGGTAGATGATGGGTAGGTAGATAGATGAATGGATGTATATAGATGGATGCATGGATGAGATGGATGGCTGGGTGAATAGATGGTAGATGATGGGTAGGTAGGTAGATGGATGGATGGATAGATGGATGCATGGATGAGATGGATGGATGGCTGAATAGATGGTACATGATGGGCAGGTAGATGAATGGATGGATAGATGGATGAGATGGATGGGTGTATTGATGGTAGGTGATGGGCAGGTAGGTAGATGAATGGATGGATATAGATGGATGCATTCATGAGATGGATGGATGGGTGAATAGATGGTAGATGATAGGTAGATAGATGAATAGATGGATAGATGGATGCATGGATGAGATGGATGGATGGGTGAATATATGGTAGATGATGGGTAGGTAGATGATGGATGGATGGATAGATAATAAATGATAGACAGATGACAGGTGACGGAGCATTGTTAGAAGGCCAGACGCAGTGGCTCACACCTGTAATCGCAGCACTTTGGGAGGCAGAGGTGGGAGGATGGTTTGAGCCCAGGAGTTTGAAACCAACCTGAGCAACATAGTGAGACCCTGTCTCTATTTTATTTTTTTTAAAAAAGGATGATAGATGTATAAAGAGAGACAGAGACAGGGTGGAGAGAGGGAGGAAGAGACAGAGAAGATAAAGGAGGAAGGAGGAGAGAAGAGAAACAGAGATTGATGATGATAGATGAGATACCTAAAAAGACACAGAGAGGAGGAGACAGAGAGGAAGAGGGAGAAGAGAGAGAAAGAGAGACAGAGGCCGGGTGCAGTGGCTCATGTCTTTAACCCCAGCATTTTGGGAGGCTGAGGCAGGAGGATCGCTTGAGCCCAGGAAGGGTAGCCTGGGCAACATCGCAAGATCCCATCTCTACAAAATTTAAAAAACCCTAACAGGGCATGATAACAAATGCTGGTACTCCCAAATACTCGGGAGGCTGAGGCAGGAGGATCGCTTGAGCGCAGGAGGTCAAGGCTGCAGTGAACTATGATGGCAACACTGCCCTCCAGCCAAATGCTGGTACTCCCAAATACTCGGGAGGCTGAGGCAGGAGGATCGCTTGAGTGCAGGAGGTCAAGGCTGCAGTGAACTATGATGACAACACTGCCCTCCAGCCAAATGCTGGTACTCCCAAATACTCGGGAGGCTGAGGCAGGAGGATCGCTTGAGCCCAGGAGGTCAAGGCTGCAGTGAACTATGATGACAACACTGCCCTCCAGCCAAATGCTGCTACTCCCAAATACTCGGGAGGCTGAGGCAGGAGGATCGCTTGAGTGCAGGAGGTCAAGGCTGCAGTGAACTATGATGACAACACTGCAGTCCAGCCAAATGCTGGTACTCCCAAATACTCGGGAGGCTGAGGCAGGAGGATCGCTTGAGCCCAGGAGGTCAAGGCTGCAGTGAACTATGATGACAACACTGCCCTCCAGCCAAATGCTGGTACTCCCAAATACTCGGGAGGCTGAGGCAGGAGGATCGCTTGAGCCCAGGAGGTCAAGGCTGCAGTGAACTATGATGACAACACTGCCCTCCAGCCAAATGCTGGTACTCCCAAATACTCGGGAGGCTGAGGCAGGAGGATCGCTTGAGTGCAGGAGGTCAAGGCTGCAGTGAACTATGATGGCAACACTGCCCTCCAGCCAAATGCTGCTACTCCCAAATACTCGGGAGGCTGAGGCAGGAGGATCGCTTGAGCCCAGGAGGTCAAGGCTGCAGTGAACTATGATGACAACACTGCCCTCCAGCCAAATGCTGCTACTCCCAAATACTCGGGAGGCTGAGGCAGGAGGATCGCTTGAGTGCAGGAGGTCAAGGCTGCAGTGAACTATGATGGCAACACTGCACTCCAGCCAAATGCTGCTACTCCCAAATACTCGGGAGGCTGAGGCAGGAGGATCGCTTGAGCCCAGGAGGTCAAGGCTGCAGTGAACTATGATGACAACACTGCAGTCCAGCCAAATGCTGGTACTCCCAAATACTCGGGAGGCTGAGGCAGGAGGATCGCTTGAGCCCAGGAGGTCAAGGCTGCAGTGAACTATGATGACAACACTGCCCTCCAGCCAAATGCTGGTACTCCCAAATACTCGGGAGGCTGAGGCAGGAGGATCGCTTGAGCCCAGGAGGTCAAGGCTGCAGTGAACTATGATGACAACACTGCCCTCCAGCCAAATGCTGGTACTCCCAAATACTCGGGAGGCTGAGGCAGGAGGATCGCTTGAGTGCAGGAGGTCAAGGCTGCAGTGAACTATGATGGCAACACTGCACTCCAGCCAAATGCTGCTACTCCCAAATACTCGGGAGGCTGAGGCAGGAGGATCGCTTGAGCCCAGGAGGTCAAGGCTGCAGTGAACTATGATGACAACACTGCACTCCAGCCAAATGCTGGTACTCCCAAATACTCGGGAGGCTGAGGCAGGAGGATCGCTTGAGCCCAGGAGGTCAAGGCTGCAGTGAACTATGATGACAACACTGCCCTCCAGCCAAATGCTGGTACTCCCAAATACTCGGGAGGCTGAGGCAGGAGGATCGCTTGAGCCCAGGAGGTCAAGGCTGCAGTGAACTATGATGACAACACTGCCCTCCAGCCAAATGCTGGTACTCCCAAATACTCGGGAGGCTGAGGCAGGAGGATCGCTTGAGCCCAGGAGGTCAAGGCTGCAGTGAACTATGATGACAACACTGCCCTCCAGCCAAATGCTGGTACTCCCAAATACTCGGGAGGCTGAGGCAGGAGGATCGCTTGAGCCCAGGAGGTCAAGGCTGCAGTGAACTATGATGACAACACTGCCCTCCAGCCAAATGCTGGTACTCCCAAATACTCGGGAGGCTGAGGCAGGAGGATCGCTTGAGCCCAGGAGGTCAAGGCTGCAGTGAACTATGATGACAACACTGCCCTCCAGCCAAATGCTGGTACTCCCAAATACTCGGGAGGCTGAGGCAGGAGGATCGCTTGAGCCCAGGAGGTCAAGGCTGCAGTGAACTATGATGACAACACTGCCCTCCAGCCAAATGCTGGTACTCCCAAATACTCGGGAGGCTGAGGCAGGAGGATCGCTTGAGCCCAGGAGGTCAAGGCTGCAGTGAACTATGATGACAACACTGCCCTCCAGCCAAATGCTGGTACTCCCAAATACTCGGGAGGCTGAGGCAGGAGGATCGCTTGAGCCCAGGAGGTCAAGGCTGCAGTGAACTATGATGACAACACTGCACTCCAGCCTGGGTGACAGAGGGGGACTCCTATCTCCACAAAAAACTTTTTTTTTTTTTTCTGAGACGGAGTCTTGCTGTGTTGCCCAGGCTGGAGTGCAGTGGCGCGATCTCTGCTCACTGCAACCTTCGCCTCCCAGGTTCAAGTGATGTCCTCTCTCAGCCTCCTGAGTAGCTAGAATTAGAGGCGTGCACCACTACGCCGGACTAATTTTTGTATTTTTAGTAGAGGCGGGGTTTCACCACGTGGCTTAGGCTGGTCTCGAACTCCTGACCTCGAGATCTGCCCGCTTTGGCCTCCCAAAGTGCTGGGATTACAGGTGTGAGCCACCGTGCCCGGTCTCAGAAAAAACTTCTTAAAAAATTAGCTGGGCATGGTGATGCATGATGCATGCCTGTACTTCCAGCTACTCGGGAGGCTGAGGTGGGAGGACAGCTTGAGCCTAGGAGGTCAAGGCTGCAGTGACCTGTGACTGCTCCACTGCACACCAGCCTGGGCAGCAGAGTGAGACCTCGTCTCAAAAAATATAATAGAGCCGGGCGAGGTGGCTCACGCCTGTAATCCCAACACTTTGGGAGTCCCAGCTGGGTGGATCACCCGAGGTTGGGAGTTCGAGACCAGCCTGACCAACATGGAGAAACCCTGTCTCTATTAAAAATAAAAAATTAGCCGGGCGTGGTGGTATGTGCCAGTAATCCAGCTACTCGGGAGGCTGAGGCAGGAGAATCACTTGAACCCTGGGGGTGGAGGTTACGGAGAGCCAAGATCGTGCCACTGCACTCCAGCCTGGGCGACAGAGCGAGACTCCGTCTCAAAAAAAAAAAAGAAGAGAGATACACAGAGAAAGAGAGAAAGAAGGAGAGACAGAGGGAGAGAAGAATGGAAGTCTCTTGACCATTTGAGCCTATGGGGAGTCCTGTTTCAACGCGCAGGTGCCAGGCCCTGGCTCT
The DNA here is from genome assembly GCF_000001405.40 of Homo sapiens. NCBI lineage: Eukaryota > Metazoa > Chordata > Mammalia > Primates > Hominidae > Homo > Homo sapiens. Next base: position 1,411,321 of record NC_000023.11, read on the forward strand.
GTGAAGATAATTAACCGTTGTCTGCAAATATTCCAGGAATTCTCACTGGAGCAACAACGCTGAACTCTTGAGGGAGGCTGAGTGCCCGTCAGATTCCCTCAGGGCCAGCTGGTTCAACTGTGGAAACCCAATATGCAGCCCTGGCCCGAACCCCTGGAGCCAGGGTTTCCAGCAGCCCCACTGGGCTCCAGGAGCAGCCTGGGTGGACGGGGGAGAAACCTGATGTGAAGGCTTTGAGCCGAGATGGTGCGTGCTGTGTGTGTGTGCACGTGTGTCTGCGTAGAAACACACAGATTAGATCCAGCTGCAGAGTCCACTCATGCGTGGATTTCCCTCTGCCTCGGCCACCCCTGAGACAGCAACACCAGCCCACGGCTTCCTCCTCTGCAGCCTCCTCAGTGTGAAGACCTCCTCAAGAATGAAGACTTTTATCATGAGCCACTTCAACTTCACGAATAGTAAATATATTTTCTCTTTAGGATTTTCTTTTTTTTTTTTTTTTTTTTTTTTGAGATGGAGTCTCGCTCTGTTACCCAGGCTGGAGTGCGGTGGCGCAGTCTCGGCTCACTGCAACCTCCGTCTCCAGGTTCAAGCGATTCTCCTGCCTCAGCCTCCTGAGTAGCTGGGATTACAGGCACCCGCTATCAAGCCCGGCTTATTTTTTGTGTTTGTTTTTAATAGAGACGGGGTTTCACCATGTTGGCCAGGCTGGTCTCAAACCCCCGACCTCAGGTGATCCGCCCGCCTCGGCCTCCCGAAGTGCGGGGATGACAGGCGTGAGCCACCACACCTGGCCACACTGGCCAACTTTAAATACAGCAGATTTACCCTCCACAATTTAGCGGGCCTCTCACCCAGACGCTGGACCTGCCAACCTCCAAAGTCACATAAGCCAATTCTTTTTTTGTTGTGGTTGTTCTTTTTTGACACCGAATCTCACTCCGTCGCCCAGGCTGGAGTGCAGTGGCGCGATCTCGGCTCACTGCAGTCTCCAGCTCCCGGGTTCAAGTGATTCTCCTGCCTCAGCCTCTGAAGTACCTGGGATTACAGGTGCGCACTACCACACCTGGCTAATTTTTGTATTTTTAGTAGAGACGGGGTTTCACCATGTTGGCCAGGCTGGTCTCGAACTGCTCACCCCGGGTGATCCACCTGCCTCAGCCTCCCAAAGTGCTGGGATTATAGGCATGAGCCACCACGCCTGGCTAATTTTTGTATTTTTAGTAGCGATGGGGTTTCACCACGTTGGCCAGGCTGGTCTGAAACTCCTGACCTCAGGTGATCCGCCCGCCTCGGCCTCCCAAAGCGCTGGGATGACAGGCGTGAGCCACCGCGCCCGGCCTCCTTGTAAAACTTGAACCCAAAATACTACGTCTTAACAAAAACAGCTAACCTGACGATGGGCTCTCACCTGGCTTGCAGCTCTCGGCGACCCTGCTGAGTAACTTGTGGACTTTGTCGTCTGGCCAGTCATGCAGGATCCGGCACAGGACGTACAGCTCAGCGCTGGGGAGGGGGTCCCTGAAAAAGTCACCTGGTTTAAAGACAAAACGAGATACGTCCGTCAGGTATGGAAGAAGCAGTCCTCCCCGGACAGATCCTGGGACGGCCACCCGCATCCTAAATCAGGGACAGAGAAGAGAGGGGTGTGGGCGGGAATGGGTCTTCCTGAAGTACATCCCCGTGGGGACTTGAACAGAGCTCCATGAGGAGCTGGTTAGTGATGTCACGCCCGTGCGGTTTGACTCGGGCTGAGAAAACGCTGGGGACAGTGGCTCACACCTGTAATCTCAGCATTTTGGGAGCCTGAGGTGGGCAGATTGTCTGAGCTCAGGAGTTCGAGACCAGCCTGGGCAACACGGCGAAACCCCATCTCTACTAAAAATGCAAATTAGCTGGACAGGGGTGGCGGGCGCCTGTCATCCCAGCTACGCGGGAGGCTGAGGCAGGAGAATCGCTTGAACCTGGGAGGTGGAGGTTGCAGTGAGCCGAGATCGCGCCATCGCACTCCAGCCTGGGCGACAAGAAGGCAAGGGAGGAAAAAAGCAGGGAATTCAGGGGCAGCACCTGGGCGAGGCAGGCAGAGTCGGCGCACATGGGCGTGTGCCAGGGAGAGTCGGGGCCGCACTGCCGGTGAGTGGGCAATGGCAGGGCCTTCTCTGGTGATCCCCTGATTCAGGCGCCCCAGGAGGGTTGCCTGTTGCGGGGGGCGCATGTAGCTGCACGCCCCTCTGTAATTGCTGAAATAAAAAGATGGTCTGCTGTAGTGCAGTGAATGGTGTCCCCTTAAAAGATATATTCAGGTGCTGACCCTCAGTCGCTGGGAATGGGACCTTATCTGGAAATAGGGTCTCTATGGATGTCATTGAGTAAAGAATTTCAAAATGAGATCATCCTGGAGTAGGGTGTCCCCTAAATCCAATGACAGGTGTCCTTCTAAGAGACAGAAGAGGAGACAGACACAGAGGAGAAGGCCACGTGGAGACGGAGGCAGAGACTGGAGTGATGCGGCCACAAGCCCAGGGACGCCTGGAGCCCCCAGGAGCTGGAAGAGGCGGGAAGGATCCTCCCCTAGAGCCTCTCAGAAAGAATCAAACACAACTGCAATGGGTTGGGTGGTGACGTCCAAAAGATCTGTCCAAGTCCTAAGCCCCAGAACCTGGGAATGGGACCTCATTTGGATAAAGTTTCTTTGCAGATGTAATTAAGGATCTGGAGATGGGATCATCCTGGAGTAGGGTGGGCCCTAAATGCAATGGCAGGTGTCCTTCTAAGAGACAGAAGAGGAGACACACAGAGGAGAAGGCCACGTGGAGATGGAGGCAGAGACTGGAGTGATGCGGCTACAAGCCCAGGGACACCCGGAGCCCCCAGGAGCTGGGAGAGGCAGGAAGGATCCTCCCCTAGAGCCTCCAGAGGGAGCACAGCCCTGAGATGCCTTGATCTCAGACCTCCGGTCTGCAGGACAGGGAGAGGATAAATAGCAAGCTGTGAGTTGCATGAGGGGAAAGAAGGGGCGGGAGAGTGTGCGGTGGGAAGTCTCCAGAGCTGTTTTCCCCCAGCTGCGAGGAGAAGGTGCTCTTTCAGGGCTCATGATTTTAAACTTTAGCATTTCCGGCCGGGCGGGGTGTAATCCCAGCACTTTGGGAGGCCAAGACGGGTGGATGACCTGAGGTGAGGAGTTCGAGACCAGCCTGGCCAACATGGTGAAACCCCATCTGTACTAAAAATACAAAAGTTAGCCAGGCGTGGTGGCGGGCACTTGTCACCCCAGCTACTCGGGAGGCTGAGGTGGGAGGATCCCTTGAACCCAGGAAGTGGAGGTTGCAGTGAGCTAAGATCACGCCACTGCACTCCAGCCTGGGTGACAGAGCGAGACACCATTCAAACATAAATAAATTTCAGCATTTCTGTCTCTGCAGATCTGGCAAATCAGAAGCACAGCTATCATGATGTCCTGCAGGAGGAGCTGTAGGGTGGTTGCGTTTTGTTTTTTTAAAAACGAGAAAAGCATCCAGGAACCTCTGGGGGAGGGTTGTGGAGGTCCCCAGCACCTGTGCCCACAGGCCTGGCCGCTGTCGGATGGTGCTGAGTTACAGCACGTCAGCTGTCTCTTTTTTTATTTTTTTATTTTTTTTGAGATGGAGTTTTGCTGTGTTGCCCAGGCTGGAGTGCAGTGGCGCGATCTCGGCTCACGGCAAGCTCCGCCTCCCGGGTTCAAGCGATTCTCCTGCCTCAGCCTCCTGAATAGGTGGGATTATAGGCACCCGCCACCATGCCTGGCTAATTTCTGTAATTTTAGTAGAGATGGGGTTTCACCATGTTGCTCTGGCTGGTCTCAAACTCCTGACCTCAGGTGATCCACCCGCCTCAGCCTCCCAGAGGGCTGGGATTCCAGGCGTCTCCTGTCAATCCGTCCTGGCCTCAGCAGCTGCCACCTGGAAGTTCTCCTTCAAGTCTAACCTAAGGCCACACTGTGACGGCTCTCGGGTCAGTTCCTTCCGTGACCTCGGCACCGTGGATGCCCATGAATGCTGATCTCGGCTGTTCCCCATCTCCACTCCCCTCACGTCTCGGCTACTTGCACTGATGATAACTTCACACAGTCGTCCACCTGTTTATTTTTATTTATCATTATTATTATCATTGTCTTTTTTTTTTTGAGATGGAGTTTCGCTCTTGTTGCCCAGGCTGGAGTGCAGTGGTGAGATCTCAGCTCACTGCAACCTCCGCCTCCCAGGTTCAAGCGATTTTCCTGCCTCAGCCTCCTGAGTAGCTGGGATTACAGGCGCCCGCCACCACGCCCGGCTAATTTTTGTATTTTTAGTAGAGATGGGGTTTCGCCATGTTGGCCAGGCTGGTCTCGAACTCCTGACCACAGGGGATCCGCCCGCCTCAGCCTCCCAGAGTGCTGGGATTACAGGCGTGAGCTACTGTGCCCAGCCTTGTCCACCTGTTTGGAGATGCCCTCGTGTCTGTGTGGACCCGCAGAGAGACACGCACAGGCAGACCCACGGACGCACAGACACAGACACAGGCACACACACATATACCCATCCAGATGCACAGAAATGCAGACACAAAGGCACACATGCAAGCACACGCCACAAGACATGCACACACGGACACATGCAGGACACAGATACACTGACAGGTACACACATGGACACACAGATACAGCAAGACAGGCACACACACACACACGGACACAGATACAGTGACAGGCACACGCGCACAGAGACAGACATGCACAGATGGGCACACTCACGCACGGACACACAGTGATACACCAACAGGCACACACAGACGCAGACATGCACAGATGGGCACACACACATGGACATACAGATATAGCGACAGGCACACACAGACGCAGACATGCACAGCAACAGGCACACACAGACGCAGACATGCACAGATGGGCACAGACAGACACGCACGGACACACAGATACACCAACAGACAGGCACGCACACAGACGCAGACATGCACAGCTGGACACACACACACACGGACATACAGATACAGTGACAGGCACACACAGACGCAGACATGCACAGATGGGCACACACACACACGGACATACAGATACACCAACAGACAGGCACACGCACATAAACATAGACATGCACAGATGGACACGCAGACACACATGGACATACAGATACAGCGACAGGCACACACACACGGATGCAGACATGCACAGATGGGCACACGCACGGACACACAGAGATACCCCAACAGGCACACAGACGCAGACACACAGACATACACACATATACCCACACAGACGCACAGAAACACACATACCCTCACACATATGCAAGCACACACCACAGAGAGTTGCACACACACAAACGCAGATGCAGACACAGAGACACATTCTTACGCACGCACACACAAGGACATACCACACACAGTCAGTCATGCACACACAGACACATGCACACACAGACGTACACACAAGCACAGCAGTGACATGCACACACACCATGCACACAGATACAGATGGGCACACAGACATGCACACACAGACATGTACACATATATCCACAGACACGCAGACACACATACCCTCAGAGACATACACACCACAGAGGTGCACACACACACACGGACTCAGACACAGAGACATTCTGACGTACAGACACGCATGCAAGGACATACCACACAGAGATGTGCACACACAGACTCAGAAACACACAGAGACACAGACACAAGCACAGCAGATGCTCACATATCCACACAGACACACACCATGCACATAGATGCAGACACACAGACAAGCACACCCAGACACATGCACACAGACACACAACCACAGCAGTCACATATGCACACAACCACCGGCCCACAGCATGCACACAGATGCAGACGTACACACAGACACATGCACACAGGGACACACAACCACAGCAGTCACATACACACACACACCTACCAGCACACAGCATACACACAAATGCAGACACAGACGGGCACACAGACGCACATACACAGACATGCACACATATATCCACACGGATGCACACACATCACCTCACAGAAACATATGCAACCACACACCACAGAGACTTGCAGACACGTGGACACACAGTCTCATGCACAGACACACACACAAGGACATACTACACAGACGTGCACACACAGTTACATATGCACGGAAGACACACACCATGCACACAGATACAGACACAGACATGCACACACACACACATGCACACAGACACACAAGCACGACAGTCATATGCACACAGACACCCACCGGCTCACAGCATGCACACAGATGCAGACACACACACACAGACATGCACACATATACCCACACAGACACACACACATACTCTCACAGAAACATATGCAACCACACACCAGAGACGTGCACACACATGCGGATGCAGACACACACACACACAGACATGCTCACGCACAGACATGCTCCATGTCACAGGTATGCTCCAGGGCATACCACACACATGCACACAGAGAGACACACACACACAAGCACCGTAGACAGTCCCATTTGCACACACATACCCACCATGGAAACGCCCAGGCAGAAACACAGGTGCACACACAGCCATGCCCTCTGTCTAGAAAGAGATGCTGCAGTCTGGAAAAGGTTAGCAGGGTGAACAGGAGGAGGGCTCACCTGCTGCGAAGTGGATCTGCACTGCCTGCGGTCCGGGGGGTTGGAAGTGGGCGGCCAGCTCGATAATGTCTGGGAGGTCAAACACAGTCACCTGCATACGAGGGTACTCACGGGCCAGCTCTCGGGCCAGTGCACCCGTGCAGCCTGCGGGGAAGCAAATGCATGCTCTGTGGCTGGGTCGTCTATGGAACTCTGACGACTCTCCAAAGCTCAACTGGGGCAGAAGTAATGTTCAAGGGCATGGCATTGATTCCCATGCTGGAAGGGAAAGCCAGTGGTGGGGAGCTCGCTGGTATCCCAGACAAGACTGTACAAGCAGGTGAGTGTGGGGGCACAGACCTGCAGGGAAATCCTTCCAGCCCAGGGGTGGAGGGCTGTACTCCCTTCTCCTTCCTGCCGTGGGGATGTAGACACAATGGCCGGTGCTACAGCAGCCACTCTGGGCCACGTGTAGGGGGCACAGACCTACAGGGAAATCCTTTCTGCCCAGGGGTGGGGGCTGTACTCCTCCCTTCTCCTTCCTGCCATGGGGATGCAGACACGATGGCTGGTGCTACAGCAGCCACTCTGGACCACAAGGAGGAGAGGCATTCAGAGGTTGGGGAAATGTAAGCTGATGGTGTGAGAATCGTCCCAGGCCCCGATCCCCCAGCAGCCCTTGGGAATGTGTCTACTGCTCCACCCACTGTCCAGGGCTGGGGTGGGGTGGAGGGTGAGTCAGGATATAATCAGACTTGCTGAGGGGAATCCAGGGGTTCCAAGGTGCTCTGCCTCAGCTCCGCAGCCAAAAGAGAGGGCCCCGGAGTTTCTAGGGGGGCATTTAGGCATCCCCGGGGTCCTCCTGGAACTTGGGAATATCCACCCATGATCTGGGACTCAGCCTGGCCCGGTTCAGGTCGTTATCAGGTTTGTCAATGGAAAAAGGCAGTTGGTAGGTGTCCTGAGCAGGGAAGATACCTGTGGCTTAATAAACGAAAGTAAGGAGAGCCCTGGCGGGGGGGCCACCCACCTCCCACGTCGCAGGCGGAGGAGAAGCGGGACAGATTGAAGGCCGTGGCCACCTGGCACGCAGTCAGCTTCGTCATGCCGTGCATGGCCCGCATGAACCTCAGCCGCGTCTCCGGGCTCTGGTAGTACGCATCCTGGAACACAGCAGGTGCTTAGGGGCACCAGAGAACACGGGGCGAGGGCTCGCCCAGCCTCTCCCTGGGGGTCGGGGGGAGAAGTGCAGGGCTCCAGAGCGTGGGGGCTCAGCCGCGCCTGGGCTGCAGAGCGGGCTTCATGCCACAGCTGTGTGGGCTACTCTTGTCTGTGTGGGGGCTGGGCTGGCTGGGGACAGAGGACCCCAAAGTGGTGGACGATCTCCTTGGAATCACTTGGTCCACACCACAGCCTGAACTCCAAGCGTCTGACTTTCGCAGTAGGCTTTTCACAATAAAGCTTTTCACCCTGGAGGCTCCGGGTGGCCCACAAACACCTCACTGGAGAAAACCAGGAGAGAAGCCACAATGTCTCTGCAGGTGCCCCGGCTCAGCCTTCACCACAATGGTGCGGTGTGCAGAGGGGGCTCCTCCGAGAATTCTGGTGTGCAGAGGAGAAGCTCCTCCGAGCTTCTCCAAGTCCCCCCAGTGGCACCTACCCCGGGTCCCAGAGGAGCCCAGGCTCATCCTGGCTCAGTGCTGTGTCCAGGGTTCGCCTGGACATCCCGTCCCTGCAGGGCAAGCAAGCCCAGCTGAGGATGCTTCTGAGCCCCGCTCCCAGCAGGACAGCCGGTCTCCATCCTGGCTCCCTAAATCTCGCGGGGGCTCCCCGGCCCTCCCCTGCGTGGGTGGCAATCATGGGGCTCAGGGATCTGTCCTCTGCGATGCCCACGCTGGCTGCTCACGCCAGCTCAGGGCCCCTGTCCGTGCCTCTCGGCTTCTCCACCACTGGCTTCTCTCTCTGACTCTTTCTCCCTTGGTCTCTGTCTGTCTGTCTCTGTCTCCGTCTGTGTGTCTCTGTCTTCCTCTTTCTCTCTCTCTGTTTCTGTCTCCTGTCTCTGTTTCTTTCTATCTCCCTCTGTCTCTGTCTCTATGTCTGTCTCCTGTTTCTGTCTCTATCTGCCTCTATCTCTGTCTCTCCAAGCCTCCCTGTCTCTGTCTCCCATCTCCCTCTATGTGTCTGTCTGTCTCCATCTTTGTTTCTGTCTCCCTATCTCTGTCTCCGCCTCCCTCTGTCTCTCAAGTCTCCCTGTCTCTCCATCTCTCTCCCTATCTCACTATCTGTCTCCCATCTCCGTGTCTGTCTCACTCTATCTCTGTCTCTGTCTTTCTGTCTCCCTGTTTCTGTCTCCCTCTATCTCCCTGTCTCTGTCTGCCTCCATCTCTGTCTGTCTCTGTCTCCCTCTATCTTTCTGTCTGCCTATCTCTCTCTCTGTGTCTCCCTGTCTGTATGTCTCTCCCCAACATCTGCAGGAAGCCCCCGGCTCCCTGGGGCTCATCTCTGCATCACACACACACACCCTGACTCCGTGCTCACTGCCACAGAAGCTCGGCCAGCGCTGCCAAGGAGGCATGAGGCCACGGCCAGCCGAGCCCACAGCAGACTCCCCACGCCTGGCTGGCACAGCCCTGCAGACCGAGACCCACCCATCTGCACAGGCCCCACGGACCCCACCATATCTCACACGTCCACCTCAGGAAGGTTCTGGGCGGGGAAAGGGGAAGGAGGGGCGAGAGGATGCAGGGAGCGCTTTGCAAACAGCGGCCTCAGATAAGCAAGTGTCAGTTCCATTGAAGCAAAGAAGAAACAGGGCATTCATTTAAGGCAGCCTGTCCAACTCCTTCCTATTTCTATTTTTCAGACAGAGTCTTGTTCTGTCACCCGGGCTGGAGTGCAGCAGCACCATCACGGCTTACACTGCAGCCTTGACCTCCCAGGTTCAAGTGATCTTCCCACCCACCTGGGCCTCCCAAAGTAGCTGCCTAATCATACCTGGCTAATCGTTAATTTTTTTTTTTTTTTTTGAGATGGAGTTTCGCTCTGTCACCCAGGCTGGAGGGCAGTGGCGTGATCTCAGCTCACTGCAACCACCACATCCCGGGTTCAAGTGATTCTCCTGCCTCAGCCTCTTGAGTAGCTGGGACTACAGGCACGCGCCATCATCCCCAGCTAATTTTTTTTTTGTATTTTTAGTAGAGATGGGGTTTCAGCACGTTGGCCAGGTTGGTCTCGCACTCCTGACCTCAGGTGATCAGCCCACCTTGGCCTCCCAAACTAGCTGGGATTACAGGCTCATGCCACCATGCCCAGCCTAACTGTTAATTTTTTGTAGAGATGGGGGTCTCACTATGTTGCCCAGGCTGGTCTCAAACTCCCGGGCTCAAATCATCCTCCCAACTTGGCCTCCCAAAGTGCTGGGAGTGACAGGTGTGAGCCCCTGAGCATGGCCTTCAAACCTGTTTCTAGGAGGAAATTCTATTTTCATCAGCTGCTGGATAACAGTGGAGGATGTCTAAGTTGCACCTGTTCCAGGGCTGAGTGACACAAGAGCCACGGCACTAAGTTCTCCAGGCAGAACGAGCCAAGCCTTTGGGATCTGTCAGACTGGAGACAGACTGGTCAAGGTGCCTACTGATCTGTGTGTCAAAGTGTTTTAGCAAAATGCACGCTAGACGGAAAGGTGTCCGCGGGGGTGTTATGCTACCTGGAACAGATCTTCCGCCTTCTTCCCCAACGCCCTGTGGTGCTGGTTTGTTCCCTCTCGGATGGCAAACTCCAGGTATGTAAAGAGGTTCCATGTGAGGTCATTATTGTGCATGATGAAGCCGTGCAGAGAGTATTCGCCATCCGATGCCAGGTAGACGTTCGCTGTCTCTGTGTTACTGTAACCTGGAGAAATGGGGACAGTCGTGTGACCTCCTAACGAGAAAACCCAAGGAAACCTGACCGTAGGGGATGTATCATTGAGATGTTAAAATAAACATCACCCATCTGACTATAGCAAACCGTACACTCAAGGAAACCTGACCATAGGGGATGCATCATTGAGATGTTAAAATAAACATCATCCATCTGACTATAGCAAACTGTACACTCAGGGTCAGCTGGGCAGGAAAACAGCAGCCACCACGCCCCAGCTGTCAACTGCTGTAACTGTTACCCACTGAGGCTGATCCTTTCTTCATGATCGTGGCCACGCTCAAGTTCCCAGTTATGCAGGCAAACACCCATCTAGATGTGGCTGTGGAGGTGTGCTGTAGCTGGCGTTTGCATCTACCATCAGTTTGACTTTAAGGAGATTAACCCCCCAAAATGTGCATTGGCCTCATCCAGCTCATTGAAAACCCCAGAAGCAAACATTGGGCTTTCCTGGAGGAGAAATTCCACTTGAAGATGGCAGCAGCAGCTCCTGCCTGAGCTTCCAGCCTCCTGGCCTGCCCTGTGGATTTTGGACTTGCCAGCCTACACAATCACGTAAGTCCTCAAGATAAATCTCCTAGGTTATATCCTAGGGGTTCTGTTACCCTGGAGAGCCCCAAATGATACAGGGAACTTCATTCTCCACCCACTTCATGCCCAGGTCAGCTGTCCATAGACCCAGTCCCCAAGCTCCCTTCCAGGATGCCCCCTCCCACAGAATGGGAGGCTGGAAGGTGGAGAAGTTGTTGGTGGAGACCCGTATATGGAAACAGATGGCCTCGCACCACTCCGGTCCTCCTATGTAAGAAACAGCCCTGTGTTCATGTTAATGATGAAATGTTACTGTTTTCCCACCGAGCTGACCCTGAGTGTACGGTTTGCTATAGTCAGATAGATGACATTTATTTTCATCATGAATAAATGATGAGACCTATGGTGAAGCAGGAGCAGCCTCTGCAGACGTGGAACTGCTCCTAGGACTCAACTGCACAAAGCGTTGTCAAAAGGAGTTGGAACAAGCTTGCATGGTGCCGGTGATGAAAAGCCTTTCTCCATATTCATCATTATTTTCTTTCTTTTAATTTTTTAATTTTTTTTGAGATGGAGTCTCACTCTGTCCCCCAGGCTGGAGTGCAGTGGCACGATCTCAGCTCACTGCAAGCTCCGTCTCCTGGGTTCATGCCATTGTCCTCCCTCAGCCTCCCGAGTAGCTGGGACTACAGGCACCCGCCACCGTGCCCGGCTAATTTTTTGTATTTTTAGTAGAGACGGGGTTTCACCGTGTTAGCCAGGATGGTCTTGATCTCCTGAACTCGTGATCTGCCTGCCTTGGCCTCCCCAAGTGCTGGGATTACAGGCGTGGCCTATTCATCATTATTTTCAATACGGGAGAATGGTCCTGAACTGCTCTGGCTGGGGAAGATGTTCTGGCTTCTATGTTCCAGCCTCTAAGGATATAGTCACATGTCTCTGTGGTAAGGGCACAGCCTTTGGAGCCTCAACCAGGGCATGCTTTGTCTCCTAATCACAGAAGCACAGCCACCTCTGCCCAGGTGTCATCTGTTGTCCTGCCCTTCCCAGGCTACTCAAGGACTTGGTCATGTGCTCTCTATTCTAGCACCATGCTGAAGAGTTCTGTTCAATTCAGAAAACACATTGTCATCCATCCATCCATCCACCCACTCACCCACCCATCCAGTTATCCACTCACCCACCCATCTAGTCATCCACCCACCCATCTGCTGATCCACCCATTCATCACTCATCTATGCATTCCCCCACCCATCCAATCCACCGATCCACCCATCTACCCACTCATCCATCCATTCCCCCACCCAGCTACCCATCCAGCAATCCACTGATACATCTATCCATCCATCCTCCCATCCATCCGTCCACCCACCCATCCATCTATTCACCCACCCTCCCAATCATCCACCCAGCCATGCACCCATCCATCCACTCATCCATCCATTCACACGCCCACCCATCCACATGCCCACTCATCCATCCATCCACCTACCCATCCATCTATTCACCCATCCACTGATGGATCCACTGATCCATGCACCCATGCATGCATCCATACATCCACATCCATTTATCCATTCATTCCCCCACCCATCCAATCACTCATCCATCCATCTGTCCATCCATCCATCCATCCACCCACCCACCTACCCATCCATCCACCCATCCACTGATGGATCCACTGATCCATCCACCCATGCATGCATCCATCCATCCACATCCATTTATCCATTCATTCCCCCACCCATCCAATCACTCATCCATCCATCCATCCACCCACCCACCCACCCATCTGTTCACCCACCCTCCCCATCATCCACCCAGCCATGCACCCGTCCATCCATTCATGCACTCATCCACATGCCCACTCATCCATCCACCCATCCAACCACCCACCTACCCATTCATCCATCCATTCCCCCACCCAGCTACCCAACCACCGATCCACTGATATATCTGTTCATCCACCCTCCCATCCATCTGTCCACCCACCCATCCGTCTATTCACCCACACTCCCAATCATCCACCCAGCCGTGCACCCATCCATCCACTCATCCATCCATTCACACGCCCACCCATCCACACGCCCACTCATCCATCTATCCACACATCTATCCACTCACCCATCCATCCACACATCCATCCATCCATCCATCTGTCCGTCCATCCATCCATCCAGCCACCCATCCACTCACCCACTTATCCATCCACCCATCCATCCACTTACCCACCCATCTATGCACTCATCCACCGATTCATCGATCCATCCATCCATCTACCCACCTTTATCCATCCAGTCATCCACCCATCCATCCACACATCCTTCCATTCACACATCCATCCATCTATCCACTCACCCACTCATCCATCCACCCATCCATCCACTTACCCACCCATCTACCCACCCTTCCATTTATCCATCCACCTCTCCATCCATCCATCTATCCATCCACCCACCCACCCATCCATCCACCCATCCACTGATCCACCAATCCATCCACCTTCCCATCCATGTATCTATCCATCCATTGATCAATCCATCTGTCCATCCATCCATCCATCCATCCCTCCTCCCATCCATCTATCCACCTACCATCCATCCATCCATCCATCCATCCTTCCTCCCATCTATCCACCTACCATCCATCCATCCATCTATCCATCCATCCATTTATATATCAACTCTACCCATCATCTATGTATCTGTCATCTCTCTATCGTCAATCTATATCAATGTATCTATGCATTTATCATCTATCTATGTATCTGTCTACCCATCCATCTACGTTATTTGTCTATAAAAATAAATAAGCAACTAAATCAATGTCTGTGTACACCGTATTGGGTTCTGTTTCTCAGGAGAACATGGACTGATACAGCCCCTTTGAGACTAGAGCCCATAAGGAGGTCACGCTTCTCCTATGTGCTCGCGGCTGCCACTGTTCCCTCTCTGTCATTCACCCTCTGCTTCTCAACCTTTCGGGAAAAGCAGCATTCCTGAGGGCAGAGGGACAGAAGGTGTGGGCCTCCTTCCTCGCTCTGCCCAGGCTCCAGGTCACCTTCCCTCAGTGACTTCCACCTGCAAAGATCCTCAGAGCAAAACCCGCTGGGTCCTGTCACCTTGCTCTGTCTTCTCCAGGAGCCCCATGGCAGCACAGATGTCCAGAAGCCTCTCCATTCCACACGCAGAGGCGTCCACTTTGCTGGCAATATCCGCAGCCTTCTGGGGTGCTTCATCTTTTAACAAATCGAACACCTTCAGTTTGCAAGCGGTGAGCAGGCCCTGTTAAAAGCAAGTGCAGAGAGACTCATTAAGTCCCTTGTCCAGTACTTTCTACTCCCACAGACTCAAAAGATGGAGGCCAACGCTGTCGGAAGTATACAACTTGGCCATTGAGCCTTCTTTCACAGAGAACGGTGGGGATTTATAGGATCAAGTCCCCAGCTATAAAACAAGGTGTACACAAGGAAAAAGCACATCAACGAATATCATGCAGAAAAACTAGCCCATGGGAGAAAAATCAACATGCTGCCGATATGGACTGAGTTCAAAACCCAGATGTTGAACTCCTAATCCCCCCAGTCCCTCAGGATGTGACTGTATTTGTAGGCAGGGTTTTAAAGAAGTGATTCAGGTAAAATGAGGTCATTTGGGTGGACCCTAATCCAATAGGACTGGGGTCCCTATAAGAAAAGGAGATGAGGACACAGACACACACACAGGGACGACCCTGTGAGGACACAGGGAGAAGACAGCATCTCCAAGCCCAGGAGAGAGGCCTCAGGAGGAACCAGCCCTGCCCACACGTTGATCTTGGACCTCCAGCCTCCAGGACTGTGGGAGAATCAATGTCTGTTGTTTATAAACCACCTGGTGGTGATTTAATAATCACCACTTGGTAAATTAGAGGCACAGACGGAATGTGCTGTAACCACCTTTATTCCTT